>NC_000011.10:12560000-13185000 GCF_000001405.40 Homo sapiens | reverse complement strand
TCCATCATCACAACACGATTGTTTAGATACATGAGTGAAGAATGGCATTCAATGATGAATGAATTTTATGGGTTGGCTGGACCTAACATTGTTTCTATGGTGAAATGTTTCAAATACATAGCAACCAAATCCCCAAGATGAGAAAATGTCTTCATTTACTAGGTGAAGAAAGACACATATAACCCACGCCCCTGCCATTTGAACTGACGCCACGTGGGAACCTCAGCATTCCTGAATCTTGTAGAAGCTGCCCTTGCCCTTCTTTCACGTCTTCCATTTTGAGGAGACTAAACCTGCTCTCCTTTGGCAGCCGAGGGTGTTTGGAAGTGACTCATGTAGGGAACCCACTGGTTACCCAGTAGCATGAGCACATCAGTCAAACGATTAGACCCCTGCCTCATATGTAGACCAATGACCCTGGAAATTGTTCTGTCAGACTCCTTCCAGTTCTCTGACAATCTGATAGGTGCTGGGAACACACTGCCTGGAGGTGAGTTGTTTACTTGGTTTAAGTGGTTCAGCTGAAGATTTCAACAGAGCTCTGCTGAGTTCGTACGGCAATACCAGTAGCCAGTGTTTAAACATTCATACCCCATGAAGCCAGACGATATCCAGAAATGGCACAGCTTGGAGATGCATCTTACCGAGATCACTGAGCTGCTGTGGCCTGAAAGCCCATTTAACTAGGAAGAATTATATGCAACAAAAAGCACGTTTACAAAGTCTGAAGGCTTCCTTGAGTTAGCATTTGAATGGTTGTCTTTTCTTTCATATGTGTTCTGACAAACTTTATGTTTGACTAGGTGTCTCTGTGGCTTTCTGAAATGATAATGAGTGTCAATAAATATATGGCTATATCTACATTTTAAAGTGTCAGAATAGAAGCAAATTGGAGCCAATGTGACATGGAATAAAGACTATATGAGCTTTATCACTGGACAGACCAGGTTACAATCCAGGAGCTTTGACTTATCAGCTGTGTGTCCTCGACATAGTTACTTAGCCTCCCTGAGCATGTGTCCTTAGATGTGAAATAGGAATAAGGGCACTTTATTGCCTTGTGGAGCTGTAGTAAGTGTCAACCTGGGATCAAACATTTATACATCTACTAGTTGCCTGGCATATTGAAGGTGCTCAGTAAATTGTAGATAAAAATATTTAGGATCTCATCTCATCTGAAACAGAATAAATCTGTGGATACTGGCTGCATTTACTATGAGGAATGATAGAGGGCAGACTTTACAAAGTTATGTATAAAATACATCGTCTTTCATTTTGACTTCCAAGAGGGTAGTGAGAATTCCATAAATGACTTTCTTAAATGTTTTGGCTGAAAGATGCCTCTGTCGCTACTTTTAATTTCTTTGCAGAAACTGGGGGTTTCCTGTTAGGCAAGAATTCCAGAGAAGGATATTGGGCAATGTTTAATTGACAACTTTCATCACCATGTACATGCCTGGTCCCCCAGATAATGGTGGAGCATTTTTGGCAGGTTTCTGACCACCTCTATACCTGTCATAGATTTGCTGATAAGTAGAGGAAATGAAAGATGCTGAATTTTCCTGACATCATTTCAAATTGCATCATTTGAAAACAGTATGAAGTGTATGACTAGAAGCATTACGGAATACAGAAAATCAACTTGCAGCTAACTGGCAATCAGGTTACCTCTAAATTAATGGTGGATTGGGCTGAGTGTGAATTCCATTCCACCACGAAAGAATGAATGGACATTCAATAAATATTTGTGGAACTCTGAAGACGTCCTGAAATGTAAACATTTGTTCTAGTTTACACTGCCACCTGCAGTCTTTGGGGGAACCAGCCTCACTGAATCTCCACAGCATTAAGTGTTATTTATCACTGCTTGACATTTTCAATAATTTAGAGATAAAAAACGGTATGTCTAAGTTGCTTTAGCTAGAATTTTTTGCTTACTGAAGATTTCCTACCTGTGGACTTCAACATTTTTATTTTTTAAATGAATTTATGATTATATCTTTGGCTCATTTTTCTATTTGAATCCTGACAATGTTTTTCTTAACTTCTATAATGGGCTTTTTGAAAATCATTGGTATCATCCTTTACAAAATGTAAGTGATACAGTTTTGTTAGTCTATGATTTCCTTGGCAGAGACCATAGAACATGGCAAACACTGAAAAATGTGTATTGAATTATGTTCTTTTAAGTAATCTTATATTTAAAAATACTTTTAAAAATATAAAAGAACTATGTACTTATTATTTTCAAAAAAATAAATATGTAGGCAGAGTAGAAGGATCCCCACTCAAAGGCAATCACTGTAGTTGTTACCAGGTACTTTTAATTTATTTTAATACCTGAATACTGTTCCTGCAAGTTATATTCTTATTTACCGATTTTCCAGTGCGTTCTCAGTTAGTTTTCAATTTTGCTCTATCATATACTGTTGTTACAAGAACAAAACACTAAATTATAAATATTTGTATTTACAATTGTATTGCAGTCTTCAAACCATGTGATCAACCACCTCCCTCCCACAACACACACACACGCACGCACGCGCACACACACACACACACACACACATATATATATAGTCTAAGAACAGCAAGTCCAGGGGAAGAGATTTTTGCTCTGCTGACTTGGGGGGAGTAGAAGACGTTATGAATGGCTGAAGGTAAAAGAATTGTTTACTAAGAAGGTAGTTGGGTTTGCCCAGAGGGAACACATATCAGAGGAATAGGTTATGGGATAGAGAAGATGAGAGAGTTGCACTTTTGGAAGAGAGAGAGAGATGATTAAAGAGGATTTTAACGAAGTTTTGATGTATAAGCCACTGCTACACATGTGGGATGATGAATTATTTATCTGTCTGTGATATGCTAAGTGAAAAAATTGTTGACCGGGCGCAGTGGCTTATGTCTGTAATCCCAGCATTTTGGGAGGCCAAGGCGATGGATCACAAGGTCAGGAATTTGAGACCAGTCTGGCTAATATGGCGAAACTCCATCTCACTAAAAATATAAAAAATTAGCCAGGCATGGTGGCATGTGCCTGTAGTCCCAGCTACTCAGGAGGCTGAGGCAGGAGAATCACTTGAACCCAGGAGGCAGAGGTTGCAGTGAGCCAGGATTGTGCCACTGCACTCCAGCCTGGGCGACACAGCGGGACTCCGTCTCAAAAAAAATTTGTCAGTCAGCATTTAGAAACTTTTATAGCTCTTTGGCATTGCTGCAAACCCAAGTGCATAATACACGTCCGTGGACTTGTACAACAGGGAATGTGAGAAATCACACAACTAGTGCAATAGGACCACATTAATAACATGATATTTTAAGGTCTAACAACTGTAATCCAAAAGTTTATAAAAACCTGAGAAAAATGTAAGATTGTAAAAATAGTTGTATGACTATTTTAATTTTTAATCAAGGCTGTTTTAAAACTTAAAATTTTACTTAAATTACGAAGTAAAAGTTGTTCTATTTATTGTTAACTTTAATTCACAGATGGCGAAACAAGCTCTACTGGACCATTTCATCATGAAATGATACAACTTTTCTGAATGTGGCAGTAATAAACCAAATGGTAATAATGAGAGTGATTCTGAAAAACTGAAGATCAAACACATTCAGACTACTTTTACTTGGAAATATGATACGTCATATGCTGAGTACAGGTTTGTAGCCTGAATTGATGAGGAAGTGCTTAAAAACGTGGTGTTTTCGTTTATAGAAATGTACCATGTAATGAAGCAATAAATCCACCAAAACTTAAGTGGGACTTACATATAAAATCAAAAAAGATTTATTTGAAAGAATATTGAAATTAAAATGTAATGATTAAAAAGCTAACAGAAGCAGATGTTCAATATTTCACATATAATCAATAGTACTTTGCAGGCATATTTTTTTCTTTTATTTATTTATTTTTTTTCTTTTTTTAAATATTTTTATTATATTTTAAGTTCTAGGGTACCTGTACACAACGTGCAGGTTTGTTACTTATGTATACATGTGCCATGTTGGTTTACTTCCCCCTTTAATTCGTCATTTATATTAGGCACTTCTCCTAATGCTATCCCTCCCGCATTCCCCCACCCCACGACAGGCCCCAGTGTGTGATGATCCCCGCCCTGTGTCCATGTGTTCTCATTGTTCAATACCCACCTATGAGTGAGAACATGTGTTTGGTTTTCTGTCATTGCGATAGTTTGTTCAGAATGATGGTTTCCAGCTTCATCCATGTCCCTACAAAGGACATGAACTCATCCGTTTTTTATGGCTGCATAGTATTCCATGGTGTATATGTGCCACATTTTCTTAATCCAGTCTATCATTGATGGACATTTGGATTGGTTCCAAGTCTTTGCTATTGTGAACAGTGCTGCAATAAACATATGTGTGCACGAGTCTTTATAGCAGAATGATTTATAATCCTTTGGGTATATACCCACTAATGGGATGGCTGGGTCAAATGGTATTTCTAGTTCTAGATTCTTGAGGAATCACCATACTGTCTTCCACTCGGTTGAACTAGTTTACACTCCCATCAACAGTGTAAAAGCGTTCCTATTTCTCCACATCCTCTCCAGCACCTGTTGTTTCCTGACTTTTTAATGATCACCGTTCTAACTGGTGTGAGATGGTATCTCATTGTGGTTTTGATTTGCATTTCTCTGATGACCAGTGATGATGAGCATTTTTTCATGTGTTTGTTGGCTTCATAAATGTCTTCTTTTGAAAAGTGTCTGTTCATATCCTTTGCTCACTTTTTGATGGGGTTTACAGGCGTCTTATAAAGTAGCACCTCAGGTTGCTAAGTCTAAGACCCTTACAGTTGCTGAGACATTGCTGGGAGATTCCAGCAATGGAATCTCCATTATGTTGGAGCAATGGAATCTCCATTATAAGCCAAAGATGTTGGCTTATAAATGTTGGGCGAATCTGTGGCAAAATATAAGCTTCAAATGCTGTTTTAAAATGACACCATTGGTCAAGCACGGCAGCTTACGCCTGTAATCCCAGCACTTTGGGAGGCCAAGGTGGGCAGATCACTTGAGGTCAGGTGTTCGAGATCAGACTGGCCAACATGGCAAAGCCCCATCTCTACTAAAAAATACAAAAATTAGCCAGGTGTAGTGGTGCACACCCATAATCCCAGCTGCTTGGGAGGCTGAGGCATGAGAATTGCTCGAACCAGGGAGGCGGAGGTTGTAGTGAGCCAAGATTGTGCCACTGCACTCCAGCCTCAGCAACAGACAGAGACTCTGCCTCAAAAAAAAAAAAAAAAAAGTAATAATACCATTGCTCAATGTATTAAAAAAATGACTATTAATAAGAAAAACCAACTCATAGAACACAAAAAACTTGTAATGTTTACTTCACTGAAATTTCACAAGTCCACAGATATTACTAACATGGTCAATTTATTTTAGTATTTATGCTGGTGTTTTATTTATTTTATTTGATTAATTAATTTTTTTTTTCGAGACAGAGTCTTGCTCTGTTGCCCAGGCTGGAGTGAACCAGCATGATCTCAGTTGACTACAATCTGCGCCTCTCAGCCTCAAGCGATTCTCTGCCTCAGCCTCCCAAGTAGCTGGAATTGTAAGTGCCTGCTACCACGGCCAGCTAATTTTTTGTATTTTTAGTAGAGACAGGGTTTCGCCATGTTGGCCAAGCTGGTGTTGAACTCCTGACCTCAGGTGATCCACTTGCCTCGGCCTCCCAAAGTGCTGGGATTACAGGTCTGAGCCACTGCGCCTGGACTATAGTGGTGTGTTATGAAGAACATGACGGTGATATGAAAAAATAATTCTTTTTTCTTTTTTTTTTTTTTTTTTGCTTTCAACGAACTCAATTAGCCCTGAACTTTCTATAGTTACAAAGAATCCCATTATAAACAAATGTGATTTAGAGTTTAAGTGTTGGGTAGGTGTATGTTCCTTGTAATGGCATTATGGCATAGTTACTCAGATTAAGAAGTTTGTGCCAGAATGTAAATCAATGCCTGGCTTCCTTCATTGACAAAGTTTTGCTGTTAAAAAAGCAAGCTGAATTAAACATTCCATTAAGTTATAGAGTAAAAATTGTGAATCATGTAAAAGCTAATATTTTAAATTTATTGTTCTTTTTGTTACGTAATAATATGGAAGCTGATTATAAATGACTGTTGCTGCATGCAGAGCTCAATTATTTTTGAGAAGAAAAACTCTATCAAGCATATTTGACTATGGAATGAACACTGCGTGTTTCGGCAAGAGAAGAAGCCATTTTGGTCAACTATTAAAAGATGTTAATTGGATAACCAGATTTGCTTATTTGTCTGATATTTTGATAATTTTAATGATCATAACACTCTATGCAAAGTGGGAATGCAGCATTTTTTCCAATGGCAGAGAAGATCTAAGGGAATAAAAAAGTTAGAAACTTGGAAGAACTGAGTTTCTATAGATTGTTAGGACACGTTCTATAATGTAACAACAATTATTAATGAAGTGATGATCTTGTTACTGTGTGTCTGTGAAAAGTTATCTCTGAATACTTCTCAAATTTGAAAGTATGTTTTGAAATTTTATTTTCCACTGAGTGAAGACCCAATATAAATAATCCATTTCTTTTATCAAAAGATAATTTAGAGCCAAGCATGGTGGCTTGTAATCCCAGGGACTTGTGAGGCTGAGGCAGGAGGATCCCTTGAGGCAGGAGTTTGAGGCTGGAGTGAGCTGTAGTGGTGCCATTGCACTCCCCTAGGCTACAGTGCTAAACCCTGTCTCTAAAAAAGAAAAGATAATTTAAATTTAATAAACTCTACAGGATATGTTAAAACTGGCAACTGTTGAAGGATTGAAGATGAATTTTGAAATACAGCATCATTTGCTTCATTTTGTGTAAAGGTTAAAAATGAATATCCTGTGCTTCCTGAAATTGCTTTAAATCTCTTCTTCCATCCTGTCAACAGGCCTCTGGGAGACTGATTTCTCTATTATGAATAATATTGAGTCAAAATGTAGAAATAATTTAGATATACATTATCCTCTGTAAGTATATTTCATCACTCTAACCTAGATTAAATATGTTAATAAGGAAGCAACAAGCTCATTTTTCTGTGTTAAAAATGTCAAATATTTAAACTGTTATATTGTTTATTCAAAGTGTGAGTATAGGAGTTTATTATGGGTAATTTCTATTTTACTCATAAGTGTTTAGTTATAATCACAGAACAACAAAAGTTACAAATGTAATAATGATTTTCTTTATTACTCACATATGCACAATTTCAAAGTGTATAGTTTCTGCAGTTTTAAAATCTCCTATGTTACACTAGTTCTGATAATATTTATTGAAATTTAATTTTATATTTGTTGTATCTAGCCATAAATATTGGACTTGTATTATATATTCATTTAGTTTTTTTCAAATTATCCACTTTGATTGCATTTTACAAAAGCATCAGTCCGTGATGGATTGGAGATTTCGAAATCCTGCTCCTTCAGCACCAATGGTTTGAGAAGCGCCTGTGAAACCTTTCCTTGGGACCCTTTCAAGAGAACTCAGTAGAGGTTTTCAGTGAGAACCTAAGTACTTAGTCACAAAGGCTTTTGGGAGTCAGAGTTACATTGTATTAATATTTGTGACCCCTTGCTGGAGGAACCTTAGAGCAGAAGCAGGTCCAGGTTAGTTGGATTACATATTTTGATGTTCTAACCTTGTGTCACACTTAGTACTATTTCTTCAGAATGCATCTGAGAAGTAGGAGGTTAACATATTAATTCATTTCAAAGCTGGAAATTATAGATTTCACAACATCTGTTTCAAATATTAGAAGCAAGAGACACAGCTCTGAAACGCAATAAGAATCGAGTCCTGGGCCGGAAACAAGAAGATCTGAAGTCTGATCTCAGTTCTGGATCTTGCCTGAGCTATCATCCACAAAGACCAACGAGCAAGCTGGGTCTCCCATGCTCCTGCTTCTTCAACAGGCCACCGTCTCACATCCCTTTTGGGCCTACCAGCCAGATGTCTCAGCATTTCTCAAAAACAGAACCCAGCATTTACTGCCTTTCAGGCTCTGTTGGCCAAGTCCTCTGTGTAGACAAATGGTGGTTGCTCTCTGCAGCCTTTGGTGTTATTGATTTCTTTCCTCTCTTGCCTTCCATGACTCTATTTTGGTTCTTCTTCTACTTCCCTGACTGCTCATCTTTAATCTCTTTCTGCTTTTTCTTTTCCCTCTCCATCCTCTAGGACGCTTTCACAACCCTCTTCTTTTCTATCTGCTTGGGGATCTCATTCAAACTCATAGGTCCCAATGTTCATCTATCATATTTGTATAAGTCACATAGCTGTTGATGAAAGCTTTCCAAAATTCTAATTCTTGACAGATCAACTTTTGATATTGACAAATAAATAAGTCATTTGTTTTCCTTGAAGTGAGAGGCTCACTTAATTCATTTTCAAGAAAATGTGTGTCAAATACAGAGGTCCGAATGACTGTCAGTCCTTCAGGTAAAAGTCGTTTTCCATGAAGAATGCAGTTAGTTTAGCTCATAAGTTAAGCCATTGCATATGAGCTTTTCCTTGGTTGTGCAGCATCCTACATGACTTTTCAGCAGTGTCATGGCTGAAAAATAACTTGCTTTCCTTTTACATCTAACCTCAACTATTTCTAGTCTGTGGGCCTTAAACTATGGTGACTTTATATTCTGAATCTTAGAACACATAGTTTGAAAAAGAATTTTTGTGCCATTTAGAGATACAAGAGACAGGCTGAAAGGTACGTGCTTCAATGGCTCTGGTAGTTTGTGTGATTGACCAAGAGAATGTTTGAAATTGGAACTATTTTATGCATCCCCGACATAAGCCACCAGGGAAACTGGTGAGTGCCAGGTGCCTGCAAGAAGGTAGTGAGGAGAGAAGGGATCATGTCAGTGTCCCACTTGGAAATGGTTAGGCAAATCTTTGAATGTTAGACCTAGTATGGCCTGATTTAAGTTGACATCCATAATGGGGCTGCTTAGAACTGCCTTGTCAACTCTGTCAACAGACGCCAGACACTGAAATACCAAGTCAAAGAACAGTCTGGTAAATTAATGACCGCACCTGCCCTACCTGCTTGCATATACAGCTGATGAACACTTATACTAGAAATTCTGGATAGACCATTTACCTGCTTGATTTCGAAGATGGATCTGATATGGTCATGGGATCACAGGCACCACCTGTTGGGGAGACGAGGCTCATAATTAATCCATGATTGTTGGACGGTAAAAAAAAATAGGGTATTGTTATGGGACGGAACTGATTACGGTCTTTATGTCTCACCCATCTGGCTGCATAAAACACATGCACATCCTGACATATGGTCACCAGTTAAAGAATTACAAGGTACAGAATTACAAGGTACAAACGAGGAATGGACACCCCAGCTTCTCTTTGTGGCCAATATGAGATGGTTTAAAATGGGCTTTGTGTTTAAATTTCCTTAAAAATAATCATGAACAAAAGGGGCTTTTAACTTCAGTCTCAATACTGTCTTTGAGACATTTTAATGCCCTACCACACATGTTACTTCTCTATTCTCTCAAACGGAAACCTTAAATATTTCTACCCATTTGCCTTATAGCAATGTATGGATATTAGCTGATGTTTAATGACAGTTGGAAGACTTACAGAAGACATGCCATGTATTTGTATGAGCTATTAATTCTAGATTATTATAGTTCCCATTGTGTTACTTATTTGGTGTAAGGGCAATATCTAATGTCAGGTGCATTTTTTTTAGCTGTTATTACGTGTTGGGTGCTATTTTAAGCATAATGCCTGTATTAACATATTGAAATCTTGTAGAATTCTGTAAGGTGGGAACCATCATTTCTATTCTACAGAAGAAGAAACTGATGCCTAGAGCCATTGATGTGCTTACCCAAGGGCAAACAGCTAATAAATTATGGAACTGAGCCTATCTGAACTCCAAAGCCTGTATTCTTTACCATTTTGCTTGAACACGGGTGAAATGGAGAGAATATAAGACAGGGAGAAGACTCCAGTTCTACTGCTAGCCTCATGGTGAAGTAGCTGTGTGACTTTGGACAAGTCACATACCTTTTGGTTCTCAGTTTCTTCAGTTACAAAACAAAAATGATAATACCCACTCTACTCACCTCAGGTAGTTAGTGAGGATAAAAAGACTGTGAGCAGCTTGAGATAAAGAATTAGAGAGTTTATAACTGTAATCTGAGCCTAAGCACTATGCTTGATAATTTTTAAATAATTTAATAATACATTTTTAGTAATTGCCTGAATTTGTTTAAATGATTCATGAATGAATGAATGAGTCAGTTGTTCTGCAAAATGATGAATGTGAAACATCCTTTAAGACTGTAAAGATCATACAATTATAAGGGCTTATTCTTAATTTGCCTATGAAGTCCTAAATGAAAGATATCAAAATTTTATTAAACTTTTAATTTTGAGATTATTATAGATTCACATGCAGTTGTAAGAAACATTACAGAAGGATTCCATGTACCCTCTACCCAGTTCCCGCCAGTGGTGACATTTTGAAAACCACAGTATAATGTCACAAGCAGGATATTAATATTCAAATGAAAGATACAGAACGTTTCCATCACCACAAGGATCTCTCATGTTGCCTTTTTGTAGTCACGTCCCCTTCCCATCTGCCCGCATGCCCTCCTTGGCAATCACTAATATGTCCTCTATGTCTGTAATTCTGTCACTTCCAGAATTTTACATAAGTGTAATTGCACAATGTGTCTAGCCTTTTGAGATTGGCTTTTTTCTCCCAGCATAATTCTCTAGAGATTCATTCAGGTTGTGTGGATTAATTGTTTCTTTTTATTGCTGAGTAATCTTCTGTGGTATGGATATAGTTTAACCTTTCGCCCGCTGAAGGACATCTGGACATCCAGTTTTTGGCAATTACAAATAAAGCTGCTATAAATATTTATATGCAGACTTTTGAGTGAATATAAGCTTTCTTTCTCTGGGACAAATGTCCAGGAATGCAATTGATGGGTCATATGGTAGTTGGATATTTAGTTGTTTTTTAATGAAAGTGGCTGTTTTCCAGAGTGGCTATACCAGTTTGCATTCCCAAAAGCAATGTGTGAATGATCTGGTTTCTCTGCATCCTTGCCTACGTTTGGTGTTGTCACTATTTTTTCCGTTAGTCATTCTGATGGGTATGCAGTGATATCTCTTTATGGTTTTAATTTGCATGCCATTAATGGCTAATGATGTTGAATATCCTTTCATGTGCTTATTTACCATCTCTATGTCCTCTTCAGTGAAATGTCTGTTTATGTCTTTTGCTCATTTTCCAACTGGATTTGTTTTTACTGTTTAATTTTGAAAGTTTAAAAAATATGTTCTAGATACTAGTCCTTTGTCAGGTAAGTAGTTAGCAAATATTTTTTCCTAGTCTATAGCTTGTCTTTTCGTCCTCTCCACAGGATCTTTCACAGAACAAAAGCTCATAATTTTAATGAATTTATCAGTTTTTCCTTTATGGCTTGTGCTTTTGGTGTCAAGTTTGAGAACCCTTTGTTTAGCCTTAGATCCTGTAGATTTTCTCCTATTTTTTTCTAATAGTTTTGTAATTGAACATTTGACATTTAAGTCCATGATTCATTTGGAGTTGATTTTTGTATAAGATGTGACATTTCAGTTTTAGTTTTAGTTTTTTTGTATGTATGGGTGTTCAGTTTCTCCACAGCACCATTTGTTGAAAAGCCTGTCTTTTCTCCATTGAATTGCTTTTGTACCTTTGTAAAAATCAGTTGGGCATATTTGTGTGAGTCTATTTCTGGATTCTCTATTCTGTTTCATTTATCTATGTGTCTATCACTTTGCCAGTGTTACAGTTTTTCTCTCTCTTCTTTGATTTCATGAGTGTTGTGTAGTTTCCTGCATACCAGTCTTGTACGTGTTTCTTAGATTTATACCTGCTTTTATAGCAATTATAAATAGTACAGTACTTTTGTGTCCACGTGTTCATTGCAAGTATACAGAAATACAATTGATTTGGCTGGGCGCGGTGGCTCACACCTGTAATCCCAGCACTTTGGGAGGCCGAGGCAGGTCAATCACGAGGTCAGGAGATCGAGATCATCCTGGCTAACATGGTGAAACCCCATCTCTACTAAAAAATACATGCAGCCATAGACAATATGTAAATGAATGTTTGCAGCTGTGTTCCAATAAAACTTTATTTTCAAAAACAGGCAGTGGGCCAGTTTGGTTCACTGGCTGCAGCCTATTGACCAGTGTTCTAGCTATTTTATTTATTTATTTATTTACTTATTTAGAGACAGAGTCCTACTCTGTCACCCGGGCTGGAGTGTAGTGGTGCGATCTCGGCTCACTGCAACCTCCGCCTCCCGGGTTCAAGCAATTCTCCTGCCTCAGCCTCTGGAGTAGCTGGGACTACAGGTGCCCGCCACCATGCCTGGCTAATTTTTGTATTTTTAATAGACACAGGGTTTCACCATGTTGACGAGGCTGGTCTCGAACTCCTGACCTCGTGATTCACCTGCCTCAGCCTCCCGAAGTGCTGGGATTACAGGCATGAGCTACCACGCTGGGCCTCTAGCTATTACTTTTATTCCCTCTTTATGTTTTACTATAAAATTATGGTTGTTATGATAATTAAATGAGCTAATATTTGTAACATTCTCAGAACAAGTCCTGGCAGATATTAAGCTCTACATGAGGTTAGTCTTTAGCTGTTCCTTGTCTTGCCCTCTATTCCATACACGTAAGATGCCTGAGGCTTGATGTAGGTTATTTGGAGGATATGCTCAAAGGCTAACAGGGGCCATGGTTGATGCATTTGCTCATTACTTAGGTAGGTCACTTCAACAGCATCCTTCATAAGTTTACCAGGTTCGTTTTGACCATGAGCTCCCATGAATCTTTGAGCATCTCTCTGCTTCCCTCCTCCCCAGCGAGTAATGAGGTAGGGGAACACGAATTTCTTCTGGAGTTAGATGATCTGGCCTAATCCCTGCCTCTGCCCATTTAATTTCACCTCTGAACTTATAGTGTCCTCGTATATAAAATGGGAATGATGCTCTACCCTCACAGGGTAAATGTAGAAATTAAACAAGATGATGCGTATGAAAAGTACTTTGCAAACCATAAAGTACTTTGTAACTGTTGGTAATTGTTAACATTATTAGGATGTAAGAACTCTAATTCATTCATTCCTGGGTTCTTTCCCTACCAAGTTCTCAGCCTCTGTAGCAGGAAGGGTAGCACTTACACAGGCACTAAAGACCCAACGCCCAGTTATACCCAGGGAGAAAGGAGATTGTTATTTATATAATTAGTAGTTAAAAATCAGATTATTTGTGTATGCCTTTGTTCTACTAAATGATACCTCTGCGGCTTTCCAAACTTTACATGCGCTGTGTAGTCAAAGGGGAAACAATTGACCTTTCTCTTGTTGAGGTGTGTTTATAAAATTGCCTGCTAAGTAGGAGTTAGTAATTGAAATAAAGCACATTGCAGTGAGGCTAAAAGGCTACACATTAGCAGAGCTACTGATTCTTGTAGCCTGGGACCCAGAAAGGAATTCAATTCAATGCAATTTAACCTGATTCAATAAATTGAGGTTTGCTATTTGCTGGACTTCGTGCTAGGCACAATGGATACAGAAATGACTGTAACACAGCCTCTTCTCTCCTGGAGTGCATAGCTCCATGGCGGAGACAGACAGAAACTCCAAGTTATGGTGTAGGAGGAGCTAGGCTGGAAGAAATCCTAAAGGGGAGAAAATAAACGTTTCTTCTTCATGAGCTTGTTCTCACTTCAGGCACAAGGGAGTGAGGTAGACAATGTGATTTCAGATAGTTAGGTGCTCTGAGGGGAAAAAAGAGGATAAGGTAAGAGAATACCTGGGGGTAGAAGGAACACCCCCATTTCCCTTTCCCTGGAGGGACCACTTTAAACCTGTTTAATTCTTTAGAAATGTACTTATCTCTAAATAACGTTTATAATGTTACTTCCTATTTTTTTGGTTTAGATGTTATATGTTTACTTCCCACTATGGAAGATAAGGATTTAGCTCTCTTTTTAATTTTAGTTTTTGAGATCTTACTTTTACGTGTAGAATTAAAATCTAATGAAACCCACCCGTTTTATGGTAACTTAGAGTAGCCCTTGCACCGGTGGCCACTGTCCACCTCTTCAGCCTAAGCCGGTACTGCATTTCCCACTGCTCTTTGGCCATGTTGGCCTCCTCTCGTTTTTTTAAATTTGTTTTGTTTTTGTTTTTGAGACAGAGTCTCACTCTGTTGCCCAGGCTGGAGTGTAGTGGCGCAATCTCAGCTCACTGCAACTTCCGCCTCTAGGGTTCAAACTATTCTCGTGCCTTAGCCTCCCAAATAGCTGGGACTACAGGTGCCTGCCACCACACCCAGCTAATTTTTGTATTTTAATAGAGATGGGGTTTCTCCATGTTGGCCAGGTTGGTCTCGAGCTCCTGGACTCAAGCGATCCCCCTGCCTTGGCCTCCCAAAATGCTGGGATTATAGGCGTGAGCCACCACTCCCAGCCAATGCTATTGTAATTAACTATTTTATTTTTCTTAAGTTTCACATTCAGTGTTAAAAAAAGAAGAACATTATAAAAATACCCATAATAGCTTAAGTTTGTAGAGCTTCCCCTCCCTGTTCCCAGCTATCTTATGTGAAATGGACCCAGGAAGAGCCACATGTATTTTAGGCATACGCAACCTAGTCCTAGCACATAGGATGCACACAGCAAAAATTTGTAACATTAAAAAATAAAAAGTTTTCTTATGGTGACCATAGAAATTATAGCCACAAATCCCAGGCAAAGATTGAGAAAAGAGACAGACATCTAGGAGATTTTGGCTTTTGAGAACTAACCAAAGAAAGTCAAAGTTTCTCTTCTATCAGGAGGGCAGACAATGTTTTGAAGTGTTTGCAGGTGATTCAGGAACTCAGAGAAGTCAGCAATTCAGAGAGAGCCTGTGGTCCTACCCAGGATGAGAGAAGCTGGGCAACCGGGCAGCTTGGAGTCTCTCACTTGCTGGTTTGGGCTTTGTTCCAAAAACTCCCAATTCTTCTGAAGATCTGCTTGCACTCTCTTTTTCCCAGTGGCTGAGTCATGGCCTTCAGAAGGCCCTAGATATTTGGAAAGCCTCCAGAAGGCCCCAGTTCCATTTTACATTTATGGAGTGCTTCCTGCATGTAAAGCCTTATGTCAGGCCACAAGAGAATATACGGTCAGGTAGAAAGATCAGTGGGCAGACTGAGCAAGGTTCTAGCCCTTACTTTATCCTTGTGTTCTTGTTCAAATTATTCTCTGAGCCTTGGTTTCTAATGATATAAATCAAGAATATTTTTACTGCTTGTACAGTAGATCACATTGTGTTCTGTATAGATGGTGCCTCCTAAAATACATGACTTCAATGATCTTAGGTTTATGCATGGACCCAGGTGGAATTTGGATTCCTTATGCTTATGACCTGAACTGGAAGGCCAAGATGTGCCCGTTTCAGAGAATAACACAGTGGTTGCTCAGATCATCCATTCCTCACAGAAGCTTCTTTTTCTTCTCCCCTGTCCAGCTTTATTAAGGCATAATCAATAAATTAAAATTATATATATATGTATGGTGTACAACTTGATGTTTTAGTGTATGTACACATTGTGAAATGATTAGATTGAGTGAATTAGCATGCCCTTGTCTCACATGCTTATCATTTTTTTTGTGGTGAGAACATTTAAAATCTACTTTGTTAGCAATTTTCAAGTATATAGCAGCCCATTATTAACTGTAGTCACCACACTGCACAATAGATCTCCAGAACTTATTCATCCTGCATAACTGACATTTTGTACCCTTGAACAAATGTCTCCCCAGAAGCTTCTTAAGACTCAAGCCCATGACAATCACTGGCCTCCTTTGTAGATCTCTTGCTCTGGTAACCCTAAGATGCCTACAGCTTGTGTTTTGTCAACCACAGGGCATGGTGAGCCATGGTTGATCCCAAAACCTCGTGTAAAATTTCTTAGCACTGAGATCCGGGGCCCTGGTGTCTCTGCACTGTTTCTCTGATCTGCCCACTTCTTGCTTTGACTGATCTTTAAAAAAGACTGTCAAAGGTGGACTTTCTTCTGCAGTGGCCACTGAAGCTCTTCCCTTTCAATCAGACCTTTCCTAGCACAGATGAAAACTCAGCTCCTCCAAGGAGCATAGGAAAAGTTACCTAAAGGGATAGCCCTGCTCAGATGTGTAAAGTTTACATGTTAGTCATACCAAGTTTATAAAAGCAAGCATACCTACTCTGGAAGAAGGAAACTGGAAGACCTGCTGCACCTTTTACCTGAGATAAATAGCTGGGGGATGTTGCAACAACCCTGAACCCCTTCTGGGAAAGGGTGCGCTGTTTATCTTTGGAGTCCGCCAGCATGGTGGTGAATGCTAAGGCTGCAAGCTCCACACCCTTTTTGCATTGCTTCCTTCTGACATGCAGCCTCTTGCTGTCAGGTCCCAGCCTGCAGTGCCACAGTGGGCTGCTGGACAGGAGAAATGGTACTTTTCATGTGGTCAGTGTGGGCTTCCGTCCAGCAAGGCAACACTGTGCGTCCTTTGAGGCTTGATTTCTTTAGTTTTTGGAGCTAAGCCAAATGGCAGTGCCAGGGAGAAGGCACTGCCCTGTAATGTGTGGATGCTCTTGTCAGTCAAGGCTAAAAAGACTCCAGCTAGGACATTTCTGGTGAAAGGTGCTTTTCAGCCCTGGGGCATTTGCATTCTGAGTGAGGGCCCAGCCCGATGGAAGAGGACCTCCCTGTGTGTAGGAGCAAAGTTTCACTCATAATCAAATCTATGGGAGGTAGGGGGTAGAAAGAGGGGTGAGAGAGAGGAAAATCCTAGTTGTGGCTATTCTGGCCCCGTTCAGAAATGGCTCACTCATTGAGGGGGACACTTTCCTGGAATTCCTTCTCTTCAGACTTGAAGGTATGAAAAACTATGAAAAAAAAAAAGGAAGAAAAAGAAAAAATGGAACATAAAGGAAAACAGTACTTTTAGGCATTCTCCTCTTTGGGAAGTTGGCGCTAGTCACACACACTAACTAGAAATCTCTGTTTACATCATGCAGACACAATGGGCTGAAAGTGAACCAAGCAACGAGATCTCTGTGTGTGTGTGTCTCTCTGTCTCTGTCTCTGTGTCTCTTACACTATCTCTCTCTGTTTCTCTGTATCTCTTTCTGTGTTTCTCTATCTCTCTGTGTCTCTGTCACTGTTTCTCTTTCTCTGTCTCTGTCTGTTTCCCTGTCTCTGTGTCTCTGTCCCCCTCCCTTTGCATATGTGTGTATGGGTTCCAATGGACCAATAGCCAGTTCTCTTTTGTTTTGATTTTATTTTAGTAAAAAGCAAAGAAAGTCCCTGATAAATAAAGCTGAATTAATGGGAATTGTCTCATCTATTCCTGAATGCAGTCTTCAGAACCAGACAGAAATGGATTCAAATTATGTTTGGCAGCTTCATGACTTTGGCTAATTCATATAATCTCCCTGAATACCAGGTGAGAATTTGTCACTGATAAAATTAGACTATCAAGCCTGGTTCATGGTTGGGTGGTGCGATTAGATGAGGTAGCTGTGTAAAGCTCCTTAGCTCAGTGGGGGATGTGTGGAAGTGAGGCTGCAGGAAGAGACATTGGCTTGGGCTGGCAGCCTTGGAAGCCGTAGGAAGTGTCTTGTTTTTATTCCCAAAGCAAAGAGAAATCAGCAAAGGTTTTAAAGAAGCTAGTGAGGGGTGGTTTTGATGTGGAGAAGGCATTGTTGAGGGTGGGAAGGGCCAAGACCAGAGGTGGGGGGACCTATTAGGAATTACTGCAGTGGCCCAAGTGACTTGACATTCTAGGGGCTTTGATTTTGATTTCCTGGCTTTTGGCACTGCACCTGTTCCTAACTCTGTGAAAAGATTTGACCTTCAGGTTCCTAATCTTTGACCCACCCTGTTACTAAGCTTACTCCTGGATTAAATGAAGCTCTGGTTCAGTTTTGTTAATTCAGTATTTACTAAGTACCTATCATGTGCTAAGAACTCTACTGGCTGAATATAGAGTTTAATGTAGAAACAGTAAATAGGTTTCAACTACTCACTGGTAGAGTCTGTATTGAAAGGATTAAGAGGGCCAGGATTGATTAGCCATGTTTGCTGTGGGTGAGGAGAGTGCTGGCAGCATGTTTGTCACACATTTGCCATCTCCGATCCAGTGACTCCCACCTCCTATATTCCACCCTCGCTTGATCCTGGCTCTCCTCAGACCATCTTCTTATCTTCAAAGAGTTCCCATGAGTCTGGACACAGTAGCAAGCGTCTGTAGTTGCTGCTTGCCTAGGAAGTATTGGAAAAGAGGCATTCTTTCAGCATGGAGACTGCTAAACCAGAAGTGTGTTAGCTGACGAGGGCATCCACATGGAGAGAACATGCCAGGCAATAAGCAGAGATGAAGACAGAGTTAAGAGATGCAGAGGCTGAGCAGGAGTGACCATCCAGGCCTGGAGCCAGTAACACCAGAAGCGCTCATCATGGGAGAGGTATGGATGTGTGTGCCCACAAATGGGGTGAATTGTGTGTCCTGGAAAGGCTTGAAACTTGTGTGTCCTGGAAAGGCTTGAATAGAGAGTGGAGCAATGGCAGGGTAAGGTGGGGAGCTCAGTAAACAAATGGCAACTAAGGTGGACTTATGAACATGTGAATGTTTTTTGGCAGATTTTCAGAAGAAGTTGGGAAAGGGAAACCACATAGACTAAACTTTATATCACACCAGAAGAATGCTTGAATTATTGCTTTTTGGAATAGGAAAGAGAAGAATGAAATATAATTACAGTTTGGGGCAGCTAAAAGTGGGTGTGCCTCCCCCATGCTCTTTCTTTTCCAATCATAGGGCTGGAAGTAAAGGGCTTTGGGAAGGCCAAGTTACAAGGCAGAAGCCTTCTGGGTTCCTGAGCCAGCCTCTTTGAGAAGGAGAGCTGCTTGGAAGAGTCACCCAACACATATAATACTCTGATGAGAAACTAACTTCAGGTGCTGTACTACTGAATATTTGAGGTCACAGCCTCACAGGCTATTACAGCCTATTCTACAGTGGCCAGAAAGGGCTAAAATTTCCAGAACCCCAGCATTTAGAATGGATTATTTATATACTGCCCATTAAAAAATCTCTACCACTTATTTATTCACACAATGCTCATTTTAGCAATAATGCAGTTAAGTTAGGCCATGATTTGACGAGATGAAGACTTTCACTATTGCTTACATTATAAGTTGCTGGAGGGTTTTGGAAAGCAATTTGGCAATATTTATCAATTGTCTTAAAATATTCATACTCATTGTGCTAGTCATTCTACTTCTAGCAGTCTAGCCTAAAGAAACAATGAGAAATGTGAGAAATGTGTGAAATAATAATGTATGCAGACATTTATGACCATCATTGAAACAAAATACATTTTTATCAGTATCAGAATGGTAGGAAATTTTGGTACCTGCACAAAATACAATATTATGTGTCATTTACATTTGTGTTTATGAAGACATTCTAATGGCATGAAGAAGTGTTTAGATTATAATGTCAGTGAGATATCAGGAAACAGAACCGTATAAAGCCCTACTTACTCTGTGTGTAAGAAACTCCTATTTATAGGAAAAATAGAATAAATACAATTTAACAATTAACAGTGTTTTTTTAATGCAATTTAACAATTAACAGTGTTTTTTTCTTACTGATAGGATTATATGAGATTTTTATTTTCTTCTGTATACATTCCTGTATTTTCCAGTTTTAAAAAATGTCCATTTTTTTGTAGTGAAGGAAAAGATCACAAAAAAACTTTATTTTAAAGTGTTATGCCCAGGTTGAGGCTGTCATGAGGTTCTCAAAGCACTTCCTGCAATATATTCAAGAGACGATTTTTACCCAGTCTCTAAATGTAGTGCTGCTCTGATGGTCACTAAATGCTTAATCAGAAAAGCTTCCAGTTCTTTATTGCTGGTCAAGCGTCTGAGCATGTAATAAAGGGAGTAACCCAAGTATGATTTCTGCAAGGTGGAGAGACTTTTGCAAGTAGTGCTCACTTGCACCTAACCTCTGACCTCCCCTGTGAAAAGCAAGACACAGGGAGACGAGGGAGTGCTCAGGTGAAAGTTGGCATGGGGTGGGTTGAGGTGGGTGAAGAAGAGCAAGAGGGGAAAAGGTCAAGAAAGAGCATACAGGCAGCAGATCTTGAAGGAGAAAAATAACTATACTTCCAGCATTGCATAGGTGTCCATAGGGAATTTGCAACAGGATAATCAGAGTTATTGAATTACAGGTAAAAGATACTTGAATAATTGCAGGCAACGAGACCGAGAGTTCTCCATAAGGAGTATAAAAGCCCTGACATCTAAAGGTGTGTGTTTTGATGTAATGGACCCAGATTAGAATTACCTAATAACAATAATAATGGTAATCACAATAATAGTACAAAATGAGTTGAGCGTCCACGTAGAACCAGACAACATATTTCCTCTACCCTAAAGAAGAGGAATCAGATATTAATGTCGCATCAGCGTTGTATTGCTTTTAGCATTTGTTTTCATGTTCCACTGTAGCCCAAGAAATATAAATGAGAATGTTTGATGGAGAAAAAAATTGGGCGTGGGCCTTCCCTGTAATTAACATCCTTAGAACAGCGTAGTGAGTTGGAGGAGTAGGTGAAGCGCATAGAGTCAACGGCTTCATCTATGCCTCATTAATTCATTAATTCATTCACTCACTCATTTGGCCCATGTGTGCTGAGAATCCCCTGAAATGTGCTAGGCCCTGGAGACAGAGAGATGACTCCTTCCCATTTTCAATGAGCAACGGATCTAAAGGAGAAACAACCATGCAAATAAACTAACTCTTTTTTTTTTTTTTTTTTTTTTGAGACGGAGTCTCGCTCTGTCGCCCAGGCTGGAGTGCAGTGGCGGGATCTCGGCTCACTGCAAGCTCCGCCTCCCGGGTTCACGCCATTCTCCTGCCTCAGCCTCCCAAGTAGCTGGGACTACAGGCGCCCGCCACTACGCCTGGCTAATTTTTTTTGTATTTTTAGTAGAGACGGGGTTTCACCGTTTTAGCCGGGATGGTCTCGATCTCCTGACCTCGTGATCCGCCCGCCTCGGCCTCCCAAAGTGCTGGGATTACAGGCGTGAGCCACCGCGCCCGGCCTAAACTAACTCTTATACAGTGTGGGAAGTGCTGTAATTGTAAGTGTGCAAAGTGTAGGGTGCACACCCTCCATGGGTAAGTGTACTCATGGATATGTAGGAGTTTTCCAGGTCAAAGGAGGAGAAAGGGAGTTCCAGGCAGTGGCAGGAAGCATGCCATGCAAAGCCAGAGAGGTGAGGGGCAGAACATGTCTGGGAACTGAAAGATATTTGGTGTGGTTGGAGTTTACATGTGGGGAATGACAGCCTGTGACTCTGAAGCTGGACTGAGAATGGCCTGCATGCAACGGCAGTTCTTAACCTTGGCTGAGCATTGGTGGGGGAGTTTTAAAAATATTTATGTTTGGGTCCTACCCAGAGATTCTGATTGAATTGAACTGGCAAATGGCTTGGACGTTGGGACCTTAAAAGCTCCCCAGGGGACTCTAATGTGCAGCCAGGGCTGAGAACTGTTGCTTAAGGAGATGGAAAAATCATTGAATTATTTAATCAATTTATGTTTTCATAATATTACTTTGGCAGTACTATGGAGCTCAGAGACTGGTGGCAGGGAGGCAAGTGAGAGAGTAAGTACAAATGTCCAGATGAGAGAGGATGAAGGCTTTAAATAAGACATTGGCAATGAGGAAGGAGAGGAGGAACAAGATATAAGAGATCTGAGTGGATAGAATTGATACAATGGAGTGGGAGGAAGGAGAAAGAACAAAAACAGATATTCAGATTTCTTGAGTAAATACTGGTGTCATCACTGAAATGTGAAGCATAGGTGAAGAATAGGGTTGGTACATGATTAGGTGTTTGGAAAACAGGGGCGGAGACAATAAGTTCAATTCATCTCTTGCTGAGTTAGAGATGGCCATTTAAACCTTTCCATCTTTCAAGGTCTCGCCGTCACTTTATAGGCTTTTCCAGCTGCATGGAGAGTGAGGATTGGATTGTTCAATATCCATGCCAATCTTCTCAATGCTTTCTTATAATGCAGAGGCTGGAAGGGAAAGTCTGTATTTGCCAGACCCAATACAGCTAGAGTTCTGCATGAGATTTAGGCTCTGCCAATCAGACATATCCACATGAGATGCAAAAGGCAGAAGTGAAATACGGCGAGACAGAAGCTACACTTCATCTGTTTCAGGTGGCAAGCATGTTCATGCAGGCCTTTGGAGTTGGACTTTTGTTTGTTCGTTTGTTTTGTTTTGTTTTCCTTTTTTTTTTTTTCGCATTTGAACAGAGGTTGCACTGCCCTTCTCTTACTTTACAAAGGAAAGAGGGCACCTATCATCCATCCCAATTTTATTATAGGATTTTGCCCCAGAGTGAAAAATCCTCCTGGGTTCCAAAGAAGGGGACAATTTCAAATATTAGTATTTATGAAACCTCCTTTATTTGTTACTGGGCTTTATATCTTCTCCTGCCTAGTACATATTTTCATTAAGAGAAAAGTGTGGCTTTTAGGGAGGTGTGGCTTTACACATAGGGATGTTATAAATTCAGATGTATTGTAGAGTGTTACAGGAGGGAGGAGTGACACTTTTCACTTAACCACTTCTCTGGAGCAAATATTATCAAGGAATGCCTTACTTCTGACAGCAAATCCTGTTAGAATACAGCAGAGAGTGCAGGTGAGAAGTAATAGAAGCAGCTGGGCCTGTCTCCTCTCTAACCAATACACACAGGGCAAGGCTCCAACATCTCTCTCTCTCTGTCTCCCTCCTGTAGATTTAGAATGCTCAGCATTCATAAAAATCATGCTGGGAAATATTCATTTCCTAGGAAGTGTGCTCTCTCTGCATTTTCTTTATTTTTTTGCAAAGGGAAAGAGCTTGGAGATAACTCTCATTCATTTGGTCTTGGTCCATGTCTCATTTGCATGTTCTGTATTTCAAGGAAAAGGAGGTGATAAGTTTCATGTTTAACTTAAAAAACAAACCAACGTTACCTTTTTTAAAGTAAAAATAACACATAAGAAGTGAGAAGTGTTTTATATTATTGTGAACACTTATCTAGACTCCTTTTTGTTTGCTTTTACCAAAAGATTATCAGATAAATTGAACACCTATTTCACTGGAAATAAAAATAAATAAAACCTTCAATGTAGTCTTAGTTTTGCTGCGGAAAAGATATTGAGTAATAAGTTTCTTTAAAATAGGTTAAAATGATATACTAGGTTAAAATACAGTATGTGGAATGAAATGAAAGTCGAAATTTAAGAAGAGCAAGCAACAATGTTAAATGTTTGTCAGCTAACATAGATTTGCATACATACAGTACTTCATAAGACTATGGTGGGAATTGAGGTGTAGAATATTTACATCCCACTGGATACATTTACAATAATCATATGTCAGTTTAATTTTAAAAATTAATATGGGCAATGTACCATAAATTACATGATTTGCAGCTGCTTAATGATGAAATATTATAGATGTCAACTTAAAAATGTGCAAATGCATATAGGTTTTCAAAATTCTTTTAGAAAGTATGACAGTAAAAGAAAAATGTGAAGACCACTTATACAAGGACAAGTCTACAGAGCTTCTTGACAGCTTCAACCCACTCCCCCTTCCACCTCACTGACCCTGGAAAGAAGAGTCTGGGTGGGATCAGGGAATGCAAATTAACTTTAACATTAGCCTGAGAAAAATGCCACTGGAAGCACCAGCCTGCTGCGAGGACCATTATTCTGATACATCCCACACTAACACAAAAGGAGAGACTCCAGGTCCTTGGCTGTATGATTCACGCCTACAGTCCCCTCTCTCAGGCTAATCCAGACTTGACAAAAAATGAAAAGTGTGGGCATGTCTTGTGCTGGTATGTCTCACACACGTCACTACACCATTTACACACGGCTGACTTTACTGCCATTTACAACTTTCAGGTACAAGCAGGAACATGCTAGTCTGTGTATTAATTGCTATTTGGATAAGTGTTCTGGGTTTATGAATAGCTGCATATGATGGAGAAAGTGAAAAATGGGTCAATGACATGCTTTTCTTCACCTTTCTTTTTTCTGGCTTTGGTTCTCAGCTCAAAGCTTCCCTACTTTACCTGCCCACATTGGCCACATCTGGCTCTTGTGAATTAAAAGCTTTTAAAACCCAGGAGGTTTCACTCACTAAGGCTTTTAGAGTGGTCTCCAGGCGATTGTGGCCTCAAATTGTCTGCCTGTCCATGATTTAGAAACCCCACTGAGATTCTGCCATCTTCAAGTCTTTGTTAGAGAGCCAAAGCCCTCCAGGCAGCTTCCCAAGACGTCGGCACCTTGGCAACGCCCTGGTTTGAACACGATTTTAATAGCAACTAATTCCCTAGGCTGTGGCATTGCCGCAAGTGGCTCATCATTTTACAGGCAAGTTTCAACAGTCGTGTAACCAGATGAGAATATTTTCCCAAACAATAGGGTTGTGACAGAAAACAACTAAGGCATGTCAGGGGGACAGCTGCAAGGTGGGTCACAAATGGAAAATGGGATGAATTATCTACTTTCTGGAGTGATTACTTATTTAAATCTGTAATAGTTTCTAAGGGAAGGGAGTTGTTTGCAACTATGGGCAGATTTTTTGGAATATTTGTAACATGCAAGAAGGAGTTTATATTCAAGGAAAATAGCTGCCAGTGGGTGTAGATTATTAGAAGAATTACTCTCCAGTTCCAACCCAAGTTTTGAATGGAAGAAAAAGTCGCTACCCAGAAGCTCTGGCTGGACACACTGGCCTGAAGCAGCAAATTCATCCCTTGGTTTTGATATGCTATCATGTCATCCTTCCCTCTGCACTGTCATCTGCCTGAAGGATCATTGAAAATCCTGATGCTGCCTTGGGGATTCTGATGATCCACTGGTTCAGGATTTTGCCCCATGAATCCTTGTCCTAATGTACCAAGGACTGTGTGCCCAAGGATGGGATGTTTAATTTCTGCAAAATCGATCTCTAAAATATATGGTACTACTCAAACACCTGTCATTTACCTTATAGCCCATTATAAACTAACTCCCAAGTTCATTTAAACCCACATAGACTCTAGTTGAAGGTTCAGCTCAGGTTACCTCTAAAGATATGAAAGCACAGATGACATGTACGAAGGGATGCTCACAAAAAGGCCACCCTTTATTGCATTCATTTCTCATGACAGTAATCACTACTTGAAAATGTGTTTGTGGCATGCTCTTTAAACACAGCAAAGTGAATTCTCATTTTAGGGCTACTAAGTGAATATTCTTATCCCCATTTCTCCAGGTGAAGATGATGATTAAATCAGAGTTGACAGAATTTTCCCCCAAGTGACTGGCTTCTACGAAGCAGAGCCTAGTTCGTCTGACTCTGAAGCCTGGGTCCTTTCCACCACATCCACTACATTTGCTGCCATTAACTCTTCTTTTCCTGAACTTGGGTAATAAGTCCACAGTCCTAACCATGTGCCTTGTGATTTTGTAGACTTTGGCAACATCATCTCTGAGCATTTCCAACAATAGAGTCCTGTTTGTCTTAGAATCGATGGGCAGGTAGGGACTCAGCTGCAACTTCTCTCAGTTGCCCTTCTCTGGAATTTCTCCAGCTCTGCCAATTTTTCCTTGAATTTTGATGGCCAGGCCTGCAACAAGTTCTCCAGGGGCTAATGCCCACCCCACTTCTGGTGCAAGGATAGGAGCCATCTCTTGCTTGTATTTTTTTTTTTTGCTTTTTTTTGCTTTTTTTTTTTTTTTTTTTTTTGAGATGGGAGTTTCCCTTTTGTTGCTCAGGCTGGAGTGCAATGGCCTGGTCTCGGGTCACTGCAACCTCTGCCTTCCGGTTTCAAGTGATTCTCCTGTCTCAGCCTCCCAAGTAGCTGGGATTACAGGCACCCACCACTACGCCTGGCTAATTTTTGTATTTTTTAGTAGAGACAGGGTTTCACCATGTTGCTCAGGCTGGTCTCAACTCCTGACCTCAGGCAGTCGACCCACCTCAGCCTCCTAAAGTGCTGGGATTACAGGTGTGAGACACCGCGTCCAGCCTCTTGCTTGCATTTTAATTTCCAACATTGGCCACAAAATTCCAAAATTTTTGAGCTTGAAAAAAGCTTAGTTGTCATCTATCCCAATGGTATTCACACTTAAGTATGCAACAGACTCATCTGGGGGCCTTGTTATCTATTAGCTAGCTATTGCTGTGTAACAAATTACTCCAAAAATTAGCAGCTTAAGATAACACACATTCTTGTAAATTTGTTTCCCATCAACAAGTGGGTTAAGGATATGAACAGACACTTCTCAAAAGAAGACATTTATGCAGCCAAAAGACACATGAAAAAATGCTCACCATCACTGGCCATCAGAGAAATGCAAATCAAAACCACAGTGAGATACCATCTCACAACAGTTAGAATGACAATCATTTAAAAAGTCAGGAAACAACAGGTGCTGGAGAGGATGTGGAGAAATAGGAACACTTTTACACGTTGGTGGGACTGTAAACTAGTTCAACCATTGTGGAAGACAGTGTGGCAATTCCTCAGGGATCTAGAACTAGAAATACCATTTGACCCAGCCATCCCATTACTGGATATATACTCAAAGGATTATAAATCATGCTGCTATAAAGACACATGCACATGTATGTTTATTGCGGCACTATTGACACTAGCAAAGACTTGGAACCAACCCAAATGTCCATCAATGATAGACTGGATAAAGAAAATGTGGCACATATACACCATGGAATACTATGCAGCAATAAAAAAGGATGAGTTCACATCCTTTGTAGGGACATGGATGAAGCTGGAAACCATCATTCTGAAGAAACTATCGCAAGGACAGAAAACCAAACACCGCATTTTCTCATTCATAGGTGGGAATTGAACAATGAGAACACTTGGACACAGGAAGGGGAACATCACACACTGGGGCCTGTTGTGGGGTGGAGGGAGGAGGGAGGGATAGCATTAGGAGATATACCTAATGTCAATGACAAGTTAATGGGTGCAGCACACCAACATGGCACGTGTATACATATGTAACAAACCTGCATGTTGTGCACATGTACCCTAGAACTTAAAGTATAATAAAAAAAGATTTATTTCAAAAAAAGATAACACACGTTCATTGTCTCACATAGTGTCTGTGGGTCGGGAATCCAGAAATGGCTTAGCAGAGTTGTTCTGGCTCAGGGTCTCTCTGAAACTGCAATCAAGGTGCTTGTTGGGCCTGCAGTTATCTGAAGACTTGAATGGGGCTGAATGAACCATTTCCAAATGGGCTCACATACATGGCTCAAGGTGAGATCTCTGTTTCTCACCACATGGGCCTCTCCATAAGGTTGCTAGAATATCCTAAAGACCTGGAAGCTGGCTTTCCCAAAGCCAGTAATCCAAGAAAGAGATCAAGAGAATGATCAAGCCATAGTGTAATTTGTAATCTAATCTCGGAAGAGATAGCCGTAACTTCTGATGCATTTTAGTCATCAGACAGATCAATTCTGGTACCAGGTGGAATAGGACTACACAAGAGTATACATTCCAGGAGGTGGACATCATTGGAGACCATCTCGGAGTCTGGCTATCACAGCTGGTCGAAACACAGATTTCTAGGTTCTGTCTGCAGAGTTTCTGATTTGAGGTGGGGCTCAAGACTTTTCAAAAACTGTTTCAGGTGATGCTGATGTTACTCATCTAGGACACACACTTTGAGAACCACTGATCCACCACATATTCTGATTTTATAGATAAAATCAAGTCCCTCAAAGACGGGAAAAATGGTGAGCAGGAAGTATACCAATAATTATTGAATACCTACTATGTATCAGGCACTAGGCAGTAGCCTTTACATATGTTTTCTTTTTTAACACAACAAACCCTGTGTATTACTCACCACTTCATGAATGAGGAAACTAAAATGAAGGATCAAGTAGATCAAGTAGGCTTTATCCCTGGGATGCAAAGTTGGTTCAACATGCACAAATCAATAAATGTGATTCATCACATAAACAGAAAATGAAGACAAAAACCTCATGATTATCTCCACAGATGTAGAAAAGGCTTTTGATAAAACACCCCTTCATGTTAAAAACTCTCAATAAACTAGGCATTTAAGGAACATACCATTAAATAATAAGAACCATCTGTGACAAACACACAGCCAACATCGTACTGAGTGGGCAAAAGCTGGAAGCATTCCTCTTGAAAACCAGCAGAAGACAAGGGTGCCCTCTCCCACCACTCCTATTTAACATAGTATTGGAAGTCCTGGCCAGAGCAATCAGGCAAGAAAAATAAAGGGCATCCAAATAGGAAGAGAGGAAGTCACACTATTCTTGTTTTCAGTTGACATGATTCTATGTCTAGAAAACCCCGTAGTCTCAAACTGAAAGCTCTTTCAACTGATAAACAACTTTAGCAAAGTTTCAGAATACAAAACCAATGTGCAAAAATCACCAGCATTCCTATAAGCTAACATCAGCCAAGCTGAGAGCCAAATCAGGAATGTAATCCCCTTCACAACTGCCACAAAAAGAATAAAATACCTAGGGATACAGCTAACCAGGGAGGTGAAAGATCTCTACAACGACAATTACAAAACGCTGCTCAAAGAAATCAGAGATGACACAAACAAATGGAAAAACATTCTATGCTTATGGATAGGAAGAATGAATATCATTAAAATGGCCATACTGCCCAAAGCAATTTATAGACTCAATGCTATTCCTATTAAACTACCAATGACATTCTTCACAGAACTAGAAAAAAACTACTTTAAAATTCATATGGAACCAAAAAAGTGTCCAAATAGCCAAGGCAATCCTAAGCAAAAAGAATAAAGCCAGAGGCATTACATTATCTGACTTCAAACTATACTGCAAGGCTACAGTAACCAAAACAGCATGGTATTGGTATGAAAAGAGACACATAGCCCAATGGAAAAGAATAGAGAGCCAGAAATAAGACCACACACCTACAGCTATCTGATCTTTGACAAAGCTGACAAAAAGAAGCAATGGGGAAAGGACTCTTTTTTCAATAAGTGGTGCTGGGATAACTGGCTAGTCATATGCAAAAGATTGAAACTGGACTCCTTCCTTACACCATATACAAAAATCAACTTAAGATGGATTAAAGACTTAAAAACCCAAAACTATAAAAACACTGGAAGACAATGTAGGTAATTCCATTCTGGACATAAGAATGGGCAAACATTTCATGACAATGACAACAAAAGCAAAAATTGACAAATGCATTCCAGTTAAACTAAAGAGCTTCTGCACAGCAAAAATAAACTATCAACAGAGTGAACAGACAACCTACAGAATGGGAGAAATTTTTGGCAAACTATGCATCTGACAAAGGCCTGATATCCAGCATCTATAAGGAACTTAAACAAATTTCCAAAAATACCCAAACCACCCCATTAGAAAGTGGCCAAAAGGACATGAACACTTTTAAAAAGAAGACATACATGTGGCCAACCATCATATGAAAAAAAGCTCAACATCACTCATCGTTAGAGAAATGCAAATTAAAACAAGGAAGGCCCAGTGTTGTGGCTCATGCCTATAGTCCCAGCACTTTGGGAGGCTGAGTTGAGCAGATTGCTTGAGCTCAGGAGTTCGAGACCAGCTTGTGCAACATCGCTACAAAAAACCCAACTCTACAAAAATACAAAAATTAGCCAGGTATAGTGGTGCTTTCCTGTACTTCTGGCTACTCAGGAGGCTGAGGTGGGAGGCTCACTTAAGCCTGGGAGGTGGAGGTTGCAGTGAACTGAGACTGCCCTCCAGCCTGGTAACAGAGTGAGACCCTCTGTCTCAGAAAAAAAAAAAGAAAAGAAAATCACAGTGAGATACCATCTCACATCAGTCAGAATTACTATTATTAAAAAATCTAAAAATAACAGATGTTGGTGAGGTTGTGAAGAAAAAGGAACACTTATACACTGTTGATGGAGTGTAAATTAGTTCAACCAATGTGGACAACAGTGTGGCAATTCCTTAGAGACCTAAAAACAGAAATACCATTCAACCCAGCAATCCCATTACTGGGTATATATCCAAAGGAATATAAATAATTCTACCATAAAGATACATGCACACATATATTCATTGTAGCACTATTTACAATAGCAAAGACATGGAATCAACCTAAATGCCCATCAATGGTAGACTGGATAAAGAAAATGTGATACATATAAATCATGGAATACTATGCAGCCATGAAAAAGAACGAGATCATATCCTTTGCAGGAACATGGATGGAACTGGAGGCCCTTATTTACAGCAAAGTAATGCAGGAACAGAAAACCAAATACTGCATTTTCTCACTTATAAGTGGAAGCTAAATGATGAGAACACATGGACACATAGAGGTGAACAACACACAGTGGACCCTATTGGAGGTTGGAGATTGGAAGGAGGGAGAGGATCAGGAAAAATAACTAATAGGTACTAGGCTTAATACCTGGGTGATGAAATAATCTGTACTACAAATCTCCATGACACAAGTTTACATATATAACAAATCTGCACGTGTACCCCTGAACTTAAAATGAAAGTTAAAAGAAAGAAAGATTAAGTAACTTTCCCAAGTTCATATATAGTTACTGACAGGGACATGATTAGAACCCGGATCTCCTGACTCCGAAGTCAAAGTGTTTTGTACCACCCAATAGCCCCAAATCTATTATTCCATTATTATATGTAGGTTATTTTCCTTGAAAATGCATTAGCTGTGTTATTATGGCCCTATCACACAAAACTAGAGAATCACCATGTAAATTGTACCCATTGAATTGCAGCACATAGGCTAAAAATTGACCTTAGTTTCATTTAAAGACTTAGAGATTCAACATTCATGCTGCTTTCTAAGTCTTGTAGGACATATCTAAGAAACATCAGTTCCAGCCGGGATCCCCACAGGACTCTGACAATTATGCCAATTACTCAAAGGATGTAACCTCACCCTGTTCAAGTGCAAGTCTCCTAAAAGCCCCGTGACTTAGGCTCATCATTTGTAAAATAGGAAGGAAAATAACCTCTTCCTTGCTCCCCTCATAAGGTTATTGTAAGAATTCAATGAAGCAATATATGTAAATTTCTTTGCAAACCTCTAAGTGCCTTGCTCATAGAAGATGCTATTGTTATTGCTGCATTTTTTTAATCCAGTGTCTGCTTATTTCTATTCTTGTGTTTTTATCTCCTATTTTTACAAACAGGATGTTGGACTTTATCGAAAGCCATTCAGGCATTCATTGAGATGATTATCTAACTCTTCTTATATAACAGGCATTTTTCAGGTAGAATCAGCTCTAGGGTAAGAATTTTAAAAAATTAAAAAGAGGGAAAAAGCAATCTTTTACACCATGCAAAGCTCTCACCTAAGTGTTTAGCTTACACACGTTGCATAACAAGTCTGTAAGGGTAAAATCTATATCTCCGTGTTAGATGTAGGAGATAAGAAAAACAAACCTGAGGTCATTCCTTTACAATAGGATTTGACTTTAAGCTTCCTCAGTATAGTAAAATTACTCAGCACAGTACATGGCTCAGAAAATGTTCAATGAATGAAGACTTTCAAATACTGCCCTGATGCATCTATTGGTGATTATCAGGACCACCCCACCACCATATTGGATGGGCCTTTGGAATCAGATATTTGGAAAGCAGCCATAGGAGGGAGGCTTACAAATCCTTACTTCTCAGCATGGAGCATGGTGGAAAGATGTTCTCTCATAGAGATTCAGATTTATATTAAGTCTGTTGTTGCTGACTTTTTCCTGTATTATGGATGATATTGGGAGCAGAATTTCCTGATGATGACCATTTGACATTTTATTAGAACATCCAGAAAATGCAATGGTCACTAGGAGGCAGCATGGATTAACTAAGAACCAAATTGCTTGGGGGCAGGATTATAAGATGTGTAGATTAAGAAAATATCAAAACAGCATTATAAATAATGTATTTTTAAAAATTAATGATGTTTTAAAGAACATATTTTAATTGTAATTAATGTATTTATTTTTGATGCCTCAACAGCTTTATTAAGTGCTTTTTTTTCTTTTTTTTTTTTGAGAAGAGTCTCGCTCTGTCACTCAGGCTGAAGTGCAGTGGCACGATTTCAGCTAACTACAACCTCCGCCTCCTGGGTTCAAGCGATTCTCGTGCCTCAGCCTCACAGGTAGCTGGGATTACAGGCATGTACCACCATGCCCAGCTAATTTTTTTTCCTTTTTTTTTTTTTTTTTTTTAAGTAGAGATGGGGTTTCACCATGTTGGCGAGGCTGGTCTCAAACTCTTGACCTCAAGTGAGTCACCTGCTTTGGCCTTCCAAAGTGCTAGGATTAGAGGCATGAGCCACTGCACCCGGCCTATTAAGTCCTTCGTTCTGTGGATGACAGGACCTCATCGCTGAAGAGCTGGAAAAGAAGCCAGGAAGTTGTGCTCTCAGTACAACTAAAGGGGTACAGAGGTGCTCTGAATTTCTTAGGACCCTCATTCCATCCATCCTAAGCATGGGCATGATATATTGCCAATTTTTGTTCATGGTATCTAGCTGCTTTATCTCATCTGGGCTAAAGGTGAAGTCATAAAATATTTTGAGCCAGATGGAGAAAACGGGTCTCGACATAGTTAGGAAATTTTGAACAACTGGTTGAAAATTATACCCTCCCAAATATTGATCAAGTGGCATGATCCTTGACCCTGTCCTATGTGGTGGTTTTATTCATGCTTTTGTCAAAAGTTGATGATGTACTTATCAAATTTAGAGATGTTGTAAAGCTAGAAGGAATAGAGACCATGGTCTGTGATAGAATAAACCAGCACTTTGTGTATTTCTCAGCACATAATAGTGCTCAATAAATGGCTGATGAGTTTTGATAATTGACTAATTGCTTAGAACCAATGAGTGGAAGTTACAGAGACATGTATTTGAGCCCCAATAAGGGCTAATATTAGCCTTGCTAAACACTGAAAAGTGATGAATCATAAAACAATAAGTTCTCCTTTTTGCAAAGGTGTGAAAGCAGGGTATATTTAACATATGACCCTCCAGCAGGAGATCTTGGAGTAGAGGGCAGTGCCAAGGCTCTGCCCAGATCTCCCTGCATCCTCTTTACCATCTCAAATGTTGTTTCCAACTTCTGTGTTCTTGTGCCAATGATGCAGTTGTGGGGACCCCAGTTCCCTTACCTTGAGTTTGGATAAACTCTAAGATGTAATTTATCTCCCCTGAGGCTCCCCTGTGGCATCAAACTGACTCTGTGACTTGGTCTCAAGTCTCTCCCTGATCGAGCCTCTTTTCTTTCCTTTTTCTGCTTCTCTGGTTCTCTTACCGGTTTCTCCTGGGAGTGCTTCTTTAATATAACCCTTGCACACAAAAGCTTGACTCAGGGTCTGTTTCTAAAGCAGCTGACCTGCTGGGCATGGTGGCTCACACCTATCCCAGCACTTTGGGAGGCTGAGGTGGGAGAATCACTTGAGCCCAGGTGTTCAAGACCAGCCTGGGCAGTATAGGAAGACCCCATCTCTATAAGAAAATGTAAAAATTAGCCCAGTATGGTGGCATGTGCCTATAGTCTCAGCTACTCAGGAGGCTGAGCTGGGAGGATCACTTGATCCTGGGAGGTTGAGGCGGCAGTGAGCTGTGATCACGCCATTGCACTCCGGCCTTTGGCACAGAGTGAGATCCTGTCTCATTAAATAAAGGGAGAGAGAAAAAAAGAAGCTGATCCAAGGCAATTGATAAGGAAGGATCTGATTCGATCAATATTGATAGATGATCTTTTCAGTCCAAATAGTATAAAAATACACTGATTTAGCAATCCCACAAAAACTGTCTTTCAAAAACCTAGATGATGCACTATCCTATCTGTCTAAACTCAGAGTTCACTATTAAAACTTGGAGGAATTGAGTCACTAGGCATTGCTGGGGCTTCGGAGGCTGGTCAGTCTGTGGACAAGAAAAAGAAGCTGGAACAAAATAGACTAAGAAAATGGTAATGTAGGAACTGACTTCCAATGGAGAAAATCAACAGTCTACATAACAGGATCCCAAACAGGAGATAAACACAGGCTCCTACATTTATCTCAAAGAGAAATAGTCAAAGTCCATTGGAAATCGCAACAAGGTCCACTGAGTTTAGATCAGGATCCATCTAGTGGCTGGCTGACATGATCCAAGGCAAAAACCTATCCATGCTGGCTAGATATAAACGTGTGGCATAGGGAATTTTGTGACTCGAGGGACATGGGGTCCGTAGTTCTCAACAGAGGTACTCCATACTGGACTTGTTAGTAAAACAAGCTTCAAATTTTTCATGTTAATGGAGCATAGATTTCTAATAGACTCTATTCTCTGGTTAGGTTTGGGTACAGGAGAAGAGAACAGACAGAAATGCTTGTTAGGACTCCTATGTGCCAGGCACACTACCCGGTACTTTTCATACATTATCTTTAGTCTTCACAACAACTCTGTGAAGTATTATTAAACTCAGTTTTAAAACTTGGAGAATGAGGCTGAGAGGTTAAATTAAGTGCCTTAGGTCACTGGTTAGGGTGGAATTCACACACACCAAACAATAGCTAATTGAACGATGCCATCTGTGGTCTGTGCCAGGGGAGTGGTGCACATGGTAATTGCTTCAGGGGTGTAAACAGACAAGGTAGAGGTTCCAAACCACCTTTGTAATAAATGAAAAAAATATCAGTCATCTTCATGTGTTGTCCCTAATGCCATTTTACTGGGAAACAGAGCATTACTTCTCTCAAAGCACTTTTCTGGACATAGATATTCCAGAAGCTTTCCTTGATTGCTCGTATAAACTTCCTGACTGGGCCGGGCGTGGTGGCTCATGCCTGTAATCCCAGCACTTTCGGAGGCCAAGATGGGTGGATCACCTGAGGTCAGGAGTTCAAGACCAGCCTGGCCAACACAGTGAAACCCTGTCTCTACTAAAAATACAAAAATTAGCTGGGCATCGTGAGAGACACCTGAATCCCAGCTACTCAGGAGGTTGAGGTAGGAGAATCGTTTGGACTCAGGAGGTGGAGGTTGCAGTCAGCCAAGATCACACCATTGCTCTCCAGCCTGGGCAACAAGAGTGAAATTCCGTCCCTAAATAAATAAACTCCCTGACTGGCATGGGGCAGAAGTAAAGAAAGCACACTTTTTAATCCTTTTATTGATGTTACCCTATTTAACCTTCTCAGTACCCATGAGGAAGGTATTAATCTTTCTATCTAAGAGATGGGAATACTGAGGGTCAGAGAATTTGAACTTTTCCAAAATCTAACAACCTATAAATAGTTCTGGCTGGTGGCTCATGCCTATAATCCCAGCATTTAGGGAGACTGAGGCAAAAAATTGCTTGAGCTGAGGAATGCGACAGCAGTCTGGACAACACAGCGAAAATAAAAAATAAAATAAGTCAATCATGGTCTTGTGTCTGTAGTCCCATCTGCTCGGGAGGCTGAGACATGAGGATCACTTGAGCCTGACAGAAGGAGACTGCAGTGAGCTATGATCATGCCACTGTACTCCAGCCTGGACAAAAGAATGAGACCCTGTCTCAAAATAAATAAATTAGTCTGTTTTTTCTGATGCTAAGTATGTCCATCATTCTCTACCCATGCCTCCCTCTCTGTGATGTTTTTGAAATTATTATGAAATTTATGTATTTTTCATTGGCTGAATTTATTTATTTGGCCTATTTAAATGCTTGTCTGCTTGTTGGGGGATTTATTCCTTATTCTGGACTTTGTGAATGACTGATCCTTGCTGTAAGTTTGCTAGGCAGGCCAGAGCACAGTGGATCTTTGGTAATCATCTGAGTCCTTGGTCAGTGTAGACAATCAAACAAGGAAACTTAAACTGAAGAGTTTGCTTTAGAAATGAGGATATCCAGATAAGTGGTTTATACTTAGGAAATGCAGATCTTTTCAAAGCCCCCTGTTGTAATTGTATTCTCCAGTTCATCCAGCCTCCCTTTCTTTTCCAGGAATAGCCCCTTTGTTACCAAACACGGTTTCGGCTGCTTGCCACTTGGCAAAACCAAATAACAAGCATGAGGTGGTATAAAGAAAGTGACTTTATTCCAGAGCTTAGCAATGGGAAAGAGCCAGATTCATATCTAAGCCACTTTAGCTTTCTAGGCAGAAAGCAGGGTTTTAAGAAGAGAAATTTTGGTATGTGGGCTATGTAGAAGGGCGTGGAGGTGAGGGTCTACATGACTTGCTCCACAACTTATCTCTAGTAATGGGTCATCGGTGGTCTGGCCAGCGCCATTATGGGCAGATTATGGATTAACTGCCATCTTGAGACAATCTCCTGGTGGGAGAGAATTCCAGAAGGTGCCTGGTTTGGTTCGAAGAATTTGTCCCTTGAACTTCTAAGCAAATATAGAGCTAGCAATGCTTGCAGGTGGTCTGGCCAGCAGAGAGAAAGGAGGGTAAAGTTTACATTTGCATTCATAAGAAGCTAAGTAAGAGGTGAACACACAGGGAAAAAGAGAAAAGGTAAAGATAAATTTTAGGAAAATGGGGTAATGGTTACCGCTTTGACCCCCTCACTCCAGTGTAGTTTTAGGGTGCACTGATATCCTCCCCCTTGGCCATAGTGGCTGGTCCAGGGGCTGGGCACATGACCCAAAGCAGACCAATCAGAATAATTGCTGGGAGTTTTTGAACTGGAGCTGAGAAGAGTTTTTCTCAGATGGTGATGCAGGGAAGATATGAGCTTGCAACTTTTGGGAACATTGGCCCATCCTTGGAAAGAAGGTTAGTAATATAGTTTGGATATCCCCTCCAAATCTCATGTTAAAATACAATCCTCAGTGATGAAGGTGGGTCCTGTTGGGAGGTAACTGGACCACGGGGTGGAGGATCTCTCATGAATGGTTCAGCACCATCCCTTGGTGCTGTCCTTGTAAAACATGATTATTTAAAATATGTGGCACCTTCCTCCTTCTCTCTCTTGCTCCTGCTCGGCCATATGATGTGCCTGCTCCTGCTTCACCTTCTGCCATAAGTAAAAGCTCCTTGAGGCCTCCCCAGAAGCTGAGAAGATGGTGGCACCATGCAGGAACAGCCTAAAGAACTGTGAGGCAATTAAACCTCTTTTCTTTATAAATTACCCAATCTCAGGTATTCCTTGATAGTAATGCAAGAATGGCCTAATACAGTCTTTTTGAGAGGATAAGGTTCATATGTTGATAGATGCAGAGACAAGAAACAGAGAACAGCATATGAGCGATAGAGCACTGATGAAGTTCATGTGCCCTGTTCTCTAATTCCAGAGCCCATGTCACCCCATGGTTATGTGATCCAAAAAGGTCCCCTTGTTGCTCAAGCTAGTCTGGGTTGGGTTTCTGTCACTTGTAACCAAGTCTAGTGTAGTACATGTCATTTTCTTTCTATTGATTATTTTCAGCCTAAGGCCAAGACAGTACATGACCCTGAAATAAGCAATTTTAAGTTAGGCCTATGGGGCCAGCCGTGGTGGCTCATGCCTATAATCCTAGCACTTTGGGAGGCCAAGGTGGGCGGTTTGCCTGAGCTTAGGAGGAGTTTGAGACCAGTCTGGGCAACATGGTAAAGCCCCGCCTCTACAAAAATACAAAAAAATTAGCTGGGTGTGGTGGCATGGGCCTGTAATTTCAGCTACCCAGGAGGCTGAGGCACAAGAATTGCTTGAACCCAGGAGGCAGAGGTCACAGTGAGCCACGATCATGGCACTTCACTCCAGCCTGGGTGACAAAGCATGACTCTTTCTCAAAAAAAAAAAAAAAAAAAAAAGACCTATGGGATTATTGCAAAACTGACAGACTTGATAGCTGCATCCTTTAAGGCTAGAGTGACTCCATATCCTGGTTTTTTCAGGACAGCTCTGGTTTACACCTGTCGCTTTAGTGTAATTATTAGCAGTCCCCGGATCGTTCTCAGAGGGACTGACTTGAATGATAAATCAGATAGTTACCTTAGTTAAGGGTCATCTCAACCATTCCCTTTTCGATGGCTTTTCTGATCGCCCAACCTCCTTCTATAAGTGAGAGACCCTGAGAGACAGAGATGAGACATGGCTTACCCATCTGTGTAGCCCAGCGGACTTTTGTGCAGCACCTTGCACACTGTAAGAATTCAGCCAGTGTTGGCTGAATTGAGAATTGAATATTTGTGCTTCAAAATAACTATTATAGCTGGGGGCTGTGGCTCACGCCTGTAATCCCAGCACTTTGGGAGGTCAAGGCAAGCAAATTGCTTGAGCCCAGCTGGGCAACATGGCAAAACCCCATCTCTACAAAAAATACAAAAATTAGCTGGGCATGGTGGCTTGTGCCTATAGTCCCAGCTACTCAAGAGGCTGAGGTGGGAGGATCACCTGAGCCCAGGAGGTTGAGGCTGCTATGAGTTGTAATCGTGCCACTGCACTTTAGCCTGGGCAACAGAGTGAGGCTCTGTCTCAAAACAAAACAAAAACAAAAACAAATATTAAACAAACTTCCCTAAAAGAAATCAATTTGACTGATTCACATTAGTCATGACCTGGATTTCCAGTTCAAGTTGAAAAGGAAACTGACATTTATGGGACTTATTATTATTAGTAGTAGTAGTATTATGAAAACTTTGAACATGTACTTCATTTAATTCTACAAGGTTTTATCTCCATTTTTAAGGAGTAAGGAATTGATGCTCAAAAAGGTAAAGCGTGTGCTTCTGAACCTGTGCTCTCCTGCTACACCACGAGTGCCTGCACTGTGTCATAGTTGTAAATTGTCTCTCTCCTGAGTGCCGTTCTGCACTGCATAGGTTGATCACTAAACACTACACTTCCTAGACTCCTTCTAGCTTGAGTTCTGGGTTTGATTTAGGTACCCTCAATCTGACGCTCATGATACTGGTTGGGAACTGAATCCCTCTGGGAGAGAGGCGGCATTTCATTTGTTTCACAAAGCATTTTATTTTGCTGATGCAGGCCACAGCAGAAGCGTGATAGTTCTGGAGCCAGCAGGTGCAGATGCAGAGATGGCCTCCTGATTGTGACAGGAGCAGCAGGCTCCTTGAGATCTTGATCTGCAGTGTGGCTTTGGGTGTCATTCCTGGAAGCTCAACCAGGAGTCTGTTTCTTCAGTCCTGCCATTGTTTCTGTAAATTTAATACCCTTCCACCCAGATAGATGGAGAGCTCCTCTTTCTGCAATTGAACACTGACAGTTGTATTATGTCTTCACATACCAGGGGGCAGCATAGTTAAGATTCAGGGGAGCAAGGTGGGTTGAGTTTACTTCTCTACCTATGCCGGTGCTTTAATTTTCTTGCTCTATTTGGTAGTGGAGACAGTCTGAGGACCCTCATCTAGACTTCTGGCCCCATATTTAATAATATAGAATTCAATACCTGCTTACTTTCTACTGCTGTTTGCCTGGGAAGATCATCGTCACCCACATCTACTCAGACAGAGTCGCTTAAATGAAGAGTCAGCAGCATCATGACCCCGCTGCTTTAGTAACGTAACCACAACAAACTCATCTGGAGCTTTCCTTACCTTGATGTAGATGTTAGGATAGCACTTTTTTTTTCTCCTTTAGGTGGGGATGAAAAGGGTGCATCTGCCTTTTATTTATTTCCTTGAAATGATTCTTACATGACAATTTTCTTCAGCGTAATCACACCCTTGTTCAACGTTCTCACAACTGAGCATTTTTCTTTTGCTTTTTGGGGAGTCAACTTGGAATCACAGAGAAATGTTAATCATTTGCTATGGCTTTCTTGATTAAAGGAATTGTAAATGACTGAACAACTCAAAAAAGGCTTATTCTTGGATTAATGTCAGATAAAACTTGTGCCTACAAAGCATTTTCGCGCAATAGACCGTTCTTTCAAAGTTCAAACACAGACGGCAAAATAAGGAAAATGAGAATGATCACGCCATTAAGCCTCAATTAGCAAAATGTTTCAGGACATGAGGCTGTCCAACCATTAGGGTAAAAAGACTTTTGTTACTAATCTCCATATAGTGTAATTTTGCTGGCCCCAAAATTTCCCCAAAATTCTATTCCCTGGATTATGAATTAATTGAATTTCTTTAGGGGGGTGTAATGGCTAATTTTATGTGCCAGCTTGACTAGGCCACAGGATTCCCAGATATTTGATCAAACATTATTTTGTAAGGGTGTTTCGGATAATGGTAACATTTAGATTAGTAGACCCAGGAAAGCAGCTTGCCCTCCCTAATGTGAATGGGTCTCATTCAGTCAGTTAAAGGCTTGAACAGAACAAGTAAGCTGACCCTCTTCCCAATGAGGCGGAATTTCTCCTGCCTGATGGCCTTCCAACTGGGACATTGCTGTTTGTTTGTTTGTTTGTTTGTTTGTTTGTTTCCCCTGCCTTTGAATTGTAGCATCAGTTCTTTCCAGATCTTGAGTCTGCCAGCCTTTAGACTGGAACTACACCATTGGTTCCCTTGGGTCTCCAGTTTGATGACTTACCCTGCAGATCTTGAGACCTGTCAGCCTCCATAATTCTATAAGCCAATTCCTTATAATAATCTCTCTTCTCTCTCTCTCTACACACACACACACACACACACACACACACACACCTCCTTTCTATTGGTTCTGTTTCTTTGGAGAACCCTGACTAATACACAGGGGACAAAAAACACTCATTTATGCCAGAGGTGAGGCACAACTTTTGCATGTCTGCACACTAAGGAGTGAATGACTGATCTCCCTGCCTCTCAACCACACATTTCTGAGAAAAGGATGGAGAAGAACCAAGTGCATGACCCAAAAAGTTGAAGAAAATACCTGTGAAGGAGGTACTTAGCATAACAAGAAGTTTCATTTGGTCATAAACTATATTTAGGGTTTTTCAGCAGAAACTTAGCCTCTAGTAGAGCAGTAAAGAGAATACTTCCATTTAGGGGATGTGGATTAAGAAGACTGGTTAAGAGATGGCCACAGCTCCCCAGTGCCAGCTCAGCTTGAAGGGTTTCACCCCATTACTAATGGAGTAAGATTTTCAGCAGCATCCATGACCTCCTGAACAAGAAGGAAGTGTAGCTTTTATGAGGTGGAAGTGCAGATAAGCAGGCTTGGCTGCAAAGCAGGTTTCTCTGGCTTGCCTGGTCCCTGTCCCTTGGCAGGATTGCAGCCCACTCTGGGTGGGAGAAATGTGGCTAATCCACTTCCTCTCCACTCCAATGTCTGCATCTTCATTTCAGATTTCAGTTTTAGCCTTCGGCCTGCCAGGGTAAGGAGGGACCAACACTGTGAACCCAGCATCACAAGAATCACAAGAATGGCAAGCAAACTGTGAAGCAAGGAGACAAGTCCAGCTTGTCTGAGGCAAAGAGGAGTGAGCGGGCACCACAGTCAGGGGTGCCTTGGCAATCAGAGCTGGTTCCTTCAGAGTCTTCTGGTCCTGTACTCCCATTTTCCAGGTGGGGACTCTGACGTCCAGGGATGAGAATGCCCTTGCCCATGTCACAGAAGAAGTTCCAAGAACAGGACCCTGGACTCTGCCACCAAGACCCCTTCATCATTCTGCTTCATCACAACACTTCTTAAAAGGAAACTTAACCCTGGCCTTCTACCCAATAGACCCAGCAGACCTGCCACTGTGGCCCTGAGAGTCAGGGCCCAGGCCACAATGGGGAAAAGCAGCTCTAGAGAAAGGGGTTGTGAACACAAGGCCTAGCTTGGGGGCTGTGTGGACTCTGCCCCTCCTACACCTCTCACTCCCATCCACACATTGGAGCTGGAAGGGCCTGCCCAGAACAGTGGAAGGGAAAGGGCACCAGGCCACTAAACACCATGTTCTAGATCTGTCCCTGTTGCCCCTCATAAACCACTTTCCCACATTGTGCCTCAGTTTCCCTATCTGCAAAACGCATTGGTCTCACTTTACACTCTATAGTTTCACTGATATTTGGACATTCTACAGGTTAAAAAATTAAGTGGCCCTGTTCAAGGCAGAGATAGAAATATTAGATTTATGTTCCAGAGGCAGAACCATTCAGTGCCGCAGTCACCAAGGTGTAAAAGTGTAGATTTCTGTTAACTTGAAAGGGGAGTTGAAAGAAGGCAAGAGAAATGTCCCCTCAGGCTAATTTGCCTTCGCTTAGAAAATGTTTTCAAAGGAAATTCTGAGGAGGTTTGTCTCCTCCCCCAGCCAGGAGCCTCTTCTGTCTTCCCAGAACCGGAATTTGGGTGGTGTGGCCAATAAAGGAGCAGTTCTTCCTCTAAAGGGGTCACTTCCCTCGGATCCCAGGGCGGTGGGCTGCGGCAGGTGCTCATGGGTGACCGCGCGGAGGCAGACATGCTGCGGGACTTGCAGCATCAAGGTCATCTGTAAAGGAGCTGGCCATGACCCGCCACTGCCCACCAAGGTCTGGAGCAGACGTTATTCTCAAGAACACTTCAAAGGGAACTAGTTCAAAGGGAACTAGGTAGTATCGTATGTTTTTGTTTTGTTTTGTAAGAAAAAAAATGTTAGATATCCTGAGGTTGTTATCTTGCTATTCACAAATGGAAAAGCAGCCGCCCGAGGTGGGGGTGGAGTCCATTTGAACGAGGGACCACTGTGCTCTGCTGAGCAGGCATTTGCTCCTGAGCTGCCCTTCCTCTTCTACCGTCTTCCCAACCCATCCCTTCAGTCCTCTCAACCTATCCTGGGTAACTCCCGCCCGGCTCCAGGGCGCGGTGTGACCGCCTTAGGAAGTCTATCTTCACCAGGAAGCTTGCATTGGCTGCTGCTGTCAGGAATTTGGACGCTCCATCCAAATCCCCTCACATCCCTTTACTGTTAGTCTCTATGCCTCTTTGGCTTCCCGGCTTCCTTCCATTTCCCCCGCCCTGTGGGACTGCTTTTGCTTCCTGCAGCTGGGACTTTTCTTCAGAGGAACTGTCCAATGCTAGCGCTCATCACAATGAGCTGTAATTCCGTTTGCTAGTCGGCCCTCTCCACTGGCCTGGGACCTTGGAAGGCTAGGGATTGTACTTTGCTCACCATTGTATCTCAGGACCTGCCAATGGACTCAATGGGAACTTGTGAATGAATGAATGAGCCACTAACTGCTGCTTTCAGAATCAATCCCAATAGAAGGGTGAACTCGGGAGAATATCTGGGCGCCTCTAAGGAAGCACAGGTCCTAAATGGAAATTGAATGCTATGCTTTCCTGAAAATGAAGTGAGAGTGTTAGGGAACCCCGGTAGCTGTACCTAGGGCCTGAATCACCACTTTTTTCTTGTGCCCTTCTTGTTAGCCTCCATTCACCAGCACAATCTTAGCCTTTGGCTGTCAATCTCATCTCCCAACTGGCCTCACTCTGAAAAATGTGCGTCTATGTTCCATCGGTCGTCCTCTGCAGAATCGGCATGTTAGACTCTACCACAGGGTCTACATTCATCTCTTAGCTTCTAGCTCATTCCTGAAAACTGAAATGTCCTGAAATTCCACCCTCAGCCCTGCATTCCCCATCTCAGACCTGCTAACTGTTGTCCCCAGGTGTCCCTAGTTTCCAAGTAATCTCCAGGGGCTGCCCTTTCCAGATGGCACTATCTGGGGCATTGGACTCTAATCACAACAACCCCAGCCCACTCCTCTGTCCCCACCCAGTGCCAGCGTGGTGTAGAATGTGGATGGGACAGAGAAGCCCTGTCTGTTACCACAGCACAGTCCCCAGCACGACCAGGCAGGCCCAGGCAGGTCGCCAGGGGTTTTGTTGATGTGAAGGATAGCCCATAGCTTTCCCAGAAGAAACCGCAAGGATGGCTTAGAATTGACAGTTGGCCTAGAGGGAGACGTGGGCAGCTTGGAGGGCCTCACACTCTTAGTCATTTGTGGTTGGGGGCATGGTTGGCCATGGCTGAGTTATCCTGAGGGAGGATCCCAAAACCCACTTGTTCAATTTATTTGGGGGTAAGGGTGAGACACAGAAAGAACAAGTCACATAAAAAAATGGAAGAGCTGAAGAGAAACAGGCGCCTGTGGAAGAGGAGCCTGCCGACTCACAGAGAGGGCCCTCAAAGCAGACCTGGGCAGAGAGCCACTGAAAGGGGCTATTTAGTAGCAGAGAAAAGGCACTTAAACCTCTTGGACTGAAAAAAAGAGTGCTTGAAAATGAACTATGTGAACTTTGGTTCCTTTCCCTTGCTCACGTGGCAAATGCCATCCTTCATCAAACATTCATAGGCAAGTTATGAGCACCTGGGGAGTCAGGCTGGGCAGGAAATGATGGTGACCTTGGCTAAGCAGTTAAACAGAGGACAGGAGAGGTGTTAATAATTTACAGACAGGAGGCCTGGGGGATCCTTAGACGCTGACTCATGGCAGATCACGGGCACAGGGGCCCACAGAAAGAACCACAAAGATGAAAAGGCCCTGTGCAGGATGGTCCCAGGGGATGGCCTAGGCTTTTGCGTGTTTAGTTCCAGGTTTCCTCTTTCTTGCTACCACAATGCCTGCCCTTTCCAGATCCTCATCCTCCCCCACCATACCATTGTCAGAGACTCCAAACAAATCTCCTTGCCTCCTTTTCCTTCAACACATATGTATTTAGTGTCTTCCTTGCACCAGGCACTAGGGAAACAGCAGTGAGTAAAACAGATAAGAAGTTTCTGCCCTCGCAGAGCTTATGTTCTAGAGGGAGGACACAGACACACTGTATAGCATGCAGAGAGTTGTTAACTTCATGGAGACAAATTAAGCAAGAAGGAAAAGGTGAATATTGGTGATAATGGGTGCAGAAGCAGCTGCAGTTTTAAAGACAAAGGTTAGGAAAGCCCTTGCATTTGAAATTTTTATTAAGCTCCTTCTCTTAAGGCTTCCAGACAATGTGCTCCCCTCAACTGGGTATACGCTGGATATAAATTACATATCAGGATGCAATTCCTGCCCTTGCAAGGCTCACGGGCTAGCTCCCTTCTGCACACCTTGAATTTCCTCAGCATGGCTACTGATACGGTTTGGCTCTGTGTCCCCACCCAAATCTCATGTTGAATTGTAATTCCCACATGTCATGAGAGGGACGTGGTCTGAGGTGATTGGACCATGGGGGCGTGTTCCCCCATGCTGTTCTCTTGACAGTGAGGGAGTTCTCATGAGATCCAATGGTTTAAAAGTGGCAGTTTCCCCTGCGCTCTCTCTCTCTCTCTCCTGATGCCTTGTGAAGAAGGTGCTTGCTTATCCTTCACCTTCTGCTATGATTGTAAGTTTCCTGGGGCCTCCCAGCCATGTGGAACTGTGAGTCAATTAAACCTCTTTTCTTTGTATACCCAGTCTCAATGTAAATTAGTTCAACTCTTATGGAAGACAGTGTGATGATTCCTCAGAGACCTAGAACTAGAAATACCATTTGACCCAGCAGTCCCATTGCTGGGTCTATACCCAAAGGAATATAAATCATTCAACATGCACGCAATATGTTTATTGCATCACTATTCACAATAGCAAAGACATGGAATCAACCCAAATGCCCATCAATAATAGACTGGATAAAGAAAATGTACATATACATCATGGAATACTATGCAGCCATAAAAAGGAACAAGATCATGTCCTCTGCAGGAACATGGATGGAACAGGAAGCCATCATCCTCAGCAAACTAACACAGGAACAGAAAACCAAACACCACATTCTAACTTATAAGTGAGAGCTGAACAATTAGAACATGTGGACACAGGGAGGGGAACAACACACACTGGGACCTGTTGGGGCAGGGGGCAGAGGGAGAGCATCAGGATAAATAGCTTATGCATGTGGGGCTTAATACCAAGGTAATGGGTTGATAGGTGCAGTAAACCACCATGGCACATGTTTACCTATGTAGCAAATTTGCATGTCCTGCCCATGTATCCCAGAACTTAAAGTAAAATTAAATTTTAGAATAATAAATACATAAATAAATAACCCAGTCTCAGGTGGTATGTTTTTTTTTTTTTGTTGTTGTTGTTGTTGTTGTTGTTTGAGACAGAGTTTCACTCTTGTCACCGAGGCTGGAGTGCAATGGCACAATCTCAGCTCACTGCAACCTCCGCCTCCCAGATTCAAGCAATTCATCTGCCTCAGCCTCCCAAGTAGCTGGGATTACAGGTGTGCGCCACCACGCCCAGCTAATTTTTGTATTATTAGTAGAGACAGGGTTTCACCATGTTAGCCAGGCTGGTCTTGAACTCCTGACCTCAGGTGATCCACCCACCTCAGCCTCCCAAAGTGCTGGAATTACAGGCATGAGCCACCACACCTGGCCTCGGGTAGTATCTTTATAGCAGTGTGAAAATGGACTAATACAGCTATCCTGGCGATGCTTCTCCAACACAGGAGCAATCAGGTCACTACCCTGCTAAAACCCCTCCATGATATTTCAATGCCTTGAGGATCCTATTCTGACTCCTTGGCATGTTTAAGCCCTTCAAATCCCCGTTCCACATGTGTTCCAGTCTGATGTCCAGCTTTGAACTTCCTCCCCTCTAACTAGGAAGCCCCAAAGTCTAATTTGCCTGGGATAGTCTTGGTTCATGCCTGTCCTCTTTAATAGCATGCCACTTCGCTCTCAAAATCATCCACTTTGGACAATAAATTATACAGTTATGCTATTTGTTAACATACACCTAATGCTTTAGCAATGCAAAATACTCATTGTTCAAAAATGCTTTCTACTTTCCAGCTTCTGCACTTTGCTCTTGCTGGTCCCTTAGTCTGGGTTAATCTCTCCTGCCTTACTTACCTGGTGAAATTATCTTTTCCTTAAACTCCACTCAGATGTTACCTTCTCTTCATTCTCTGGGCTGTCTCCTCACCCTCACTCTCTACTAGATCTCATTATCTTCTCCCTCCTCCATGTTCCTATAGCAGTCATCCCTTTCTCTAGCATAGTGTACAACACACCTTGGTCTTGGGTCCTCTCCACCTCTGCACTGAGGGTAGAGCTTGTATTCTGTTTAACCCTGTGTCCCCAGGGCCTTGTACAGTGTCTGAATCACAGGAAGTATTGAGTAAGTATTGATTGGGTTGAATTCAATGCAGTCGTGCTCCAGCTACAAATATAATGACTTGAAGACTTAAATGCTTTCAAGGAAACTGCTGTGGAACTAGAAGACTGGGTCCACTGTACCTTTGTTTTTTTGTTTTTGTTTTTTCAATCTGTCACATAATATCCTAAACATAGCATGAAGATGGTGCTTCAACCTCAGATCTCTTACTGATCTGCACCTTAATTTTCCAGCTCACAGGTGTCCACTCACCTGTAGTACATAATGGCTTACCCTTCCAGCTCCCCTGCCTCTTGGGAGAGAGCTGCTGTGACATGTGCCTTAGCTCTGACTCCTGATCAGAAGAAGAAGGGACATTCTCAGCCCATGAGGGTTGGGAGAGAAGGAAAATGGGGTGTGGGGTAAGAGTAGGGGCTAAAGAAAAAGCATTTCTTTATTCAAAGTTGACATAAGTTCCTAACAAGAGAAATATCCAAGGCAAACGTTTTGGTATCAGCAACCTTTTTTTAGGCAGTTGAAAGAGATAAAAGTGACTCTATGTGTTTATTAGCATCAACTAAGGAAAGAGATTAATCAAGGGAGGAATTTTGTTTGTTTGTTTCTGAGATGGAGTCTTGCTCTGTCACCCAGGCTGGAGTGCAGTGGCGCGATCTCAGCTCACTGCAACTTCTGCCTCCCAGGTTCAAGCAATTCTCCTGCCTCAGCCTCCTGAGTAGCTGGGATTACAGGCGCCTGCCACCGTGCCTGGCTAATTTTTGTATTTTTTTAGTAGAGACGGGGTTTCACCGTGTTGGCCAGGCTGGTCTTGATCTCCTGACCTCATGATCCACCTGCCTCAGCCTCCCAAAGTGCTGGGATTACAGGCATGAGCCACTGCGCCTGGCCGAGGGAGAAATTTTAACCAATGGCTTTAAAGAAAGAACGCCAGTGTTTAGGAGATGAGTGTGTGGCAATGAGATGAGCACAGACCATATTTAAATCCCAGCTTGTCATTCATTCAAGCATTCATTTATTAATTCATATGCAATCATAAGGCACTGTGCTAAATGCTCAAAATACAATTGGTGAGAAAGACAAAAGTCCCAGTCTACTAGGAAAGTCAGAAGATAATCAAACGTTCATTAAAAATTGTGAAAAGTGCTGCAAAGGTAGCATAGCCAGGACTCCAAGGCATGACAAGGAAGTGACATGGCAACTGTGAGCTTAAGGATGCACAGGGTTGAGGAAGGCTGGGATGGGGTAGAGAAGTGGGCCTGTGCGTGGTTCCCCAGGCAGAAGTAATAGTTCATGGGAAGGTCTTGTGCCAGACAGGAGCATGGCACAGCAATGTGTGTTTGGAGCTCAGCGAGTTGAGAAAAAGCAGGACCACATGAAGCTGAAGACAGAGAAGGGATCAAATCACACAGGGCTGCTCTGGCTACTGTAGGGGATCTGGTCTTTGTGCTAAAAGCACTGGATAACATGAGAGGCTTTTTAGCAGTGGGGGTGGGAGTGAAGAGTATATATGTGTCACCTGACCAGACATGTACTTTGAAAACTTTGTCTTGGCTGTCTTGTGAAAAGATTTTGGAGTGGGGAGATCACCTGGAAAGCCATTGCAAAAATCCAGGCAAGAAGTGGGTGGAAGCTTGGGCTAAGGAAGGGGCTCTGCAGTTTCAGATAACCTATCTCAGTAGTGCACCCTATAGAAGAGATCATAAGACTCAAAGTTTAAGGTAAGTAACATGCAAAGTGTCTGGTTCACCATAAATGCTCAATATATATGGGGTATATATCCTTCCCTCCTGATGGGAGGCAGGCAGCTGGCACATGGACTGAGGTTCCTGTGCCTGTTAGACTTTGCTTTCTGAGGTGGTTTTTGTTTTATTCACAGAAGCAACCCTGTGTTTATGCAGGGAAATGGGAACAGGAAGCAGCCCGAGGCACATTGTAGAGAAGTTCCTTTCCAAAATATTTTTGAAGTATAAAAAGAGGATAAACTATATAGATCCTGGGAGTATCACATACACATACACATGCCACTCCCCACACAGCACCCATACACTAGTGTGAGCTTTGTTAGGTAAAAAATGGCATTGGTCTTTGCTCACAATAGGGACGGCCAGTGCCCCTAACTAAGAGGTCTTTGAATTCCTGGGAGTGCTCTCATATCTGTAGCTTCCTTGGGAAACTCTTCCCTTCTCTTGCAGCCAATCAGGTAATGAAAATTGCACAGGACTGTGATCCAGTAACCAAGATAAAGGCCTCTTGTGTTCATCCCAGTCTGTGCAATATCGGGTGACATGCTCTTCCAATGGAAATAGAGAGTGGCTGCCCTCCAACTCAGTGGAGAGGGAGAGAAAGCCTCCTCCTATTTCATGTGGTCAGCTGGAACAAAGCCTTCACCATTGGTTAGTTTACAAAGGGCACAACTAAGACAGACCCACACATTTGCATTCATCAGATGATGTTATTGTAAGCACAGTCAGAAATGCTTCTGGCTACGAGGAAAATGTAATTTTGTTATTTTTCCCTCTCAAACAAAGAAGGGCTTACCTTGATGCACTAAAATCAAACCACTCATTCCTAAAGATGAATTTGGGCAAGAACATTTTGCAAAACTTACTGTAGCATAAATGATTCTTGCCCTAAAAGCCTATAACCGCTAAAGAAGGTCACACTTCCTTTCAGTACCCAAATAAGGATGGCATTAACCACAGCTCCTTGATTATGGATAAATAGCTCCCTTCAAAGTGTCCCTTGGGGATTTCAGAGAGCTCCCAAAGGGGCACCCCAATCCAGTCTCTCAGCTGCGGACACCAGGCAGCACAGCCCTCTTCCTCCTCCTCCTCTGGTTGGCTAAGGTTACTTTTTTATTACAGAAAGAAAAATATGTTTATAAATTTGTGTGGCCTAAGTGTACAGTGTTTAATAAAGTCTGCAGTAGTGTACAGTAATGTCCTAGGCCTTCACATTCACTCACCACTCACTCACCGACTCACCCAGAACAACTTCCAGTCCTGCAAGCTGCATTCATAGTAAGTGCCCTATGCAGGTGTACCATTTTTAAACTTTTTATACTGTATCTTTAATGCACCTTTTCTATGTTTGGATAAATGTGTATACATTGCTTAATGATGCATTTCTCAGAACGTATCCTTGTTAAGCAAAGTATGACTGCATTAGAGGGTTCCTAGCAGAAAAGCAACACTCTCTGCCTCACCTTTTAACAGGGTCACATTGTTGCTATGTGGAAAACACTGCAGGGGTGAGTGTGACAGCAGACAGACCCGTTAGAGCCACTGATGTGCAGGTGAGAGAAAATGGGGTTTGCACCTAGGTGGTGGCAGTGGAGGTGGTGACGTGTGGTAGATTTCTGGATTCTGTAGAACCAGTGGGATTACCTGAGTGAAATGTAAGAAAATAAGAGGAGTCAAGGATGACTCCAAGTCCTCGGGCTGAGAACTAACATAGATGGAGTCGCCATCAACTGACATCACATTCCTTCAGTAGCAAATTAGCTCTGTCCATTTTGTTTGCCTGACTGAGCCTGAGCCCCACAATTATCACTTGCTAGCGATGAAGCCCTATCCTGGGAACAATGAAAGCTGTTTTCCCACCTGATTCACTGAAGATCATGCTTATAGCAAACAGATTACAGTCACTTGTCAGGTTAATAAGATAGCTTTGAAAGATTTTTTAAAGTAGCAGTTTTATAGCCAACAGTTTTTATTATAATCTAATAACATTAAAAATAAATTACTTAAAGGTGAGGAGAAAACTATTTCAGAAATATGCACTAGATAATCTTTGGCTCAAGGAAGAAATCAAAAGGGTGGTGTTTATTTGTTAACAGGCAATAAAAAGGAGAAACATAAAAGTGAAAACTAATGACCCAGCAATGGCTGGACTCAAAGGAAAATTTATGACCTATAATGTCCTTGCTATAGGAGAAGAAAATTAAAAGTCACAGAACTAAGTACTTGTCTTAAGGAATTAGTGAAATAACAATAAAATAAGCCAAGTGAAGCTAGGAAAAGGAAATCTAAAAATAAAAGCTAGAATTAATTAAATGAGTTAACTATAATTTAATGTATTTATTAAAATTGCATTAAATATATGTAACATTTATTTAAAAACTGGTTCCTTGAAATAGCTAACTCCTTCAAAAATCTGAATATGTTAAAGAAAGAGAGAAAACAAAAAAGGAGACCCAATACTGTGGCAACAAATTCAAGAATTTAGAGGAAAAAGATGACAGCTTGGTACAGTATGTATTATTAATTACTGACCCAAGAGGAATAGGAAAACTTGAATCGGCCAATTAGCATGATTTTGAAAGGCAATTGAAGATGTACAATTGAAAAAGTTCCTAGGATCAGACAGGTTCACAGGTTAGTAACAGAGGTTTCCATTTCCCTCTCTCATAACCTGATCATACCGTTTGCTCCTACAGCAAAGAGTTACCTAGGTATAATATCTGTATTCTATTTATTGGCTTTCTATTTTAAAAATCAATGCATAAGCCAAGCAAATTTAACTGTACTTACTCTACAGTAAACAAATGTTATGAATTTCTTGACATGTTAGCATATGGTTAGCTAACTAAAATAAGGAGGATGTAAGAAGAGAAGTAGATGACAGTGGAGGTACATTTAACAGAGAGTGAATATATAAATTTGTATACATTTAATGGAGCAAGATAAAGAGGTTTAAGTACATTATTTAATGATAACCATCAGAACTCAAATTAAGACTGTCATTTACAAAGATCCAGAAAGAGGAGAGGGAATAGAAAAAAGAAGTGGGAAATGAAGCAAGTATGCTAATTTCACCATATTTCATATTAAGGAGTCAATAGATATCCTCTAAGATGGATAAAGCAGGAAGTAAAAGTTATGATGGTTACCACCGGAAGAACTCAGAATAGAAACCATTCAAAGCAGTCATTTCTAGGGAGCAGCACTGGGTGTAAAGGAAAAGGGTACTTTATTTTGTACCCTTATGTTCTATTTGCACTTTTAAAATCAGTTACTATAAATAGCAATACACACAAACACGCACACACAAACACAGGGATCTTCCAAAAGTTCATGGAAAATACATATTATGAAAAAACTATGCATAGAGTTCTTTTTTTCCCACCAAAATAAACTCTTACTAACTTCTTGTAACATTTCTGAATAGGATCTAGCATGAAACACTAAGAAAGCTACGACATCATTTGAAAAGAGCCTCTTTCAGAGCAACAATAATTTTGCTAAAATTGAAGCAAGAACGAACATCACATTTATAGTGAAGTTTGGGTGGAAGAATGGTGAAATCACTGATGCTTAGTGAAAAGTTTATGGGGATGATGCCAGAAAAATCAGCAGTTTACAAATGAATAACTTATTTTAAGAGAGGATGAAACAATGATAAAGTTAAAGTCTGCAGTAGCAGACCATCCACATAAATTTGTAAGGAAAAAAATTCATCTTGTTTGGGCTATAATTGAAGAGGACAAACAATTGACATCAGAAACAATAGCCAACATTACAGACATCTCACTTGGTTCGGCTTACACAATTCTGACTGAAAAATTAAAGTTGAGTAAAGCTTTCTACTTGGTGGGTGCCAAAACCATTGCACCCAGATTAGCTACATGTAACAGCAGAGTTATCAATGGAAATTTTAAATAAGCAAGGTCAAGATTCTGAAGAATTTCTTCAAAGAACTGTAACAGGAGATAAAATGTGGCTTTTGTACTCATAAGTACAATCCTGAAAACAAAGCACAGTCAAAACAATGGCTACCAAGAGGTGGAAGCGGTCCAGCCAAAGTCAAAGCAGAACAGTCAAGAGTAAGAGTCACAGCAATAGTTTCTGGGGATGATCAAGGTATTTTGCTTGTTGACTTTCCGGGGGGCCAAAGAATGATAGCAGCTGCTTATTATGAGAGTGTTTTGAGAAAGCCAAAGCTTTTTAAAAAAAAATTTTTTTTATTATACTTTAAGTTATGGGATACATGTGTAGAACATGCAGGTTTGTTACATAGGTATACATGTGCCATGGTGGTTTGCTGCACCCATCAACCCGTCATCTACATTAGGTATTTCTCCTAATGCTATCCCTCCCCTAGACTCCCAACCACCTACAGGCCCTAGTGTGTGATGTTTCCCTCCCTGTGTCCATGTGTTCTCATTGTTCAACACCTACTTATGAGTGAGAACATGTGGTGTTTGATTTTCTTTTCCTGTGTTAGTTTGCTGAGAATGATGGTTTCCTGTTTCATCTATGTCCCTGCAAAGGACATGAACTCATCCTTTTTTATGGTTGCATAGAATTCCATGGTGTATATGTGCCACATTTTCTTTATCCAGTCTATCATTGATGGGCATTTGGGTTGCTTCCAAGTCTTTACTATTGTGAACAGTGCTGCAATAAACATACATGTGCGTGTGTCTTTAGAGTAGGATGATTTATAATCCTCTGGGTATATACCCAGTAATGGGAATGCTGGGTCAAATGGTATTTCTGGTTCTAGATCCTTGAGGAATCACCACACTGTCTTCCACAATGGTTGAACTAATTTACACTCCCACCAATAGTGTAAAAGAGTACCTAATTCTCCACATCCTCTCCAGCATCTTTTGTTTCCTGACTTTTTAGTGATCACCATTCTAACTGACATAAGATGGTACCTCACTGTAGTTTTGATTTGCATTTCTCTAATGACCAGTGATGATGAGCTTTTTTTCATATGTTTGTTGGCTGCACAAATGTCTTCTTTTGAGAAGTGCCTGTTCATATCCTTCTCCTACTTTTTGATGGGGTTGCTTGTTTTTTTCTTGTAAATTTGTTTAGGTTCTTTGTAGATTCTGGATATTAGCCCTTTGTCAGATGGATAGATTGCAAAAATTTTCTCCCATTCTGTAGGTTGCCTGTTCACTCTGATGCTAGTTTCTTTTGCTGTGTAGAAGCTCTTTAGTTTAATTAGATCCCATTTGTCAATTTTGGCTTTTATTGCCATTGCTTTTGATGTTTTAGTCATGAAGTCTTTGCCCACGCCTATGTCCTCAATGATATTGCCTAGGTTTTCTTCTAGGGTTTTATGGTTTTAGGTCTTACGTTTAAGTCTTTAATCCATCTTGAGTTAATTTTTGTATAAGGTGTAAGGAAGAGGTCCAGTTTCAGTTTTCTGCATATGGCTAGCCAGTTTTCCCAACACCATTTATTAAATAGGGAATCATTTCCCCATTGTTTGTTTTCATCAGGGTTGTCAAAGATCAGATGGTTGTAGATGTGTGGCACTTTTTCTGAGGCCTCTGTTCCATTCCATTGATCTATATATCTGTTTTGGTACCAGCACCATGCTGTTTTGGTTACTGTAAACTTGTAGTATAGTTGAAGTCAGGTAGCATGATGCCTCTGGCTTTGTTCTTTTTGCTTAGGATTGTCTTGGCTATACAGGCTCTTTTTTGGTTCCATATGAAATTTAAAGTAGTTTTTTTCTAAATTCTATGAAGAAAGTCAAATGGTAGTTTGATGGGGATAGCATTGAATCTATACATTACTTTGGGCAGTATGGCCATTTTCACAATATTGATTCTTCCTATCCATGAGCATAAGATGTTTTTCCATTTGTTTGTGTCCTCCCTTATTTCCTTGAGCAGTAGTTTGTAGTTGTTCTTGAAGAGGTCCTTCACATCCCTTGTAAGTTGGATTCCTAGGTATTTTATTCTCTTCGTAGCAATTATGAATGGGAGTTCCCTCCATTTGGCTCTCTGTCTGTTATTGGTGTATAGGAATGCTTGTGATTTTTGCACATTGATTTTGTATCCTGAGACTTTGCTGAAGTTGCTTATCTGCTTAAGGAGATTTTGGACTGGAACGATGGGGTTTTCTAAATATACAATCATGTCATCTGCAAACAGAGACAATTTGACTTCCTCTCTTCCTTTTTGAATACCATTTATTTCTTTCTCTTGCCTGATTGCCTTGACCAGAACTTCCAATACTATGTTGAATAGGAGTGGTGAGAGAGGGCATCCTTGTCTCGTGCTGGTTTTCAAAGGGAATGCTTCCAGTTTTTGCCCATTCAGTATGATATTGACCATGGGTTTGTCATAAATAGCTCTTATTATTTTGAGATATGTTCCATCAATACCTAGTTTATTGAGAGTTTTTAGCATAAAGGGGTGTTGAATTTTATCAAAGGCCTTTTCTGGATCTATTGAGATAATCATGTGGTTTTTGTCATTGGTTCTGTTTATGTGATGAATTACGTTTATTGATTTGTGTATGTTGAACGAGCCTTGCATCTCAGGGATGAAGCCGACTTGATTGTGGTGGATAAGCTTTTTGATGTGCTGCTGGATTTGGTTTGCCAGTATTTTATTGAGGATTTTCGCATTGATGTTCAGCAGAGAAGTGCCTGGGAAAGCCTCACCAGAGAGTCCTTCACCACCATCACAATGCTCTTGCTCATTTCTCTCATCAAACAAGGGGAATTTTATAAGAGTCTTAACAGGCAATCATTAGGCATCCACCTTACAGTTCTGATTTGGGTTTTTCTGGTTTCTTTTTGTTTCCTAATCTTAAAAAAATCTTTAAAGGGCGCCCATTTTTCCTCAGTTAATACTGTCAAAAAGGCTGCACTGACATGGCTAAATTTGCAGGACCCTCAGTTCTTTAGGGATGGACTAAAGGGTTATCATTGCTTACAAAAGTGTCTTGAACTTGGTGGAGCTTATATTGAGAACTGTTAGGTGAGCATGGAATAGAAAACTGCTGGAAGAGTCAGAGAGGTCACTGTGGAGAAGGTGACCTCTGGGTTGCATGTTGAAGGTTAAGGGAGTGCTTGCCAAGAGAGGAGAGAGTAAAGGCTTTCCTGGCAGAGGAAGAGGTAAAGGGCTAGAGAGAATAAGGCTTGCTCCTGAGGTGGTGGGAGGTGGGTGTAGCTGGACCAGAGGCTGTATGGGATGGGGAGATCCACAGGAAGCAAAACTAGAATAAGGTTGAGGCAGATCTCAAAGATGCTTGTATACAAGCAAAGAGCTTGGGCATTAGTTCATGGGTGATGAAGCACCTACAAAGGCTTAGAGTGGGAAAATTCACAATCAACTTTGCATTTTAGAAAGATCACTCTGGCTGGAGGCTGCTCAGTTAAGATTGTGACCACTAGATAAGAAATGATGAGAGAACCAAGTCTGTGACTAGCGAGTTGTGAATCTCAGTACAGTCATGGGTCACTTAAAGATGGGGATACGTTCTGAGAAATGCATCGCTAGGCGATTTTGTCTTTGTGTAAACATCACAGTGTGCTTACATAAACCTAGATGATACAGACTACTACATACTTGGGCTGTGTGGTGTAGCCTAGTGCTCCTAGGCTACAAACCTGGAGCATGTGACTCTACTGAATACTGTAGGCAGTTGTAACACAATGGTAAGTATTTGTGTATCTGAACATATCTAAACATAAAAAGGGTTCACTGAAAATACGGTACTCAGAATGAAAAATGGCACACCTGTATAGGGTACTTACCATGAATGTGGCTTGCAGGTCTGGAAGTTGCTCTGGGTGAGTCTGTAAGTGAGTGGTGAGTGAATGTAAAAGCCTAAGATGTTACTGTATACTACTGTAGGCTTTATAAACACTGTACACCTAGGCTACACTAAAATTATGTAAAATATATTTTCTTTCTTTAATAATAAATTAACCTTAGCTTACTGTAACTTTTGTAATTCATAAAGTTTTTAATTTTTTAAACTTTTTGACTCTTTTGTAATAACTTAGCCTAAAATACAAACACATTGTACAGCTGTAAAAAAAAAATTCTTTTTTTAAATTCTTATTCTATAAACTTTTTTCTATTTTTACATTTTTTTCTTACTTTTTTAACTTTTTTGTTAAAAACAATGACAAACACACACAGTAGCCTAGGTCTACACAGGATGAGAATCATCAATATCACTGCCTTCCCTCCACATCTTGTCCCACTGCAAGGTCTTCAGGGGCTGTAACACACATGGAGCTCTCATCCCCTATGATATTATTCCTTCTTCTGGGTACCTCCCAAAGGGCCTGCCTGAGGCTGTTTTATAGTTAATTATTTTTTTGTAAGTACAAGTAGTATACTCTAAAATAATGATATAAATATACTATAACAAATACATAAACCAGTAACATAGCGGTTTATTATTATTTTCAAGTATGTATTGTACATAACTGTATGTGTTATACTTTTATATAACTGGCAGCATAGTAGGTTTGTTTAAACCAGCATCCTCACAAACACATGAGTAATGCCTTGCCCTATGACTATGTTACAATGGCTACAATGTCACTAGGGGATAGGAAGTTTTCAGCTCCATTATGATTTTGTAGGACCACTGTCGTATACGTGGTCAGTAGTTCACTGAAATGTCATTATGCTGGGCATGATTGTAGTTCCCTAGCCACTCCAAGGGAAAGCCCCATAGGTAGAGTAAAGGGCATTATCATGACAGGCAGGAAGCTCAGGGAAGCTTCAGGAAGAGTGGGCAGTCAACCAGGAGAGGAAGAGGGGCCCTGTTGCACAATGTCTTTGGCTGAGAGACTGGATTGGGGCATCCCTTTGGGAGCTCTCTTAAATCACCAAAGAGACACTTTTCTTTTCTTTTCTTTTTCTTTTTTTTTTTGAGACAGGGTCTTACTCTTTTGCCCAGGCTGGAGTACAGTGGCTCAATCATAGCTCACTGCAGCCTTAAACTCCTGGGCACGAGTGATCCTCCCACCTCAGCCTCTTGACCAAAGGGACACTCACAATCAAGCTTTTAGGGATAATGCCATCATTATTTGGGTACTGAAAGGAAGTGTTATAGGCTTTAGGGTTATGGGCTTTTAGGGCAGGAATCATTTGTGTTACAGTAAGTTTTGCAAAATGTTGTTGCCCAAATTCATCTTTAGGAATGAGTGGTTTGCTTTTAGTGCATCAAGGTGAGGTCTCTTTCAGTTGCGGGCTGTTTCTTTGACAGTGGGAAGTAATAAAATTACATTTTCCTCCTAGCCCGAAGCATTTCTGACTGTGCTTACAATAACACCATGTGACGAATGCAAATATGTGTGTCTGTCTTAGTTGTGCCCTTTGTAAACTAACCAGTGGTGAAGGCTTTGTTCCGGCTGACCACATGAAATAGGGGGAGGCTTTCTCTCCCTCTCTGCTGAGTTGGACGGTAGCCACTCTCCATTTCCATTGGAAGTGCCCGTCATTTGATATTGCACAAATGTTGTTATGCGGTGCATGACTGTACTTCTCAGCAAAGCGTAAATGGTTACTCAGAGAAACACAGGGAAGTGAGGCTTGACATTGAGGTTTGTTAATGCAGTGCCACCAGAGTGACCTAGTCAATGGTAAAGCACTTAAAAGTTCCCCTTTAGTTTTAAAACAAAGCATTGTTATATAATAAACACATAATATTTTATTTTAATTTAAACGTTTCTTTTGTTTCAATGATTTTTCTCTCATTCCTAGTTGGATAGCACTAGGTTACTTGTCACGGGTTGAGGTAATTTACGATAACATAGTTACACAAGTTCTTACCCAACCCTCTCCTGTCTCTGGGTTTGGAATAAACTTCTTTTGAACCCTTTTTTCATGATTTGCTACTTGTATGACAAAAAAAGTGTTACGTTACTGCCTAAGTTTCATTTTCCTAATCTAGAAGACAGCAGTAGTGTCATCTAACGCTCAGGGTTGTTGTGAGGATCAACCAAGGTTACTGTTGAAAGTCCCAGGAACATAATAACTACTCAATAAATGCTGGTTGCTCTGCCTTCCCAGTAATATGGTATAGGAGGGCTTCAAAAAGTTTGTGGAAAAGCAAAATTAAAAGATGAAAATAAAAATTATAAATTTTATTTCTCAACATAAGCTCCACCAAGTTCAAGACACTTTTGTAATCAATGATAGCCATTTAGTCCATCCCTAAAGAACTGGTCCTGGGAATTTCACCATGTCAATGGAGTCTTTTTGAAACTATTAACTGAGGAAAAATGGGCGTCCCTTAAAGATCTTTTTAATATTAGGAAACAAAAAGAAATCAGAAAAAACAAAATCAGCACTGTAAGATGGGTGCCTAATGATTTCCCATCTCTCACAAAATTGCCCTTGTTTGTTGAGAGAAATAAGCAGGAGCATTGTGGTAAATGAAGGGCTCTCTTGTGAAGCTTTCCAAGGCACTTTTCTGCTAAAGTTTTGGCTAAATTTCTCAAAACACTCTTATAATAAGCAGATGCTATCATTCTTTGGCCCTCAGGAAGCCAATGAGGAAAATGCTTTCAGCATTCCCCAAAACTATGGCCATGATGTTCACTCTTGACTCATCTGCTTTGGCTGGACCACTTGTACCCCTTGGTAGCCATTGCTTTGATTGTGCTTTGTCTTCAGGATCATACTGGTAAAGGCGTGTTTCATCTTCTGTTACAATTTTTTGATGAAATGTTTCTGGATCTTGATCTCACTTGTTTAAAATTCTCATTGAAAGCTCTGCTCTTTGTAGCTGATCTGGATGCAACAGTTTTGAGTTTCATCAAGTGGAAACTTTGTTCAATTTTAATTTTTCAGTCAGAATTGTGTAAGCTGAACCAATTGAGATGTCTATGATGACAGCTATTGTTTCTAATGTTAATTGTTTGTCCTCTTCAATTAGGGCATAAACGAGATGAGTTTTTTTCCTTATAACTTGGTGTGGATGGTCTGCCGCTACAGACTTCATCTTTATCATTGTCTCATCCTCTCTTAAAATGAGTTATTCTTTTGTAAACTGCTGATTTCTTTATGACTTAATACCCATAAACTTTTCATAAAGCATCAGTGATTTCACCACTCTTCCACCCAAACTTCACTATAAATGTGATGTTTGTTCTTGCTTCAATTTTAGCAGAATTAATGTTGCTCTAATAGAGGCTCTTTTCAAACTTAGGTCTTATCCTCTTTAGTGCTTTAAACTAGTTTCTGTTCAGGCATGTTATAACAAGTTAGTATAAGTTTATTTTGGTAGAAAAAATTGAACTCTATGCCTAGTTTTTCACAATATGCATTTTTCATGAATTTATTGAAGACCCTCATATTAGATAAAAGGTCGTGGTCAATTGGATCTAACCAGTAAGATAACATCCCTCATTCCTGTCCTGTGGAAAACTAGGAAGAGTTAGGAAAATGTCATTGGGGAGTAAATCATGCTGCACATATTAAAAGGTTACCATTTGATAAGCCTTAACATATGTACATACCTGTAAAGCCATCACCACAATCAAGATAGCAAATACATTATCATCCCCAAAGCTTTCTAATGCTCCTTTGTAATTGCTCCTTTCTGCTTTTCTCTGCCACCCTTAACTTCCTGTTCCCAGATGATCACTAGTATGCTTTCCGTAACTGTCAAGGTTATTTTTTTCTTACTGAGTTTTGAGAGGTCTTTATGTATTCCAGAAGCAAGTCCTTTATCAGCTATATAATTTGCAAATGTTTTCTTCCAGTGTATAGTTTCAGTTAGATTTTGTCAGATTTTTTAAATGATCAAACTAAGATTATGGGAATCATAGAGGAATATCACAGAGATGAGGTACCTTTCTCTTACCATCATATCACAGAATACACAATATTGACATGACTTATCACAGTGATGTCAACATTTGTCTTAGATTGTTCAGGCTGCTATAGAAAAATACCACAGACTGGGTGGATTATATGCAACAGAAATGTATTTCTTACTGTTCTGGAGGCTGAGAAGTCTAAGATCAAGGTGCTGGCATGTTCAGTGTTTGGTGAGGGCTTATTTCTAGTTCATAGATAGTATCTTCTAGGTGTGTCCTCATGGTAGAAAGGACTAGCTGGCTCTTTGGAGTCTCTGTTATAAGGGCATGAATGCCAAGCATGAGGGCTTCACCTTTATGACCTAATCACCTCTCAAAATTTCCACCTGCCAATTTCAACACCTTAGAGGTTAGGATTTCAACTTCTGGATTTGAAGGGAACACAAACATTTAGATCACAGCAATTTTGACCACTTGGTTATGGGGGTATCTTCCAAGTCTCTCCCCTATAAAGTCTTTTAAACCTTTTCTAAACTCTGTTACTTGGAAGTTCTATGAGTAGTCCATGCTCAGCGGGAGAAGAATTAAATTCTACCCCCTGAAAGGAGAAATATCACCATATATTATTTAAATTCTTCTGTAAGAAAGTTTTTCCTTCTCCCCCATTATTTATTTATTCATTCACTTATTTATATCAGTTTGGACTCATGAATATTTGTTTAATTTGTTAGGTTGTAATCTAATACTATTGTGTTATTTTTTTGCTCAAATTGTTCCAGTTTTGGCCATGTGGAGTTTTTTCAGGTTAGATCTTCTATTCTTTTGATATGCTCCCATCTTTTTTTTCTTTTTTCTTTTTTTTTTGCACTTCCTTACTTTCTGGCATTACAAGATGCTCCAAGCTCATCTTGCATTTTCTATGTTCCAGCCCTAAAGTCAGCCATTTATTCCCTTGTATTGGAGAATGGTACTTAGAAGCCAAGTTCTGGATAATGAGTGTGCTCCTTGCTAGTGGGTGTCACTGCTTCAAGACATGAGAGGTATTTTTACTTCCCTAGGAAGGTTCTATGTATACCAGAGGGAAATCAAGCAACTTACAATTAGCCAATCATGTAAGAGAGTGCTACCAAAGTATGATCCATGGACCATCAACATTGGCATCACCTGTAAGTTTATTAGAAATGCAAATATTGCGTTCCATTCAGACCTCCTGAATTGGAAACTGGGGGTTGGACCAAGAATCACTATTTTAATAGGTATTACAGGTGATTTTTTTTTTTGCACACTACAATCTGAGAACAACTGAGGTAAGAAGCAGTCTGTAGAAATCTGAGTTAACTGCTATTGTATTTTGTATTTACTCCAGTACCTCTTATACGCTGTGCTCCTGACAACTACCAACCTGCCTGGCTTCTCAACCCAGCTATGACCTCAGTCTTTGGATTCTTACTGTTCTGAAGAAGACATATCACACAAAGAACACATAGGCCAGGCAGAAGAAGCAAAAACAAGAACAAAAGAGCCAGTCCTCAACAAAATACTGCAAACCAAATCTAGCAACATATAAAAATAACTATACAACATGACAAAATGAAATTTATCCCAGGAAGGCAAAATTTAACATCTGAAAGCCAATTAATGTAGTATGATATCAATAGAATAAAGAACAAAACACACATGATCATCTAAATAGATGCAGAAAAAGCATTTGACAAATTCATCCTGTCATCATAATAAGAATGAATTACGAATAGAAAGAAACTTTCTCACCTGATAAGGGCACCCATGAAAACCTCACAACTAGCATTATACTTTGTGGTGAAAGACTGAATGCTTTCCCCTGAGATCAGGAACAAGACCAAGAACAGTGTTCTCATCACTTCTGTGTAACAACAGTGCTTTCAGCCTGAGATAGCAAGAAAATGAAATAAAAGGCATTCATGTGGGGAAAAAAGTAGTAAAACTATCTCTATTTGCAGGTGGCATGATCTTGTAGAAAATCCAAAGGAATTCGCTAAGACTCTATCAGAACTAATAAACAAGTTCAGCAAGGTTTCAGGATACCAGATCAATGTACAACAATCAATTGTATTTTTGCACACTTACAATAGGCAATCTGAAAACAAAATAAAGAAAATAATTCTACTTATAATAACATTAAAAACAATAACATACTTTGGGAAAAGTTTTGAAAAAGAAGTCTAAAACATATATTCTGGGCTGGGCATGGTGGCTCATGCCTATAATCCCAGCACTTTGGGAGGCCAAGGCGGGTGGATCACCTGAGGTCAGGAGTTCAAGACTATCCTGGCCAATGTGGTGAAACCCTGTCTCTACTAAAAATACCAAAAAATTTTTCTGGGTGCAGAGATGTGTGCCTGTGATCCCAGATACTCGGGAGGCTGAGGCAGGAGAATTGCGTGAGCCCTGGCGGCAGAGGTGGCAGTGAGCCGAGATCACGTCACTGCACTCCAGCCTGGGCAAGAAGAGTGAAACTCCATCTCAAAATAACAATAATAATAAATAAAACATATACTCTGGAAACTTTAAAGATTATTGAAAGAAATTAAAGAGGACTGAAATAAATGAGAAGACATCTCATGTTCATGGATTGGAAGACTTAAAGTTGGAATGATATTACTCCCCAAATTAATTTACAGATTGGACACAATCTCTATCAAAATTCTAGCTGGCTTATTTACAGAAATTCATAAGCTAATCCTAAAATCCCTACGGAAATTCAAAGTTTCCAGAATAAACAAAGCAATCTTGAAAAAGAAGAACAAAGTTGGAAGACTCATACTTCCCAATTTTAAACTTACCACAAAGCTACAGTAATTGAGTTAGTGTGATTTTGGCATAAGGATAGACATATAGACCAATGGAATAGAATTAAGAGTCCAGAAATATAGTAAGTCTTCACATTTATGGCCAGTTGATTTTTGGGAAGAATACCAAGATAATGCAGTGGAGGGAAGAATAGTGTTTTCAACACATAGTGCTTGAATGAATGGATATCCACATGCAAAAGAAAGAAATTAAATCCCTGTCTCATATAGTATATAAAAGGTCCTATGGTGGGGGAAGCCTGGCAGGTTTGGGAAATAAAAAAGCCAGTACAGCTAGAATGCAGAGATTAGGGCAGAGGATGGTTCAAGACAGAGCTAAAAATTAGGCAGAGTTCAGAATATGTGATACAATGAATGCAAAGACTAGGAAAATGTGGAATAGTGTTAAAGGCCCTACAAAACATGTTTTACTGTGGGGGTTCAAATCCTGGTTCCACCACTCATTAGCTATGTGTCCGAAGCAATCACTTAACCTCTTTGTGACTCAGAGTCTTCATCAAAAAAATAGGCATAACAATGGAATTAGCTTACAGGCTTAACGTAAAGATTGAATGAGTAATAATGGTGTAATGCACCGCCAAAAGAACTAGGCACATGCTGAGTAAGTTATAATTACAGAAATATTTAGTGTAGCTTCTTGGTGTAGTTTCAACTTACTATAGTTTCTGATACTTATTGAGAGCAGGATTAATGTTAGCTGTTACTATTAATATTATTTCCAGGGAGTCTTATTATCTTTGGGTGAGGGAGTTGACACACAGACGTTTCTACATGTAAAAAGAAGCCTGGAGGAACATGGCAGGGACTACCCAGCTTTAGAACTGTTTGGAATTTTGATATAAAAGTAGAGCTGATTACTGGCCAAAGTACTGCTACGGGGGAGTACTTTATGGCTAGTTTGTCCTGAGGTCTGCCTGCAGGCACTACTAAACTGGGTGGGTACAGTCACAGCAGGAATCCTATAACCCTACAACTCAGAGAAGGACTTCATAGAGTAAGGCATTAGCTTCCCCCGAAAACCAGCTATAGTGTCTGATATCCACCCCAGCCTGACACCAGCTTTGGGCTTTAAATCTCATTTTCCCAACAGAGCTGGTAGCAGCTGCCTTCATATTTACTGCATCTCCTCTCCAATGACACTCTCCTCCCAAAAACCACTCTCAGCTGAGAGTCACCATCCATGAGATAGGCCTGTTCAGCATGCTTTTTAACAGATCAGAGGCCAGGTTTTGCTTTGCTTTGTTAATTGCATATCAAGCTGTCACCTAGAGCTTAATGAAGGGTATGAACATACCCATAAATTATCCAGTTTTCAAAAGCAGTTTTGATATTCCTCTAGGGAGCCTCTTTATGCTCAAATGAGCATGCAGTATTTTGCAAAAGTAAGCATTCCAAGGGAGCTGTTAATTATTTGAACCTAGAGATTTTGAGTAACTGCAAACAGCAATTGATAGATCCCAGGAGTGGCTCAACATGGGTGATGAATTTACTATTGCTGGTTGGAGGACCCACTTGGGAACCATTTTATTTATTTTTTTATTTTTAATTTTATTTGTTTATTTATTTAGACGGAGTCTCACTCTTTCACCCAGATTGGAGTGCAGTGGCGCGATCTTGGCTCACTGCAACCTCTGCCTTCCGTGTTCAAGCAATTCTCCTGCCTCAGCCTCCCAAGTAGCTGGGATTACAGGGGCCTGCCACCACGCCTGGCTAGGGAACCATTTTAAAAAGCAAGAGTGACCCATTGGATTGTTCCACAGTTCATCAGTGACTTGCTGTGACAGTGATGGGGTGCAATGGGAAACATAGGAGCTTTTGTGTCCTGATGGGAGGCAGAGTCGCCCCTGAGCAATGCTGTTGTTATTGAGAAAATAGGGTGGTGGCAGGAGGGCAACACTGAGTCACAACCACTGAGGGAGTGAAACCTGTGATCAGATGTTTCTGGGGTGTGGGAGAAGGGGACATTTATTCTCAGATCTGCCTCCTCTTTCTACTTTCTCTACCTTTTGCAGGTTGTTCTGCTGATGGTTCTAACTGCAGGGTCAATCAAGCCTGTCCCAAATTCTGAGCCAATCTCAATAGGCAAAGTCAGGACTTTTCAGGCATTTATCTTTTTATCCTTTCATTTATCAGCATGCACATGGAGACAGGCATTGTTAAGACATAAAGGGTTAAGAGAAGACATAAGGCATGATCTCTCCATTTATAGCTCACAGCGTAGGGCAGGAAATAGACACATATATAACCCTAATCTTCAATTTATTCTTCCAAGTCCTGCCCTGCCCCAGAGTTGGTCTCTCCCTGATTCTGGTCTGCTCAACAGATTCTGCCCCATATGCTCTCCATCCCAGCCCTTTGCTGCCGGGAAGTGATATTGCCTTGTACCTAGGTTCCAAGTTATGGTCCACCTATGGAAGAACTCCCCGCCCCTCCACCCCTGGTCACCACAAACACACATTAGAGTCACTTTCTCAAAATGTTCTAAGTGCCTTTCTGGTGCTTGGAACAGACAGAGCTGGCAGTGCTACCTAAGTGGAGAGCTGTGATCCCAGATGGGACCTGTGTGGGCCCTGTCCTTGCTTCGTCCCTCAGGGTCACTCTCTGACCCACTACCCCATGCGTGGAGTCAACCAGATGCCCCCTTTCCAGGAAAGTGACCTGGCAATCTGATTGTTCCTGCTGGCTTGCACAACATTTCTTTTGTGTGAGATTGAGCTGCAACAACATTACCAACATGCTGATTCTGAGTGAATCTCACTCCTATACCACAAAGGGTGACTTCGTGGCTCTGGGCTGCTGCTGGCCCTCAGGCTTAAGTTGCATGTGTGCCTGTGCTTAGGCTCCTGCCCACCCATGTTCTGACCACAAAACCACCTCCAGACTATAGACGCAAGGGTGGTGCGTGGTGCAGGCTTTTCTTAGCAGTGCACCCTCCTTAGGCTTCACACCACATAAGTCGGCAGTCCTCCAGGAGTGGCTATGCCTATCTCCTCTGAGGGCTTTTGAGACTAACTGTTGCTGTGCAAGATGGATGAGCTGTCTGACCAATGATGTTCTCTCCTGCCTCCAACCAACGTGGTGACTTCTGTGCCCCTGGATTCCTCTCGAGGTTTGCTGGACCTTGGCAGACATTCCTATGGGATAGATCACTCTTCCTGCTCTGCCTGCCCACAGGTCCTCCTCACCAATCTTAGGAAAGACTCACTTGCTTTTATGTTTCCTCTTCAGTTCTGGTTCATGCAATTGGACCATAGGGTTCAGGGTGAGGAAGAGAGAGAGAGAGACAGAGAGAGACAGAGAGAGAGAGAGATTAAAATGATCTCAGGGAATTAAGTTTTCAGAGTGAGGGAATGGATTTGGTAAGAACACAGTTAAGGAATCAAATTTGTTTTCTTCAGAAAGAGAAGGCAAATGGGTGGTTTAATTCTTGCCCTCAAGGATAAGCAATAATTTTACGCAGGGGATATAGACAAATTATTCTTATGTCTTAAAAGACTAACAATCACAGAACAACGCTTCTACTCAGTGTGTGTCTTCACTCTCCTGATTATAAAAAGGAATCACTAACTTGCTTTATGCTGTTTCACGTTGAGGGAAAGTAATTGAGGTTTTTATGAAAAAAAAAAAAAAAATCCTTGGAGGATTCACATTTCAATCCCAGGCTACATTAGCTCAATTTCTGCAGACCATACTCTAGGCACACAAAATATTCCCACCATTCCCCCAAACGTACATGTTTCTTTATCCACAGCATCTTCTTTGCGTAAAATGGCCTTCTCCACCCTGCTCCCTTTCTATTCTGGCCAATTCCTGTTCACCTGAAACTGTCCTCACAGGATGAACAAGAACTGGACAGAATATAGTTACAATTAAGCATTAATCATGCTGCACTTTGACACACTTCCTTATAGCTGAAAGCCAGATAACACTAGATACTCACCATTTGCATTCCTATTGTTCCTAAAAATAGGGTTTCTGATATTAGTATCTTAAGGCTTTTATTTGGGAATTGCTTAAGATGTTTTTCACATCCGGAATTCCAGCGAAACAGCTGACATCATCCAGTTTAAAGACCCCAAAGAAGAATAAAAACAGCCTGAGAATATGGTTTCTTTATCTCCTTGTTCCATGATTTCAGCCTGCAATCTTACCGATCAACAATCACCACACTTCGGCCCACTCCAAAACTCTTAAAAACCCTAGCCCCAAACTCCTCAAGGAGGCAGATGTGAGGTTTCTTCCCATCATCTTGTCCAGCAGCCTCACAAGTAAACCTCTTTATCTGCTGCAACCCAGGGTCTCAGTGTATTGACTTGCCATGCACATCAGGCAATGAACCTATTACACTTACACATTTTTAAGGCCCAACTTGAAGGCTCGTCAACTATGTGAAATGTTCTCAAGCTGAATCTGAGTCCTATTTCTGCGCTGTTGAACTGCTTTGCCACACTACTGTCTACTCTCTGGGCTGAACCCATTGGGGGCAGGAGTCATATTTCAGTCAGTCAGTCAATCAGTCAGTTCATCAACAAATGATTCTTGGGTACCTATTCTATCCCAGACACTGTGCTGGGCACTGCAAATACCCCCATGAGCAAGATAGACAAGACTTCTCTCCCCTAGGAGCTGGGATCTGGGGTGGGATGCCAACAGATCAAGAGGCAATTGCAAAGCACTGTGAGAAGTAGCAGTTCTGAAGATGAAGAGTGCAGGGAAATACGCCCCAGGCAGAAGGAACGGCATATGGGAATGCTGGTGGCAAGAGAAAACATTCCTCACATATCATTACATTTAGGAGAGAGAGATGCCCAGTATTACCAGAGAATAATACTGTCAAGAGTCTGGCAAGAGATGAGGGCAGAGAGGAGACCAAGGACTGCATTATTCTGCATCTTTTGAGCCCTTTGAGAAGTCTAAACTTCCTCCTAGGAGCAATGAGGAGCCTCTGAAAAGTTTTAAGCAGGGAAATGGCATCTCAGATTCGCACATTGAAAGATAATTCTGGCTGCAACTCAAAGAACAGACAAGCAGGAGATATTACTGGAGGCAGGGACAGCAGTTAGGAAAGACTGATGAGAAGGGATGGTGGTCTGCTCCATAGGGGTACAGCGGGAATGAAGATAAATGGGTACTGGCAGTGGTATCCTGCAGGTAAAATGGATGGGTTTGGTGGCTTATTGGTTATGGCTGCAGGTGAAGGATAGAGGTGGCAATGGAGGGGAAGACTGGGTGGAAGCTCTCAGGCTCCTTTCTTGAACAATGTTTAATGGGAGTGTGTTAGTTTCCAAGGGCTGTCATAACAAAGTACACCACACTCGTGGCTTAGAACAACAGTCATTTATTGTTTCACAGTTCTGGAGGCCAGAAGTTTAAAATCAAGGTGTCAGCAGAGTCATGCACCTTCTGAAGGCACTAAGGAAGGATCTGTTTCAGGCCTCTCTCTTAGCTTTCAATTCAACCCACAAAATGGGGAAAGGTACTGTTATTCCCTAAGACCCCCACAGAGGAAAGCTCATGCAGTAGAACAGGTTTGCCGATAGAGAGATGAATCCTTGAGCTTGGGGCATGTTGAGCTTGGCGAGCCTGTGGAAACCCATGAGAAGATATATAGAAAAGTATTTGATACATTGGGTTGGTGTTTTGGAAAAGGAGGGTATGGAATGGGCTGGGAATATAAACTTGAGAGTCTTTGGCTTATAGGGTGGATAAGACAGTGAACATTTGGGAATGGCCAGACCTCCTGAGGGGAAAGGGAGCAATTCATCTCTGCAGCCCCAGAACCTAGCCCAGGCCCTGCCGTTGCTGTAAAGGTTCAGTGAAAAACTGCCTGATGGAATGAAAGGATTTCTTCAACTTTTCATTAGTTTGAGATAAGAAGGCTTTGCATGGGTGATTGCTTACCCTCCTCTGGCTCTGTGACCTGAAGGGAGTGTACTTTGTGGCAATGAGAAACAAGCATCCTTAGGTTTCACTTTACAGTCTCCTTCAGTGTAATTTAGAAAATTTGCCCAGAGCTTCTCACTCAGCATCTAGGGAAAGCCACCAGGTTGTGCCCATCTCTTGACTTATAAGAACATGAACAGAAGAAAGACATATGCGTCTTGCTTTAGTTTGCAGCAACACTTCCTTTTTTACTTACAAATCTTCACCTTTGCCGTCTGCCCAGCCTTTTCAAAAAACTGTAATAAAGTTTCCAAATAAAGCCTTTTCTGTACCACCTGCTTTCCCCCCACAGCCCAAGACTGATGGTCATTTGATCTTGGGAGTATCTGGAGCGTGTTGTTCTCCCACCTGGCTGTGCTGGAGCAGAAGCTGCTGGGGGACAGTGGGTGGAGCTGTGGAGCAGTGTCATCATCTGCTGGGCAGTTGATCCAGGTTCCTTTGTGCCTGTTGCCTGGTGACACCCAGAGGCCCCTCTCTCAGAGCCACACTCTGGCTTGCTATTGGTCCGGTGGTGGCATTTGTTGACAATAGACACTTCCCTGGCTCCAGGTTCTGAAAGAGGCCTGGGAGCTTTGGTTTCAAGCTACAGTGCTCATTTAAATGCATTTCTTTAACTCTTTGTGTCCCCTTCCAGGAAAGTTCAGCGAGAGTGTGCACCCTGACCCTCTGGCAAGGTTCTCCCCTTCACCCTAGAGTGCAGCTGGACTCAGATGGTTTCTTCTCTGCTATGCTGCTGTGGCAGGACAGTTTTCTTCTCACCTCTTCCTGGGTTTTTTTGTGGCTGCTTAAACAAACAGGCTTTGTCGGCAAGACAAGTCATCCAAGTTGAGCTAGGAAGTAGTTGATATTAGCAAGAGAAAGGTTTGTTTTTAGGATGTCATATTCTGAAGACTATGAAAGACCAGAGCCTCTTCTTAGAGGTCCCAGGAACTGTAGATACAATCTATGCCTTCCTGAAACAGAGCTGGGGCCAGGCACAATAGAGGGGGAGCAGAAGACTGAGGTGACTCTGGGGGAGGTGATGAGGGTGGGAAAGAAAACAGAGAAGGGCTTCTGAATGTCCCCAAGGTGGGCCCTGTTTGATCAGTGAGTGGATTTATGGCCCAAAGGGGTGGCATCATTTAAGGAGCTCAGTCCCCCACTTGGTGAGTGCCTGGCATCTGGGATCCTCAGGCAGCTCCCCAGACACTCCCCATCTGCTTCTTCCTCCCTACCTTCTGGGTACCCTTTAGAGAATGCGTCAGCTGAGGGTTAGAGTATGGATAAGTTGGGTCGAGGCAGCTGCAGTGTGGACCAGAAGCTGCCCAATTCTGGCTGGTTCCTCGAAGAACCCACTCAGATCTTTTTTTTTTTTTTTTTTTTTTTGAGACGGAGTCTCGCTCTGTCGCCCAGGCTGGAGTGCAGTGGCGGGATCTCGGCTCACTGCAAGCTCCGCCTCCCGGGTTCACGCCATTCTCCTGCCTCAGCCTCCCAAGTAGCTGGGACTACAGGCGCCCGCCACTACGCCCGGCTAATTTTTTGTATTTTTAGTAGAGATGGGGTTTCACCGTTTTAGCCGGGATGGTCTCGATCTCCTGACCTCGTGATCCGCCCGCCTCGGCCTCCCAAAGTGCTGGGATTACAGGCGTGAGCCACCGCGCCCGGACCCCACTCAGATCTTTTAAACCTGGTACTGCTTGTAGGAATATACAGGCCCAGACTCCCGGCAAACTGCCCTGCCTATACTCCACACCTCGTACCCTCTCTCTCCTCCCACCTAGAACAAAACCACTTTTAGGCAGGGAAGGCAGAGGCTCTTGCAAAGACCAAGCAAGGGATGAGGGAAACCTGATGAACGCTTCCCTTCCCTTCTGTTGAGCCTTGCAGCCAACTGCCCAAGCTCTAGCCTACACTCCGACAGGAGGCCCCAAGGGGACCTCAAAACAGGAGAAGACATTCTGAGGCTTCTGAAACTGTGTCATCAAGATTAATTGACCTATGTCTATAGTAGCCAGTACTCCAGAGCAAGTAGGGTTTGGAGCTGGGGCAGAAGTTCCAGGTCCCTGTGACTGGGAGACATGTGCACCAGGTCCCAGTGACCCATGGGTCACAGAGATTTCTGCTAAGCCTCCCTGGAGCCCAGTGTCCCAGTTGTCTCTGTCTGAAGTGCGCTGTTGTGTTAGATTCATCAAGAGGGTCCCTCCCTCCAACAGGGCTGCGGGTCCTATTTACACAGCTTCTTTCATTGTCTTTTGTTTTTTTGAGACGGAGTTTCGCTCTCTTTGCCCAGGCTGGAGTACAATTGCACGATCTCAGCTCACTGCAACCTCTGCCTCCCAGGTTCAAGCAGTTCTCCTGCCTCAGCCTCCTGAGTAGCTGGGATTACAGGCATGTGCCACCACACCCAGCTAATTTTTGTATTTTTAGCAGAGACGGAGTTTCACCATGTTGGCCAGGCAGGTCTCGAAATCCAGACTTCAAGTGATCTATCCACCTCGGCCTCCCAAAGTGCTGGGATTACAGATGTGAGCCACCACATCCGGCTTAGCTTCTTTCATTTTCTCAGGTCCTCTTTCTGCCAGCAACAGTTGTTCTGCAGTGTTTCTAGTGTGACTCCTCCTTGTGCATGCACCCGAGTTCTGAGAAAAAGAAGCCATTTATCCCCAGTTCAGGTGCAATATGTCTGCTGAAAACATGGTAGTATTTTGCCATCATCAATTTACTCATCCATTTGAACTAAGAGCCAGTCAGAAAGGTTGGGTGCAGCCAGGCTTTAGTTCTGTTTTGTTTTTGCTTTTGTTTTTCAGAAAGAGGAAATTGGCACTAATTTGAGCACAATTGCTTGCAAACATTTTACTGATTTTTTGTTGTTTTGATCTTGCTTATAGGAATTATTGAGAAAAGAAAAATCTTGGGATGATAAATATGGTAAGATCCATTTAATATTAAAAGTGAAAAGGAGGTGGGTTTCACAGAGAGTAGACCAGTGGTCTTGCAATCAATTCTGAGAAAGATTCTGAAACAAAAATTTTAAGATATTCTATTAAGTCCCTAACAAAATACCAAGCTCGGTGGTTTCAACAACAGAAGTTTATTGTCTCACAGTTCTGGAGTCAAGAAGTCTGAGATCAAGGTGTCAGCAGGGTTGCCCCTCTCCTAGCTTCTGGTGGTTTTCTGGCAGTCTTTGACATTCTTTGGCTTGTAGAAGCATCACCGTGCACTCAGCCTTCATCTTCACATAACACTGTCTGTTTGTGTGTGTGTGTGTGTTTGTGTCCAAATTCCCTCTTTTTCTAAAGATACTAGTCATATTGGATTGGGGTCCACCCTACTCCAGTACGACTTGATCTTGAGTGCTTACATCTGCACTGACCCTATTTCCAAATAAGGTCGCATTCTAAGGCACTGCACCTTAGGGCTTCAACTATGAATTTTGGGGGAACACAACCATAACTGAGAGCTTTTGAGCATTTGGTAAAACAACCAGTCATTTCTAGAAACCAATCTGAGCACACTAAGAACAAACTGTCAATCTAAGCAGATTGCCTACTGTCGGGGCTCAGAACACGATACCCCAAAGTACGGTGCCTTTGGGTCTTCATTTCTGAATCCTCTTGTATCACATAAAACTTTGATTAAGCAAATCTGTCACGCTTTTCTCTTGTTAACCCGTTTTTTGTTGTAGGAGCATCGGCCATGGCCCTGACTATGGGAAGGAAAGGTATCACACTTTTTCTGCCCCCACCCACTGTCCCAGGGTTAAAGATGAGTAACTAGATTTACATGACAGAAGGAAAGGGGCCAAAGACCAAGACCACACCAAAGGGTGATGTATGTTTGTCTACTTAACTGTAAGGTCTAATTTCTCATGTGTTTCAGGATCTCTAAAATCCAGAAGTGAAATATCTTGGCAAGAAAATTAAGCCCCAAGTGGCTTCAACATTTGGCCTGGTGGTCAAGGAACTGTCATAGTTACTGGGATAACAACCATTATACATCCAGGGAGGCTGTTCTCAGAATCTTTCATAATTAAATCTCTAAAGCTGGGAAAACAATCTCCTATCACTTTCTTTGTCATCATACCACTTCCTTTTAATTTCCAAGCCTCATTTGCACTTCTTCCCACAGTGTCTCTCTGAGCGACAGCAAATCTCTGCGTTGGCCAGGAATAACAGTGCAAAGCAGTGTGGGTGGCAGGGCCCTAACACCCAAGCCTGAGCCTCCATTTCCCGCCATTGTTCCCTCAGTCAGGCTGGGGCTGTCCTGGGGAGAGTTTTTCCAGATAAAACTGTCCTGGTTGGCTGCCAGTGATTCAGACAGGTTCACAGCCTCAAACCTCCTGATGGGTAAGCAGTGATTCAGACTCCAATCCTGCTTCATCTCTCAGGCTTATCGCTTATCTCCAGCTGCCAGGAGACAGACAATGGGGGCAGAGAGGCATTTTGGCTGAGCCAGGCCTCAGGTAGCCCCAAGGGATTTGAGAGGCCTCCAGACAAGCAGACTCAGGCACTCTCACCAGGTCACTCTCTATTTAAAAAACACAAAGTCTATGAGTTCCCTTGAGAATATAGCATTTCCTGCGACCTATGACAGCAAAAATGGACATTTCTATATCTGTTGATTCATTCCTTCTTCAGAGCTGCTGTTTCAAGTAACCCAGGACTTTGGGTGAAAGTATTTAGGGCAGTCGGGACTCCAAAGGACCTTGCAAAAGGTGAATTCTTGTCCCGCCCCTTCCCAACTTCATTTGACTTTAAAAGTAACCCTAATACTCTCATAGTAAAACTGGCGAAATCTAAATAAACTCTGGATTGTACCAATGTCAGTTCCCTAGTTTTGATGCTGTGCTGTAGTTATGCAATATGTTACTACTGGGGATATTGAATGAAGGCTACTTTTTTTTTTTTTTTGCAACTTTCTGTGAATTTGTAATTATTTTAAAGTAAAGCTTTTTTTTTAAGTGATCTTAATGGCTCCCCCAAACCCAGTCACTATATCTTGTCTTTGAAAAAGTCACATAGCAGAATTGCTGAAAGTATAGGCTTTAGGCCAGACAGACCTCAATGCAAAAGCAGCCTTCACCTCTTGGGCAAATTACTTAATCTCTTTGAGCTTCAGTTTTCTTATCTAGAAGATGAATCTGATTGCTTCCCTGATGAGTGAGTATGAGGTGGGTATGAGGACTAATGAAGTAACTCATGGAAAGCACCTGACAGAGTGGATGATAAGCACTCCCTTTAAAACTGTAATCTATTTATTTATTTATTTTGTTTTTTGAGATATGGAGTCTTGCTCTGTTGCCCAGACTGGAGTGCAATAGCATGATCTCAGTTCACTGCAACGTCTGCCTCCCAGGTTCAAGCGATTCTCCTGTCTCAGCCTCCTGAGTAGCTGGGATTACAGGTGTGTGCCACCATGCCCAGCTAATTTTTGTATTTTTAGTAGAGATGGGGTTGCACTATGTTGGCCAGGCTGGTCTCGAACTCCTGATCTCAAGTGATCTGCCTGCCTCGGCCTCCCAAAGTGCTAGGATTATAGGTTTGAGCCACCATGCCAGGCTAAAACTGTAATCTATTGAATAGAGGAGCCTGTATGTGTTTCCAACAGAGGGTCACAGGCTCAGAAAGTCATGTGTGTAGCTGAAAGAATTTTTTTAGTGGCCTCAGTGAGTCAAAAGGGTCCACACCTGGACATGATTCAAGTATGAGTCAAATGCCTATGGAGGAATTATTTGAATTCTGTCCTAATTTCTTTTTCCCTATAAATTGTCCACATTCCCAAGTTTTCTAATGTGGAACTAGACTAAACCATTGACATGACAGAAGCAGAAGCATTCCATTTCCAATCCTAATAGGAATGGCTCAAGCCTTCCAGCCAGGTGCCTGGGGCAGGGGTGGGACAGGAGGCAGAAGAGGTTGAAAAGTATTGGGTGTATTGTCCCCTAACTCATGGGTGGGAGCTTATTAAAGGAAACATATGCTTGTGAAATATACCAGGTACCTACACTCCAGGAAGAGAAAAGTCACTTTGTTCAGGGAAGCCTCTTGGCCATCTATCACTGATGCAGGATTTTTTTTTTTCTTGGTGCTGCTTCACCAGACAGAGACCTCTGCAGCCTGCATTGTCCCTGCCTGGGCCCCACTCAGATCTGGGCTCACCGCAGGAGGTACCCCATGGCTCCAGCCCTCCTGCTGCTTCCCATTGCTGAGGGTGGCTGCCTAGTGTTGGTGGATGGCTACAGTGTTACAGCAGCTCCTTTGGCACCTGCCATCCAGCAGGTCCCAAGTTCTTGTACCATATCCAAGAAGAATGAGATTATTTGGACAACCAGAGAGTGAGAAGGGTGGAGAAGAGTTTTATTGAGTGACAGAACAGCTGTTAGCAGAAAGGGGACTCTAGGTGGGTAGTCTCCCCAACCCAAAGGTGAGTGGTTCCCCTGAAGTGTGGCTGAGTCCAGGGCTTTTATGGGCTCAGAATGCAGGTGTGCGTGCTGAATGGTTTGTGAGTATGCAAAAAAGGCTAAAACTAAGGCACCACCCAAAGATGGGCACAACAGTGTAAAAAACCAATTAGGGAAAGATAGGTACTTGTAAAATAGGTGATGGGTGGGAATCAATCAGAGGAAAGTGTGCCAAATGGGAAGAGAGGTTCTTTTCTGGTCTGTGGATTTATCTGAGACTAGTAGCTTGGCTTTCAAGCTTTAAACTGTCTTTGTTTTGGAGGTCAGGTTTCACTGGGGAAATATCTGCCTAGGGATTTGTCTGCTTCCTCCTGCTATCATCACCTCCTGGAGATTCAAGAATAGGTCCAAAAGCTACTTTTTGTAAGGCCCTTTCTGGCCCTCTTCCCTCCACAAGCCCTGTATTCCAGACACCCCGGTTACTCATCGTTTCTCAGACACCACCCAGCTTTCTCCAGCCAGGTTGTCCAGCTACCTGGAAAGCCCCTCCCTCCACCCACTCCTTCAGTGCCACTCCCCTCTGCCTTTTTCATTCCACCCAATTTTCAAATCTTTCACCAAATGCTTTATCTTCCTTGAAGCCTTGCCTGAACCACCATTCAGAGGTGGTTCAACTCCTTTGAACTCTCCCAGCCCATGTTTGTCTCTTCCTCACAGCCTTGAACATATTAATTCAACAAAGACCTACTGTGTTCTATGGACCAAGCTCTATGCTAGGCTCTGGAGATGCAATGGTAAACAACAGAGTTGGGTGTGTATGTGTGTGCACATGTTGGGGTAAGAATGAGGGCAGAGATGCTAAACAAAATAGTTGCACAAAAACATATACATATACAAATTATAAGTACGATAAAGGAACAAGGGATAAAAAAATTCGAATGTGTACTTTAAAGAAGGATCTAGTTTAGAAAGGGAGACCAGGAAAGGCCTTCCAGAGGAATGAACATTTCAGCTGAGGCTTAATGGATCAGTGAGTTGTCAGTTACCTAAGAGAAGAGATGGGCCAAGGGCCTTCTCTGAAAAACAGGGGATGCAAAACCCACAAGGCCAGAGGAGGATGGGGTGTCTGAAGAACTACAAGGAGGCTAGCATAGCTGAAACAGTGAAGAAGCAGAGTGGAGTGCGAGGAGGCAAGAGAGTGGCAGGAAGTCCAATCACATGGGGCCAGCAGGTCGTGGTAAGCATTTCGAATTTCTTCCCAACTGTAAGATAAATCATTAAAGGCTTTTAAATCAGTACTATGGTCTGAATAATGGTTTTAAATACTTCTATGGCTACTATCTAAAAAGAGAAGCAAAAGTAAAAATGGGGCTACCAAGAGGAGGTCATATGATCTCCACATGAGAGATGGTGGTGGCAGTGGGAGTCGGGAGAAGAGGAGGGAACCTAGATCTAGATCTACTTTGGGAGCCTGAAATTTTATCGGATGTAGACATGAGGGAGAGGTAGGTGTTAAAGATTACTCCCAGATGAATGGCTTGGACCATTCATCTGGTGGATGAACCTGCCTCCCAGTGAGAAAAGCCATGCTGGAGGAGTAGCAAGTCTAGGTGGAAATGTCCAAGGTGCAATTTAAGACATTAGATTGCAAGTAGATAATGTCAATCTACTTGCAATGTCAAGTAGGCAGCTGGATATATTGATCTAGATCAGAGAGAGGTCACTGTGGGAGACATACATTGGAAAATCATCAACTATAGATTTAAGTCTTGTGAATGAATGAGATAACCACAGTGTGGAAAGGAAAGAGAAGAGATGAGGTGGGCAGAGAACAACATACAGGACAGCGCCTTGAAGAACCTAAAGTTTTTCTTTGATTTAAATTATCTCTGCCCCTTGAGGGCAGGAACAATGTCTTTGTCAAATTTGTTTCTTTTCTGTGCTATCTCAGGGGTAGGCAGTGAATCTAAATTAAGGAATTTTACTGGGCTCAGAAGTAACATTGTAAGTGCTCATATGAACTCATTCAACAAACATCGATTGAGCAGCTACTGTGCAGCAAGTACTGTGGCAGAAAATGAGGGTAAAATATGAGTAAGATGTAGTCTCTGCTGCACTCAGGGATCTCCCAGATTAGTGAGGGGAAGGGATAAGAAAAGAGATGCCAACATCAGTGATACCTACATCTATAACAAAGAGTACTCTAGAGGTACTAGGTACATGCCTAGAGATTTCCATTTATTTTTCACATAATACTGAAATTGACTCAGTACTGAATTTGACTTAAGTTATTTGCCCAAGGTCACATAGCTGGCTGACAGCGGAGCAGAAATGTGAACTTAGACTAGCCTGGCTCCAATTCTGTGCTCTGGACATCACCCCTGTGGCCTGTTCATAGCATGTCTTGATGCTTTTTCCCTGCCCTGCCCTTGCTGCAGAAACTCCTGACCTGCCTGCTACAAACATAGTTCCCTGGGACACCCCTACCCACAATGTGGAGAGCAGAGAGGCCTTGCTTGTGACAAGAGCTGATGTCCTTTAGCTTTTCCATGTCCCCTGCCTTTAGTGAGCCTAAAATCTAGGAGAAGAGGTCTGACACATGTGCATAAATAGCCATGTTATAGGAATGACAAGTCCGTGACATGGTCCACATTTCTTAGACAATGTCATCTGCCATCTCTCCTGTGCTCTGGTAGCACTTTTTTAATCCTTGACAGGTTCCATACATTGAATTGTACTTATGCACACTTTTCGGTTGTGAGGGCCTCCAGAGCTGTGACTGCGGTATAATTTTATACATCCTGTGTATTTCTCAAATCGAGTCTCTTCATTTCTCAGGCAGAGATTACCACCTTCATGTCTCTTGCCTTGGGTTATTGCCACAGCCTCCTAACAATTTCCTGCCTCAAATCTCTCCCTGGTTTTATCCACCCTTCAGAAAGTAGCCAGAGTGATCTTAAACCACAAAGCTTGAATCAATCCCTTGCTTAAAACCCTCAATGGCACAACATGCCTCTCAGAATGAAGCCAAGCTCTAAGACTGGAACTCCAGGTCCTCCAATGATATCTTGCACATTCTATACTTTGGCAACATTCTCTGGTCCAGCAGCAAGTGCTGCTTGTAGCCCTATTCCAATGCTCCTCAGCTCTGGGCACCTGCTCTTCCTCTACCTTCCGAAAATGCGCTTTCTCTCCACCTTCACAGAGCCACTGTTTACTCATTCATCATGGAGCCCCACTGCTGGACTTCTGAAGTGTGACCTATACTCATCATTTTATGACAAGCAGCTTCTGATGTGTCAATTTTGACCACTAGAGTGAGTTTCTAGGGGACAACCAGGGTGTCTTTTGCATCTGCATCTCTCCAGCATCTACCACAGTGTCTGCAAAATAATAATCACTCAGTAAATACTTGTTAAATGAATGAATGAGCAAGTGAATGATTAATTGTAAAGTACTAGGATGTATTAAGCACCAAATGAGCAGTACAGACAATAAGTGTGAGAGAAAGGAGGAAGTAGTCACTTCCAGTTGGGGTAGCCCCAGAAAGCTTCCCAGATAAGAATAAATGTATGCTAGGCCTTGCAGGATGAGATAACGTGTGCTGGCCCAGTGCCAACTAACAGTTGGCGTTGAATGAGGGTGAAACGAATCTGATCTGGCTGGATGGAAAAAAGTGGGGAGGACATTTTATGGGGACAGGTGGTGGGGACAAAGGCTTTTAGGTGGAAAAACACAAGGCAAGTTCAGGGAATAATCCAGAGACCAGCTGGATAGGAGCAAAGGATTAATAGTGGGGAAGACAGACAGGGAGGAAGAGGAAGTGGGGGACAAATGGTGGACAGTGCAAAGACGTGTGTGCATGGTGTGGGCTTTTGCACAGAGTGGTCAATAACTGAGAGCCACAGAGCTGCCTGCACCTGTCTTTTTCATCAAGGTTTAAATTTGAACTAGATTAAGAGAACCTCTGAACAATGCAAACAAAACACTCAAACAATGCCTTCCAGGGTCGTGGGATGGGGCGGAGTAGGAGAGGTACAGGATCAGGTCGTTATCTAATGTCTCTGTAGTGTGGAACAATAGGCCAAAATAACCCCAACAGGTTCTCATTTTTCTCTGCATCTCTAGTTTTGCCCGAATTAGAGAGCAGCTGAGTTGACCTAGGAAAAAAATCTACTTTGAGCAGGAAATGCAGTAGGGAGGAGAATGGGAAATTCTAAAATCATGCCAAGAGAGGAAATGGCCAGTGCTGGTTGGGCTGAGAAGAATGGGGCCCCTTGCCCTACTTCACTCCTGGTCTGCTCTTGGGAACAGCCTATATACAAGGTGCTTGACAGCACAGGATAGGGACAGAGGGGTACGTGTCATGTTGGCCACTCCTGGCTGTTTGGAGCCAACACTGATATTACACTGTGTCTGGAGAAGGAAAGCAGGCAATGAGGCTGGGCAACACACAGGAGAGCTCTGTCCCATCACCAACTCCACCTGCCTCCCATATCCATCTCAAAGGAGGCAGCACGCTGCAGCGAAGAAGAAACTGGGGAGGGAGTTCAGAGTCAGGAGCTTTAGCCTCCATCTCTGCCGTTTACTTGCCTTTTGGTATTGACCAGCCATTGATACTCTCCAAGACACTGGTCTTGTTTCTCTTCTATTGCTCTAATGAAGAAGGTGGGTTAGGGATCCTCCCAAATCTCAAGGTCTAAGACTCTCCCACCAGTTGGCTGTAATTTGGTTATCCAGCCTCAGCTTCCTATACTGGATTTCCATTCACCCTTTGCTCCAGTCACAGCAGAACATTCCCCGAACCTGCCCTGTATTTTCCTTCCTCTATTCCTTTGTTCACATGGCTTCCATCCAAACATCTCTTACTTTCTTTCTTTTTCTTTCTTTCTTTCTCTTTCTTTCTTTTTCTTTCTTCCTTTCTCTCTTCCTTCCTATCCTCCTCTCCTTCTTCTTTTCTTTTCTTTTTTTTCTTTTCTTTCTTCCTTTCTTTCTTCCTTTCTCTCTTCCTTCCTATCCTCCTCCTCCTTTTTTCTTTTCTTTTCTTTCTTTCTTCCTTCCTCTCTTTCTTTCTTTCTTTCTTTCTTTCTTTCTTTCCTTCTTTCTTTCTTCTTTCTTTTTCTCTTTTTCTTTTCTTTCTTTCTTAGTGTCTCACTCTGTTGCCCAGGCTGGAGTACTCTCTCTCTCTTTCTCTTTTTCTTTCTTTTTTTCAGAGTCCCACTCTGTTGCCCAGGCTGGAGTGCAGTGGTGCAATCTCTGCTCACTACATTTTCCACCTTCTGGGTTCAGGTGATTCTCATGTCTCAGCCTCCTGTATAGCTGGGACCACAGGCGCACACCACCACACTGCCTAATTTTTATATATTTTGTAGAGATGGGTTTCTCCATGTTGCCCAGTCTGGTCTCAATAACTCCAGCGTTCAAGCAGTCCATCCACCTCAGCATCCCAAAGTTCTGGGATTACAGGCATAAGCCACCACACCTGGTCCTCTCAGTTTCATTTATTGAAATCCTGCATTTCTTTCACGAGTAACCCATTCACCTCGTTGGGAGAAAAACTTTCTTTTAAATCCACATGCATGTGGGAGCATTGATAGCCGAGCAGTGAGGAATAAAGGTTTATATACCAACTTCACTGGGGAAAGGGGGTGGGGAGAAAGGGCTTCTGTGAGAGGATAAATGAGCTTTCAGTGGAGATAAATGGAGGGTATGACAATTGGTGATAATGTGTATTTATGCAATTTCTCTGCCTTGTGCTAATGACCAGTCTCCTTGGCTGTCAGCTCTCCTGGAGAGGGGATTTATGGCAATTTCATTTTCAAGGAGCTCTGCCTTTAGTCCGATAAGGGAAGCTCAGAAAAGGCTTCTTTCTGCATCTTCCATATTTCAAATATCTTCATTTTAAAATAGTCTTTATGCCATTCCTGTAGGATGTCAGTCCTGTCAGCCACCCACTCCTGAACACGGTCTCACTGAGTATTCTAGTGAGAAACCTCAGATAATTTCCACCAGCTCTGTATGCCTCAGTTTACTCTTCTGTAAAATAGGGATAATGTTTCCTATTGTAGTAAAGATTGCACGAGCTAATATAAGGCAGTTAGAACAGTGCCTGCTGTTATGAGCATTGCCTGCTGTTATTATTTTCTACTCAGTCCCCATTCCCTACTAGAGATGTGTGAAGAATAAGAATAACTACGGCTGGGGATTTAGGAGTTATCTCAGAGGCAAAATACTTTGAAAGCAGACATCTTTCGGTAGACTTTAGTTTTCTTCCTTTTTTTTGTTTTTGTTTTTTTTTTTTGTTTTTTTTGTTTTTGGCTTATCACTCGATGGTCTTACACTTCCAATGGCCGTAAGAATTACTGTCCAGGGTTGTAAATGCACAACAATGTCTTCTCTATTTGCAGTCTGTAAATGATGTTGAGGGATAATTTTGACCACATGTGATTTTTGTCTCTTGCATGCACTCTATTTAGAATCTAAACAGTGACTCTTCTTTGTGGGTTTGGTTTTAACTAGAGAGCCTTTCTCCCTGAGTTATTGATGAAGCCCTGCATGGGAAGTAGTGAAGGGTCTGCAGTAACCCAGCTGAGTTCCTCTGTTTTCTTGCTCTGGTTCTACTTTCAGTGGTAGTCCACAGTGTCAATGCAAAGGGTTTAGAGCTCTCAGAAATGCCCCAAATCCAAACCTTAAAAGGCTGGCTTTCTGGCTGAATTATTCACTGTTTAGAAACTGTATTTGAACAGCCTGTAAGCCATTCACTATTGTGGGGAAATGTAAATGAGGGACTCTGATCTCACACTGGGCAAATGCCTAATCAAGTGGGTGTCACCCAGGCAAGAAGGCCACAGAGATGCAAATGGACACTTTTAGACAAAGGTAAACCTATCACTGTGCCAGGATGGTGCCTTAAAGCTGGGCAGTGAGACCACAATGGAAAGGAACAACCCACGGGACCCTTGATATAGACAGAGTCAGAAAGGAAAAGAAGGAAGCTGAGCCCCATCCTTGGAATAACAGTGGAGGTTAAAAGCCCTACAGAATCTATTCTCTACATTCTGGGAGAGGTCAGGAAGTCTGGCCCAGTAGAAAATAAAAACCTTACATAGTTTTACTTATTGAGTCTTACAGAGTCCAGCATTTGTGCTACGTCCCCGTATTTGTAACTCTTTTTCTCTCTGCCTGTGCTTCTATTGGAAGCAGCAGTTAGACTCGTGAATCTGTCCTTATGGAGAGCCAGGAGAGATTGCTGCCTCCCTCCTCACCAGGCTCACATGGGGAAGAAAAGGGCCGTAAGGTATCCAATAAGTGGAAGCAACTGCTGAAAAGGCCAAGTCTGAGTCCCTGGGACCTGCTGTAAGTCAGCAAAGAGAGCCTAGAAAGCAAGCCAGGGCCCAAGAAAGTATGAAATCCTGTGTGAGGCCAAACAACCACTGCAATATTAAACTTAAAACACCTACCCCATCCCATGCTACAGTTATTTTTATTCTTTTTTTTTTTATTTTTATTTTTTATTTTTGAGACGGAGTCTCGCTCTGTCGCCCAGGCTGGAGTGCAGTGGCGGGATCTCGGCTCACTGCAAGCTCCGCCTCCCGGGTTCACGCCATTCTCCTGCCTCAGCCTTCCAAGTAGCTGGGACTACAGGCGCCCGCCACTACGCCCGGCTAATTTTTTTGTATTTTTAGTAGAGACGGGGTTTCACCGTTTTAGCCGGGATGGTCTCGATCTCCTGACCTCGTGATCCGCCCGCCTCGGCCTCCCAAAGTGCTGGGATTACAGGCGTGAGCCACCGCGCCCGGCTTACAGTTATTTTTAATATGTGCCTGATGTCTCCCTTGAGATTCTAAGCAAACTGAGGGCAGGAAGCATTCTTGGTTATGTTGTCACTCCCAGGGTCTGTCTATCACAGAGTTTTGCACGCAGAAGGCACACTTTAATTATTTATTGCTGTGTAACAAACCACCCTGAAACTTAGTGGCTTTGAAACAGTTTATTGTTTCTCATGGTTCTACCTTTTGGCTGTGTTTGGCACAGCAGTTTGTCTGTTCTACGTGACATCTGCTGGGTCACTGGTTACGCTGTGTTGCAGGCCACTTTGGCTATGCTGGAAGGGTCTTGAAGACCTCACTCATGTCTAGCATTTAAGCACTCCTCTACTTGGCCTTTCTTTCCATTCAGGAGTCTAGCCAAAGCTTCTTTCCAGCATGCGGATTATCCAAGAGCAAAAGTAGGAGCTACCAGGCCTCTTAAAGGCTACACTCAAAACTGGCATAACCATTACCTCCATCACATTCTATTGGTCACAGCAGGTTACAAGGCCAGGCCAGATTCAAGAGAAGGGGAAATAGGCTCTGTTTCTTGATGGGAGGAGGGGCATGCTTATATTGGGAGGAGAAGAATTATGGCCACCATCTTTGGACACTAGCACAATGTACTTGCTCAATATGTATGGAATTTATTTTCCAATATGAGGACTAGCGGTGAATATGGCCTAATCAAGGAAGCTTACACTTTTCTTCTATTTATATGTCACTGTTTCTGGTTTCATAAAACAACAAACTAGACCAGCACTGTCCAGAAGAAACATAATGTGAGTCACAAATATGACCCACATATGTAATTTTTAATTTTCTTGTAGCTACATTCACTAAGTAAACAGAAACAGGTGAAATTAATTTTAATATTTATTTTATTCAACCCACTATATCCAACATATATCATTTCAACATGTTACCAACTGAAAATCATTAATGAGATATTTTACATTCTTTTTTATTTTTGTACTCTATTTCAAAATTTGGTGTGTTACACACTTACAGCACATCTCAATTTGCACTAGCTACATTTTAAGTGCTTAATAGCCACATGTGACAAGTGACTATCATTTGGACAGGTGCTAGACAGTCCATTAATTTTTCTTACCTCTACAGTAAGGAAAAGTAGATGATAAAGTACAGCAGGCGGCACTATAATGCATATTTTTAGTGCTATTGTGAGCAAAAATGATAGAGAATACATGAAATGCTCCTCAAGTACCTTGCATACAATAAAGGCTCATTAAATATTGCTTCCATTTCATTGTTGACAGGTATTTCATTGCCCTCTTAAGCTTGCTCAAATTAAGGCTACGTGTTCCTTGAGCCAGAGAGCATTTATAACCTGCTTTTACCTGATGCTATTAACCAGGTTTCTTTCTTTTCTTTCTTTCTTTCTTTTATTTATTTATTTTTTTTCGGTTAAGAGACAAGGTCTCCCTCTGTTGCCCAGGCTAGAGTGTAATGGTGTGATCTCGACTCACTGCGGCCTCGACTTCCCGAGCTGAAGCAGTCCTCTCACCTCAGCCTCCCAAGTAGCTGGGACCATAGGTGCATGCCACCATACATGGCTAATTTTATTTTTATTTTTTTTGTAGAGACAAAGTCTCACTATGTTGCCCAGACTGGTATTGAACTCCTTGGCTCAAGTGATCCTCCTGTGTCGGTCTCCCAAAGTGCTGATATTACAGGAACGAGCCACCATGCCCAGTCCATCTTTCTTATTTCTCAAAATTTCTTAACTTTCTATTTCTCTCTGCGCATCTGCTCCACTTTCTTCTTCCAGCTGACCAGAATCCTCTCTGCATACATACTTCACTATGGCTTCCCCAGCCTCTTTTGTTATGACACGACTTTTTGATACATCTGACCTGCTGATGACTGGCTTGGATTCTCCACATTTCCCGGTTCCCAACAGTGGTAATCTGATTGGCCTAATTAATGTCTTTTCATGCCACTTCACATCCTATAATTGATAATTGGCTGCCTTGGGTTCAACCCACCCTTGGTCTCTAATCAGTTGTGGTTAGGGAAGCACCTTCTTATGGTACTCAATATGGCCACCTGGAAATGGGGGGCTGCCCGTGTGGTAGTATCCCTTAGAGGGGTGTGGCCAGACATACTGGTTGATATGGAAATGCTCTATTTCACTCTCCATCACTGGGATTTCCCCACTGAGCTCATCAGTCTGGCCCCAACAGAAAGAAGGTTTCCTCCCTTTACTTGCTACCATCCTTGACCTCTAGGATAGCTTCACCTAACTACAGGAATGCATATGATTAAAGGCTGTCAGAAGCCTGGTTGCTGAGGAAGTCTGCTTAGGCACAAGGCAGTGCTCAAACAGGGGAAGTTGCTGATAGTCATCCTCCTATAATTCCTGAGGAACCCATTCTTGGTCCAGATACTTACCATAACAGATTGATTTAAGTGCTTACTTTGCCAACACCTTCATAAATCAGTGTTTTTCTAAGTGGAGTTTGTTATATGACCTTGTTGCATTAGAATCAGTTTGGAATGCTCATAAAAATGTGGATTACTAATCCCAACTCCAGGACCTATGAATTAGAATCCCAGGGAATGTGTCTCAGGGATCTGCATGTTTATAGGCTCCGTAGATAAGTCTAACATACAGGAAGCCTGAGAAGTATTGCACGAAGCCACCTGTGAACCTCATGTATTTCAGACTGTTCTGCCCCATCCCCTAGACTTCATGAGAATTCCTCTGACACTTGACTTGTGGAACCTAGAATTTTTCTAGAAGTTTCCAGGCAGTCTGAGGTCCATCCAAGTATCCTCAGAGGCAGATGGTAAGAATGAAAGTTCCCACTACCATCTGTTCTGACCCAAATCCTTGGATTCAAACACAGAGCACCCATACTTTGCCCCTGATTTGACATTTCCCATGGGATGGCAAAGGGATTTACCTGGCAGCCGTTGTGCAATCAGCACAGATCCCCAGGCACCACCCTACATAGAGGCTCTTCTGGCTGACTGCCTGAGTCACAGCTCAATGGGATAAGCTCAAGAAGCCCCAGGCGGGTAGAAAGCAGTGCATGTGGGGCTGTGCCCCTGCAGAATCACAATGGAGCCAGTGTTTGCATTAGAGCCAGACAATGACTGTGATTCAAGGGACGGGATGCCAAAGCTGAAGGGTACTCTGGGTAAAGGAGAGGACCTGGGCCCCTTTCTTGGCTCAGTCTCTGCCTGGAAATGATTCCACTTTTGTTTTCAATCCTTTCTGCCTGTTTTTCATATTTCTAGGAGCATGAATAAGTGGTCATACATTGCTTCCAAGGGAATCACATCTTTTTCACATTTGACCCAAGAATTTAGACACTATACTACCCCACCGCATCCTTGTTATATATAAGCAAGATTTGTGCGTTCTCAAGATTCTGAAGAAAATGAAGTAATGTCCTTAACAATGGGTCAGAACTGACATCTAGCCTCTTGAGAGATGGCAGTCAGCATTGAGCTTTTTCATAATTTCTCACTGCGGTATATGGTGGATTTCTAGCTCTAGTCACTCAAGGTATTTTAATTTCTACTCAAGGACAGAACTTACCATTCGATTTGTGGGCATTTAATGGATTAGGTGCTTCATGGAGAGTCTTTCTTCGAAGCATCCATCTTTAACAGAGTCCAAGAATCTTCAAAGTAAGTCAAATGTATAAATATAGGTCTTACAATATGGAGCCTGGTCATTCAGTGAATAAAAAAATCTACTGTCCTCTCCCTTTCCAAACTGGAACTGGGTGAATTACATTCATGTCTCCAGCCCTGGCCTGAATATAACTCATCTAAAAAGATGCCCAAAGAGAAAAGAATTAACACAGGCCTATGAAAATAAGCTTTAATTCAAGAGAAGGAGAAAAAGGGGAGAATATTCTGGAGTAAAATGTAGATTTTTTTCTCCTTCTGAAGCAGATTTTTTTTGTATAAAATAAAAATGTTTTGGGAAACTATTTGCCTAGTGTTTTCAGTAAGATATTACTGAAATTATCCTACTAACTAGGAACAAGGCTTATTAAAAATACAACTAGCTAAATTAGTGTCTTATTATTAAAAGTGACTTTATAAGACTTAAAATGTAGTGCACATTGGCAGCCATTTTTGGTGTAGAAAATTAACAAATATAACACTGTAGAAAAAGTATATTAATAATAGGATTTAAAAAAAATTTTTTTAGAGACAAGTCTTACTCTATTGCCTAGGCTGGAGTGCAGTGGCATGATCATAGCTCACTGTATCCTCAAACTCCTGGGCTTAAGTGATCCTTCTGCCTCAGCCTCCAGAGTAGCTGGAAATACAGGCACATACCACCTCACTTGGCTATTTTTATTTATTTATTTTTTTTCGTAGAGGCAGGGCCTTGCTATGTTACCTAGGCTGGTCTCAAATTCCAAGCCTCAAGCAATCTTCTCACCTTGGCCTCCCAAAGTACTGGGATTATAGGCATGAACCACCATGCCCAGCCCTAATGAAAGAATAAATTAGAAAAATTATAACAGAAACAGAATAAAAATATAAATAAAAGATTAGAAATAGCTAATATGGAAAAGAGAGCCCAGGATCTATCTTATTAGTACTAGTGAGGAAGGGAAGCTAAAACAATAATAAATGAAAATAATCTTGACCTTACAAGCAAAATCAACCTAATTGAGTATGTATTCAATGCATTTTATCCAAAATAATCAACAGCTTCAAAAGTCCTTTTCAACATAAAGAATTATCTAATCTTAAAAAAGTAAAGAGGCAATTGACAAAACAAAAACAAAAAGTTGGCATTTTTTAGACCTTCCTTTCACAATAATGAGTGTTAAAAGGTAATAAGAAAGGTCCACAGAGATCTATAGACATGAAGTCCTTACCTATAAAATCAGGAAAATTATTAATTTATGTGACATAAAAATGGAAAGATATTCTTAAAAATGCAAGAACTAAGAAAATGTATGTCTCATTTACTCTTCCAGATGCTTACCAGAACATCATGAAATGAGCCCAAGGTAAGATGTTAAGACAAGTAGAAGAAAAGAACTGAAAACTAATACTAAAACCAGTTATTCACACAGACAATTATTATCAATGTGTTTATAGGGCCTTGATATAAAAATAGACTGAGGCCTGTGTGCCTATAATCCCAGCACTTTTGAAGGCTGAGGAACGTGGAACACTTGAGCCCAGGAATTCGAGACCAGCTTTGGTAACATGGTGAAACCCCATCTCTACAAAACATACCAAAATTACCCAACTGTGGTGGCACATGCTTATAGTCTCAGCTGCCCTGGAGGCTGAGATGAGAGGATCACCTGAGATCAGGAAGTTGAGGCTGCAGTTAGCCTTAATCGTGCCATTGCACTTTAGCCTGGGAAACGGAGCGAGACCCTGTTTCTAAAAATAAAATAAAAAATAAACTGAAAAGGATAATTACATTTTAATTTGTTCAGTTAAAAATTACTAGAAATAATGATAGCTGAGGAAGCAAGAACATTTGACTCCTCATTCCATGTAAAGAGGAGAAAAATTAGCATTTATTTTTTAATAAAATGATAAGTATGCTCTTCTATTTTTCTCTTGTCAACTTGCTAACATTCTGCATTGCTGAAGAGTAGCCTGGGACAACCTTTCCTAGAACTACCTTCCCTATATGGTGCTGGGGTAGCTTCTGCCCTGGGGAGACACTCTTGAGAAGTCTGGAAGGAGAAGTCGTTTTCCTCCTGAGAGCAATGGGGAGTCTGCAGTTTCACACTGGCTTTCCAGTGAGTCCCGAGAACCACGTGCTTCAGACCTTCTGGCCCAGATCTTGATGGTGGATTTGCTGACCTTAGCATACCTGATTGTCCAAAGTGTGTGCCAGCCCCTAGTTCCTGAATTAAACCTTTCATTCCTGGAACACCTGGACCATCATTTTCCTGACTGAATCCTGGCTGATATATTTTAAAAGAATTAGTTTATAATTTAGTCACTACTCATAGAATTTAAAGCAGGAAGTCTAGTTTCCAAATAACTGTAGAAGATAAAAGCAAACAAAATACCATACATACAGCAAGAGACAAAATAGCAAACAAAGAAAACGTAAGTCATAAAATAAGATGACTAAAGCAACACCAGGTGTAACAGTTTTATCAACAAATGTCAACACTTTTAAACTCCCTTTCATAACGGGCAGACTCTCAGTTGGAGTAAAAACAACAAAGTAATCCAATGACTGTGTACTAAGGATAACTTAAAATGATGCTGAAAGGTCGAAAATAAAAGGATGGGACAGTGATATGTCAGGCAAATATTTAGAACAAGAAAGCAAGCAGGATTTAAGGAAATAAAGATTAAATAGCATAATTACAATTTTAAAAATGTTGACACAACTAGTTAATGAATACATTCTCATTGTAAAAAGTTCAAATGATGTAGAATTAAATAGTACTAAAGGCAAGCACTGCTAACATTTTGGTGTTTATCTTTTTAGTGTCCTATCATTTATATATCAGCAGGTGCAGAATTCATATGCAGACTTCACAGCAAATCCAGAGGGAAAAAAAGCACTGTATTTTCCTCTACCTCCTTCTTAGAAACAAGGAAATCTTTTTCCAAAGCTCAAGAAATTTCTCTTGTCTTTGCCCAATTCCTTCCCTGGGAAATGTGATTACCCTGGTTGCCTTAGATTAATCCTTTGGGATAAATTGATGTCAGAGGAAGGAGGGAGAATAAAACAGTGATCAGTTGGGTGTAGTGACTCATGCCTTTAATTCCAGCACTTTAGGGGGCTGAGGCAGGAGGATCACTTGAGCCCAGGAATTCAAGACCAGCCTGAACAACATAGTAAGACCTCAGCTCTACCAAAAAACAAAAACAAAAACGTTAGCTGGGTGGGGTGGCACACACCTGTAGTACCAGTTACGTGGGAGGCTGCAGGAGGATCACTTGAGCCTGGGAGGTTGAGGCTGCAGTGAGCCATGACTATAACAGACCAAGACCGTGTCTCAAACAAAACAAAACAAAAAAACAGTGATCACCACAAATACTTTGTTAAATTTTTAATATCTATTTGCCTGAAATTATTTATTTGTGTATGGTGCTAGGTAAGGATCTAACTTTATTTGCTTGATGAATATCTCATTACTTAAATACCATTAAATGCCACCTTCAATATATATACACACATGCACATATACACATAGGCACACAGGGTCAGGGTCAGGGTCAGGGTCAGGGTCAGAGTTAGGATTACAGTTAGCCCACCCACATTAGTATTTTTTTTTTGTTTTCTTGTCCAAAAAATATTTGTTATTCCAACATAACTTCTCTTGAGAAATTATTGAATCAGCTGGTCAAGGTAAAGGAATACTCCTTTGTAACTTTAAGTAGGATTCTATTAAATATCTATTATTTTAGAAGAGAATCCCCATCTTCACAATACCAAACCTCCCAATCCAGGGTTATTTGGGTCATTTTTATCTCTCTCTGAAAAATTAATCATTTTCTTCTTATTAGGCCATACACATTTTTTATTAGTTATATTGGTCTGCTTTAGCTGCCATAACAAAATATCACAGACTAGTTTGCTTACACAATAAAAATTTATTTCTCCCAGTTGTGGAGGCTGGAAAGTCCAAGATCAAGGCTCTGGTAGATTTAGTGTTTGGCAAGGGCTCACTTCCTGGGTCATAGACGGCTGTCTTCTCACTGTTCCTCAAATAGCAGAAGGGGGAAAAAGGGTCTCTGAGTCCTCTTTTAGAAGGGCACTAATCCCATCCATGAGGGTTCCACCTCTCAAAGGACTCACCTGCAAATGCCATCACACTGAGAATTAGGTTTTGACATATGAATTTTGGGGGAATACATTTCAGCCAACAGCATTGGGTTTTGTATTGGTATTCCATTGTGTTTGAAGCTTCTGTGAGCAGAAAAATGACTGTTTGGTAAAGCAGGTTCAACAGGAACCGTGGGGAAGAATAAAAGATAATCTCCGCTTGTACCTTCTTGAGTCTAGCTTATTCAATAAAGATTTCATTATAGATTTACTCTCCAAGATGGCTATACCAATGTACATTCCCACCAGCGAGTCCTGTTTCACTACATCCTTGTCATCTCTTTTATTGCTAAAATCTTTGCCATAAAAATGGGTAAAAACTCACAGCTTATTTATATTTGCATTGGCCACTGGTATTTAAGTTGAGGTTCCTTTATAATAGTCTCACTATATTACATCCTTGACTTGTCTTGACTATGAAAGGTCAGCCCAAGTCACCTGGAAAATGAATAATAAGGATCTTCCTTGATCCTAAATAAGAAAAATAAATCTGGCCGGGCGCGATGGCTCACGCCTGTAATCCCAGCACTTTGTGGGGGCAAGGCGGGCGGATCACTAGGTCAGGAGATTGAGACCATCCTGGCTAACACGGTGAAACCCCGTCTCTACTAAAAAAATACAAAAAAATTAGCCAGGCGTGGTGGCGGGCGCCTATAGTCCCAGTTACTCGGGAGGCTGAGGCGGAAGAATGGCGTGAACCCGGGAGGCGGAGCTTGCAGTGAGCTGAGATCGCGCCACTGCACTCCAGCCTGGGCGACAGAGCGAGACTCCGTCTCAAAAAAAAAAAAAAAAAAAAAAAAAAAAAGAAAAGAAAAAAGAAAAATAAAATCCACACCTGGCACAAAGATGACACGAGAGTCTCATGATAGCCTCTGGTTGAGGCTATCAACCAGTGAAGACGCATGATACAGGAATGGGGCAATGCACACCAGGCCACCATGGCTCGGGTTCTTTCTACAGTGACTATCTAACTGCAATGCCTAGCAGTGGCAGCTCTTTATCATTTACATTCCAATGTCTAAAGTAGTGTTTGGAGACTGAGGCTAGCTGTAGGCCTATGGCTTTAGGGACTCGACCCTTCTGCCAGAGACCCATTTTCAAATGCAAATCTGATAAAGGATGTTGGTGGCGTTTATCTAGTGAAGAAACTGTGATCAGTCAATGGTCAATGTCTGGCACATCTGTATGAAGATCAGTCCTGAGTCAGAGTTTGGGCTCAGTGTCACTCATTTGAGAGAGATGCATCGGCATGAAAGGAAGAAGTGGTGACAAAATGCCAGGCATTTAATGTAGTTGGCTGTAGGGGAGTCTTAACTTTTCTATCATTTCCAACTTATCCAGTTTCCTTCTAATGCAAATTTACCAAAGCCTACTTCAAAGTGAACTCAACCCTAATCCTTCCTGTCATGCTTTTTCTCACTTACCCAGGCTTCCACTTCTGTATTCCATTAGCACCAAATATTTATTGCAACAACTCCACACTGATGTAATTGTTTGTTTTGCTTTTCCGGTTCACCTACAAAACTGTAAGCTTTAAGAGAAACTATGTAAACTCTGTGTCCCCAGCACAATTCTTGGCACATGAAAGTCACTGAAAAAGGTTTTGCTTTCTGCCCAAATTCTCTTCTCAGGCAAATGGCAGCTGTGGGCTTCACCTAGGGCAGGGATCAAAGCAAGGAAAACTTCACAGAAAAGCTGCTACTCTAGCTGAGTTTTGAAGAACATGAGAATTTGTTAGGTAAAATAGAAGAATGAGCTTACTGGGAGGAGAAAGCAGTATTTGCAAATACAGCAAGGCATGAAACAGCATGATGTGTCCAGGAAACCACAAGGAGCCCCATCAAGGTGGAGCAAAGGCTGAAGAGGCAGGAATAGGCAGGAGAGGCTGGTCTGGGCAGATTATAGAGAGTCACATGAGCTAACTGAAGACTCCAAATTCAGCTTAATGCCAAAGAGAACCATTGCAAATTTGTAAGCAAGAAAGTAGCTTGGTGATATTTGAATTCAAGGAAGGTGACTCTGGTTGCAGAGTAGATGATGGCTTGCTAGAGGACAGGATCTTCTAGCATCCATTGTTGCTGATGGGAAGTCTTATGTTGGCCTGACTTTTATTCCTTTGTCTGTGGCTGTTTCATTTCTTTAGAAGTTTTTTTTTTTTTTTAATGTTTCTAGGTGTGGATTTTTAGTTTTTGTCTTGTTCAGAGCTTCCAGGGCCTTCAAATTCTAAGTCTCATGTCTTCCTTCTACTATGGAAAATTTCCTTGTACTATTTCCTTATTAATTCCCTCTCCCTTGTTTTTTTTTGTTCTGTTCTCTTTTGAGGACTCCCACTGGTTGGACACTGGATCATTTGTGTCAATTCTTTATATTTCTTCTGTTTTCATTCATATTTGTGATAATTTTAATAGCTCTCACATTTTAAAATATTTTCTGGACTTTATCGTCTAACCCTAACTTTTTTTTTGTTTTGGCAATTAATTTTGTTTTCATTTCCAAAATCTTTCTTTCTGGTTGTTGTTTTCATAATGTTACTCTTAAAATAATTATTTTATGGCTATAACATTGTCTCAATATTTTTTGAAGATATTAATTAGAATTAGAATTTTCTTTTTATAGCAAGTTTTCTTCTGTTCTAAAGTACGTGTTTCCTTTGAAGTAAGTTTATTGGTCAATCTTGGCCTTTCTTTTTAATGTCAGGTTATTTAATGTCTGTCTGGCTGTGCCATTCATGGTCCTCACAGGAAACTGATGATGAATTTCAACTGAGTATTCAAGGAGGGTTTAATAAAGAGAGTATGTACAAAGGTGTGAGGAAAGTGTAGAGAAACCAATGAGGGATGGATAATGCAGAGTCTTGGGGCTAGCAATTGCTAGAAGCCTCCTTATCTTCCTTAGGCCAGAAAGGGCAAGAGGAGGGAGTTCCAGGAAGCCACAGCAGGTAGCTGCATAGGGAGAGTTATGTGACAGGAGCTGTGGCCTCTTTTAGGGGGACGTAACCAACCCACAGCAATTCAGAAGGGAGGGACCCAGCGAAATCAATATTCTGACCTCACTTTTCCTGCTTCCTTCCATCTCCCACCAGTACTTTCCACTGACATTACCCAACAGGAAGCTGGGGTGCAAGCAAGACCATTGATGCAGTCCACAATTGCCAGCTTCCTGGGTACAGAGCAGGGAGGAGAAGGGCAGAGAGTAGATCTGGAGGGACAGGAAGAAGGTAGCTGGCACAGCAGTGGTCCTTGGTTATCTGTTACATTGCAAGTTGAAACAGTAGAAGACTGGGAGTTCTGGGGTACACTCAGTGTTAATAGAGGTGACACTCATTGTTGGTGGAAGTGTGGGAATCTTGTATACTGCTGGTGCAAATGGAAATCGGTAAAATGTTTGTAGAAAGCAATTTGGCAGCATTAAGAGTTTTAAGGCTTATAACTTTGATAACCCTGATAAATCAATTCCATCCCAAAAAGTGTATAATAATGAAATCATAAAATATGCACAGATGTAAATACAAGAATCTTCATTGCATTATTATTTATAACGGCAAAATTTTGTAAAAATGATAAGTTCTAGCAATGGGGTTAAATAAATTAAATAAATTACAGTACAGCTATAGGACTTGAAAAGCATGTTTTAGATTTGTGCTGTCCAGTAAGGTAGGCTCTAGTCACATCTGGCTACTGAGCACTTTCCTTGTGGATAGTCTGAACTCAGATGTGGTATTAATATAAAATACACACTGGCTTTTTGAAGACTTAGAACAAAAAAAATGAAATGTCCTATTAACATTTTTTATATTGATTACATGTTGAAATGATAATATTTTGGATATATGGGTTAAATATTATTAAAATTGTTTTGATCTTCTTTTCCTTATTTTGTAAATGTAGTGATTAGAAAAATTAAAACATGTGACTTATAGTATACATCTTTAAAAAAATTTTTTTATTATACTTTAAGTTCTAGGGTACATGTGCACAACGTGCAGGTTTGTTACATAGGTATACATGTGCCATGTTGGTTTGCTACACCTATCAACTCGTCATTTACATTAGGTATTTCTCCTAATGCTATCCCTCCCCTATCCCCCAACCCCCTGACAGGCCCCTGTGTGTGATGTTCCCCCTCCCTGTGTCCATGCGTTCTCATTGTTCAACTCCCACTTATGAGTGAGAACATGTGGTATTTGATTTTCTGTTCCTGTGTTAGTTTGCTGAGAATGATGGTTTCCAGCTTCATTCATGTCCCTGCAAAGGACATGAACTCATCCTTTTTTATGGCTGCATAGTATTCCATGGTGTATATGTGCCACATTTTCTTTATCCAGTCTATCATTGATGGACATTTGCGTTCATTCCAAGTCTTTGCGATTGTGAACAGTGCTGCAATAAACATACTTGTGCATTTGTCTTTATAGTAGAATGATTTATAATCCTTTGGGTATATAACCAGTAATGGGAATGCTGGGTCAAATGTTATTTCTAGTTCTAGGTCCTTGAGGAATCGCCACACTGTCTTCCACAATAGTTGAACTAATTTACACTCCCACCAACAGTGTAACAGCATTCCTATTTCTCCACATCCTCTCCGGCATCTGTTGTTTCCTGACTTTTTAATGATCACCATTCTAACTGGCGTGAGATGGTATCTCATTGTGGTTTTGATTTGCATTTCTCTAATGACCAGTGATGATGAGCTTTTTTTCATATGTCTGTTGGCCACACAAATGTCTTCTTTTGAGATGTGTCTTCTCCTACTTTTTGATGGGGTTGCTTTTTTTTTTTCTTGAAAATTTGTTTAAGTTCTTTGTAGATTCTGGATATCAGCCCTTTGTCAGACGGATAGATTGCAAAAATTTTCTCCCATTCTGTAGGTTGCCTGCTCACTCTGATGATAGTTTATTTTGCTATGCAGAAGCTCTTTAGTTTAATTAGATCCCATTTGTCAATTTTGGCTTTGTTACCATTGCTTTTGGTGTTTTAGTCATGAAGTCCTTGCCCATGTCTGTGCCCTGAATGGTATTGCCTAGATTTTCTTCTAGGATTTTTATGGTTTTAGGTCTAACATTTAAGTCTTTAGTCCATCTTGAATTAATTTTTGTATAAGGTGTAAGGAAGGGATCCAGTTTCAGCTTTCTACATACGGCTAGCCAGTTTTCCCAGCACCATTTATTAAATAGGGAATCACTTCCCCCTTTCTTGTTTTTGTCAGGTTTGTCAAAGATCAGATGGTTGTAGATGTGTGGCGTTATTTCTGAGGCCTCTGTTTTGTTCAAATGGTCTATATATCTGTTTTGGTACCAGTACCATACTGTTTTGGTTACTGTAGCCTTATAGTATAGTTTGAAGTCAGGTAGCATGATGCCTCTGCTTTGTTCTTTTTGCTCAGGATTGTCTTGGCAATGCAGGCTCTTTTTTGGTTCCATATGAACTTTAGTTTTTTCCAATTCTATGAAGAAAATCATTGGTAGCTCGATGGGGATGGCATTGAATCTATAAATTACCTTGGGCAGTATGGCCATTTTCACAATATTGATTCTTCCTATCCATGAGCATGGAATGCTCTTCCATTTGTTTGTGTCCTCTTTTATTTCATCAAGCAGTGGTTTGTAGTTCTCCTTGAAGAGATCTTTCACATCCCTTGTAAGTTGGATTCCTAGGTATTTTATTCTCTTTGTAGGAATTGTGAATGGGAGCTCACTCATGATTTGGCTCTCTGTTTGTCTGTTATTGGTGTATAGGAATGTTTGTGATTTTTGCACGTTGATTTTTTATCCTGAAACTTTACTGAAGTTGCCTATCAGATTAAGGAAATTTTGGGCTGAGACGACTGGGTTTTCTAAATATACAATCATGTCATCTGCAAACAGGGACAATTTGACTTCCTCTTTTCCCAGTTGAGTACCCTTTATTTCTTTCTCTTGCCTGATTGCCCTGGCCAGAACTTCCAACACTATGTTGAATAGGAGTGGTGAGAGAGGGCATCCTTGTCTTGTGCCAGTTTTCAAAGGGAATGCTTCCAGTTTTTGCTCATTTAGTATGATATTGGCTGTGGGTTTGTCATAAATAGCTCTTATTATTTTGAGATATGTTCCATCAATACTAGTTTATTGAGAGTTTTTAGCATGAAGGGCTGTTGAATTTTGTCAAAGTCCTTTTCTGTATCTATTGAAATAATCATGTGGTTTTTGTCATTGGTTCTGTTCATGTGATGGATTGCATTTATTGATTTGTGTATGTTGAATGAGCCTTGCATCCCAGGGATGAAGCTGACTTGATCGTGGTGGATAAGCTTTTTGATGTGTTGCTGGATTTGGTTTGCCAGTATTTTATTGAGGATTTTCACAAGGATGTTCATCAGGGATATTGGTATAAAATCTCTCTCTCTCTTTTTTTTTTTTTTTTGGTTGTGTCCCTGCCAGACTTTGGTATCAGGATGGTGCTGGCCACATAAAATGAGTTAGGGAGGATTCCCTCTTTTTCTATTGATTGGAATAGTTTCAGAAGGAATGGTACAAGCTCCTCTTTTTACCTCTGGTAGAATTCAGCTTGAATCCATCTGGTCTTGGACTTTTTTTGGTTGGTAGGCTATTAATTATTGCCTCAATATCAGAGCCTGTTATTGGTCTATTCAGAGATTCCACTTCTTCCTGGTTTAGTCTTGGGAGCGTGTATGTGTACAGGAATTTATCCATTTCTTCTAGATTTTCTAGTTTATTTGTATAGAGGTGTTTATAGTATTCTCTGATGATAGTTTGTATTTCTGTGGGATTGGTGGTGATATCCCCTTTATCATTTTTTATGGCGTCTATTTGATTCTTCTCTCTTTTCTTCTTTATTAGTCTTGCTAGCAGTCTATCAATTTGTTGATCTTTTCAAAAAACAAGCTCCTGGAGTCATTGATTTTTTGAAGGGTTTTTTATGTCTCTATCTCCTTCAGTTCTGCTCTGATCTTAGTTATTTTTTGCCTTCTGCTAGCTTTTGAATTTTTTTGCTCTTGCTTCTCTAATTCTTTTAATTGTGGTGTTAGGGTGTCGATTTTAGATGTTTCCTGCTTTCTCTTGTGGGCATTCCGTGCTATAAATTTCCCTCTACACACTGCTTTAAATGTGTCCCAGAGATTCTGGTACGTTGTGTCTTTGTTCTCACTGGTTTCAAAGAACATCTTTATTTCTGCCTTCATTTCGTTATTTACCCAATAGTCATTCAGGAGCAGGTTGTTCACTTTCCATGTAGTTGAGCGGTTTTGAGTGAGTTTCTTAATCCTGAGTTCTAATTTGATTGCACTGTGGTCTGAGAGACAGTTTGTGGTGATTTCTGTTCTTTTACATTTGCTGAGGAGTGTTTTACTTCCAATTATTTGGTCAATTTTAGAATAAGTGCGATGTGGTGTTGGGAAGGATGTATATTCTGTTGATTTGGGGTGGAGAGTTCTGTAGATGTCTATTAGTTCTGCTTGGTGCAGAGCTGAGTTCAAATCCTGGATATTCTTGTTAACCTTCTGTCTCGATCTTTCTAATATCGACAGTGGGGTGTTAAGGTCTCCCATTATTATTGTGTGGGAGTCTAAGTCTCTTTTTAGTTCTCTAAGGACTTGCTTTATGAATCTGGGTGCTCTCATATTGGGTGGAAAAATATATGGCTTATAGTATATATCTTAAAAAAAATTTTTTACAGCGCTTTTTAATGCATGAGGCTTGCAGTATATATCAGAGAGAGGGACAACCCCACCCCCACTGGCCCCAAGACTATACAGGGCATCTGTAGCCCAATCAGATTCAATGGAACTAACCGTAGGATTGCCTGGAATCAGGAACAGGTCTCAGAGCCATTGTCCCAGTGCCTTGATTACCTGCATGTGTTCTGACCTGAATACTGTAGTCTTTAATTAATTGTGCTGATTGTATTGGAATTAGCAAATTGGCTAATCAAGTTATATGATGATTTGTTGTAAGAAAAAACAAAACAGAAATCCTAGGCTTGCAAATTCTTTAGCTCCTTTATAGTAGCTTTCGGTCCCACAGCTGCCTGCCCCGGGCATTTGACTTGTGATCCCCACCATCCAACCTGAGAGGAGACTCTTGTGTGGGTGCTCAGGAAACCAGGAAGAGGAAGGGAAAGGGTAGGTGGAAGAGGAAAAGGGTGGGAGGAAAAGGTAGAACCAGATATTGTTTCTGAACAAATAATCTGGATATTCTGTAAACTGTGAGGAATTGTTGGATGGGAAACGGAGAGTCTCCAAGTAGCATAAAGGAAAGGAAGAAGAGAGGGAAGGAAAATCCTTAAAGATCTGGCACTGGGGCACTTGGAAGTTCTTTTGTTTTTCTCTGATACTTACCATCCTACACAGAACTTGAAGCCTCTGGGTTTTTGACAACAGGTGGAAGACGGAAAGGGAGTAAGTCCAGACTGGCTGGGAAAGAATGCAAAGCAGAGAGGACAACCAAAAAAGCAACCTGTCCTCTGCAGCAGCAGGTGAGGAAAGCAAGTGGGCAGTGCAGGCATAACCCATGCACCCATGGATGGAAAGCTGGCAATCAGGGAGGTGCTGGGCTGTCAGCTCCAGGCATTGAGGAATTGCCTAGTGTGCACAAAAATGTAAGGGGCCATGTTCTATATCCTGGGGGAAGCTGTTCTCAGAACCAACTTCAAAAAGAAAGTGACCCTTGCCAATTAAAGAGGAGTAAAACCTTCTTCCTATTGCCATTATGTGCCCCACATCACAGAGTCCACAGAGAGAATGGAGACCCAAAAGCCAACAGACAGCTAGCAAGAGGAAAAATCTCACACTAGCACTGAGCATAACAAGCAACAATCAAGAATATTCTTTCAGTAGGACTAAGTTTCTGAAGCAAGAAACCCTCCAAACTAAGTGAGTCAAGAGTAGTGAGGGGCACACAAGAGAAGGTGACCCCCTTCTCCACCCATTCAGCCTCAGGGTACCCCAGGCAGCTAGTCCAGGCCGTGGAGTAATCCTCACCCAGACAAGACTCTGGTCATTGGCTTTGGCTTCCTTGTCCATGACCCTGTGGCTCAGTGCAATTGGACCCCATCTGGAGTACCACTCTTCTCTTCCATGCGCTATGCATATCTTCCCCAGAGCACTCCACTCTCCTTGGGGATACCATGTGGTCTGAGCTTCATCTGCTTCCTTCCTAAAATCCCAGATCATTTATGCTGCCTAGTGGCCCATCCTCCATACTAAATCCCAGACCCTGCATGTGCACACCCATCCTCTTCTCAGAGCTGGGTCCTGATTTTCAGTCTTCCTGGGGTTCAGCCTCTACTCGAATCCCCAGTGCACTTAATCTCCCATGGACTTCTGAATGCTGACCATTTCTGAATTGCTTTGTCTGTGCAAAATTGCACATCTAGAGAGAGGAAGACTTCTTTGGGCTTAAGTTTATCCAGGGGTTTGTTCCCCTGATTCACCCATTCTGGAACCAGAAGTTTGCTTCTAAAACTCTGGTAGGGGCTCCCAGTTTAAGCATTTACATTTAACAATATAGAACAATGAAGACAAGAGTTGAAACATCATGAAGATAACATTGATGTTTTTGAGAATGACCAGGACCATGTTCTCTATGGAGAATCATACCGAAGAAACATCAAGGGCATAGAGTAGCTGGGCTTCCTCCTTTCTTTTGCAGTTGATGGGTTTGTGGCCTTTGACTTCATTTTGGGACATGTTCCAGTGAATTTTGATGTGACCGGTGGGGGCTCAACACTCAGTTTTCATGTTTAACCCCATTGCCCCTGGACCTGTTTGGGCTGCTCAGCATGTGCATAATATTCTTTGGGAGAGTGCGTGTATTTATTTATCCATTGATTCATCCATCCAATATACAATTTCAGTGACCTACTATATTATGAGACCCTGGCCTGTGGCTTGCAGCTTCTGCAGAATGGTAGCATTACACAGTGGCCATGAGCATAGATTTATGTCTGAGTTCAAGTCCTGGGACGCCTACTCATGAGCTGTGTGATCTTGACCTAGTCACTAACTTTCTGAACTTCAGTTTTCTTATCAGTAAAGATGATCATACTACCGAACTCATGGGGTTTTGTTATGCTTGGCATGTAGTGACCATGCAATTCTATTAGCTATTATTTTGTTTTATGCTGATTCCGCTTAAGTTACCAGTCATTCTCCACCTTGAAATAAGGAAGTCTCAGCCAATAAAGCCACAATTTTTAAAAATATTGGACTTTTCTGTGTCAACTCAGATGATCTAGACTGTGTTTCAGCTGTTTTCTACCTCGCTTTCTATTCTACCAGAAACAGAGGGCCTTCATCAATTAGGTAGAAATGAGATAGACTTTAGGAGGAAGTTTCCTTTGGGATCTCAGCAGGCATAAGCCTCTTCATTGCCCCATACCCTGATCTTCCCAGCTTCCCAACTTGGGCATCTCCATGCTACCTCAGGACATGAGCTCATCCAAAATGAGGCAGAACATTTCCCAATGGCCTCTAGCTTAAGGGGCTTAGGATGGAGTTCCTAACCCCGCTTTGGATCTGGTGTCCAGCTCCATGCATGGAGTCTCCTGTGCCCCTTGCTCCAGGTCTCCCTGTATGCCAGTTAGACCCAGGAACCACTGGACTGGAGATAGCTCTAGGCATCTGTGTATCCTCCATACCCTATGACACAACACTTTACCTACTCCTGTGTTGGCCCCACTTCAAAGCCTGGGCCTCTGTGTAGGTTTCTTCTCTTTCATCCTCAGGTGGAGCTACACCTCCTCCCTAGCCAGGGGCCCTGCCCTGCATCTCAGCCAGTGGACAAAGCCCCCAGTTCCTGACCTAGATTCCACTGCATTCTCCTCTTTAAGGCTGAAGCCTCTTTCCCATCTCTCTGCCCACCAGTCTACTTGCCTACCCTTGATCTGAACATGTGGTTAAATTTGCCCTTGCCCACTGCCCAGGGAGGAATTTGGAAGTTGCCTGTGGGCCACCATATTCGTTCTCTTGGGGCTGGCTGCTGACTGAACCACTTGGGTTTGGATTCCTGAGTCTTCGTATCAAGACAGTTTTTTCAACCCCTAGCCCATCCAGTCCAGATATATGGGCTTTAGAGAATCCAACAACTGCCAGTGGTGTGACCTTGGAAAATTACCTACAATTTCTATGCTCCTGTTTTCTCAAGTGTAAAGTGGGAAAATAAGATCTACCTCATGGATCTGCTGTGAGGACTAAATGAGGTAATACATACAAACTAGCACAACTCCAGACACATAGTAAGCTGTGTCAACCATCAAAGGGTTTAAAGCAACGGGACAAAAGGATTTTCTTTTCTTTTTGGGGCACTTTAGTTCTGTGTTCACATATTTCTCTTTGCTCCCCCAAGGGCTGTCATGATGCCTTTTCTCTACCCAGCTCTCACTGTCTCCCACTGGCATTCAGAACCCAGAAGGGAGACTCTAAAGAGCTCCAAGGTGGGTAGGACAGAGTCTGTATTCCCAGGTACCAGGAAGAGTGGCCTGAAGGTCCAGCCACCTCTTGGTCACTAAAAATGCAGATGCTGCTCAGTACCCCAGCCTAAAGGCTCTAGACATGAGCACAACCCATGGAAAAGAAGGCAGGAAAAGGAATGGCAGTGGAGGGGAGTGCCCAGGAAATGAGAATCGGAATACTCAGCAAATAAGGCAGAAGGGGCAAACCAAAAGCATCCTCTGTCCTAGGAAAAGGTGGACATGTTCAGCACTTCAAACTCCTCCACCCTCTCTGTTCCATCCTTCTGAGCCCAGCAGGCAGGGTTGAGCTGGGTAGACATTTACTGCTCCACATTGATGCTATCTGCTCAGCACTTAGCCCAGCTTTCATCAGCCCTCCAAGGCACCACAAGACTCTAATTGTACTTCTCACCAGAAACACACTCCTGCCCATTTCACTGATGGACAAGCACAGCACTCGCCCTCATCCTGAGGAAAACAAGTAGAAGAGATTTGCCAAGTCACGAAGCCTGGGGTAAACAAAGACACAGGCAAGTTCCTAGGGCCTCCTTCTTCTGGTCTCAAGAAGGCCAGCTTCTGTTGAATTAATCTGGGAATTTTCCTACTACTTTCATAATTAGAGGCAGCAGTGGACCCTGCTTGGATGCATAACTGGAACTTGAGGTCAAGGACTGACGCTACTTCAGACTTCTGATCTGAAAAATAAAGGAGATGCTAATTATCACCAATATCATCCCCATCATCATCGTCCCCATCACTGTCTCCATCCTCATCCCTACCATCATCACCATCCCCATCATCATCCCTACCATCATCATCATCCAATTGTGGGATCATCCCAACGCACACACATGTTAGTACCTGTTTCACACGTCTTCTCTATGATGCACTGGTTCAATAAGCCTTTGTGAATGGAAGCCGGAAGAGAACATACCAAGGTCGAATACCACATCACAGGCTCTCCTACCACTCAGTGCCTCTGGGACTCTTATCAGCCTGGGCACGAGATGCTCACCAGCCTTACGTGGAGCAGCTGTGTGAGGATACAGTCAGCTGTGAGGGTGTTTTACAAACCCGGGCAGCCTGTTAATACTCAGATATGTGCTCCCCAGACATCACTCACCTCGGAGGCAGGGGAGGGGTTTTCTCAGGCCTCACCTGTGTTTCCCAATCGGGAACACTCTCTCTAGAGCTTGAATGGAAGCTCCATGAGGGTATGGAGTTTTGTCTGTTTTGTTCATTTCTGTATCCTCAGTACAAAGCACATAGTAGACGGTCAATAAATATCTGGTGAAGGAATTAATGTATGCATACATGAATGAATGAATTTCTGCATTTCATATGGCCAGACCCAGAAGTGGCAGCCTGGAGCCATGCTCCGCAGAACTTTGCTTCCCTGTATAATTGGACACAGTCAGCCTCTGCTACTATTCTCTTCAATCTTTTAGACCTAACCTATACATAAGAATCACCAGAGGAGCTTCTTAAAAAATACTGATGCCCATACCACACTTCCAGAGACTCAGTGGGGGTAAGACCTTGGCATTGGTTTACTTTTGAAATACCAGTTTAAAAATACCAGTTCCCCAGGTGATTCTAATATGCAGCCGAGTCTGAAAACCACAGCTCTAGACAGGCAGAAAGGACAGTTCTCCAGGGGCAAAATGGAAATCAGATAGGGAGACTGGATGAGGCAGGGGCTGGCTGGGGGGTAAGTTCACTTGGATTCATGCAGAATCAAAGTTCTTTCAGTCTATTAATCAAGACGTCACAGCAAAGTATGTGCTTTTTGTTCCCAGTTAAGAACTCAGGCCCCTTTGCCATTCCTTCCATAGGCACCAAAAAGACATAATTTTCCCACCCACCTGCTAGTAGTTCATTTGGAACTGCTCTTCGCCTGCTCTGCCCACCTGAGGCCCCCAAATAGGGATTTTAATATTGATTGGGTTCACCTGGCTGAGGTCCTGCTCCTTAGTGATACCTAGAGGGATTCTTTATTGAGGATCATAAATTAAAGATAACAAAACAATTTGTTGGCTAAGAGATAAACCCACACGAGGGGATGAACTATGTATAATGTATATAAATACATGCACACCCACAGACACACATGCAGTAATAAAGCAAAACTATGGCACAGATCTGTCATCAACTTCTGTAAACCAGCTTATTAAATGGGCTGAATTCAATAGTTGTATAAATGGGAAACACATTCATTTTTCTCTCATCACTGCCTTCAACCACACTGCCTTCTCTTCATGGCTTCCTGGGCACTTTTGTGGATTTAAACGGTGCAGTCTGACTTAAAGCTTAAAACATTCAATCATACATCCAATTCAAAGTGTTTCCTACTTTCCCTCCTCAAAGCTCAGGCCTACCCTGGGGCATGGGGATCTGCAGTGGAGAGGAGAGGGGTGCTGCACTCTTTCCCTGTTTCTGAGCTTCTTCCCCACTCCCTGCCATTGACTCCTCACGGTGGGCAGGGGAGGAGAGCATCTTCATTCTTGCCTGTCCAAAGGTGCTTTACTCTTGAGCATTGACACCCTCTGGGAGCCACATGTGCTCAAAGGCTGGCTCCACTGTGGGTTCTCAGAAGTGGGGTGCACTTTCTGGCCAACATCTGGCAACTCCTTCAGCAACACTCCCTGCCACCTTTCCCTGTCACCCTCTCTGGCAGTGCCCTAGCATGTTTCGAGTCTAGTTATCTTCCCCAGTGTACACTTATCCCAAAGGAAGATCATACTTGCTTTTCACATAAACAGTGGTCTACCTCTGCTCACTCTCTACCCTGCCTTCATGAATAACTTCAGTCACTCTTTTGCCTTCCAAATTTAACAAGGGGACAAGGCTGGTAGGAGGCACCAGTCTTTATGTTGAAACATTCCTCCAAACTCCAGGAAACAAACATCACTTTCTCCCAACAACTCTCTCAAGATGGACCCACAATTTCTGCAGTTCCTCAGGACTGTGGGATACCAGCCCTCCTTTTTTTCAGTGTCAGTTTCTATCTGTGCCCTTCACTTGGTTTGGAGGTGATGGGAAATTCAGGGGAAACATTGCAACATTCCCTGCTAAGCTGACAACACTTCACCTCAGTCACTCTCCTAAATATCTTCCTTCAATTTTCTTTTCTGTTTGTTTTATATAAGCCTGGATGGGCTAATAGTTACTGGACCTATTTTTACTAACCTTGGGTAAGACATGCATGGGTATGCTTAGCACCTCTCTGGAGTATGTGGGGACTTCTCACATGTCTTCAACTTTAAGGCTTCTTTGCCAAAATTTGGGGTCATAAGAAAGAGTTCCATTTAACATAATTTTACATGACCAAATCCAATGCCCTGGGGCTCTCAAATGAGGAAGAGCTAGTGGAATAATAGCGCTGACCAGCTGAGACCGTCTTCCTTGGCTGACACGCTGCCTGCAGATACACATTCGGAGCTCATGGTGATCCAGATGTTGGCAGCCATTGCTGGTTTGTGTCACACTGGGCACCACTCTGACCAAAAATGCTGCTGGCCAGACTTCTCAACCACATAGACTGTTGTGATTCTATTGCCCTAGCAATTTCTATTCTGTATTGCTAATTGTCCCATCATAGATACATTAGAGGTGCAGCTCTCTCTTTATGACAGACCTTAATACACCTTCTTGGATTTAGCCCCCCAGAAAGAAAGAGAAGCATCCTGGGCTAAATGCTGCCTAGAATCCTTTCACCAACTGCTCTGAAATCTCTCTCCAGGCTTGTCTCTTATTTCAACTTCCTGAACCTACCACATCTGTGTGACCCACTTCATGCTTCTTTGGAGTTCTGCTGGCTTTTCTGTGGGTTATATCATTTTTGCTTTTCTTTGTCTCTTTGTGCTCCCTATTTTCTTCTAGTTTGATCATCTCTTTCCCTTTTTTTTTTTCCTTCCTTTTTCCCACCTGTGCCTCCGTGATGCTGGAGACCCTGAAGACCAGAGATGTTTCTGAGCCCTGACTCAAAGCTCAAAATAGTTACATGAGTGAGTCCAAAATGTAATGTGGTCTTGCTTCTCCTGGCTGGACTGGGGACCCTCTGCCCAGTGCCAGGCCTCCTTATATGCCATAGTCATTTTGGGAAAGGCTGCAGACGTGCCCCCTTCCCATCTCCATGCATGCCAGCTTACTTCCCACCTGAACACCTGGTCCCTGTGTCTGCAGGCTTTCTCCCACTGCTAGAACACACCAGGAGCAGATCAGGTGCTGGGAATCAAAACCTCCCCTTTCCCCAGGAGCAGCTCTCAACGACTGATGGGAGCTGGCATCTAAGGAACATGCCCCTGGCTCCTTGGGTAGGATAAATCTGAAGCAAGTATTCTACGCTGGCTCCCAGAGCCACTTGGAGGGAAGAAGATCCATTTGCCTTGATGGCTGCCTTCGCTCCCCTGTTTCACTTTATGACTCCCCTGGCACTCACTATGCAGTCTCAGAAAGTGCTTCTAAGGGAACCCAAACTAAGAAAGTTTCCAAGCCAGAAATGAAAATTTCTTGGACAGATTGACCGGACCAACAAACACTGACCCAGTACTGGGCAGCTTTCCTGGGTGGCATGTCAAGCCGGCATCACATCTCTCAGTGTATGGCTTTGTATAGACAGGAAATCATGAAGAGAGAGATCCCAGAGGCAGACACCTAGGGAAGGATTAGGAGAATTTACTTCTGTCTCCATTCCTCTTCCTCCTCCTTTCTTTCCTGTCCTCTTACCTGCTTTCCCTCTTCCCCCACATGTAGAGCACAGCCTCAGGCTCTGTCACTTAGCTGTCCTCCTTTCATGGCTCCCAGCCAGGAGCTGACCTGGATAGGGGTGTCTGCCTCCCTTCCTCAGCCCTGCGAGTCACCCTCAGGAGCAGCCGGCATGCCCTATTCTGTGGGCACACCTTAAGGTGCCATTGTCTCAGGTCTTAGAAGACAGCAAAATGACTCACAGGTGAAAGAATCTGGTTCTGGGAAATAAATCCAAGGTAAAACTTAGACATTTTTGTTTCTCCTATTGGATAACAAGTAACCTTTTAACTCTCTGTCAACTGTATCAAAAAAGTGACTATCTCGTTACTTAATGTTGGCAAAAGTGGTTTAAGGGCTTCAGATGAGGCAAGCAAAGATGCCTCCGATAGCAGTGATGGGGAGAGAGAAGGTATTGTCTCATTCCTCCCTCCAAACATATCTGGATCCCACAGGATTGTACTTTAGCTCTATGCATGAGCTATGCAAAAGCTCTGAAGGCTTCTAATATGTCCTCTGACTGGGGTAGGGGTGGCTTAAAGGGGCTTGTCCCTGCAGCAAAATCTCAGCCATGAAGAGCCACTGCATGGCATTGTCACCTTCAGGGCACAGCAATGAGAGGGTAGGGGGTGAAGGAAAGGTTGAGGCATTGCCATGACAGCACCACGCTGTGCAACTCCCCCACAAGGAGGTGGTGTCTGATGCCCACCCATCGAGTGTGTGCTTCTGGGAATGGGGGAGTTGTAGAGTCACTTCCCTTTGTCCTCCAAGACTGAGGTTGGGGCTCTGGGGGCTGCATAGGGTGGGCTATGCAGCTCCTGGCCTGGTCTGCCTTAGGTAGGTCACAGCACAGCTGTCCTCAGAGATCAGCAGCTGGAAAGACACTTTGCCTGCATGTTTTGCCAACACACTTGAATTTTTTCTGCCAAGCAGAATGATTTACTTGTATGTCTTCATCGAGGGCAATTATTTTTTAGCACCTTGCTGGGCAAGCTGGGTGATCTCATCACAGAGAAGATCCTATGAGAGCCTGTCTCACTTGGAACAAAAGTAAGAAAAGTGGCCTCCCTTCTCCTGTCTCCATCCAGAAATTCTCTTCTCTCTCTGGCACTTCACACAGAGATGAGGGGCCTGCCATTTTTCCCTTGAGAGCCACTTGTTCACCCATGAAACTCATCAAGGATGATACTTTAAAAGCACCTCCCTTTTGGAGAGAGACCGTTTTTCTTTGTGAGAGAGAAAGGAAGAGCATTTCAGATCTCCTGCCTTTTAAATTAAAAAAACAAGTAGTGTAAAACATTATTCGGTGAGCAAACCTGACACTAAACGTGTCTTAGATTTCCAGATGTAGATAGCTGGGTGGAGAAAAAAGAGAAGAATGGAAAAGAGGCAAGACCAATGAAGGACTCTGGCAAGAAAAGAATCCATGGAAAAGAGGGAGAAGTGGAAACACAGAGATGGGGGTCACTGGTGCTGAGGAAAAAGGAGAGGGAGAGACAGGGCAGGAGACAGACGGGGAGAGATACCAGGCAGAGAGGGAGCGGGAGGGGAAATGAGGGCAGAGGGCCTCACATCTCAAACACATGGGATCTAAACACCACTGAGGCACACAAGCAGCCAAGCTTAGTGGGCAGCTCTAGAAAGCATGGGGCTGGAGGTGGAGTTTAGGGCACATCTGCTGTGGGTGATTGTTGGGTCAGCAGGAGAAGAGACAGCAAGTAAAGGAGAGGTTAGGAATTGAAGCAGCCTCCTGATTCTCCCTTTTCTTGCCAGTTTCTCTAAGAAGGCATCCATTCCAGCTTTTTCCACCTCCTCGCTGCCTTCCCACCTCCCACTCCTACTGCCCCTCCATTTGGACTCACTCCCACTGACCCTGCCGCTACAAGGCTGCTGTGGGCCAGATGTGTGGCTTTTTCTCAGGAAGATTTCCTCTTCAATCAATGCCTCCTCCTTCCTCTCCTTCTGTGGCTCCATCACCATGGAGGCAGTTTCATGGGACACGTAGATTCCCATACCAGTTGTGCTGCTTATTCATTGTTATACCTGAAACATGTCGCTTGCCCTCTTTGAGTTTTCCCATCTGGAAATTTGTGCAAACAATAGATAGCACTTAGCCTGCTGCCAGCACTGGATCCTGAGGGTTCTGATGGAAGTGTGTGTTTATGTGTGGTAAGAGTAAAGGAACATGATAAAGCGCTGTGAACTGTGGACTGATCTACAAATAGGACTTATTACTCTGTTTCTTCTGCTTACTATCCCGGTCCTCCAACCCCCAAACCAACCTCTGCTCTTTCTTCTTTAACTCATCACCTGTGAACAAACCTTCCCCAAGACTTGTTTTATACTCTCTTCAATTCCTAATCTCTCCTTTGCAGACTCAACCATCACCCAGGGCAGACAACTCCCTAACCTCCATCTCCAGCTCCATGCTCTCTAGAGCTGCCCTCAAGGTGTGGCTGCTTGCGTGCCTCAATGGTGCTTTAGATATCACATGTCTGAGATGGGACAGATAGAAGGCCTCACTTTGCCCTCAAACCAGCTCTTTCTTCTAGAGGAGTGGAAAAGCCACCGGTTCTATGGATAGACAGACTTGGTTTCAAACCCCAGCAATGCTGTGGATTGCCTTGCAGCAATCTTCCTGAGTTTCAGTTTGCTCACCCACAAAATGGGAACAATAAAGCCTCACTGAGAAATAGTATGAGGACTCAGAGTGATGAAATACTAAATAACAGCACATGCAAGGCGAGGCCAAGAGGGCACATCTGGGGCTCTCTAGACCCACACTGTAGCTGCACACTGCAGAATCTCTATTCTGCAGCCACTTCTCAATCACCATAAGTGTGGGGTTGCAGGAAGACACTCCTTTTGGCAGGATGGCAGGCCTGACTCTAGCAAATTGTCAAAATAACATAGAGGTCAAGAGCACAGACTCAGGAGCCAAATCTTGGCTTAACCACTTACTAGCTGTGTTGCTTTAGGCAAGTGAGTTAACCTCTCTTGTGCCTTAGTTTTCTTGTCTGTAAGATGGGAATCATAACTAGTAACCTTCCCCACAGGATTGTATGAGGATTAAATCAGATAAAGTCATGTGGGCTGCTTACAACAGTGAAGCAGTACCATATAAGTGAAGACAGTACCATATAAGTATTTTGTTTAACAAGTGTTATGTTTGTTATTAGTGACATTGTTTATCAAAGGTTGCATGTTCATTTGTTACTTAAGAGGTTTTGAGGGCCTAGTGGCACCTAGAAAATGGGAGGCCTGAGCACCCCATTGTGCCCTGTGCCAAGCCTTACTTCACCTTCTGTTGCACCGTAATCATCTCTCTGAAGTGAGACCAGGAGGACGTCCATCCCCATCCATTTCCCTCCTATGCCACCTTGGAGCCCTGATGTGAGCCAATTGCTTTGGCCACAACATGCATCCAGGCCAGTGACATCACCAGGCGAGAAGAACATGCTGGTGCGGGCAGGGGGATGACGTGCAGGGAGGGATGGAAAGTCCCACCAGAGCCCTGCTTTTCCTGCCCTTTGATGTGCGCAGCAGCTCCAGATGACTCAGGCATGCGGCATCATGGGTCACTCTCGGCACTGTGGCCGGGAACGGGGTGGGTGAAGGGTTGGGGCCTGGTAAGAGAAAGAGAAGCTGGGCACCAAGGAAATGAGGATTGGATTGCAGAAGGGCTCATTCCCTGTGGACAAGGCTGGACTTGCCCCTAAGGGCAGGGAGGAGAAACCTGGACAGATTTCTATTTCAGAAAGATCTCTCTGGCTACTGTATGGAAAAATGGGGCTTAGTGCCAGACAGAATGGGAAGTGAGGAGAAAAGTCACAGAGATGTTGTGGAAAGAAGATAAAGAGACCTGGATGTAGAGGGTGGCAGTGGGGAAGGACCAGATGAGTCCAACTTTAAGGGTAGAATTGGCTGGATTTGGTCACCCATTAGGGGTCAGCAGTGAGGAGGAGTGGAGAGTCTAGTGTGGCACTGAGGCCTCCAGAACACTGGATGGGAAAGTGCTTTGTCAACTGTAACATGCTCTACACACATCACCGTGTTCACCTCAGAAAGACTCCCCAAGGAAAAGGGCAACATCGTATTAATAGTGTTCATCACCTTCATTGACAAACACAGATTGGGTCCATGCTAGGTGCCGCACTGGCAGATCCAGAGAGTAGGCAGATGAGGCCCTGCCTTTGAGGTGCTCACGCCTGAGCTGGGGAGGCAGGCCCTCTGGTTGAGGAAGTCTGTACCTCCTGCCTCAACCGGATTCATTCAAGAACCAGAAAAAAACGCCAGCTCCTCTCATGGGAGGGATCTCCAGGATAGGACAGCTCTAAATTCCACGTTCTCCCCCCTCACACCTGTCTCTAGAGCACTGGAGTGACACGTACGTTCAATTCTGTTACTGGCACATCAAGAAATTTATCAGCCAGTTGCTTCATCTGCAAAATGAGGATGATGATAGGAGGAGGGATATGTTAACATTTAAGTAACATATGTAGCTCCTACAGCAGGGTCTGGCACATAGTAAGTGTTCAATTAAATGAGGTGTCATGATTATCACTATTACTATTGTTAATTTACTCTCACACTCCCAGCTGGCTCTTTCCTTACCTTGTCTTTAATTCCCCCAACAATTCCCAGTCCTCCTTCTCCTTCTAAGACTCATCCAAGACATAGTTAAATCCTCCCCATATATGACAAAGAACTCAGTGCAGGTCTGTACAGACCATCTTGGGTTCACAGTGTTTGAAGTCGGCGTCCTTCTTTGAGTAGATTGCCATCAAGAAAGAAGTCAGAGCGAAAACATACAAATGGGATTGCATCAAACTGAAAAGCTTCTGCACAGCCCAAGAAACAATCAACAGAGTGAGCAGGCAACCTAGAGAACTGGAGAAAATATTTGCAAGTGATACATCTGATAATGGGGTTAATATCCAAAATAGTAAGGTACTCAAATGACTCAAGTGCGAAAAAACTCCAATAATCCAATTTAAAAATGCCTAAAAGATGCGAATAGACATTTCTCAAAAGAAGACATACAAATGGCCAGCAGGTATATGAAAAAGTGCTCAACATCACTAATCATTAGAGAAATGCAAATTAAAACCACCATGAGATATCATCTCACACCTGTTAGGATGGCAATCATGAGAAAGATGAAAGATAAGTATTGGTGAGGCTGTGGAGGAAAGGGAGCCCTTGTGCATTGTTGGTGGGAATATAAATTGGTACAGCTATTGTGGGAAACAGCACAGAGATTCCTTTAAAAATTAAAAACAGAACTACTATATGATCCAGCAATCCCACTTCTGGATATTTAAAAAAGGAAATGAAATCAATATCTCAAAAGACATATCTGCAATCCTGTACTCATTGCGTTTTTCACAATAGCAAAGATATAGAATCAACCTAAGTGTTCATCAATGGTTGAGTGGATAAAGAAAATGAGAGATATATAGATATCTATAGACACATATGCAGCGAAATATCATTTAGTCTTTAAAGAGAAGGAAATCCTGCCATTTGCGGCAACATGGATAGACCTAAAGGATATTATGCTTCAGCATAAGCCAGGCATATAATGACAAATACCCCATGAGCTCACTTATAAAGACATACCTCAGAGCCGTTGCAGGTTTGATTCCAGACCACCACAATAAGTGATTATCACAATAAAGCAAGTACAATTTTTTTTATTTTCTAATACGTATAAAATTACACTTACATTATGCTGTATTCTATTAAGTGTGGAATAGCATTATGTCTAAAAAATGTACATACTGTAATTTTAAAATACTTTATTGCTAAAAATTGCTAAGGATCATCTGAGCCTCTAGCAAGTTGTAACCTTTTTGCTGATGGAGGGTCTTGCCTTAATGTTGATGGCTGCTGATTGATCAGGGTGGTAGTTGCTGAAGATTGGAGTTGCTGTGGGAATTGCTTAAAATAAGGCAACAATGAAGTTTGCTGCATCAATTGACTCTTTCTATTAGGGAAGATTTCTCTGTAGCATGCTGTGTTGTTTGATAGCATTTTATCTGCAGCAGAACTTATTTCAAAATTAGAGTCAGTCCTCTCAAACCCTGCCACTGCTTTATCAACTAAGTTTATGGAATATTCTAAATCCGTTGTTGTCATTTCAACAGTGTTCACAGCATCTTCACCAGGAGTAGATTTTATCTCAAGAAGCAACTTTCTTTGCTCATCCATAAAAAGCAATTCCTCATCTGTTCAAATGTAATAATGAGATTGCAGCAATTCAGTCCCATCTTCAGGCTCCACTTCTAATTCTAGTTGATGCTATTTCCAGCACATCTGCAGTTACTTTTTTTATTGAAGTCTTGACCCCCTCAAAGTCAACCATGGGGGTTGGAATCAACTTCTTCCAAACTCCTGTTAATTGATATTTTAATCTCCCCACATGAATCATCAATGTTCTTAATGGCAATTAGAATGGCAAATACTTTCGAGAAGGTTTTCAATTTATTTTGCTCAGATTCATCAGAGGAATTGCTATCTATGACAGCTATAGCCCTATGTAAGGTATTTCTTCAATAATAAGACTTGAAAGTTGAAATTTCTCTTTGATCCATGGGCTACAGAATGGATGTTTTGTCAGCAGGCATGAAAATTACATTAATCTCCCTGTACATCTTGAGCAGAGCTCTTGTGTGACCAGGTGCACTGTCAATCAGAAGTAATATTTGGAAAGGAATCTTTTTTTTCCTGAGCAGTATGTCTTAAAGCTGGGCTTAAAATATTTAGTAAACCATGCTATAAACAGATGTGCTGTCATTCAGGCTTTGTTGTTCCATTTATAGAGCACAGGTAGAGTAGATTTTGCATAATTCTTAAGGGCCCTAGGATGGTCAAAATGGTAAAAGAGGATTGGCTTCAATTTAAAGTCACCAGCTTCATTAGCCTCAATAAGAGAGTCAGCCTGTCCTTTGAAGCTTTGAAGCCAGGCATTGACTTCTCTTCCCTCACTATGAAGTCCTAGATGGCATCTTGTTCCAACAGTAGGCTGTTTCATCTGGATTGAAAATCTGTTGTTTAGTATAGCCACCTTCATCAGTGATCTTAACTAGATCCTCTGGATAACTCACTGTGGCTTCTACATCAGCACTTGCTGCTTCACCTTGGACTTTTTGTTATGGAGATGGCTTCTTTCCCTAAACCTCATGAACCAACCTCTACTAGCTTCAAACTCTTCTTCTGCAGATTTCTTACCTCTCTCAGCCTTCATAGACTTGAAGAGATTTAGAACTTTGCTCTGTATTAGGCTTTAGTTTAAGGGAATATTGTGGCTTGTTCCTTGGTTAACAGCCCAGAGAAGGAAAGTAAGACATTCAGTTCCACGTGGCCTTCCAAACAGAATCGCCAAAGGAACAAAGTGTGATTTAGACATAAAGAATCCAGATGGACCACGTTGGGGGAACAGGGTCACTGTTTGCTTCCCATCCCTTCCTGGTATGGCCCAAATGCTGCAATGGTTGCAAAATGGAAGGACTGTGGAAGGAGCCAGGCCAAGGATGTGCTTGGGAAGAATGCTCATTTGAGCAGCATCTCCAGGTGATTCCTTTCTTCCTCCCCACCCCCTGCTTTACTGGGGTATAATTGACAAATAAGAACCATATACATTTAAGGTGTACAGCCAGAGCCAGAGCCCAGCCTCTCCTGTGGCCAAGTCTGCAAAGTAAGAACTCTTCTAGGCCATGGACTCTCTTAAGGGCATGGAGCGCACACTCTGCCCTGACCAATGGGAAACACAAACCTCGTCTGCTCCCATTCCTCCTTCCTAGCCTCCACCCCTGGCAGGAGGCATCTGCAGTTATCACGACCAGTGCTTCTGTGTGCAGTTTACACATCTCTTACCCACTGCGCCCTTATGGAAGCGGAGTCAAGACTCCTGGGGTCAAGTCCAAGCTCTGTCCATTTACTGACTATGGGCCTTGCGTAAGTTACTTCTCTCACTACAGCCCTGTGAGATTTTCATTTGGTAGATGAGGAACTTGGGCTCACAGAGGCACCAGGGTAAATGCCAGAAATGGTTTTTTTACTCAGGTTGGTGTGTTTCCAAATCCAAGTCTCCTTCCAGAACATCTGGCTCCATAATTTCTGGCCCGTGAATAAGGAAACCTCAGCAAAAGAGCATCTTTGCTTCTTCCTCCACTACCATGTGAAACACAGCCTATCAAACTCAACCATCAGCCAACTCAGCATGTTAGGCAGAAGGGCGAGCCCTCCATAGAGACAGAAAACAAGCCATCTCTGTCCCCTTCAAGTTCCAGCAGTAGACACTTGTGGCTGTGTGAGACTGTATCTTCTTTGTGGGATCCTATAATAGCTTCTTCATAGTGCCTGTTCAGCACAAACTGGCTATTGGAAGTCCCCAGGCTTGAGGGCTGCAGCTTCCCTCTGGGGTGGAAATGTTGACAAAGAATTCAAGATGGCAGGAGTCTAGAGATGGGGCTGAGGCGATCTGGGTGCCCCTAGTTCCATCCCAGTAGGGCATCGGTTGGCTGAGGACAATGCACAAGGCAGCTAGAAATAGGAAGCCTTCTGTTCTGAGATATTCCCTGGCTTGGTCCCTTCAATCTGTACAGGGATCGAAATCGGTGTTACATCTGGACTGAGCTCCTGGCCAGTGCCTGTGATGTTGCAACCCTGTGGTGCACATTTTCTCCAACATGTCCTTTCTGGTCTCTCTTTTTCTAGGAGGAGCTGGAGCCCACTTTGCATTACCTGGTTGCAGAGTTCAAAAAGTGGCAGTTTCCTACTCATTCATCTATTCATTCATCCTGCCAGGCACAGGGGATATCAGCATAAACAAGACTGAACATGGCCCCTTGCCCTCTCAGGCTTGGTGGAGTGACACCAGATTTGGAGGCAGGGCTCTACTCCCAGCCTAGCATTTACAATCTGGTGATCTCACTTGCTCTTAAACTCTCTGAGCCTCAGTTCCTTCAGGTGCAGGATGTGTGTAATGATGCCTCCCTCGTATGATTCAAGTGAGTGGAAGGATTTAATCAAATAAATAAGAAAGTGTTTGTTAACCATAAAGATCATATCGATCTGAGTTATTACTGTTAATAATGTGACTATTATTATTATTATTGCCATACTTTTCCATTCAGGAAGTTTCCTCTGCCTGACTTGCTTACTATGCCAAGAATCTGGGTAAATTTACTTTACATGGCAGACTCTGACAATATTGATTGATCGACTCTGGGTCATTAGCTTGCTTCTTTTGTTTTCTAACAGGTTTATTAAGGTATAATTCACATAGTATACAATTCGCCCACTTAAAGTATACAGTTCAATGGGTTTTTCTGAATATTCACAAGGTTATATAACCATCACCACAATCTAATTTTAGAACATTTTCATCTCTCTTAAAAGAAACCCCATGCCCATTAGTAGTCAATCTCTATTTCCTCCCATTGGCCCCCTCTCCCCATTAAAGGAAATGATGAAACTTTGCCTTCATATATTTGTCTTTTCTGGACATTTCATATAAATGAAATCAGTTGGTAGACTTCGGGCTATTCCCATTTTTTGGCTAGTACAAAAGATGCTGCTTTGAACATTCATGTATAAGTTTCTGTGTGAACGTATGTTTTTATTTCTCTTGGGTACACCTTATACCTAGGAGTGAAATGGCTAGGTCACATGGTTGCTCTGTGTTTAACATTTTAAGGAAATGTTACACTGTTTATCAAAGCTGCTGTACCATTTTACATCCCCACTGGCAAGGTATGAGGGTTCCAATTTCTCCACACCCCCACCAACACTTCTTATTATGTCTTTTTTATGAGAGTCATCCTAGTGGGTGTGAAGTGGTATCTCATTATGGTTTTGATTTGCATTTCTCTAATGACTAATGATATTAAACATCTTTGCATGTGCTTATTGGCCATTTGTACATTTTCTTTGCCAAAATGCCTATTCAAGTCTTTTGCCATTTCTTATTGAGTCCTTTACCTTATTATGACTTGTAAAAGTTCTTTACATATTTTGAATATAAGTCTGTTATCAGTGTTATGATTTGCAAATATTTTCTTGCATTCTGTGAGGTGTCTTTTTACTTTCTTGATGACATGTTCACAGCACAGAAGTTTTAAATTTTGATAAAGTCATCTTATCTTTCTTTTCTTTTGCCACTTATGTTTTTGGTGAGATATGTAAAGTCTATTTCTTAAATGGGCTCTGACTTTTTAAATGTGTCTATTATTTACACAAAATTAAATTCTTGGCTTAAATCCAAATCAGGAAAAACAATCAACGAATTATCACTATAACCTTACGCAAGTTAGATGTAATTGAATAAACCTAGTTGAAGCCTTCCTTCTGTGAAAGAAACGGGGAACAGACAGAGCTTTCAAACTGAGTAGGGTAGCAGTTGAGGTGGGCTAGGTAACACCCTTGCTCCTCTTGCCATCTCCAACAGAAAACACTTGCAGGGGGTTTGTCATAAGGGGGAAGAAGAGGAAGAGTAATAGGACTGAGGTACTAAGGAAAGAAGCAAAGCTGTTACTTGTCCTACGCTTGCTTCCAAGGGCCAAGGGAGGTTGGGACTGAATTCCTGGGCTGCCTTTCTTACCCCGCCCTCCCCTATTACCCCTTGGGAGGGCCTACGGGGATGAAGCTTTTCAAGAGGTTCCACGGTACACTAGGGCCTTTGATCATGCTGTCCCCACTGTCTGCCGAGATCCCCACCCCCACTCCTTTACCCATCCATCTCCCACAGGTCCTTCAGTGCATGCCTCATTTGTCAGTTCCTCAGGAACATCTTCCCTGACCTCCCGGTTTATGCTGCTCTGCTGCCTTCAGGACATAGGAAGCAAAGTCTTCAGGATATGGCTCCAGCCCACATCCACAAAAGGACTCCCTTTCCCTCCTGCCACATGTCCTCGCAGTTCCTATTTTTCACCATCCACAGCTCAGTCTGTACTGTTGTGCTGTCTCTCCATCTTCTTTTAGGCTCAATGCAACTCCTTTTCCCACCTGCTCACCCCCACTCTGCCCTCAGCTTCAGCCAACCTGGCAGTTCCCTCCCCTGGGCTCTACCCTTCTCGGGCTAATGCAGAGGTCACTGTTGTGCATCTGCTTATTTTCCTCTTGGCCTGGAAACCTCTCAAGTATCTATGGATCTTCTAATCCCAAAGTCTGTGTTAGGCTTCCTGACACATATTGGCTGCTTTGTGAATGTTGGTTGAATTACTTAATTAATTAACCTATCAGGCAAAGAGGGGCATTGAAGAATGTTTGGACATAATATGGGGACAGACCGGCTCAATCAGGGCACTTGTACTGGAGAAAAACACCGAGATTCTACTTAAGTCTGTCCCTGATTCACTGAAGAGAAAAGAGATTTCATTTCTCTTATCAGGGACTTAACATTCTCCACTCATGCACCGAGACCATGTGTTTGTTCCCTGAGAAATTTCCCACCTCTTTTAGGGAAGCAGTGCCCAGGCCAGGAGATCTCACTGCTCTGGGGGCCTGGTCCTAGCCTCACGGACCCAGTTGGAGGCTTAAATATCTGCTACTGTGGGGACAGATATTCCCCCATGGTTTTCAGAGTGGCCTGGGTCTCTGTCGACCTCACTCCTGCAACCCGGAGCCTGTCTGTCTCTCTTTCTCTTTCCAGGTCTGAAGCCGTCAGCTGCCAGCAGCACCCCTTCACTGATTGGTCCTGCCCCTCAGTTCATATGAGGGTGAAGGGAGGTGAGAATGTTTGTATCTCTAACTCAGGTATCCTGCAAGTAGGTATTACTGTCTCTATTTTACCAGAGACAGAAACTGAGTCTGAAACGGCAAGAGTCTTGTGTGCTTTTGTCTGTGTAACTGGACCTTGTACTCCACATTACACAACAGCACATCAACTAGACTTTGAAGAAACACGGGGAAGGAGCAGCCGTGTCCAGGGGCTCATGGATCTCTGCTTGGAGACAGCAAAAGGCCAACCACCACCACTCCCCGCACTGCTCTGACCTTTCTGCTTCATCTTCTATTCGTGAATATTTGTTTTCTAGGCACTATTCTAAGCTCCGGGGGATATAGCAATAAACAAGACCGACATCAGAGCTTACATTTCAGTAGGGATGACAAAATAAATACATATAAATGCACACATAATATAATTTTAGATAGTAATAAGTACTATGCAAAAAATAAATCGGGTATTGTTAATATTCTAGATCTGGAGTTGGCTGACACGTTCATAGTGTTCATTGCATTATGTGTTATAACATACCTATTCTTTACATATATTCTTTGAATACAATACTATATAATAAAAAGTTCTGCTCATAAAAGTTTGTGATGGAATGAGGGAGGGGTATCTTAGATGAAGTCATCAAAGAAGGCTTTCTATATTTCAGCTAAAATCAGATAAATGAGAGGGAGCTTGCAGGGTAAAGATCTGAGGAAGAAGCAAGTTCTCTGGGACAGGGAGAGGCAGGTGAGACAGGGCTGAGTGCCAAAGTGCCGAAAGGGAAGAAAGGGGGTTGGTGAAATAGGCAGGGCCAGACCTTGGGGACCTGACACGTGGATGTTATCCTAAGCGTAATGGGAAGGGGCTTTGTTTCTAAAAGATTAGTCTCTCTGGAGTGCCAAAAGAAATTACAAGTGCCCCTCTCATTTTCCCTCCTCTTCTCCCCTTCCCCTCAGTAGGTGGGACTTTCTGCAGATGTGCCAGAACTTAGCCCAGCTCTTGCCAGACGCGTCAACCCCAGAGCTTGGGGCTTTGTTTTTATAGGGCAAGAAAGCGGAACAAGCCAAGGTTTAACTTTATGCTGCTTTTACTCGTGATTATTAAATCCACTTTGCCAATAAGTTTCAACTTTAAATACATCTTGAATATAAATAAAACGGTACTCTAGTCGCTTGATTTACATTGAATGTCTGTTTTCTCCCCTTATTGAGCTAGTAATTTCACTCCCACCATCTTTGCTCAGCAGCCCCTGTCCCCAGGAATTCTCCTGGGGTCTGCTTGAATGCCAGCCCTTGGGGCAAGACCAGACAGTGGTAGGGGAGTGGAAAGGGCCTGGGATGAACTGTCTGCAGACCTGGGACAAACCATTTAATCTCTCCAAATTCATTTTCTTATCTACAAAACCAGCAAAAATCCTTCCTTGCAGAAATAAAGCACGGGAAAAGCACATAGCACAGTGACTGAGATGCAAGAGGTGATCAGTAAAAGTGAGTTGAATCCAATTTTAATTTCATTTTTAAGTTAAAAAACTTAAATCTGCTCAACTAAATTTGCTCATCATTAGTACCGCTTCCTTGGTCTCTCAACATTTTTCTTATTCACTTTTTTTTAATGACTGTCCGTGTTCACTGTAGAGTTTTTGTAAAATACTGAACAGTATAAGGAAGAAAATATAATCCGTTCATAATTCTACTACTCAGAGATAACTGCTCTTAAAATACCCATGTGTTTCCCTCTAGGCTTTTTTTTCTATACATATATTCATATTTTGATGGTACTTTTTATTCCATTTTGTATCTGGCTCTTTTCATCTAGCATTTCATTCCACCAATTTCCTGTCACTAAAATATTCTTTGATAACATGAGAAGTAAACAAATGAATAGATCTCTGCTCCATGGGGAATAAACTGTGGAGTTGAGAATAGCAGCAGGGGAGTAATTCTATGGCTACTGCATGGTGATGTGTTGGCTGGGACTGAGTGGAAATGGCGGAAGTGATGAAAACCATTCAGATTCAGAACGTACTGGGAAGGAATAGGAGACAGGTCTTAGGGATGGATTCGATGGGAGAGATTAAAGAAAGCTTGCACAGATCAGTCCCAGTGTTCAGACAGAGCATGTCTGAGCATTTCCTGAGATGGGGAATGGAAGGAGGGGCAGCTCTGAGGGAGAACATCCTTGGCCAAGGGGACATTCCAGCCTCTTGGGTCTTCCAGCCTGTGGTGTGGAGAATGAGGTCGAGGGGGCAGATCTGGCTTAGTGCTCAGGGGCAGCTGACACATGGTCCCTGAGATTCTGTGAGATATTTCCCCCAGTAGCAGCCCCTGAGCCATTCAAAGACACCCTACTGACCTAGTGGCAGGTTACATTCCCAAACTGGAGTCTCCACCTTTTCTGAAGAAGAAAATCATAGACACCTCCCTCAACAATTAAATGTTAACACAGTATACATTCCTCATTCCACATATCATTGCAGAGTGCTGACTATGTGCTTGGCACTGTTCACTGGGAATACAGCCATGAGCAGACCAAACTTCCTGCCTTCATGCAGCTTCTAGTCTAGTGGAAAAGACAATAAAACAAGTAATACATAGTATGCTCAATAATGGTAAGTGCTATGGGGAAAAATAAAATAGAGAGAAGGCCCAGGAGGTGTGGAGGGTTGTAGAGGGGTGGGTTGCATTTTTAATTAGTGAAGTTAGGAAGGCCTCATCAGTAACATAACATTGGAGCCACGTGGAGATGAGAGTCACCTGGAGCATTGGGTCTCTTGTGGTGACTGATATAAACGGACGAATGAGATTTGTTGAGATGGTCTCAAGGCAGACAATGGCGATAAAATAGAAGTGTTGGAAATAAACCAGGGTAGGGAGAAGGGGGGTTTCAGGGGCACGTAGAGCTCACGATTGTGCTCTGGACTCCTGTTGATGGCAGTGTAGAGGTGGGAGGAGGGCATCCCACTGAGAATGCTGTAGGACACTCTCTTGATTTCCACTGGTGGCAGCCAGAGAGGCTAAGGAAGGGCATTGTTAGTTTGCAGAGGTCTATGGAGATAAATCAGGATGGGACTCCAGGTGAGGATTCTAAGGTGAGTCAAGGAACAAGGCACAAAAGGAAACGGGAGCTGTTACTCCTTCAGGAGGCCAAGGAGGATGGGTGGTGGTGAGGGCAGGGGTTTCTCTTGCCAAAACGACAGACACTGCCCAGTTGCTCGGTATAGGCCATAGTATACCTAACCATGAATACGTGGCACTGGTACAACAGCTGTGCTGTGTGGCCCAGGAGGCTGACTGGACTTTCATTCTGAACAATCTCTGAATATTTGGAAAGTACAGTTGAAGAGGTACAAATAAAGGTTAGCTCAGTTATTTATGTTCATAGTACTTCTCACGCCTAGCACAGCAGAAGGTATTTGTCCTGCACATAGTAGGCACTTGATATGTACTTGAAGACTTAAACAAAAGTACTTCTTAAAAATAAAATCCATTATTTATTGAAAACTTTCTGTGTGCAAAGTTCTGGGTTACACACAAAAAATATTTTTTTAAAAAAAGACAAATAAAACACAAGAATTAACCTTAAGAAGTTCACATTGTTAAATTAAAGTAGAAATAGACACTAAAAGACCAATGCTGAATCCAAGTTAGGAAAATTTGGGACCAAATCAATGAAAGAAATAATGGTTCCAAATATAATCCCCAGCTACTTAAAAGGGGTGAATCATTATCAGAATTCTTTAAAACAGTAGAGCTGAGGGCTCTAGTGATTCATTTAGCCAGTATTACAAACTTTTTTGATCATAATCTATAGTAAGAAATTTACTTTATTTCACAATTTAGTATACACACACACGATTGAAATATCTCACTTGTTCTTAATGTATGTAATGTACTCTAATATACTGTATTCCATTTATTTATTTATTAAATGCTGGTCTTCACTGACAACCCACTATACTGACTTCACAACCCACTAATGGGTTGCAATCTACAGTTTGAAAAACACTGATCTGATCTAATCTAACCTTCTCCTTACATCATACCTTCAGCCTAGGTATTCCACAGGGTCCCAGGGGACTTATGACTTGCTAGCCTCTCAATAACTTGGAGTCCTGACATTGCAAGCTCCAAGAAGGGAAGAACTCTAGCTTTTTCTGCTCATCGCCGTGACTCTGATGCCCATCACTCTGTCTGGAGCACAGTAGATGGTAAAGAAATTGGTTAACTGATGGAGGAAAGCTACATACAGGTTCCACAGCTACTTAGCTAAAGAATGATGCCTCCTTTCAAAGACACGCTAGAACAATCAGACAATTGTTGGCTGTCAGAAAATAGCAGCGATTTTATAATTCCATATGAGAATAAATCTTAACTTCAATTGTAAAAATAAATTGTTACCTCAGCATGTCACAAGTGATCAGTACAGTGCTTTAGATAATGATGCATTGTTTTGTGTGTATACATCCTCATCTATCCATTGCACCTCTGGCCAAAACTGGATTGCAAGCATTTGAATGAAATAAATGTCTTCTTTCTTTAACCCACCGACCACTTAGTAGTGGGCTAAATAATTAGGCTGCAAATGCTTTGGGGAAGAACAATTAAGATAATTAATAGGACTTATTTTTCTCCATTGTTTCATAATAGCTTTATAAAGTATAACTGACATACTCTAAACTGCACATATTTAAAGTGTATGACTTTTTTGACATAAATATACACCTGGGAAACCATCATCAAAATAAAGATAATAAAAATAAACATTACTCAAAGGTTTGTTTCCAGTTACCTTTTGTTAATCCCTCCTTCCCGCCCTTCTCCATGCATCTTTTCCCAGATCCCCAAGCAACCACTGATAAGCTGATAAGTTTTCCATCACTGTACATTAGTTTGTATTTCCTATAGTTTAATATAAGTGAAATAAAAGGTATGCACTTTGTCTATCTCCTTTCACTAAGTATAACTATTTTGAGCTTTCTCCATGTTGTAGATTGATTTTTTTTTTTTAGTCTTGAGTAGTAGTATTCCATTGTATGAATAGAACATGGTTTGTTTATCTGTTTACCAGTTGGTGGGCTTTGGGGCTATTTCTTGTTCAGGACTGTTGCAAATAAAGCTGTTACAAACGTGCATATAAGTCTCTATAGGAACACATGCTTTTATTTCTCCTGGGTAAAGACTTAGTACTGGCATGTCTGAATCATGTAGGAGATGTTCCTGCCATTTTATATTTCCACCAAACCAACATTTATTAAGGTCAGGTTTTTTGTTTTTTTGTTTATGTTTTAGGCTTTTTTTTTTTTTTTTTTTTTTTGAGACAGAGTCTCTGTCATCCAGGCTGTAGTGCAGCAGTGCCACGATCTTGGCTCACTTCAAACTTTGCTCCTGGGTTCAAGCGGTTCTCCTACCTTAGCCTCCTGAGTAGCTGTGATTAAAGGCGCCCACGACCATGCCCAGATAATGTTTGCATTTTTAGTATAGACAGGGTTTCACCATGTTAGTCAGGCTGGTCTCGAGCTCCTGACCTCAAGTGATGCTCCTGCCTCCGCCTCCCAAAATGCTGGGATTGCAGGCATGAACCACTATGCCTGGCCTGTTTTAGCCATTTTAATAGGTATGTAGTGTTATCTCATTATGGTTTTAATTTGCATTTTCCTAAGATGTTCAATGAATTTTTTCATGTGCTTGTTTGTCACTACACGTATTTTTTGGTGAAGCATCTGTTATAATTTCTTACCTTGTAAAAAACTGTTTTTTTATTATTAAGTTTTGACAGTTGTAGATACAAATCTATTAACATATATGTGTGTTTATATTTTTTTATAATATAAATATATATTATATATTATAAAAATATATATTCACATATATTTATATTCTATATATTATATTTATATTTTAAAATATATATATATGCATGTGATATATAATATATAAAAATATAAATGTGTATAAATATATATATACACATATATATGTGTATATGCATGTGTATATATATATGTGTGTAAATATTTTCTCCCAGTCTGTGGCTTGTCTTTTCATTCTTTTTTTACTTTTCTTTTTTTTATATATACTTTAAGTTCTAGCATACATGTGCACAACGTGCAGGTTTGTTACATATGTATACATGTGCCATGTTGGTGTGCTGCACCCATTAACTCGTCATTTACATTAGGTATATCTCCTAATGCTATCCCTCCCCCCTTCCCCCACCCCACAACAGGCCTCAGTGTGTGATGTTCCCCTTCCTGTGTCCAAGTGTTCTCATTGTTCAATTCCCACCTATGAGTGAGAACATGAGGTGTTTGGTTTTTTGTCCTTGCAATAGTTTGCTGAGAATGATGGTTTCTAGCTTCATCCATGTCCCTACAAAGGACATGAACTCATCATTTTTTATGGCTGCATAGTATTCCATGGTGTATATGTGCCACATTTTCTTAATCCAGTCTGTCATTGTTGGACATTTGGGTTGGTTCCAAGTCTTTGCTATTGTGAATAGTGCCGCAATAAACATACGTGTGCATGTGTCTTTATAGCAGCATGATTTATAATCCTTTGGGTATATACCCAGTAATGGGATGGCTGGGTCAAATGGTATTTCTAGTTCTAGATCCTTGAGGAATCGCCACACTGTCTTCCACAATGGTTGAACTAGTTTACAGTCCCACCAACAGTGTAAAAGTGTTTCTATTTCTCCACATCCTCTCCAGCACCTGTTGTTTCCTGACTTTTTAATGATTGTCATTCTAACTGGTGTGAGATAGTATCTCATTGAGGTTTTGATTTGCATTTCTCTGATGGTCAGTGATGATGAGCATTTTTTGATGTGTCTGTTGGCTGCATAAATGTCTTCTTTTGAGAAGTGTCTGTTCATATCCTTCGCCCACTTTCTGATGGGGTAGTTTTTTTCTTGTAAATTTGTTAGAGTTCTCTGTAGATTCTGGATATTAGCCCTTTGTCAGATGAGTAGAATACAAAAATTTGGGAGATACCTGTTTTCAAAAACTGACTAGACAGAACATAATTATAGTGCTTATTACATTGCTTTTGGAATTATTTGCTAGTTTTACTGGCTGCTCCTCTAGAAGATGGGACCCTTAAAGCCTATAATTATGAATTATTGATCTTGGTATTACCAATACATACTATTTTGAAGAAAACATAGTAGGGTCTTTTAGAAATAAGAAATGAACAATAAATAGGCTAATAGAAAGGCAAATAGGCATAATATCTGGAAAGGGTACACATGAACTGAATCAGAGATTGAGATTAGTGAACAAAAAGCCCCACTGGGAATAATAACTTAGGTTGGCCAGAACCTGAGGAGTACGCAGTACATCTTTCCTGGAAAGCAGAAACAGTGTGGTAGAGCAGAAGCAGCATAGACTCAACTATAAGACAGACCTCAGTTCAAATCATGGCTTTTCTATGGTGTTATGGACTGAATTATGTCCCTCCCCAAATTCATGCTTTGAAGCCCTTACTTCCAATGTGACTGTATTTGGAAATAAGGCCTTTAAAAAGATAATTAAGGTTAAATGAGGTCATAAGGATGGGGCGCTGATCCAATAAAACTGAAGTCCTTATAAAGAAGAGGAAGAGACGCAGAGACCTCTCTCCCCACAACTCCCTGGACATGCACACATACAAAGGAAAGGCCATGTGAGGACCCAGTAAGAAGCCAGCTTTCTGCAAGCAAAAAAGAGAGGCCTCACCAGAGCCCAACCTTTCTCATACCTTGATCTTGGTCTTCCAGAAAATAAATGCCTGTTTTTTAAACCACCTAGTCTGTGGTATTTTGTTATTTATATATATAATATAATTGTTATATAATTGTATTATATGTTACTATTATATAATTATATTATATTATTTGTATTAGGCAACCCAAGTTGACTAATACTGTGGTTAAATATTTGACCTTGGACAAGTTACTTAACCTACGTGAGGTTTAATTGTGTTTACAAAGTAAAAAGAGAGAAAGAACAATAATAACAATAATATTGTGGTACTCATTAATGCTCTTCACTGAATATTTCTGGTTCTTCTTCTTTGAGTAATTGGTGGAATTACACTTCCATTCTTCCTTGATTTCGGGTATGGCCATCTAATTTGCTTTCACCAATGAACTATGGAAGACTTTAATTATATCACCACTTCTTCCTCTTACCCTAGACACTGGGAATGTTTCAGATAGTAAAGTCTCTATCACCTGGGTCTCTGAGTGGGCATGATATGGAACAAAGCCCCCATTGACCTAAATATTACATGCAGCATTGGCAAGAAATAAGTCACTGAGAGTTGAGGGTTGTTATTATAGCTCATTACATAGGTATACATAGGTTGTTGAAATAATTAAATGAGATATTTTAAAGTGCCTTTGTTGATTTTCAAGTCTCTGTGGGCTTGAAGCTGCTGGGTTGAAGAATGTTAAAAAGTTGCACATTTTCTAGTTTGAATATAGAGATTTTTTGGTAAGGCAATACCACTGTGAAGTTTATTACTAAGAGAAGTTCCAGCCTTAACAACTCTCAATTGATTGGGGCAGTGCTTATAGCCTTGTTGGAAAGAAAAGAAAGAAAGAAAAATACATACATATATATATATATGTATGAAGAGCAAGACAGTGTATACCAAAATGTATACCTAAGAGTAGATATCTAGCGCTGGCAATCAGTACTCAGAGTAGCTATCTAGCACTGGCAATCAGTACTCAGCAAGCTCTAATAAGGTGTGTGTTGTGTGGCAAAGGGAGTTAGGAAAGAAAGAGGCCAGGTGGAGCTAGAGGAGATGGGGAAGGGAGTTTGAGAGAAATCTTGAAGATGGGTAGGGTATGAGCAGATGGTGAGTAGACAAGACTGAATTTCTAAAAACTGTAAAATACATCTAAAACATTTAAGTCTTGCTCTTCTTGTTGCCATCCTCTGATAAGAAGTTGTATGATTTTCAGGTGCAGTGGCTCATGCCTATAATCTCAGTCCTTTGGGAGGCTGAGGCAGAAGGCTGGCTTGAGCCCAGGAGTTCGAGACCAGCCTGGGAAACATACTGAGACACCATCTCTACAAATTTTTTTAAAAAATTAGTCAGGCATAGTGGTATGCTCCTGCAGTCCTTGCAACTTTGGAGGCCAAGGTGGGAGAATTTCTTGAGCCCAGGAGGTCAAGACTGCAGCGATCCATGACTATGACACTGTACTCTTGTACTGCAGCCTGGAAGACAGAACAAGACCCTGTCTAAAAAAAAAAAAAATTGCATTTGAATATGAAAAGCTGCATTTTTACTTTTCTTTCCAGGGAATATAATATCATCCAAAGTGCATGGCCTAGAACAATTTTTGGCACATAGTAAAGACAATAAATATTTGTTGACTGAATGTCTGAATACATCATGGGCTTTATAGAAAGACAAACTTGGGTTCAAATCTCAGTTCTCTTATAATGTGTAACCTTTTAAAGGGACTTATCATCTCTATGGTTCATCTTCATCTGAATAAACTGATATACCAGGGAATCCAATCACTTAACAAATAGATGCACTAGGGTTGTTATTCCCTTGTGTATCCATTTATAGTTTTGCATCTAAATGTGGCATAGTGCTTCCACATGGTGGCATTTCAATAAAGGGAATATCCAAGCATTTTTCCATGCTGCAGGATAGCTTTCCTAATGATCACAGTTAATGTTCTTCATGAAGTGGATGCACATTCCTAACATGAAGGGCGTTCTTATATCATAGAGACTGTGCCAATGAACATTATGCCTACAGCTTCTTCCTATTGTTGGATACATTCCTTAGAATCAAGTCCAAAGTTTAGACTCATTGAGTCAAGGGGAATGAACATATGTGTGGGAAAATCAACATTTCAAAGGGGTCATGCAGGAGGTAGTCCTAGCTAGTGGCAGAGTGGAGCATAATTGTAAGAGACCACATTCAGCTGATGAATTTAGATTGAATTAAAAGATTGGCTTAGGCTTGTCAGCAGATTCTTTTTAGCAAAGTTGTTTTCTGGTGAAAACTCTTTCTCAGTTTTAAATTAATCTTCTGCCTTCCATCTCGCAGCTCCCCCACCACCTTCACCTCCCAAACTTACCATCATCACCTCTGGGGTTTCTTCAATCTCTGATTAGTGAATGATACCATCTGAGGCTGGTGTGGCTGCTGGGTGTTGGTTAATCACTTCCTGTACAGTGTGTGGGCCCGTTCTCACTAGATGCCCTGGGTTTCTTTTCACATCTTTCTGTGCTAAAGCTTTTCAATGTGTTTATCATGTAGGTCATGGAGGCTGATTCCAGTACAGCAGAAGGAGGTAAAAATCCATAATGCTACAACAGTAGATGGTGTTTCTAAGAGTAAGATGTAAGCGCACAGAACTCTTCTTGGAAGCAAATGGTGTGTGTGTGTGTGTAGGCCTACATGTTTGTTTTTCTCAAGGTTTTTATTTTCTAGTGTATCCATTTATTCAACAACACTTCATGTTAAAAACATAAACTCATAATCTACCTTCTCATATTTGTTCTCTTCCAGAGTTCTCTACCTTGGCAAATGGCACCACCATCCATCTGACTGGACCAAGCACAAGCTTGAGAGCCACGCTTGACACCTCCTTTCCCTTCAGCACCTCCCTACCACCACATTCAATCTGTCCAGGAATAGCAGGAGATAGAAGGAACACAGGGGAGGCAGGAGAGCAAGGCTGTTGCCCTCATCCGCTACCTCCTGGCTGACTGAGGGCGGATGTGTTAGATAAATCTGAGAACTCAAAGAAGCGCAGAGGTTCTATTCTGCAACCCAGTAAAGATGAAGAGGAGGAAGCTAATTCCCAGGTGCCTACACTGAGCTGACAGACAGATGCCTCTCCCTGGTAGCTCCAGCACAGTAAAGCAGAGGCAGACTCCAAGGCTCCCTTTGCTGAGTTGCCTTTGCTTCCAGTGAAGGAGAACCCAAGAGTCCAGCAAAGGAGTTCTTGACATGACAAGGGTGGAGGATCTGAGCACCCAGGGCCACTGAATGGAGCAGCCAAGCCAAAGCCAAATGGGAATCTCATCAGAGTTGTCTGATGCCAGAGAGAGCCAAGGTCGGGATGAGTCAGCCAGAGGGTGCTCCCAGGCTCTGATCCAGCTGAGAGGGGCCAGATCATGTGTTACACTTCTTCAGAGGCCAGAGGAAGCACAGGGCACAGGCACAAAGACCCTAAATCTTCCCCATGGCCCTCGTGAGGTTGCAGAAACCACCACCACCCCTCACACGTATATCTGGACACACCAGATGAGAATATACCAGAAGGAAGAAGAATATTATCTGAAAGATTGAGCCATTTGTCCAAAAGAGATTAATCTAAATATACTTTAATATTGGTTTTAATATTGATTTAAGCCTTAATTTGAACACAAAATTTCTCTTTGCTAACCAGCTGGGTGAGGACTTTAAAGGAAGGTTATATTAGGTGGAGAAAAAGTAAAGTATGTTTTCTCTGCATATCCAAATCATAGTACAAAGTAAATACTGTGCATCTGACACACAGGAATAAAAGGACCATGAAATCACTTGTCAAAAATCTTAGCAGTTTAGAAAAACCAGGCAGAAAGTTGCTGCAGGGTCGGATGGGTCACTTTCTTAAAGTTCCCACAGATAGGGCTGACTGCAGCTTTCACAACTGTAGAAAACACAGGAGGAAATTCAAAGAGCGAACCACGATGGTGGATTCCTAACTCTTGGTCAGACCCGCCCTCTAAGTGGTAGCTCAGCTAGTCTGCCCATGGTGGGCACCAGGCAACTTCCATGGAGAGGGGATATGCCCACTCACGTCCCCTCCTGGTCAATACTTATAGGCATGTCAGCAAAAAGACTTGTTTAAAAATAAAGAGTCCACAATATATGATGACCCATACACATGTTTCAAACTGTGAAGCATAAATATACTTATTGTAGGGAAAAAATAGTACACAATGAAAACAACCACATGGGCCTGGGGTTCACTACCTGCCCCTTTCCACTAGGACAAGACAAAAGGCCTTTGACATTCTCTTCCCTGAATCTGTTCTGCAATCTCTTCTTCAGTTATCCTTGTGATTCATCCATGGATCTCCTGCATGCTGTGCTGGGTCACGTGCCACCAGGATCCTTCACAGGGCACATCCTGTCATTGTATCAGGTCTGAAGCAGTAATAGTCAGTGAGCTCTCTCGGTCCTTCCTCCTGCAAAGTCTTCATCTTCCTAACTCTGACCTTTACTGTTCTTGTTTCTAATTGCACAACAAATGTAATGTGTAGGCTGTATTTCTCCTCCAGTGAAAATCCACTTGGTCCAGTGCCTGCTGCTAGTAAACCTAGCTAGTAAGGTTAGAAAACCTCTGCTCTTCATCATGCTGAAAGAGATGGCCTTTATAGCCCTCTTTAACTGCTGATGGGAATAGGACAACTTCTAGGCTGGCTGCCTTGGCTCCCCCATCCCCGTTATTCATAAGGTTTTACTCTAAATCGTTCCTGCACCCCACTGTTAAGTGTCCTGCCAGATGCATCAAGGGGATTTACAATCACCCATTTGTGCACTCCATGGACTTTCCTGCTTAGTTCTGTAATTCCCTCTGCTTACGTAGATGAAACCCATTGTTACACTTGTGCGCTTACCCATGTGCTTAGTGCTAGCAATTCTGAGCACTCGATATTGTCATGAGAAAATACTACAAGATTGCAACCCAGCTCTCTGCACAGGCAGGCCTATCCTCCCCGCAGTAGCATATGAGCTCCATGAAAGCTACAATCTAGAATGCTACATCCCAGTGTCTTGAACTGTGCCTGACATGTAGTAGGCACCCAATAGACATGGGTGGAACAGATGATTGAGTTGATGAGCAGAAAAAAACAAGAGGCATGTTGCATCTTCTGTGCACAAAATCCCACCAGCAAAGGAACCTATGTACAAGCTTCTTTTTTTGTTAAAGGCCTCCCCTTACACCTCGCCAACCCCACACCCTTTTTCAATACACAATCTCCTGGAAAAAAAAAAATCCCTGTGTGATCTTTAAATATTACCCTTGTGCTGGCACCTTCTTTGCCAAAGGCAGGAAAAACTCGTCTATCAAGTTTCCCTTCATTTGAGCAGAGGCAACTATCTACAGCTTTGGAACTATGGCTCTCTCACCAGCAGCTGAGCACTTTGATCTTCATGCCATTCCCCGAAATAAAGAGGCAGAAGCCAAACCGTAGCCTGGTCTCAGCTCTCCTAGCCTCAAGCTGCATGAGGCAGAACCATCCAAAGGGCCAGGCATCCATGGACATCTGGCAGAGAGGGCGCAACCCCCTCTGGGCTCCAGCAGCTCTCAGCGGTGCTCCTTTGAGGTTCTTTGTCCCCAGGGAGTCTAGTATGTGTGGCCAAGAGTTTCACTGGCTCTTTGACTGTAGCAAGCATCTTAACTTAGTTAAACCTCAGTTTTCTTATCTATAAAATTAGAATAACAATAGTATCTGCCTCACAGGATCATTATGAGAAATAAATAAGACAGTATACACAAAGTGCTTGGCACAAAGTAAGAGCTCAATAAATGATAGCTATTATTATTCCTGCTTGGTATGATTTGTTCATGCACTTTTGTTGTAAACAAATAAACAAATGCAACCTGCAATCTGAAATAAATAGAAAAAGCTCACCTATCATTATTAATTCATTCAACAAAGACTGTGTCAGGCCCCAGATGAGACAGGCAAGGTTTTCAAAGTTTTGGTGTTGAGTCTTTAAGTCGTCTGGGTCTTCACTTAAGTTGATCCCTGGAATCATAAGTACTCTCTGTTTGCGTTTCTCTCTCTCAGTGCCCACAACTCAGCTGAATGTAATGTTTCAGGACACTTTCCTGAACTGGACACATCTTAGGCTGGATCCTTTGGAAGGCAAATTCTGACATTAGCGTTTAGGAAATTTGTAAGAGAGTTCTCTAGGGATTAATACCTGTGGAAGAGAGAAGAAGAAAGCAGACTGGTCAGAGGGAGAGTCCAACAAAGCAATGCAGTCCCAGCAAAGGCCTCAGAAACTCCACAGACATGTCCCAAATTGGAGAGAGTGGGCTGGACCTTTATACCTCCAAGTTGAATGACTCACTGGATGTAGGCTGCCTCTGGAAGGTGTGACCCTGGATGAGACAGTTTTCTTCAGCCAAAACAATCCCCAGCCCAGAGACGGCTGTCAGCTGAGGGTGATCTTCTGGGAGTACTCCCTGCGGCTGGGAGAATGATTCCCTCATTTCCTAAAGGGGACTTGGGTAGTGCAACATAACATGTACCCTGTACTCCCTCTAAAGATATGTTGAGCCCCATCTGCTTGACTTCTGTGCCTAGCCCTCAACTGATACATTAACATGAGTGGGAAAAGAAGAGAGAAATTTATCAGGCCCCATGAAAGGAATTTATCATGTTCCTGAACATTCAATCTCATTAACAATCTCTTATCCAGATTGGGAGATTCTCCTCTTCAGTTTCACAGCTCAAAGTCCTTTCTTCATTGCTAAGCATTTCTGGCATCAAGACTAGAAGTCAACAAACATAGGGGGATTTGCAGTACACAAGGTGAATCAAAAAATGTGAACTAGGAATCACGAAATAATTTGGGTGAGGGAGTATTAAGCTTATAACCAGATTGGTCTGGGCCCAGTTTAAGACAGTTTTTGATACTTCTATTGCATTTTTTGAAGAGAGAGGAAGGTAAGCAGAGTTCAGTCTCGCCTGAGAGAAAGAGGAGATGGTTCCTTGGATTGCCAGGTAGATCCACCACTGTGATCAGTCTGGCGCAGTCTAGCTTAATAAAATGTGGCTGGTGGTTGTGCTGTCTGTGGCATGCTCCAGCAAGACCAAACTCAAGATATATTGAGCGTAAATGCCTATTTGAACGAGTTCTAGGATCACACAGTGGATTGCAGACGTGTCTTCAATTAAAGCTGCTCTCAGGAAACTACCACTGCCTTCCACCCTAGGAAGAAAATATCCAAAGGTCAACCCTGAACTGAGGATTGAACTTGGATTTTAGGCTTATAACAGATTTTAATCAGGGTTTCTGAGTCTCCAGGGTATTTTCTTAGATTTCTCACTATTGACCACTAACACTTTTATGAATTTTAAGAATTACAAACAAATCCAGAATTTATTTTAGTAAGTTTGTTTATTGTAATGGAATAGGTGAAACAATTCTGAAATGAGTGTATATGTATTACAGGATTGAGAAAGGAGTGAACAGCATATTGATGTTGTTAAGGTTTAGGGTTTCACTGTGGAAGAAGGAGCATGCAAATATGAATTGGAAGAAAGCAAGAAAGAATCCAATGGGGGTGGAAATGGAGATAAACTCATGATTTCTAAAACATGTGTATGTGTGTGAATATACATATTTTAAGTGCATATATTTCCTAGCTCTGTCTACTGAAAGCATCAAAAAGCAAAAACACACCAGTAGCAATGAGCACACTTAGCGCCCAGATCTTGGTATCTAATACCATTCCCCAGTAAAAGGAACCAGACCCTTAGAGAAATGGCTGGTTCCAGAGTTGAGGTGGGGTAGGGGCAAGATGAACCTAGAACACCTTATTATGTCAGGAAGTAAGGACAAGAGAGAGAGAGACAAAGAGAGGGAAAGATTGGAACATGTCACAAGGATGCAGGAGTCAGAGTGACTCCCACCAACCAAATCCATTAAGTATAGTAATGAATTACAACTCATCGGAAAAAAAACAACAACAGGAATTCATGAATCCTCACCAATAATGAATAAATAAGTGGAGAAGGGAGAGCTCTTGCTTACAGTCAACTGCCAAGGACCAGCTAATAAATGTGCAGGAAGGGCTATAGCTGGAAAATGATCACTTTACAAACATCATAGTAAAGATAGAATTAGGCAAGGACCATCAAATGAAAGCTAAATCTAGAGGGGAATTTTGACTAGGAGCAGAATATTTTGAACTATCTTTGTTTCCCAGAGACTGTTATTAGGTTGGTGCAAAAGTAATTGAGGTTTTTGTGTTCTCACTCATAAGTGGGAGTTGGACAAGGAGAACACATGGACACAGGTTGGGGAACATCACACACCGGAGCTTGTCAGAGGGTGGGAGGAGGGGAGGGAGAGCATTTGCACAAATACCTAATGCATGTGGGGCTTAAAACCTAGATGACAAGTTGATAGGTGCAGCAAACCACCATGGCACATGTATAGCTATGTAACAAACCTGCACGTTCTGCACATGTATCCTGGAACTTAAAGTAAAATAAAAAATAAATAAATAAATAATTTTAAAAAGTAATTGTGGTTTTTGCCATTGAAAGGATATAACAGCAAAAAATGCAATTACTTTTGCACCAGCCTAGTAATTAGTTGCAAGGAAGGAAAAAAATAGCCATTATAAAGTGGAGACATTGAACAACACCTCAACTGAGTGATTGAAATCAATATCATCGAGAGGGACAGATGGATGTCATGAGCAACCAGATGTGATACCCTGAGAAGGACACATCTAGGCAGCGTTCTTGCCAGAAATGTACAACCTGAATGTAATCATGAAGAAACATCAGAAATCTAAAATGAAGACCATTCTATTAACACAAACGGGAAAACAGCTGTATTCTTTAAATATGTCAATTTTATAAAAGACAAAGAAAAGCTGTGGATAAAGACCAAAGGTAGACAATAACAAGTGTTAGGCAGGATGTGCAGAAACGGAAACTCTCATACACTGCTGGTGTAATTTAAAATGATGCAGCCGGCCCGGCGCGGTGGCTCACGCCTGTAATCCCAGCACTTTGGGAGGCCAAGGTGGGTGGATCACGAGGTCAGGAGATCGAGACCAGCCTCACCAACATGGTGAAACCCTGTCTCTACTACAGATACAAAAATTAGCCCGGCGTGGTGGCGGGCACCTGTAATCCTAGCTACTCAGGCGGCTGAGGCAGGAGAATCGCTTGAACCTGGGAGGCGCAGGTTGCAAGATCATGCCACTGCACTCCAGCCGGGGTGACAGAGTGAGACTCCGTCTCAAAAAAAAAAAAAAGAAAATTTAAAATAAAATGGTGCAGCCGTACTATTTTGCCAAACGGTCTTGTAGTTCCTCAAATTGTAAACATAGAGTTACCATGTGACTCAGAAATTCTGTTCCTACACCTATACTCAAGAGAAGTGAAAATCTAAATCCACACAAAAACTTGTACCTGAATATTAATAACAGCATTACTCATAAAAGCTGAAGGTGGATAATAGGCAAATGTCCATCAAATGATGACCAGATAAACAAAACATGCTATATCCATTCAACGGGTGTGAATTATTTGGCCATAGAAAAGAATGAAGTACTGACACACACTACAACATGGACGACCCTTGAAAACATGATTTCCTAATGCTCTAAGTGAAAGAAACCAGCCACAAAGTGTCACACATTATGTGACTCAATTTATATGACATGTCCGGAACAGGCAAATATATAGGGACAGGAAGTAGATTAGTGCTTGCATAGGACTAGGGGACAAGGGGAGTGATTGTTAATGGGTAAGTGTTTGGGGTTGGAGGTGAGAAAAATATTCTAAACTTAGGTTGTGGTGATGGTTACACAATTCTGTGATAGACTAAAAGCCACTGAATTGTACACATTAAATGGGTGAATCTTACGGTATGTAACATATCTCAATCAAGATGGTTTTAAAAGTTTGTTCTTTATTTAAATATTTGGGTAACAACAACATTTAGCAGGAAAACATTACTCTGTAAAAAGCAATTTTAAAAAAATAAAGAAATAAAACACACACATACACAAAATGATGGATCAGGAAGCATGAAGGCCATTTGTGACCTTGGCAAAAGCAATTTTATTGGAGAAGTATAGACAGGAAGTAAATTGGACTAGGTCAGAGGAACGGGAAGTGAGGAAGGAGATGGATACCTTTGTGGTGTAGACAACTCTTTCAAGGAGCTTCCATGTGAAGGGAAGAAGAGTGATGGAATGACAGCTGGAGAGTCATGTGGGGCTGGAGGTTTTTCTAATATTGGAGACCTAGAGAGTCGAATGCCTGATGGGAAGGATTCAGTGGAAAAGTCTTGGTTGGACATGCAGGAGTCGAGAGAAGATAATCCACACAGCAAGGTCCAAGAAAAGTTACAGGATCCAGAATCCAAGTGATACCAAGAAGCACACTTCCTTTATAGTGCCAGAAGGAAAGAAACAGGATAGATGCTGGTATAGACGAATCTGTTATTTGGCTGTGCTAAAATGAGGAAGTTCCAGTCAGCTAGCTTCTGTCTGCTTAAAATCATGAGATTTATACATTTGGAAAGGAGAGCTTTCTTATGAAGGATTGCAATCTGCAGGCTGGGAAGCAGGGTCTGGCTGAGACCAAAAGCAGATACTTCTAGAGAGGAATGGCTGGGGCAGGAGTTTCATTAATATGTATGTTATTAAATAACACACGGATTTAACAGGTTATAGGAAGAGCTATGAATATTCATGAAAGAGGGTAGGCACATGTGCGATAAGCAAACACACATGTAACATATGTCCCATGTTCACTAAGGGGTGGAGACAACCTTAAGATGCAGTAAAACTAGGCTCTGTATGTCAAAAGGAGAAACACAGGACACAAAGGCAGTTCGTGTGCACCCTCAGTAAACTGGCCAGAACCACTCGATGGTCACGGATCAGGAAGGAATACTTTGTTAGCTGGTTAGCTGTCATGTCAAAATTGCAAAAAGGGAGGGGAATCTAGCCATGGTGTCAGGCGGTTGGTTGAAGTCAGTGGAGGGATGAGTCTTCCCTTCTTTCTTTTCCAGGGCTGGCTTCTGTTTAACTCTTAGGAAAAAAATTCTGGTAATGGTTAGCAAGGAAAGAGGCATTGAGACACAATGGGCCTCCCTTCTTGTCACGGTTAGGAACAGTTTTCAAAGTTTTTCTGGGGTCTCTTTGGCCAGTGGGGGTCTGCTTAGAAGGTTAAGGAACTTAGGATTTTATTTTTATTGCACATTTTTGGATCCATAGGATCCAGAATGTAGGGAGGGGGAGAGTAGCTTGGGGGTTTGAGGAGACTTTATATCCTGATCTTGGCAAATGTAGTGAGCTTCTCTGAGCCTGTTTCCTCCTCTGTGAAGTGAACAATACCTTGGCATGTTCCTGTGAGGATAAAGTGAGCTAACATAGGCAAAACATAGAGCAGAATGACTATCATGCAGCAGGGTCTCAACAAATGCTAGTTCATTTTTTAGCTTATTTCCATATCCTTGCTCATTCTGCCACCACTCCCAAATATGTACAAAAATAAGAGTTTCTTAAAGGCAATAACCCTATTTTGTTCATCTTCATGCTCTTCGTCTATACTACCTATAATAATGCTTGACACATAATACCTGCTTAATAAATATTTGTTTTCTCAATTGAGATCCAATTTATCTTCACTGAGTAGCTGTTAGGTATCCAGCCCAGTGCTGGGAATTTTCACCAGTGTCACCTCATCGACTCCTCACAGCTACACTGGAAGAGAGTATTGTCATCGCAGCTTGACAGGGAAAGGAACGGAAGCTGAGAGAGGTTAAGTCATCCGGCCCAACAGCTCATTCCAACAGTAATGGCTTTTCACTATCTTATAGCTACCTCATGCTGTTTTTGGTTTAGTTTTGTTGCCATTATTTCTCCCCTCTGAGGCTAGCTTCTAAGCAAGCCTCCAGGACACTGCCTAGAGGACCTTCTGTCAGCTTCAGAGGGGAGGGAACCTGGCATTCTGCTCGCCCTTCTGCCTGCTCCCTCCCACAGAGTCTCCCTCCTTCTTCCTACCTCTCCCTGGCCAAACCTGACCATGCTTTGCACCATGGTTAGGAGATGTAAAGTCTTCTTACTATTTTCAGACCTGATTGAAAATATGTAAGGCAAGAGATTAAAGGATAGTCTTAAAGACTAGCAAATTATCACTCCGAGCAAGTGGAACTCACCATCCAGTTTTGGCATGATAGCAAAAGCATGGTAGAGCTGAGGTGCCTAAATTTTACTGCAACTAGAAAGGAGAGTAGCGAGATCAAGAAACTGAACACTTTGCTATATATATTCTGTTTTTTGTTTGTTTGTTTGTTTGTTTGTTTTGAGAAAGAGTTTTGCATTTTCACCCAGGCTGAAGTGAAGTGGCACGACCTCGGCTCACTGCAATCTCTGCCCCCTGGGTTCAAGTGATTCTCCTGCTTCAGCCTCCCGAGTGGCCAGGATTATAGGCACCCACCACCACATCCGGCCAATATTTGCATTTTTAGTAGAGATGGGGTTTCACCATGTTGGTCAGGCTGGTCTCAAACTCCTGACCTCAGGTGATCCACCCGCCTCGGCCTCCCAAAGCGCTGAGATTACAGGCATAAGCCACCACGCCTGGCCTATATATGTTTTGTGTTTTTAAAAACTTTTCAAAATTTTAATAGTGAAAAATTGTAAACATACAATTATACTAGTATAATTGTATAGTGACCCAATAGAGAAACTTACACTAAATCAATGTATACAACAGTTAGCAAGATTTTGCCATTTTGTCTTCATCTATATATGTTTAATGCAATTTCCTAATTTACTATTATTTCACTCTCGACTTTGCATCTTTTTAAAATGGGCATTTTTTTTCACACAACCATGGGACTGTTTTTACATCAGACAAACGTAACAATCTCTTGGTATCACCTAATGCCAAATTCATATTCAAATTTCTCTAGTTGGCTTACTTTTTTTTCTCCCCTCCCTTCCTTTCTTCCTTTCCTTCTTTCTTTCCTTCCTTCCTTCCTCCTTCCTTCCTTCCTTCCTTCCTTCCTTTCAACAGTTGGCATGTTTGAATCACAATTTCAGATCCACACACTGCATTTGGTTGTTATGTCTCTTAAATCATTTTAGGTAATGTAGTTTCTCAAGCCACTCCCTTATTTTTTAAAGCCAATGCTTAGGTTAGAACCAGGTCCATTGTCCTGTAGAAAGTCCCACATTTTGGGTTAGTTTATTTGGTTCCTTATGGTGAAATTGCACTTGTTCTCTCTCCCCTGTAATTCCTGTCAACTAGAAGTTGGCTTTAAACATGTGATCAGCTTCAGTTATTTTGGCACTGATTCTTCAAGGTGGTGCTGTGTGCTTCACAAGGGACTGCAGCAGAGGCAGCAGTGCTGAGCGTCCCACTCTGAGCCCATTTCCTCCTTTGTAAGGTGAATAGTATCTTAGCAAGTGATGCTGAGATTGATCAGTGGGCTCAGATGGTTGCCCTGTCCTTTTCTAGGGTACAGCAACTGTGTTTGTGAAATTACAATAATCAAATTAAGAGTACTTTTTAATTCATTTGAAAACAATTACGTGCATCTGACTGTGCACCTGACACTCTTGAGGAGAAGATAGAGCGATAAATAAGAAATGCTCCTCCTGCCCTTGAGAGAACTCTCTGGGATAATGGAAATAAAGTGTGAACTGCCCTGGCCTTACCCCTTGAATGGCATCTGCCTCTCTGTAGGTTCACAGCTTTGTAAACACTTATAAAACACAGCCCAGGGGCCAGACATTGTCTTGCTTGGTGCCTGGAGTCTCCCAGGACTTCTGGAAGGCACTTAAGTTCTCCCTATGGGAATTCGGAGTTTTTTCAAACAATGTCCAGGTGGAGTCCTCTTTGAATCCTGAAAAGTCTGATTTCCTAATTCCATAGAATTGGATTTTTTAATCTGTATGTTAGATTTTAAAAAGTAGAAACTCTCGCCTCCCAAGGAGTGAAAGGGTCTTAAATGCGGTTACTTTAAAATTTCTGTGTGTTAAATAACCATGCACCTACATGGGAAAGGGGAAGGCTTAAATCTATACTTGGCAAAATTAGAATTTTAGAATTGGGTCAGCTCAGCTTTTACGTGCTGTCCAAATGCCTTGCCTTTCTGTTGCTTTCAGTCTGCTCAAGGCCCTCAACAAGACTTCTCTGCTTGAATTCAAGAGTATTTTGTATTCAGCAATTGTGTGAGGGATAGATGAAAATGTGGAGTGTAACTCGCTGCCAGTGTTAACACCTCAGAGAATATATGTCAAGTGTATTCCTGGGCTCTGTATTCTTTAAAAGAGGCTGTCCTGAGTCACCTGACACCAAGTACCCTTCTTGGAGCTGAAGGGGCTTGGATGCAGCTGAGGGCGTTGTGTCCCCAGCAGGACAGACATTAAGGGTCTGCTTCTATCTCTGAATATTTGTATGTGGATATACTGCATATACCTTTAAAAGTAGTGAAGTCACTCTTCATTGCAAAAACTCCCTCTGTTTGCATTTCTAGCGATGTTTACTAGCCAGCTCTAGAGCTGGAACAAATCCTTTTCTCCTCCACCCCTCCTTTCCCATTTCTCCTCCTGAATTCCAGGCCAGCCATGGAGACTGAAAGAACAATAACACATTGGCTCCCCTTGCTTGTTGACAGAGGATGCTGCAGGGCTATGGTGGTGACCTTGGGGACCTCCTCCAAAGGAGAGTTCACCCCAACCTCAGCAGGAGTCAGGTTGAGTTCATCAAAACACAGTTCCCCTGACAACTGCTCTAGAGCCTAAAGAAAACAAAGGTGAGGATTTTGCCTCCCTCGTAACATGCACTGGAGCCTGACATCACAACATCAAAGGCCAGCAGCTCCCACACCCTTGCGTCATACCCAATCACATAGTTTCACCCGGTCTCTTGTTTTGCTGCTAACTTTGGTTCGTGTATCAAATAACCCATCAGGAGACCTCCTAATGTGTATGTTTGGGGATATGTGAGAAAATTCTAAAGAATATCTAAAGTAAGGGAAATAAAAGTTTTCATTTTTAGGAGGGTGGGGTTCAGGTGGGAGCAGGATCATTTTGCATAGGCTCATATGTGTAACGTCTATCCTGCCCATACACATCACGTGTGCCTCCAATGGCATGGAGGTGACAGAAAAAGCTATGAATGGTTGCAGTGGAGAAAACCTCAGGTCACAGAAGGTCTTTTCCACCAGCTTGTCTCTTCTTTTATTACCTTTCATAATAAGACATTTTGATTTACTTGCAGGCTCTTACATTTGGGTCATAAGTTAATACTTTTCTGATGTAAACAAATTTATAATTTCAAAGAGCCAGACATTCTCCCACTGAATCACATGCACATTTTTTACATTACAAAGATGGAGCAAGAATGAGAGAAGACCTGTAAAACCTAAAGCATTATCAAGGAACTTCTATGTGCTCAATCCCTTTCCAGGAGATAGGATGGTCTGGCTCTTCCTACTGCACCTGGGTTCAGCTTGTCAGCCAACCACCTATTACCTTTCTTGTAGACTCCACCCCCTCATACATAAATTAGAGAAGAGAACATTATCCTCATAAACATGTTGAGAGATTTAAATAAGAGAGCATGTGTGCAATATTGGCTCCTAGTAGGTACTCAGTATTCATTGGTCCTTTTTCCTATCATGCTGAAAAGTTGAAAGCTTTTTCAGAATTCATCAAATCAGTACAGTAATTCGGAATATGGGCTTTGAAGTCCTACTCCTTGAACTTAAAACCTGCTGCCCTCTCTTACAAGCTCTGTGACCTTAACATTTCATTAGCTCTGTGAGGTCCCAGTTCCCTTATGGGGAAAGTGGAGATGGTGACAATATCTATCTCAAAGGGCTGTTGTGAGGCTTAAATGAGATAACAGTGCTTGATACATGATAAGTACTCAACAAATATTAAATATTATATTCCAGAAGGCTTGAAAATTCGAGCAATACTACACCTGCTACTTGACTTTGTCATCATTACAAACTTACTTTTCAATTTGTAAAAATGCTTCTGTTTTTACCTAAGAGGAGAAAAACCCATCCATTATGGAGCTACTTGAGCTGAAATGTGCTATCAGGAAGCCTTACTCTTGATGGATTGTGGAAGAGTCCATTCAGCAGACAACCTGAGATATGAAATAAGTTACATTTTTGTAAACTCTTCTCACTCTAAGAAAGTTAGGGCCACTGGGTGTTCTTCAGGGACAATGCATGCTTTTGTTGGGGATTGACATCTAAAAGTGTTTGATTGTTCTGTACATGTTGTTTGAAGAATTGCTTTACTAAGATTTAATAGCAAATTCCACTCTAGATTTCCTGCCAACAAATCTATAAAGCTTTGTTTGAGACTGAAAGTATTCAGTTTTTCTTTATAGCTGGGAGGTGCTGGGTGTACGTTAAAAAGAAAAAGAAATAAGAAGGAAGAGGAGAAGAAAAAAAAAGTCTCTCAGGTATAGAGTGAGTGTTTGGTGTAAGAGCTGGCTGGCCAGCTTCAGAGTTGAGCAATTAAGGAAAATACGAAAGGGCCAAGATTAAGAGTAGGGCAATGCTAGGGAACAGCTCTGTTGACTCCCATCCCAGAAGAAATAGCCTAGGCCCTATTCTCTGCGTCTCAATCCACAGCTTCTTTCCTGTCCTGAGCTGATGTGATGACAAAGCAACTTCTAGGGCATTCTTACCAGAATATTTCATTACATAACACCTGCTCAGCCTGCAGCAGCTGCTGCGGGTGTCTCTGATTAGTATCCAACACTGGAGCTCCAGTGTTAGGCTCAGGAAATAAACATGTGATTTTCATGCCATTGTTCATGGATGGCACATGGTTAAAGAGCAGTTTCAGGATTATGTCCCTGAGGTTGTACCCATGTTAAACCACCTTGTATTTATTTTGGAATATGCAGATTAAAAACAGAATTACAGTGTCCATCAATAGAGGACTTTTTTTTTTTGAGACGGAGTCTCGCTCTGTCACCCAGGCTGGAGTGCAGTGGCGCGATCTCGGCTCACTGCAAGCTCCTCCTCCCGGGTTCACGCCAGTCTCCTGCCTCAGCCTCCCGAGCAGCTGGGACTACAGGCTCCCGCCACCACGCCCGGCTAATTTTTTGTATTTTTAGTAGAGACGGGGTTTCACCGTGTTAGCCAGGATGGTCGCAATCTCCTGACCTCGTGATCCGCCCGCCTCGGCCTCCCAAAATGCTGGGATTACAGGCGTGAGTCACCACGCCCAGCCTGGAGGACTTTGTTTTTAAAGATGGATAAACATCATAAATACAATACTGAGTGAAAACAATGGATTACAAGAGGATATGTAACTATATGAAGCCATGTATGTGAATTTTAAAGTAACACTGTACTATATATTACTTACAGAAGCAAACACATATTGGAAAGTACGAAACCATGCCCAGAAAACATGCACACCACCTTTAGGATAATTAGTTAGCTCTGAAAAAGGATAAGGGGCGGGGGGTGAAGAAAAAGAATGAGAGGGATGGGAGCAGGAGTTTACCTGTATCTGAACTATTAGTTTTCTAAACCCAAAATAAGGAGAACCGAGACTGATAAGTGAAAATGTTAACATCTATTAAATCTAGCTGTTAGGTGTAAGGATATCTGTTATACATCCTGTACTTATCTATTTTTCTAATATTTCATAATGTAAAATTTTTAATTAAAACATGGCATATCTACACAATGGAATACCATTCAGCCATTTAAAACATAAGGGAATTCTATATAGGTTATCAAAGAAATGTGCACAAGAAATATTTTAGACCAAGAAAACAGATTGCTGTATAGTAGGAGCCTATGATCTATTTCTGTTTAGTATCTCACACACACACACACACACACACACACACACACGCGATCTCTTTTGAATTTGTATCCCTAAACCATTCCAATGGGCCCCATACTCCATATTTTATGCCTGAAATCTCCATTTGGATGTCACCCCAGCAATCCAAAACCTACTAGGTCCAAAACCAACCTCTTGATCCTCTCCTCCAGATGTTCTCACCTTCTGCTTCTGCTCTTTCCCATCTCCGGATGTGCCACCACCCTTGCCCAGGTGATCAAGTGAAAATTCCAGGAGTTGATGATGATTTCTCTCTTTCCCTCCAGCCTTGCCAGTTTTACTTGCCCAGTCTCTAATCCGTCCCATCTGCCCATGTCCCTGCCACCCCCTTGTTCATCCCCCTCTTACTGAGAAACCTTCAGGAATTCTGTGGCCAGCTGTCCTGGAATTCACTGTTGCTCCCTGCAATCCTTTCTCACATAGCATCCAGAGGAGTCCTCTGAAGACATAAATCATTTCTACCTAAAACGCGTTAATACTCCCATTGTTCTCAACTCCTTAATCACGAGTCTGGACCTCTCACCTTCTCCAGCCTAATGTGGCGGAATCCATCTCCCCCTCCACTCCTGCACTCCACTCTGGAATATTTGCATTTCCCTAGGGACCTCATATGTTCCCCTGCCCAGGGCCACTGTACATGCTATTCCTCTTGCTTCAGTGCTTGATTCTTTTTCTTTGGAATCATAAATAACCCATACTTTTAATTAAAATGTCCACACCAAAGGAAAATCAAATAAATTTATCTATTCATTTGACTTTTCTAATACTTAATATTTTAGTTATTTGATTTAGCAAATAACCGTTGTCTACCAACCATGTTCCTACCTCTGTGTGAGACGTTATATTTCCCTTGTTCAGCTTTCAAATCTCAAGCCCAATTGCAATAAGCATTATGTAAGGGCTCCCATTGTAATTATAGCCTTTAGTACAGGAATATCTACAGCTGAGCCTATCTCTGCCATGATTCAACAGAAATGCAAACACATTTTCATTTCTCAGAGAACAGAAAAACTCTTTCCTACAAAGCTATCCTTTTAGCGGGACAATGCTACACAGTCGCCATTGAAATCATTCTTTCTCTTATCATACACAACTACAAGTCCAAAAACCAAACCAATTTCACCATGTTCCCGTTGACCACTTGTTCTGAGATTGCTGCATCAACCCTATCTTAAACTGCTCCCTGTCGTTTACTTTTTGTGTCTAGAGTGTACCAGGTACTCACTGAGGAGCTTCAGGGTGAGAGCCCACTGTGATCAGTTTCTGGGATACACAGCCAGGTCCCCAGTGCCCTGTGAACTCTGCCTGTCAGAGCTGGTTGTCTCATTGGGCAGAGTTCAGATAAGTGACTCATTTCAAAATCCTTGGGGGCAAACATGTACAAGGAGAATATGCATGAGTAAGACCTGAATTCTCTGGGTTGATTATAGATATTAACTCGAGTAATTTCTTTCTTTTCTTTTTGGTTCCCTAAAAGACCTGAGCGTACTACAGAATATTCAGTGACCGTCTGACTAATCGTGGGATGTATGGAGGTAGTTTCGCATCGTGTGTAAAAGCATGGGCTTTAGAGCCAGAGAAAACTTGCTCAATATGCTCTTTCCTTCATGACCCGCCCTTTGCTTTCAGACAAACTCCTACTTATCCATCAACACCCACCTTAAGAATCACTTCTGGAAACATTTCTCCAATGCAATCAATCTGAGTAGGCAAATATTTTTTTTCTTGGTTCCCAGAGTATGCCTAGTATGTTTAGGTTAGCACTTGCCATACTGTCTCATAATTATTTGCTTACTTGTATGTCTCCCTGTTGAATAACTAGGTCCTCCAAGACCATAACCATACCTTACCCTTTAGCATGAGGTCTGTCATATATAACAGTAGTCAACTATGAGTTCTCAGTGGCCAGTCAGACTTGGGTTTAAATCCTGACTTTGCCTTTTTTTTTTTTAACCTATTTGATCATGTGAACTTACTTAATCTCTCTAAGCCTCACTTTTCTTATCTAAAAGGTATCCACCTCTCAGGGTTGTTGAGAATATTAAATTTGGCATTGCACATAAATATTTGACATGGTAACGGGTTTATGTTGAAGAATTTTTAACTTTCATTTTTATTATTAACTTTATAAATGTTTGTTAGGCAAACTAATAAATGAACGACCGAAACCTTTGATGGTGACCCTTCAAGCCAACTGAAGATGGCATCATGAACGAAATGTAGTAGAAAATGTTGGCCAGGCACGGTGGCTCACCCCTATAATCCCAGCATTTTGGGAGGCTGAGGTAGGTGGACCACCTGAGGTCAGGAGTTCAAGACCAGCCTGGGCAACCTGGCGAAACCCTGTCTCTACTAAAATACAAAAATTAGCCAGGCGTGGTGGCATGCGCCTGTAATCCCAGCCACTCCAGAGACTGAGGCAGGAGAACGGCCTGAGCCTGGGAGGCAGAAGTTGCAGTGAGCCAAGATCGTGCCACTGCACTCCAGCCTGGGTGACAGAGCTAGACTCCATCTCAACAAAAAAAAAGAAAAGAAAATGTCATTGATATAATGTCGACTTTTTAATTAAAATACAGCTAAAAATATATGGGTTTTAAGTGGTCGCTTGTAGAGGATGCTTGTTAGAATAAAATAGGCTAACTTTCTAAACTGCTCCCTGAGTTATGGTAAAAAATGAAACTCATGAGTTTAATGCTGAAGGTCTTATAATGTGCGTTTCATAGTCTACCTGTTTGGGCAAGTGATTTTCTCTGTGAGCTTGCATGAGACAGCTTAATTGGTGGTCACTAGAATAGATGCAACTGATTACACATTACTTAAAAGCATTTCAGGTCTTTTTTTTCACTTTGTAATCTTCTACTGTTATCCCTCCTTGGCAACTTTTCTGCTTACTCCTAATTGAAGTTTAAGAGATAGACACATTTTCATAAAAATTTACAGCCTATCATTCTGCCTCAGGCACTTCATTCACTCTTTCCTTAGTTGCAATAATAGTGGCACCAATTCTGGGAATGCCTACTATGTGCTAGCTAGACAGGGTGCTCAGTGACAAACATACCCAATCTATCCTTTTCTCAGAACTCTAACATAGTCTCCCAACACAGCAGATTCTTTGGTCTATTATTTCATTGTTTACCATCCATCTTTCCTTCCCTCCCACCTCTTACCTCCTTGAAAGGTAAGAGCCCAAGGGTAAGGATCTCTGTTTTGTTTTCCAGTATAACCCAAGAAATTTAAACAATGCTAGGCACATAGCTCAATAAATGTTTTTTGACTGCACTTCATACAACCCTGAAGTAGGAAGTGTTATCTTCACTTTGAGGTTGGGGAAACTGAGACCCAGAGACATAAAATAAATAGCCCAGCATCACACAGCTAGTAAATAGCAGCTGTGGCCCTTGTCCCAGGTGGGTGTGGTTCTAAATACTCTACTTTCTGCACTAGGGCATATCTTGTTGCAATAGAGTCCTCTTCTGGAATGTATGAAGCCCATATACTTGGGATGGTTTGAGACAGGATTTGAGATTGAGGATTTTGCAACATCATAAGTGCACAAGATTGTGTTATCAGATCTAGACAAGAAGGTAGGTCAGACTGTTGGCCACAAGGAAGGTGCTTAGAGCAATGGTTGTTCAGTCACAAAACACTCTTTGCTCTGTTCTTAAACAGAATTTCCTGGTCTTCTGAGAGCCCCATTTTTTCTGCGTGCCACAAGTTAATATGATCTCCCTTGCCTCTTACAGACCTCCCAAACTTTCTCTAAAGATTCATAGTGTCTGGGGAGAGATTCCAGTTCCTTTGGAGAAAAGTGGTCTATAAATGCCAGGTGTTATTAAGTATATTAAGTTATTAAATGTATTATAATGATCATTCATTTCTATTCATTCCCTTTAATATCAGGTCTTGGTTCCTGAACCACTCCTATTCAAAACTCAAACTTATTTCATCTTCAGCTCATTCTTCAGTGCGCTAAAAGTAAAGAGAATATTTGCTGAGTTCCACATTGTTAATCTGGATGTAGATTTTGCTGAATGAGCCAAATTAAGAAACCATGACTTGTTGCAGGAGGTTTGCTCCGTCTCCTCTTCTCATCGTACACATTCCTAGACAAGCTCTGCCAATTCCACAGCTTCAGCCAGTGTTTACATGCCGATGGGTCCCCAGTCAGCATCATGCTCCCACTTGGCTTTCCAGACTCCAAACTGATTTTTGCAACTGTCTTCTGCACTCCTCCACCAAAGTGGATGTCTGAAAAGCGCCTTATATCCAGCATGTGCAAAGCCCAGCTGAAGTCTAGGCATCCCTCTGAATTATTTGTCTAAATGAATGGTACCTGTCATCTTTTACTCCTCCTCAATTCTTATTTTCTCACTTCCCACATACAGGCATCAAATTTGGTCCATTCCAAATCAGAAATGCTGCTCACATCTGTTTCTTACTCTTCATATTTACAAACCCTGTTTATAATTCTAGTTCTGGCCCCAATTCATTGTTTACCTCCTTCTAGGTCTTTCTGCCCATTGTCTCTTCCCTCCACACATGGCCAACACAGGACAGATCTGATATTGTTACACACATCTTCAACTCTAGGATCGTCAGCTTTGGCCCCAGCCTATCACACTTACATCACGACCTGTTCCAGGCAAACCCTATGCTTCAAACTCTCCATCCTCCCTTAAAATGCAGTTGTCTTCATTTCTTCATTTCTCCATGCCTTTGCACACTCTGTTCCCCGTGTCAGGAATGCCTTCCCTCCTCTTTGCTGCCCAGCAGGCTCCCATACATCTTTTCGGTCCCATCCCCTCTCCTTTTCCAAATCCCACCAGGGGGAGTGAGTAATACCATCATCTATGGTTCTATATCCCTGGAAATGCCTTCTCAAAACACTTCTTAATAATAGCAGTCAAATAGCACGTTATACAACAGGCATTTTTCTGTTCACTTTGCACACTCATCTTATCCTTGCAACAAACCAAGGAGTAATTATTGTCTTTAGCCTCATGTATGAATCAAAAGGCTGAGACCAGAGTTAAATCACTTGTCCAAGGTCACCCAGCTAGGAAGTGGAATTGCCCCATTTAGACTGAGACAGTCTGCACCAGAATCCATGCACTTGCCTGCTACCCTTTTGTCCTCACTGTGAAATGTATGTGTCTATCTAGACTGCAGGTGTCTGCTTTTCCCAACTCTAAGGCCTGGATAATTATCATTAATGGTTATTTTTCAGGCTTTGGGTGAGCACTGACAAGGCTATCAGAAAGTAGATGTAGACATAGACAATAAAATGCTAATTGAATATTAGCTATTATTATTATTATTATCACACTGGACTATTTCACCAATCAGTCTCCTGACTATAATCCATCCTTCCAGACCATCCTCCACTCTGCCACTGGTTGGTATTCTAGAACACAGATGAAATAATAGAATTCTGATACCTAAAATCCTTCAATCACTCTGTATTGTCTGAAGGACACTATCCAAACTCTTTAGCTAGAAATATGGGCTTTTCATAACCTGAGCAAGCTGTCCCCTGCAGTGTTTTCTCTGCTGTTCCCCTGAAGGGAACTTACACTCAACCGTAAAAAGCACTAGTCATTTTCTGAACACACCTATGACCTGTTTCCTCCCATGTCCTTTCCTGTCTGTTTCCTCAGCCCAGGCTTCCTTTTCTCTTTACCTATTCAGTGACCATCTACTTAGCCATTAAGACTTTGTTTCATGACACCCCCTCTGTAAAACCCACCTGATATTCTTAGGCAGAGTTAGGCCCACTTACTTTATGCTGCCATTGCCCTGGGACAGCTTTCTATCATTCCACTAAAAAGGAAGCAACACTAATTCAGTTCAATTTAATTAAGTTTTGTAACAGATGTCAGCTGGGCCTACATACTTCATGGGTCTATGAGCTCCCTAGGGCTGCCGTAACAAAGCACCACAAATTGGGTGGATTACAACAACAGAAATGTATTGTCTCACAGTTCCGGAGGCCAGGTGTCGCTGGGCCATGCTCTGACAGCTCAAGGGGAGGATCCTGCCTTGTCTCTCCCAGGCTTTGCTGTCTGCTGGCAGTTCCTGATGTTCCTTGGTTATGCAGACACTACTCCTGTCACATAGCTGTCCTCTCCCTGTGCATCTTCACATCATCTCTCCTCTGTGCCTATCTCTTTGCCCACATTTTTTTTAGATGGAGTCTCACTATGTTGCCCAGGCTGGAGTAGCAGTGGTGCAATTTTGGCTCACTACAACCTCCGCCTCCTGGGTTCAAGTGATTCTCCCACCTCAGCCTCCCGAGTAGCTGGGATTACAGGCACCCACCATCATTCCCAGTTAATTTTTGTATTTTTATAGAGACAGGGTTTCCCCATGTTGGCCAGGCTGGTCTTGAACTGCTGACCTCAAGTGATCCACCTGCCTCGGCCTCCCAGAGTGCTGGGATTACAGGTATGAGCAACTGCACCTGGTCTCCAAATTTCCCTTTTTTAAAAAATTTTTTTCTTCTGTCCTCACAATTTGTTCCCACAAATTTCCCCTTTTATAAGGACATTGGTCACACTGGGTTAGGGCCCATCTCAATGACTTTCTTTTAAGGTAACTACCTCTGTAAAGATCCTATTCCCAAATAAGGTCACATTCTGAGGTACTGAAGATTAGTACTTCGACATTTTTTTTGCAGGGGCCGGGGGACACAATTCAAGCCATAACAATGGGAAATGATGTCTACTTGTCCATAACCATTCATTTCAGACACTCCAGCAGTCAGGAGTCTCTCACAGAATTTCTGTGATTGCCATGGCCTACGCCATCCTGTTTATCTGCATTTCCTCTCCTGTGTTCAAATGCGCTGCTCCTGTTACAACACACAGCACCCATTACCCCATGTCTTCAATATTTTCAACAACTCACCTAATAAGATCAGGAATTTCATGCATTTAGTAATTTAAGATGGAGAACTGGTTGCAGGGAACAATCTCATCAGGTAGCTGCCATCTTTCTCACTTCACCTCTTTCCAGAAGCCTGGACAGTTTCCATCCCAGGATCCTCCCAAGAGACCCTCTTTCCTCCAGCTCCCTGGAAGACATATTCCAGTTCTCACCTCCCGCCCCCACTTGGACTGCTCCTCTCACAGAGACTGCTGTCAGACCACCCTTACCTCCTCAGCCACCTCCTCCTGCCCACAATTCAGCAAATTAATATTTTCTCCACTTATAGCATTTCTATGGATTCTTTATGTAATGGCATTAAGCTAGATGCTGATGATACAACACAGAGCAAGACACACATACACACACACTATATATATACACAGTATATATGTGTGTGTATATATATATAGACACTATATATGTGTGTATGTATATATATATATAGACACTATATATGTGTGTATATATATATAGCGTGTATATGTGTGTATATATATATGTATGTGTGTATATATATATATGTGTGTGTATATATATTCCCTGTCAATATGATGTATACAGCCTGGTGGGGAAGGCAGATGTTAACTGCGTGGTTGCAAGTGTGATTAGTATGATGACTGTACAGAAGAAATGTGCTGGGTGTGTATAACAATAACAAGTGCTGCAACTTTTTAATGAGGTTGTATTGCATGCCAGGCACTATTCTAGGTCATGAGAAATCACTATTCTCATGGAGCTTATATTCTAATGGGCAACAGAGACCAATAAAAATGTTAGATAGTAGTAAGGGCTACCAAAAAAAAAAATCAGGATAAAGGAGTAAAGCAGCCTAGGGGTTGTTTTGGTTAGGATCAGGTTTAATTGCACAGGACAGGCAACAAAAATAAAGGTGGCATAATATAAGGTTTGTTTGTTTCTCTGACATGGAGAAATCCAGAGGTAGACAGTCCAGGACTTTTAGAGTAGTTTCAAGATCATCAAGCACCCTCTATATTTCTTCTCTGCCATTGTTAGTGTGTCTTACATTGGCAAGATTGCCTTATGGTTCAAGGTGTCTGCAAGAGCTCCAGGTATCACATCTGAGGTCCAGAAATGAAAAGGGAGTAAGTGAGTGAGGGCAAATAGGGGGCACCTTTCAGCTGAATCATTTCCTTTTAAGGCACTTTGTCAGAAACATCACCCAACTTCTTGCATTTCAATGACAGGGAGATTGAGAAATGAAATTCATCAACTATATACAATACTACTCAAAATATACCATATAACCAGAGTTTATTTATAAGGAAGAAGGGAAAAAGGTATTGGATAGACAACTTGTCATAGCTGCTGGCCCCATGGAAGACTTTCCAGAGAAGGGGAGGCTTAGGCTGAAGCTGAAAGATGAGTGAGAGTGTCAATGCCAAGAGGAGGGTGAGGGAAACAGCTCCACTGCAGGTTGAACAGCAGCTCTGACATTCCAGAGGGCTGGGACCAAGTTCATCTTTGTCCTTCAGTGCCTAGCTCATATCCTGGCCCAGCACTCATCTCATGAAATATTTGTTTACTAAATATCAGCCCCTGACTGAGTGCTTTTGCCACCTTACATATGTCTCTACTCTAAGAGGAATATCCCCCAAAGAGATTCTCTCAGTTACTTCCATTCTGCTTACAGCAAAGCAAATGACTCTTGGGGAAAAATCATCTGGTGCCCAGATACAAATAGGCCATGCACTGAGGTATCCATAAGTCAAAATATGGAAAATGCACTGCAGTAAAAGCTGATCACAATGTCCCCATGAATCAAGAACACTGTTTCACAGACCAGGGAAGCTCCCACACTAGGTGTCCTTTGTTGTTTATAGCCACAGAAGCTGCTGAGGTGGGAGCTAAGGCAAGGAAATGAGAAGAAACCTGCCCAGCCCTTCCTGTTGATGAGATTCCAATGGAGACTGGTTCTCACATTTAGTGATTATTGAGCCAAGTCTGGGAGTTCTGGCACAGGGCCAGACACCACTCGCTGGCAGGCCTGGGACGTTTGCATGGAGCAGCACAGGGGAGAGAGTAGATAAATATGTGCCTTGCTCAGAGCCTGGCATGTGATAGGTGTTCAGTAAATATTGGCTCCCTGAATGGCCGGGGCACTTGAGAAAAGGTTTACAGAGGAGTGATATTTGAACAGATCATAAAGGATAAGTAGGGGTTCTTGCAAGGGAGGGAAGAAGAGACAGATATTTCAGATGGGAGGAGTGCTGTGTGCAAACGGAGAGTGGTATGGACAGCATAGCATGTTCAGGAAACCTCAAGTGGTTCAATGGGTCTGGGGGAGAGTGGAGTGGGAGATGAGGCTGTTAAGATGTATTGTGCAGGACAGGGCTGAGATGTTTGGGCATTCTCCAGTGGGTAATAGAGAGTTTTGATGAATGCTGAACAGAGGAGGAACATGCTCAGAGTTACAGGGTCATTTGTCCCCTTGTCCTTAGCCACTGCCCCAGTGCAAACCTTCCCGAGTCACGACCCTGCTTCCATTGACTGACCTCCCGCTGTTCCCTCACCCCAGACCTTTTCCTCTCTCCATTCCAATTCCTGGCATCACCGTGGGTCCTTTGGGTCTCCTAACAGCTTTGGCTTCTGGCTTCGGTGACCCTCACCTTCAGCAGACCTCTTCAGCCACCCACTGCCAGGGCCTCATTATGGACCGTCTCCACCTTGAGAAAGTCAAACCCTGGTTGTTCCCTTCCTCTGTCATTGACTGAGCAGCCAGAGGGGTCAGGTCACATCATTCACCTGCTTAAATCTGTTCCCTGATAATCAGGACATTGCAAATACAATCCAAACTCCTTCCTGTGGCCTCCTGGGCTCTGCATGTTGTGCCTCCCACCTACTTCTTCAGCCTCATCTCGGATCTCCCTCCCCCTTGTCTGCCATTCTTCCTTGGACCTTCATCCTTTTACAACTACAGTCGTATCTTTACCCCATCATACCAAACCTCTCAAATGAGTTCTTATTCCTTGCTGTCTCCAACTTCCCACTTCCCACTTGCTCCTCAAGCCACTGAATGTGGCTTTGGTTTCCACCAATCTACTCGCACTACTCTTTTCAAGGTTATATTTATACATTGCCAAACCTGATGAGGTCAGGTGGCCATCTAGTCTTGAAACTCACTCCCTCAAAGGTCATTTTCACAATGTTACCTTTTCCTTCTTTTCCTACTTCTCTGTTCTTTCTTAGTCTTTGTGTATTCCTCTCCTTTTATCTACTGTTTAAATATCAGTCTTCTCCAGAGCCCCATCTTCAGTCTTCTTCCCTTCCCACTCTACACATTTCTTTGAGCAGCTAAATCCCTGTCCATGGCTGCCCCGTCCTGTCTTCAGATAATATCCACACACACACACCTCAACTCAATATCTTCCAAAGTAACTTCACCACCTCTTACCCCCACTGCTGGCCAAGACCTATTCCACACCATCTAAGGAGCCCCCACCCGTATCTTTCCCTATGCCCAAGCTGGAATACTGAGATTCATTCTAGGCTACTCCTCTCTCACCCTATACCAATGATTCATCATGACATGTGAATGAGGCTAGCTCCTAAACAGCTCGTACATGTCTGTTTTTCCCATGCCCTAGTTCAGGTCCTTTTCAACTCTCTTCTAAAATGGACCACCTGATTCCTGGGTTCTCTGCTTTTTTTCTTTTTTCATCCTTGCTTGACTCTGAAGGACCACGTCTTAGTAAACTTGATGTCCTCTGGGACTGCCAGAGTGTCTGTCACCTAGTAGATACCTGTAGTAGGTGTTTGTGACTCTATGAATGAAAGAATGGACAAATGGGACAAGGCACTTGGCATCGCCCAGTTCAGTATAATATGTTTGCAACACTAAAATGTACTAATCTCTGTTGTCACAGCAACTGTTTTAGGCACTTATTATTCTTAACCTCTCTGGTTAAATAATTTGACTAAGGTCATAGAATTAGTAAGTGGAAAAGCCTGGATTTGAACTACTGGGATCAAACCTTAAATGTTCCACCAAATCATAGAGCTTTTTCCAGCAGTTGCATTACTTTTAGGTCTTACTAAAAAGCTGATGTTAGCCACATTGATCTTCTACTCTACTGAGCAGTATTGTCTCTAAATGACACTTTTTCCCCTCAGGAAATAAACTGCTTTCATTTCCTCAAAACACAAAGGTTGTCTTCACTGTTGCTTTTCCAAAGAGTGTGTGGTCCTGTGCTACCTAGGTTAAGGCATCTGTCCTGGTATGTACATTTCAAAAACTGCCCCTGGCAACCAAAGGCAGGAAGATTTATATGTTCCTCCGTGGCTTGAGATATCCACCTTCTTGATGATTCTGGTAGCTAGCTATCTCTTAGAAATACTAAAATAGACAAAATATCACCCAAAGAGAGTTTGAGTTCCTGCACTGTCTTCCCCCAAACCTGCTCCTCCTCCTGTATTCCTTATCTCAGTGAATGGCCACCTGTTTCTGAAGCCGGAAATCCAGTCATTATCTGAGTCCTCCCTCCTCCTCCCTCTGCACATCCAAACCAGTGCCAAGCTGAGTCTATTCTTCCTCTGCGGCATCCCATGAGCCTGTCCTCATCTCTCCATCCCAACCACTTTTGCCTTCATTCAGACCCCCACCTGAATCTTACCTGCATCAGGAATCAGCTGCCTGACTCCTGTCTTCACTTCCATTTTGCACACAACAAGCCAGCACACACACTGTTGCCCAAGTCACGCAAGCAGGCAAATTGGCTCATCTTAGGGTTTCTGCCTTTAAGTTTCCAGTGTCTTCTCATTTGTCTCAAGTTAAAGGCCCAAGTCTTCATCATGTCACCTTGGTGGGGACCCATCATGGTCTGGCCCCAACCAACCTCTCCAGCCTCCCCTCCCCACACTGTCCACCTCTCAGCTTGGCTTGTATCATCTCTTCTTCTGCCCTTTTTCACTTTCTAGTTTTCCTATATAGATTGCCCCCCACTCCCTCATTTCATTGGCAAACTCCAACTGGTCATTCAAATCTCAATTTAGCCATCATCTGCTCCCACCATCCCTGGCCTCCACAATCTGTGTGAGAGGCCTCATTGGTTTTCCTAGGAAAGCCACAGCACTTACCCATACTGTACCGGGATGGTCACTCAGCGAGCTCTGTGAGGGATCTTGTTCATCTCTCTGCCTCTAGGTCCTCAGCCAGTGGCTTCATGAGTTTGTTGAATAAATGAATCCCTGTTCTCATCTCTCCAAATTTTCCGCCCCACCCCACTAGTGGGGGAGACATAACACTGAGCTATCATATATCACTGTTATAAAAACTGTAATGGATTTCTGTGTAAGTTGCTCTGGGAGCAAGGAGAAGCCTTGGGTGTCTCAGTGGACATTACGGCAGAAATATGCCTAGGATGTTATTATAAACAAACAGAAAGGGCACCCAAACTTCAACCCTGAAGAGCAGTTTAAGAATAATTCATAACTCCACACCAGTGGTCCCTATTTTCTTACCATATGAAGATCTCTTCAAATATCAAATAGTTTAGAGCCCAGACACCCCCCATCCCATGTCATGGTAGTTGATGCAGAAGATCCTAAAATCTTCCAATTTCAGTAAGGATTTCAACTGATCGCAATGCCATCTACAGAAAATTCACAAACTAGCAGTACATGAAAGTGAAGGATGGTTTATGATGCTTAGATTATGCCTGGCATGGCTATGGATTTGTGAGCCCCCTGGGAAATCTCCACAGCCTCTGCAGGAGCCAGCGGTTTAAACCAACTGATGCCAAAGTCATCCAGGCCCTCTATGCCCTTCAGGTGCTCTCTCCTCCCAGCTCTGGACCAACACAGGAAACTCACTGACGTGGAAGATATGGTTAAAAAACGAATAACTGGTAACATCTTTATAACAAAGTAGTCTACTCAGCCATTAAGAGATTTGTTCAGAATGATACAAATTTGTATTTTAACACACAGTGAGCAGATCTAATACATTCCCTTAGGCAGCTAATCATGGACTCACTCTACTGTAAAGCCTGCTTAGCTGTCACACAATGAACTGCGATCACTGCCTTTCCCAGACAGCATGGGTCATGTCGCTGAGGCCTCCTCACAGCACGGCAGGTGAGTTGGTGTGGGGTCCGTGTAAGGCTGCTCCACTGACTTCAAGTGTTCCATGCACCCTCACAACCTCAGGTCCTCCTTTCAGCAGCTATGTTCAGCCAGGGCACAGGAAACAAGCTTCCATAGTACTTTGTTCATACCTTACTTATGACATCTTATTTATTCTTTCTCTTTTTTTTTAGTTACTTAAGTTATATGTACTTATTTAAAAATTCAAATGAAATCAAAGTTTATAAAATAAAAAACAGAAGCTTCCTACATCATTCCCCAGTCCCATTTCCCAAAGATAACCACAGATAATAGTATAACAGTGCTTTGTTCTACTCTGTTCTTTAAAAAGAAAAAAATTAAAGCATACTATACACATTGTTCCACAACTTGACTTTCGTTTTCTTTTTCTCTTTTACTTTTTTCACTTTTTATTATAGAAATCATCAAACCAATAAACAAATGCAGAGAAGAGCATAATGAATCCCATGTACCCATCAACAAGCTTCAACAAATAGCAACAGTTTTCCCATTTTGTTTTATTAATATTTATCCTTTCTCCACTACCTCCAATTTTTTCCTGAAACATCTCAGGTAAATCTCAGCCATCATATTATTTCACCATAGTACTTTACTATGTATTTCTAACAGGTAAAATATTTTAAAAATAAGAAGATTTTACCATTATCATATTTAAAAATAATAATCTTTTATAATATTCTGTTCTTTCTTTTCTTTGTCCTAAAATGTGTGGGGTTTTTTCTCTTACCTTAGGTTTGTTTGAATTAATATCCAAAGTCCATATGATTGATATGTCTCTTAAGACTCTTTCCATCTATAATGGTTACAATAGTTACATTTCCCTTCCTTCTTTTAGAAAATTGATTTACTAAAGAAATGAGGTTTTAATTCTGTAGAATTTCCCACAGTATGGATTTGGCTGATTACATACTCAGAATATCATTCCACACGTTCTCTAGTCTGACAATTTCCTGTAATCTCAATAGAACTAGATTCTTGATTAGATTCAGATTCAATTATTTTGTGTGCAATATTTGATAGGTAAGGCTGAATACTTCCTATTTTATCATACCAAGAGGCAAGCATGACTGGATGATCCCTGGATTTCAATCTTGTCAGTTGATATATCCACTATAAATTTTTCTTGACATCTACTCACTTTAGCATCCATCAGTGATCAACTTTTTAGGAGTTGCATAAGGGTTCTTTTCTAATTCAATTATTCCTTCTGTATTTCTTAGCTAAAACTCTTTTGTAAAGACTTTCCTTCGTCAACTGTTTGATGACTTAGAAACACAGTGTGTACAGAAAAGACAGAATAAATGTTCTCTTTATTACTGATTTCTAGAAAAACAACTTGGTGTTCTAGCAATCTCTGAAGTTGGTTAATGAGTTAATTTCTTTTTTGTGGTATCATTGTGAATCTCAGGATTTTTATATTTTTGACGAGTCCATTACAGTTTTATTCTCACTGAAACTTAAATTTTTCCCATCTTTAGCTATTGGGAGCCTGGTAGGTTGGCCCTGAGTTCTTTAGACATAACCACAACGTTTTTAACCATTTTCTTGCTTTTTAGTATGTAAGGTGTAGTAGACCCATTTTATTCATGTCCTGCCCTGTATTTGAAATCAGCCATTATTTTAAAGGGCACTTACCCTATTAATGAAAAATAATATTTAAATGCCACAGCATTGGTGCTAGGGTGCTCATTACTACTTGGTGGTCATTGATTCCAGAACTTAACAGTGGTCAGAGCTAAGAAATAGTGATTTTTAGAGCTACAAAAATAAGTAATGAGTTTATACTCTTTCCACTTACTTGCTTTTTTTTATTTAACAACATATCATAGGTGTTCTTCTACATCAGAAATGCAGATTCACATTATTTAATAGCTATATAACATAAAATAATATGATTATTACAGCTTATATAACTAGTCTTCTATTGAGGCGATTTCTAATATTTAATTATTATAAAAATTGCTGTAATGAAGATTACTAACTTACATCCTTAACTGCTTGTGCAAATATTCTGTAGATTCCTAAAAGTAGAACTGTTACCTACAAAGTATAAATCTAGGATATTGAATCCATTTAAAATCCTACTATCAGTGTCTCAGAGAGTATTTTTACTGATGGAATGCTATCTGTTTTACTTATCTCTGCTTTTGCAGGCCCAAACTTTAGGCCTGGTGCATAGCCATCATGTGATATTTGTGTATTGACTTGGATTGAAAAAGCCAAGGCCCACAGAAGCAGAGGAAAAAAGAAGAGTTTAGCCTGACCACTCTGTAACAACTCCAAGGGAGCTTTAGGAAAGTTCTGTGCCTCTGGTTCAAGGAGGACGAGAAATACATGAAGCAGGTCTAAAGAAAACTCATAGACTGTAGCCAAGTTCAGCTGAAATTAACCTAGATTAACTAAGCCCCAGCTGCCTCACACAGATGCATGCATGAGAATAAATTATTGTTATTTTAAGACACACTGAATTTGGGGGAGATTTGTTACACTGCAGTATTATCTTATTCTCGAATAGAATGATACAGCATCCTAAAGATACCAATTCTGCTCAAGATAATGTATACATTTAATTCAATCCCAGTAAAATAGGCAGAGAAAGGTTATTATTAGTTAAATAAGATTTTCTAGAACTAAAATTGTAGATGATGCCAAAATGAAAAGACAGAGAGACCAGAGAAGTGAGAGTAGTGTGTTAAGGGTCTTGTCTTGCCTGGAGGCAAACACAGATTCGATAAGATTATAGATTGGTCAGGAAAAATAAGCATAAGTATGGCTCTTAGTAAGTCTGGAGAAACAGAAGAGTAAAATTAAATGTACAACTTTCAAGTCAGCCAAAGAAAATTCTGTGCATCCTATAAAAGAGGGAACAAAGAAGAAAACAATCTTGACAAGTGATGTCAGTGCGGCAGACTGAGAACCTCCAAAAAGCCACTTGGCAATAAAAGCAACAAGAATACAGGCAAAAAAATTGTCAAAATCAACTTTTCCCAGTTTTTTCAAATTAACCAAAAGCTTACAAGGCTCCAAAGAGCATTTAATAAAGAAAAATGACAGAATCTTAGTAAGAACAACATGCTTTCTAGCGTTTTAACTTGCCCTCTTACCATCCCCGCCCCTAGCTCCACAGTAGCCTTGAAAACCAACAGCCCCACAATCACAGTGAAAATCAGCAACCCCACAATCACAGTGAAAATTAGCAGCCCCATAATCACAGTGAAAACCAGCAGCTCAGGAACCACTGGAAGGGAGAGAATGTGTTAGGAGCTGGCTAAAGTACCATTCTGAGATTTGCCAATATTTGACCTGTCTGGCAGTTCCCTGGCTGGTATTTATTTGACCCGACTCAGATCTCGCACAATGCAAAACAGCTTTTTCCTCGGGGACATTTGTCAAAAGCAACTACAGACAATTATCTAACATCACAACTGCTTGAAGCAGTGATTGCAGTTGGGAAAACTAAGAAGCTGATCAAGTTAGTTAAAAGGAAAAGCTGGTGAATGAGATAGTCCATGGGGGCTTTGAAAAGCTCTAAAATATTTCTAGAAATCTAGAAGGTTTCACCCGCATAGGAATGTGCACATGCTCAGGACAGACCTGAGAAAGTCCTAAGCTCCCCACTCTGACAGACCTTTAGGCTCTAAGCAAGTAGAAAGTGGGAGCTAAAGCAGAGTTGTAAACTGAGCCCCTCAATAGTGAAAACATATCCCAACTCATACACATACACACACATAGCCCCTCAGTAAAGGCTGAGAGGCTTATTAGTTACAGGCATTTCAGAAAATCTCTGTCCAATCATTAATGACCACTAGGCTATCTGAGCAGAGATTTCAGTGGTCATATGACAAGGATAAAGACTTTAGAAAATTAGTTCAAGAAAGTTACTAAACAAACAAACAAAAATAACAAAAAGAAAAAACAACAAAGACAAATGGCACCAACAACAAACCCTAGGAAGAGAAGGATCTGATTTCCAGAGTTGCAATGTTATGTTATTTTAAAAGTCTTGTTTTCAACAAAAAATTATGAGACACGCAAAGAAATAAGAAAGTACGGCCTGTTCATGGGGGAAAAAAGCAGCCAATAGAAACCATCAATGAAGAAGCTCAAAAGCAGAACTTACTAAACAAGACTAAATCAGCTATTTTAGGGCTGTCCAAAGAACAAAGGAAGCCATATCTTAAAAGCTAAAGGAAAGTATGAAGATGTTGTCACAACAAATAGAAAATATAGAAATTCACTTTAAATCTAAAGACACAACTAGGTTGAAAGTGAAAAGATGGGAAAAGATGCTTCATGCAAATAGTAACCAAAAGAGAGCTGGGGTAGTTATACTAACATTAGACAAAATAAACCTTTAGTCAGAAACTGTTACAAGAAACAAAGACAAACATTGTTTATTCATAAAGGGGTAAACTCACCAAGAAAATATAACAATTATAAACCTATATGCACCAAAATCAGAGCCCCAAAATATATGAAGCAAACACTGACAGAATCAAATAAATAGTTCTCCAATAATAGTTGAAATAAACTTCAATATGCCACTTTCAATAACAGATAGAACACAAGACAGAAGAGAAATAAAGAAATAGAGAACTTGAACAATGCCATAAACAAATTACACCTAAAAGATATATCCAGAACACTGCACCCAACTACAGCTGAATACACATTTTTCTCAGGTGCATATGGAACATTCTCCAGGACAGATCATATGTTAGGCCACAAACAAGTCTTAATAAATTTAAGAAGTTGAAATCATACAAAATATCGTTTCTGATCCTAATGGAATGAGCGAAAAATCAGTAACAGAACGAAAACTGGGAAATTCACAAATATGTGGAAATTAAATAAATCGCCCTTAAAAAACTAATAAATCAAAGAATAAATCACAAAGGAAATTATAAAATCTTGAGACAAATGAAAACAAACAAAAAAACAGCACATCAAAACTAATGGGATTCAGTGAAAGCAGTGCTAACAGTAAGAGTTATAGCTCTAAACATAAATATTTTTTAAAAAGATCTCGAATCAATAACTCAACTTTACACCTTAAGGATCTAGAAAAAGAAAGGCAAACTAAACTCATAGCTAGCAGAAAGAAGGAAATAATAAAGATTAGAGCACAGATAAATGAAATGGAGAATGGAGCGACAAAAAAGAAAAATCAATAAAACCAAAAGTACTTGTTTCAAAAGATCAACAAAACTGACAAATCAGCTGGATTGACTAAGGAAAAAAGGTTGAAGATTCAAATTACTAAGATCATAAATAAATGTGGGGACATTATTACAGGTTTTATAGAAACAAAAAGGATTATAAGAGAATATTATGAATAATTGTATGCCAACATATTGGATAACCTAGATGAAATAGATGATTTTCTAGAAACACACAACTTACCAAAATTAGATCATAAAGACATGGAAAATTTGATAGACCTTATATAACCAGTAAGGAAGTTGAATCAGTAATCAAAAGCCTCCCAATAAAGAAAAGTCCTGGATCAGATGGATTCACTGGTGAATTCTATGAAACATTTAAAGAAGAATTAATACCAATTCTTCCCAAACTCTTCTAAAAATAATTCAAGGAGAAGTAACAGTTTCCAACTCATTCTATACCAACATTATCCTGGTACCAAAACCAGACAGACACTTAGAAAATAGAAAACGACAGGCCAATATCTCTTATGAATACTGAGATAAAAGTCTCAACAAAATACTAACCAAATTTGGCAGTATATTAAAAAGATTATGTACCATGACCAAGTGGGATTTATTCCTGTTTTGCAAGGAGGGTTCAATGTATGAAAATCAATGTAATACACCACAATTAAAAAAAGAAAAAATAATAATAACCATCTCAATTTATGCAGAAAAAGCAGTTGACAAAATGAAACACCCTTTCTTGTTTTTTGTTTTTTGTTTTTTTAAATCAGTAACTAGGAATAGAAGGAAACATCTTCAACACGATTTAGGCTATATATGAAAAATCCACAGCAAACATTATATTCAATAGTGAAAGACTGAAAGTTTTTTCCTGAAGATCAAAATCAAGACAAGGATGTCCACTTTCACTACTTCTATGCAATATTGTATTAAAACTTTTAAGCAGAGAAATTAGGCAAGAAAATGAAATAAAAGGAGTCTAAATTGAAAAGGGGAAGTAAAATTATATCTGTTTGCAAATGACATAATCTTGCACATAGAAAATTTTAAAGATTCCATACACAAAAAAGTGAGCTAATAAATTCAGCAACATTGCAGGATGAAAAATCAATGCAAAAAAAATCAGTTGCATTTCTATACATCAACAATGAACAATCTAAAAAGGAATTTTTAAAAATTCCATTTACTATAACATCAAACAGAATAAAATAAAATACTTAGGAATAATTCTAACAATGAGGCAAAAGACTTGGACACTGAAAACTATAAAACATTTCTGAAAGCAATTAAAGAAGACATAAATAAATGGAAAGACATCTCATGTTCATTCATTAGAAGACAATGTTCTTAATATGACAATACAATCCAAAGGTATCTAAAGACTCACTGCAATCCCTATCAAAATTCCACTGGCTTTTTTTTTTTTTTTTTTTTTTTTGCAGAAACAGAAAAACTCATCCTAAAAGTCATATGGTACTTCCAAAAAATAGCCAAAATGATTTTTTAAAAGAAGGATAAAATACAGAAAACTCACATTTCCTGATTTCAAATTTTACTACAAATCTATAGCAATTAAACCATTGTGGAACTAGACTAAGGAAAGATGTATAGACAAATGGAACAGAACAGAGAACTCAGAAATAAACCTTTGCATGTGTGGTCAATTAATTTTTGACAAGTGTGCCAAGACCATTTAATAGGGAAAGGATAACAATTTCAACAAATGGTTCTGGGAAAACTAAATATCCATATGCAAAAGAATAAAGTTGAAATCTTACCTTCTACCATCTACAAAAATTAACTAAAAATGGATTAAAGACCTAAACACAAAAGGGTTAAAATTATAAAATGCTTGGAAGAAAACCCAGGGAGAACGTTTTATGATGTTGGATTTGGTAAGGATTTCTTGGATATGACACCAAAAGCACAGACAACAAAGAGAATAATAAATAAGTTGGACTTCATCAAAATTTTAAAACTGTTTGCGCATCAAAGACCCTGATATGGTTTGGCTGTGTCCCCAACCCAAATCTCATCTTGAATTGTAGCTCCCACAATTCCCACATATTATGGGAGGAATCTAGTGGGAAGTAATTGAATCACAGGGGTGGGTCTTTCCGATGCCGTTCTCATAATAGTGAATAAAGGTCTCATGTGATCTGGTGGTTTTATATAGAGGAATTCCCCTGCACAAGCTCTCTTCTTGCCTGCCACCACGTAAGACAACCTTTGCTCTTCTGCCATGGTTGTGAGGGCTCCCCAGCCATGTAGAACTGTGAGTCAATTAAAGTTTCCTTTATAAATTCCCCAGTTTGGGGTATGTGTTTATCGGCAGCATGAAAACAGACTAATACAGACACTCAATAATGGCAAACAATGGAATGAGAGAAAATATTTGCAAATAACATATCTGATAAGTAATTAATATCCAAAGTAAATAAAGAACTCCAACTCAACAATTCCCATCCCCCTCAAAAACCCAATTCTAAATGGTGAAATGGCTCAAATAGGCATTCTTTACAAAGATAATACAGGTCACCAGGGGCTGGGAGAAGGAAAGAACTGGGAGTTATTGTTTAATGGATACAGAGTTTCTGTTTGAGATGAAAAATTTCTGGAAATGGATAGTGGTGATGATTGCAAAGCACTGTGAATGTACTTAATGCCAATGAACTGTACACTTAAAAAAAATTTTAAGACAAGATCTCACTCTGTTGCCCAGGCTGGAGCACAGTGGCATGATCTCAGGTTACTGCAACCTCTGCCTCCTGGGCTCAAGCGATCCTCCCACCTAAGCCTCCCAAGTAACTGGGACTACAGGCATGCACAACCACACCCAGCTAATTTTTTGTATTTTTAGTAGAGATAGGGTTTCGCCATGTTGCCCAGGCTGGTCTTGAGTTCCCAGGCTCAAACAACCTGCCCTCCTTGGCCTCCCAAAGTGCTGGGACTACAGGTGTGAGCCACCATGCCCATCCCTAAAAATTGTTTAAATGATTAATTTTATGTTATATATATTACACCACAATTTTAAAAATAATAGAAAACAAAACAAAAACCAAGCAAAAGAATAATAATAAAACAAAAACATATTTTCTACACGTTGACTCTGAAAAGTCCTAAAAGCAATCACTAACCTAGACCCCTAGCATCCAGATTGTGGCTTCTAAATATCATTTCCCACTAAAAGGAATCAGGACTCCTTATAGTGATGGTTGATTGCAGGACTGGCACAGAAAATGAATAGTAGGAGCCTGAAATAGTTTGACCTACTAGAGAGCAAAGAACGCTATCAAAGACTATGAAAATTGTGTGAAAAGAATTCAGAAGCTGACCTGAAAAGGCTCCCAGTAGCTAAAGAGGGGACAATTTGAGCATCAGCATTTTTTTCTTCAACTTTTATTTTAAGCTCCAGGGAACCTGTAGAGGATGTACAAGTTTGTTACATAGGTAAACGGAGCATCAGTAATATTAATAACCACAATGGTTTGAAAAAAATGAAATACTTTAAATTTAAAATTTTATAATTATCCTAAAAAAATGAACAAACAAGAAGAACTATTAGTCACCTTTGGAGAATGCTAGTGGACAACCCCATTATTTTGAACACTGGTAAATAAAAATAAAATGTAAGAAAGTTAGGCTGGGGCCGGGCACGGTGGCTCACGCCTGTAATCTCAGCACTTGGGGAGGCCGAGGCAGGCGGATCACAAGGTCAGGAGATCGAGACTGTCCTGGTTAACACAATGAAACCCTGTCTCTCCTAAAAATACAAAAAAATTAGCCAGGCATGGTGGCGGGCGCCTGTAGTCCCAGCTACTTGGGAGGCTGAGGCAGGAGAATGCCATGAACCTGGGAGGTGGAGCTTGCAGTGAGCCGAGATCATGCCACTGCACTCCAGCCTGGGCAACAGAGCAAGACTGTCAAAAAAAGAAAAAAAGAAAAAGAAAGTTAGGCTGGGCACAGTGGCTCTTGCTTGTAATCCCAGCACTGTAAGAGTCCAAAACGGGCAGATCCCTTGAGGCCAGGAGTTCGAGACCAGCCTGGCCAACATGGCAAAACCCTGTCTTTACCAAAAATACAAAAATTTAGTCTACATTTCAGGATAATCAGGATTTAAACTATTCTTTAGGGTAAAACTTGATAAGATAAAGATTATTTCCACAGAAGTATTTCACTTTATCTGTGAAGAAGAAATAAGGGGGAAGGAAGAAAGGAGGGATAGAGGAAGAAAGAACTAAAGAGAGAGAGAGAGAGAGAGAGAAAGTATGAGGCTAGTAGAAGAAAATATATAGAACCATATTTTTGTGACTTCATTACTTAAACAAGAACCCCAAACCACAAGCCACAGGGGAGGTGGATGCTAAATTTGACTACATTAAAAGTAAAGACATTTTCAACAACAGATACCAGGGACACAGTTAGAGATGGAGGACAGATAGAAGATATTCACACTAGCTCTAAGGTTAAAAGAAAGTAATGTTCAGAATATGTAAGGAACTTCTGAAAATCTGCCAGAAAAGTGAAACCAAAGGAAAAATGGTCAATAACAACATAGGCAATTAACAAAAGGGGGACCTAAAGAATAATAAGCAGATGAAGCTTAACTTTACTAGATTTTAAAGAAATGCAAATTAAAACAGATTTGCAAATAGTAGAAGGTTGATCAATATCAAGTGCTTGTGGGGAATATGGAAATCTTCACTCCTAGTAAGAGCCTAACCGGGTATAGCAATTTGGCAGAGCAATCCTGCAGTTCAGCACTCACATATGTCCACCGATTTCTATCTGTGTTAATCGACACCTTGTTTGAGATAGCAAGGAATTGGTGACGACCTAGATATCACTCACTAAGGAAATACAGAAAGAGACAGAATACCATGCAGGTAAAAAAATAATGGTCTAAATTTGCATATACCAATGCAGAATGCTTGCACAAACATAATGTCATGTGAAAAAGAAAGAAACATAATAAATTTTATAGCTCAATAAAGTCATATATATTAAACACAAGCATACAGACAGTTTCAGTCTACTGTCAAGGATACATATACATACACAACCATATGAACTGTGCTGGCACATTGCTCAGCCTCAGGGTTACCATTCACACAGTTTTCCATGCAAATGGTGCCCTCTGGGGAAAGATGCCAGAATACAACATGAATGGTGCCCCTTGAGGGTATGCAACATGGCAGCCTTGAATATATAAGATGGTTTGGAAGGTTGTAAATTAATACATTGGAATAGGGGCCTATCATAAGAGCAAGGAGGGAAATGGGAGTGGGAATGGGGAGGGAGGAGAACATGAAGTAAAATGAAGATAGAAAAGGGCACATGCATAAAAGGAGGATGATAGTGTGACCTGAATGAAGAAATAGGATCAACTCAATTCCGTGGTCTTAAGTTGGGGAGGGTGGACCTAAAGGAGGGATCTTGAGCTGGAAAACCAACAACCTTCACAAACCTGCTAAGAAATGTGGATTTTATCTTGAAAGCTATGGGAAATCCTAGAAGTGTCTGAAACAGGAGATTTGCATGGGAATGGATGAGAAGGGGAGAGGCTGGGGGAAGCAGGCCTTCAAAGCAATCCATGCAAGGTCTCCATGAGCACGATGGGGTCATTGTGGCCAAAGATGCATTCAGCCAGGTGTGCATACCTAATGCCACACACAAAGATCCTTGGAAAGCCTGGCACTCCCTCCTTCGACTCCTCCCACATCCTCATGTACCCAGAGGCTCAAACAGAAATAAAGCCTGTTAAAAGTGCTGGGGACAGCTCCCACCAGCACGGTCATGGTTGGTACCACCTTCCAGATGTGAGTCTGACTAGCACACAGCTGTCTTCCCTGATGGCTGAGGAGTCCACGTTGTTGACTGACTATGCACCTGCGCTTTGTAGAGCAACAACAGTCCATGGGGCATTCAGTCAAAACCTCCAAGCTAACACAGGGAGTATTCGTTTTTTAAGAATTTTTTTTCATTCTCCCAGACAGCCACCCAAATATTTACATAAGAATTTCCCCTCCTCTGTATTTTACTAAATCTTCACCTAGTAGATTTAGCAAAAGTGTGATCTTCCGAAAAGTACTCCACTTTCCTGGTAGAAATACCTGGACAAGACTTTGATCATCTCTGAAGCCTTTCCAATGGCAACGCTCTGGAGTCCCGGGGACTTTTTCTTCTGGATGTGCTGAACACTTACTGTGCGTAATGCATCAGGTGTGTGTAGCAACAAGGCACAGGTTTTGTGGTCAGGCTTGGGTTGGAATCCCGCATCTCTTACTTATGAACTGAATGGCTTTAGTTCCTTTATCTGTAAACATTGGAGATTAAAACGTTCTATCTCACAAGATTAATGCAGAGAAAATACATGTGAAAAAACACGAGGATCTGGCATTTCAAAAAAACTCAACAAAACTTGATTTCTCCTCATCTTCCTTCTTTTCTGCTTGGGAAAACAAATTTCGCAAGCATTTTCACAATGGAAATTTCACAGATTGTCATAATCAAATCTTCTCTTTTCAAGATATTAAGAACAACCTCAAGTGCATATCATATTTAGAAAGAAATTCCTAGAAAAATCTAAACTGTTCATTACAGACTACTTATAAACAACTTGGTTTATGTGTTTCATTTGATTTAATTTTTGCTAGAGGTGGGTATGGAGAAGCACAAAATCAAATATGTTTCATGGCATTGCTTTCTAAGAATAGCCTTTTCCACTAGACTCAAGATGAAAAAGATAACGAATATTTTCTTTTTATAACTCTGATTCAATTTGTTATCTCCTTAGCCCTGCTTCTGTAGAGTTTCTGTCCCTTCTGTTCTCAGATCATTGACCAATTCTGATATGAGATAAAATTCTATTAATATTACCTTAAGCAAATACTCAGGGAAGGAAAAAAAATGGAAAGGAGAGAAAACACCACACCCTCTTAACTAACACTTCTGATCCACGGGCCCACCCTTGCTGTTGTAAGAATATTTTAAGTCAGTGATTGTCAGCTTTGGCTTCCTGAGGCCACGAAGAATTAATTAGTAAATTTTGATTAAAATATTTTCCTAACAAAATATAATATCTAATGAAAGCTAAGCTGTAGTGAAACAGGCATGCTCATGCATAGCTGATTGTAATTAGAACAAATCTTTTGAAAAGCAATTTGGCAGTGAGTATCAAGCCTCTAAATGTTTGTACTCTGACCTGAGAATTCTCTTTCTGGAAACCTATCTTATTGTGGGGAGGGTGGGAGTCTAATTAGGTAAACAGATACATGCACAGAGAAACTTATTACGGTGTTATTTTATAACAGTAAAAAAAAGTATGGGAAACAAACTGATAACATGCGCAGTTCTGTAAACTATGGTATATCCACCAGATGGGTAGATCTGTTTACAGGGAGTCTGTCAAACCTGAGTATAAACATGTATATACAATCTTATCAAAATTATATATTTTTAAATACAGAAGCAAATATGAAATCTGCACAATTCAAAAGGTTTGGAAGTAAATATACCAATCTTGGTAGTGACAGGTTTTTGGTACAGAGATTTAGAGTGACTTTTCTTGCCTTTTTATGTTATTTTCAGGTTCATCGTAAGGACTATCGTGTACACAACTTTTCTAATCAGCAAAAAATAAACACACTTTATAAGGAAATAAACAAACATAAAGATGCCATATGGAATCTTTTGGTTTGGGAGATGGCTGAGACTAGGATAACTCAGATCAAAAATACAATAAATTATCTCAGTTACCAAAAAAAAAAAAAAAGGGTGGGGCTGACTGGTAAGGGACCTACATTTCATACCCTTCTTAAGTTTGCTGGTTTCTGCCCAGGATTTCCATTAGAGCTGGAGAATAGGAGCTGAGTTAATTTTCCCAGGGGCGCTGAAATCCTGACATTGGTACATTCCCTGTCATGCATTTATTCTCATTCTTAATGCCATGGTGACCATAAATGTGAATTAAAACTTGAAGTATTTAGCATTTATTAAGCACTTCCTATGCACAGGCACTGTTTTGGTGCTTTTTATACCTTTATTTCACCTTTCTCAGGCTTGCGAAAGCTCTTAGTAAAAAGAACTATTGTCTCCTTCCTCCCCGCTCCCCCACGTCAGCCTGTTCTACACACTCCTTTCTTCTACTCACAGAGAGTGCCTTTTAGGAATATAATTGATTTGGATAAAAGAAAAAAAATGGGCCAAATAGGCTGCCATTTGTTATCAATAAAGCCTCGCAGCTGCCTGAACGGTTGACTAAATAAGCACCTTCAAATGGTCAGAACAGGGAAGGTTCTAGAAATAGGGCACCAGAAAATCCCACAGGCTTTCTGCTTGTGATGTGGCTTATTTGCTTTACAGGCGTCAAGCATATTTGCTGACGTCAGCAGCCCATCAAAGTTTAAAATAATAATAGTGAAAAGGAAAACAGCCCCTTTCTTCCAGGCAGTTCTGTTCTGCCAACTTCTGCGTTCTTTTTGAGTTAATAAACGTCCAAGAATCACTCCCCTACCACCCTGAGGGGGAAAAACAGCACAATAATTTTAAAACCACCAGGTCAGCCCATTGTCAGCATAAACCATTCAGACAAGTAGCATTTTGTCACACTCTAATGAGGATTTTACCTCTGCCTCAAAATGAAAGCTATCATTAGGTTTCGTGTTTATGGGATCAAATGATTGTCTGGGGATGGTGGGTTTTTTTCAGTCCCTTCCTCATTTTTATCATGTTCAAGACCAAATGCATAGACATTTCCTGCATCAGATGAAACTAAAAAACCATAGTTATGCCAGCTAATGTCTTTTGAAAACATCAATTAAGAAAATGGCCTTTAAATTCCCATTTTTACTTGAAAATCTGCAAACAGGCACACATGTTGTAATACCAGGGCAGTGGTGGTGGTAGTGCGGGGCGGGTGGGGGGTGCTGTCTCTAAAAAGGAGACAGCACAAACAGTGGTTTGAGGAGGTCATAAGGGCAGGCTCCCATTGGCAACAAGCAGATAGAGAATCTCTGCAAGGGAAGGAACTTCTGTATAAAGCAAGACCTCTTAAGTTATCTTCACATGTAGTGTTGAAACTGGAGCCAGCCCCTCAAGAGTAGGTTGATAAGAGGCTTCTGCACCATGCTGGTACCACACACATGCCCCATTGTTAATAACCTTCTCAGGACAGATTAGATCCCACATTCCTCAGAAGTACTGAGCTGCAGAGGGAAATCGGCCAGCAGGCTCCTTCCGCGGGGCCAACAACTAGCTACAACTGATAAGTTTTAATTGAAACAACTGGAACAATTACATGGAGTCCCCACCAGCTCTGTCGCCAGCTACTGAGATGGTGTTGCACTTGCATCTCCTGGCATGTGCATAGGCGTGTGCCAGACAAGAGTAATTCAAGTTCTTAACTCACTTTTTATCTTTTTTTCCATGACTACGTGCCATCGTTAATCACATTGTTCACCCAAGGAGTACTATGAGATTGTTTTATTTTTTTCTTTTCTGTCCTTATCTAGGAAACCCTGATATTTACACTATCTCAATTTAAGTTTGAACAAGTAACTGATTAATCTCTGACAAAACATACTGAAGTTAGACGAGTTTGGGTAAAATCCGTTAAGGTCATGGTTGGTTTTAATCACATAGCTCAATTTAAAAGCTGAACACTAAAACATCTTTGCTTTCAAAGAGTGCTTGTTAGACAGCAAGTTTTGTTTTGCGTAACTTGAATTCTGCTACTTCCTTTTATTTTTTTCTGAAATAACAGTGATTGAGTCAATGAAGTGGCAATACGAATTAAAGGGCAACTCACCTGCCTTTGAAGGGACAGATCCCAAAGGGCCCAGATTAAATTTTAACCACGATTATGTTTGCCAGGATTTTATATCTCAAATGATTATGTTTGGCTTTTGTAATAATAAAAGGTTATTTTGGGAAAAGAATTCCCTTTTAACATCTATTGTGTTTACTAGGAGGAAATACAGGGTTAGACTTCGATACAGTTTAGCCTTTGAAAGAAAATAAAAGACAAATGATTTAGCAGATGGGTAATTCCCAAATCTGCAGAAATGTAAACAGCCAGGATTTTGGTGCCTATGGGTTTTATCAAAGAGGTAAGAAAGGCAGAGACCGACACCAGTGCGTCCTCTTTGGCTAGTTTTAACACGTTTACAGTCACAATTAACATTCAAGGAATTTCCTTTTCATCCAAGTGTTTCTTTTAAAGCACTTCATACCACAAACTAAAGTTCTAGCTGCCATCAGTCCTTCCCATACAGAAGAGTAGCGAAATCTCCATTATACTTCCTTACTTTGAAAATGGGCTCGGACCACGTCAATTTCCTTGGGTTGTTTGTTTTCCAGTATAGGGGGTTCTTGCCTCCTCCCTCCTTCCCTCTCTTTAATGAGCTTGTATTGAGGATCCTACTTCTTCTACCCTCACCCTGCTCTGCACTCACCCCGGAGCCAGATGAGCGCGAGGCTGCGCAGAGCGCTGCTGCCCAGCCGGAGCTCTGGGCTCGCAACAGCCTGGTTTCAAGTCCGCGAGCCGGCTGGCCCACTGCATTCTGCAAGAAAAAAGAATCCCCCTGTTCCCGCCCCCCGCCCCCCGCCCCCCACCCCTACACAAGGGATTCGCACATGGGCAAGGAGTCCGAGTCTTGGCTATGCATAGAGCTCAGTCCCGTATCCGAGTCTTCGTCGTTGCCAGGACCGCTCTTGGCCAGTCCACGGGCCTGGTCCACCCACATGTCGGCGCAGGCTTGAGGCCCAGGTTCCCGCGAGGGACTGCCAGAGCCAGGAGCCCCATCCGGTGCCACCGTCAGCTCCAAAGTGTGCAAAGTTTGCAGAAGGCCCTGTAGCTCGCGCTTCTTGCTGTCCCATTGCTGCTGGCTGTAATCCAAGTCCGACTTGACGGCCTCTAGGTCCGTGTTGAGCCGCAGCCCAATGTAAAGGCTGGTACTGAGCTGCGTCCTGACCCGTTCCTGCTCCAGCAGCAGCTCGCCGTCGGGGCCACCGTCGGGCTCCAGGGGCTCCTCCCGCGCCGCCAGCTCCTCCTGGCGCCGTCGCATCCACCTCTGGTTGAGTTCCTCCTGAATCTCGGCTGAAAGGCGCTCCAGCAACTCCTCCTGCTGAACCCGTTGCTCCTGAAGCCGCAGCAAGTCGTCGCAGCGCCGGGCCAGCTCCTCCAGCGCCGCCGCCTGCGCCTCGCCGGCTAGAGGGGGCGCCGCCGCCGCCTCCTCCGCCTCCGCCGCCACCTCTTCTGGCTCCTCTCCCGGTCTGGACCCGTCGAGCTCGATGCCTGCCCCAACCAAGTAAGTGTCCTGCACGTAGTTGACCCCGTGACGCCGCATGCGGTCCAGGTGCACCTTGGCCTCGTAGTGATCGATCTCGCGGTCCAGCTCGTGGAGCCGCTGCACCTGCTGGCGAATTGTGTGGTCCTGGGAAAGCACCAGATGCACCAGCGTCTCCATGCGCTCCACCGACGCGCTCTCGTGGGTCCGCGGCGACGAAGAGCAGGACGAGGCAGTGGACGACGAAGTGGACGAACAGGACGACGGTGTCTGCTGCTGGCGCCGCCGGTTGAGCTTGGCCAGTTTGCGAAAGGCCTTGCGCACCACTCGCCGCTGTTTCTCCTGGGTCATGGCCAGGCTGGGCCGCGCCGGGGCCCCGCGGGCCGGACAGGGGCGCTCTCGGCTCAGCACTACGCGCGCCTCGGCGCTGCGGGGGCCGGCGTTAGGCAGCGATGCCTCGCTGCGCACTAGCACGAAGCGCACATTCTCTTGCTCTTCGCCCCAGGCAGCCCAGAGGCGCAAGATGCGCGTCTTGTTGGGGAGGATGCGCTCAAAGCCGCGCCACTTCTCCACGATGCAATAGCACTGCGGGGGCCCGCACAGCATGCCCTGCGGCAGCGCCTCGTCGTCGTCCTCGTCGTCCTCGTTCGGGGGTTCGGGCAGCTCTCCCGGGCCATGCGGGTCGCCGGCCGACCCCAGCCGCCGGCTCCGCCGCTGTCTCCGTCGCCGCCGGCAGCCGTCCTCCAAAAGCACTCGCACAACGTCGGAGCAAGTGGTGCGGCGGGAGAGGCCGGACACCAGCTTCTCTTCCTGGCAGATCCACACCGATATCTTCTTTTCCGAAGGATCCATGGCGCAACCAGGGCGCAGGTGGCAGGTCCGGCCGGGGTCTGCTGGGGCGGCGAGGACAGCAAGGGCAGCCCAGTAGCTCTGGGATGGGAGAGGAGCCCGTGCCCCCCTCCGGCGGCTGCACTAGCCCTGTTCCCCCGCTGCGCACCGAAGGCAGGCTGGAAAGCGACTGCGGCTGTGGTCGCGGTTGCGGCTGCGCTCTGCCCGGACGACGGGCGCTCCCGGGGCAACGCGCCCAGGACCGGCTCCCGCCGCTCTGGCTCTGCCCAAGGTGCCCGGGACCTCCGGGTTTTGCTCCTCCCCACGTGGCTCCACCCCTTCCCGCCCCCAAGGCCCAGAGCTGTGGCTGGAAGTGCAGGAGGCTCAGGGCCCAGGCCCGCCCCTCGCAGCCTTGCCGCGCCCCGTGCGCCCTGTCCGCCCCTCGCTCGCATTGCAGGCATCCTGAGTCTCGGCCCTTTTCGCCAAATCGCTGCTCTGCCGCGCGCCTACGCAAGGAAAGATTCAAGGGTCCCTCCACTTCAGGGAGTGGAGCCCGCGCCTCGGCACGGATCAGCTGTGCGTCTCCTTTGGCCTACTGGCTCCTCTGCTTGTGTCTATAGCTAGCTGGACGCATCGTGACTTTATCTTCTCATCTTTCCTGGCGCCCCCAGACGCATTTCCTGGTCCCTCGAGGCAGCGGCGTCTGGGGAGTGCACTTTGCACAGACAGGGAAACCGAGGCACTCAGCGGTCTCCAATGGAGACGCTGTAATCGCATTCCACGACCAGCTAGCGCTATAAGCGCTGCCTCTAAAGCGGAAGGCCTCCCAGTCCTTCTCGACAGGAAGCAATATTTGCATATCTAAGGAGAACAAGATTCGGCAATGTGCTCCGGGAGCAAGTGCAGGCATGGAACGGTATGGGCTGGAGGGGGACAGACCTTCAGAGGCGGCTGCCCGTTCCCTGTAGTGTCACGTAAGTGGGTCTCCACGTCACCTTCACCTCAGCTTCCCACAGCCTTTTTGGGAGAGGGGCTCCTCATTCTAGTGGGAGTTCAGGGCCCAGACCCAAGTCACAAGCTATTTTTATGCTTTCCACCTCCATAAGGGGAAACTGTGAAGGCTTCTGGCATTTTCTAATATTCAGATGTGGTCCAGAAGAGATAACAGCCAAGCTTTACAGTGCAAGAAACCCAAGGCCACAATGCAAATGAACTTGTTTCATCCTTAACTGCTGATGAGGATGGTCCACTGAGTGCAAGGTTTGCCCTGAACTTGTCCTTGTGAGCACAGGTGTAATAATAAGCTCACTCCCTTTCTTCAAGACCTTAGATGGCTCCCCATTGCCTCTTGGCTAAAGCACTTTTGTTCATTCAATGATTCACTCAGCAAATATTTATTGAGTACCTCTCTGCTCCAGGTCCTACGCTAGGGATTTGACAATGAACTAATCGCCAGTTCTGGCTTGCAAAGAGTTCACAGTCTAGTGGGAGGGCACAGCCAAGTAAACATTCCCAACACAATGTCCTGTGTCCTCTGATAAGGGAGAGCATGAGGTTCTGGGGGACCCTGGAGTGGCATCCAACCCATCTTGGAGGGGCAAGGAAGGCTTTCCCTAGAAGAGGTGTGTTAGACAAGACCCAAAGGACCATTAGAGTCTGCCAAAAGGAAAGCAGATGGAGGGGAGGGACAAGCAGCATTCTAGAAGGGATTGTAGTGCAGTCAGGAATCAAGAGCATGTTAGTTATGGGGGCTGTCAGGAATTTGAGAGGAGTGCCTAAAACTGAAGTTGGATAATTGAACAGGAATGGGATCAGGAAGGGCCTTTAATTCCATGCTTATGTATTTGGATTTATCTTAAAGACAATGAGAACCCATAGAGTGCAAATCTGGAGTCAGAACAGCCAAGTAAAAATTTCAGCACCACGTACTAGCTCTATAACCTTAGGAAAAGTATTAATCTCTCTGAGCTTCAGTTTCCTGGTCTGTGAAATGGTGATAATAAAAATACCTCCCTAATGGAACTGGTGTAGCGATTAACTGCCTGGGCCTGGTAAATCCCCAGTAGTTTTATTGGGGGGTTGGAAAGGTCGGAGGTATATTAGTTTTCTATTGTTATGTAACAAATTATCACAAACTTAGTGACTTAAAACAACACCCATCTATTACTTCACTGTTCTGTAGATCACAAGTCCAACTTGGCATGGCTGCTGCATACTTTGCTCAGGATGTCCGAGGCAAAAGGCAAGGTATAGGCTGGTTCAAGTTCCTGTCTGAAGGCTCTGGGGGAATACCCAATTCCAAATCCATTCAGGTTGTTTGCATGATCTGGTTCCTCTCAGTTGTAGGTCTGAGGTCCCCATTCTTTTGTTGGCTGTCCTCCAGGGTCACTCTCAGCTCCTACAGAACTCTCTCAGATCCTTTCTGTAGGATATCCACCCCCCTCCCTGCAACTTTAAAGTCAGCAACCACATGTCAAATCCATCCAGTCCTCCTTTGCTTCTAATCAATCTACCATCCTCTTCTGCCACTAGCTAGAGAAAACTCTGCTTTTAAAGTGCTTGATTAGTCAAACCTACCTGGATAATTTCTCTGTCTTAAGGTTGACTGATTAGTAACCTTAACTATATCTGAAAAACCCCTTTTGCTGTGTACTGTAATATAATCACCAAAGTAGCCCCCAGGAAGATGGAGATTATGGGGCTGTCTTAGAATTCTGCCTACCATAGGGCATAACATGAACAGATTTTGATTTTTTAAAGATCCCTCTGTTTGCATTGAGGACAATGGGTGGGGGTGGGGGATGACAGGCAAGAAAGCCTTTTAGAAGACTATCTCGTTCATTCAAGGAAGAGATGATGACCTATACTGAGAATAGTGGCGGTGAGAAGACTGGACACAATTGAGAGCTATCAAGGAGGCAGGAGAGGCAGGACTTGGTGATAGATTGACGAGAGATTTCCTTCTCCCTAGAATGGTGTCAAAGGTCTCTTGCAATCTGGACCAGCCCACTTCTCCAGCTTCTCACTTACATGTGGGCTATCCCTTCTTCCTTTCCTCTCACACAGGATTGCTAGAGCTTTGTAGTCAGCTGCCATCCCTGCTGGATTCTAAGCTCCACAAGGGTAGGGATCATGTCTGTTTTGCTCACTTTTGAATCCTTTACATTTAGTGCAATCCCTGACACATTCTAGGTTTACTCAGTATCTGTTGAATAAATTAATGAATCCATGAAGGAATCCTACATTTTAGCAATCCAATACCTCATCCATCCAGAAGAACTCCTGCATCTTGATGTATCCACACTTTTGTACATGCTTTTCCCACTAATTGAGATTCCTCTTAAACAACTGGAGAACTTCTACTCACTCTTCAGAAGCTCAGGTAAATGTCACCTGCTCTGGGAGTCCTTTCTTTCCTCCTCCAGAAAGAACTGGTTCCCCGCTCTTCTTCTGCGTCTATTAATGTGGAGGTTACATTGTGCTGTGATGCGTTTTTTATGTCTGTTTACTCCCACAAGAATAGAGCTTTTCAAAAGAGAAGATTGTCTCTGTCCTATTTGCAGTTTAGTCCTCAGTGCCTAGGGTGCCTGGCACATGGCAGGTTCTCCATCTTCCCGTATGTTTTAAGGAACACTCAGATGAATAATGTCTAAGATATTGTGCTACCCTCAAGATAACTTATTTCTAGAAGCAGACAAATACATGGAATCCCTGTTGTAGTAATGATATATATGAAATTCCTGCTGGACTAATTAAAGGGTAGAATGATTGTATGGGTGCTAGGAAGGATGCAGAAGGCAGGCTTCAATAATTGGGGAGGAGGGGTTGAGGGCATTCTTGGTGGGAGAAAATACTTGAGTTAAAATGCTGAAATGAGTATGCATGTGGTCATGTACTGGTGTTTCAGAGTGTGTGTTTTGGAGTCACCCTGCCTCATTTCAAATACCAGCTATAAGCTTTCCAACCCTCAATCTTCTTACGAGGAAAAAAGTATAATATTGGAACCTGCTTTATAGAGTTGTCATTACATGAAATGAAATAATGCACAATATATAAAAGATCTAGTGCAGTGACTGGCACATAAAACATGCTCAATAAAACACAGCTAGTGTTGTCAAGAAATTGTATTAAGTACCTACTGCATGCTATGTCCTGGGCTATGTGTTGAGGATCCATGAATGAACTGGACAGACATGGTCCCTGACCTTAGAGATGTCACAGCCAGGATTAGTGTGGTTTAGCAGTGGATTTCTTAAGTTAGGCTAGGCTGTAGTAACAAACAGGGCCAAACTTGTATAATGGCTCAAACATCACAAAGATTTATTTTTCACTCAGATAATAGTCAAAAGAAGATGTCCTGGTTGGGAGGTGGCCTTATTCCTGGTTCCTTCCATCTCGTGACTCCAAAATCCTCTAGACTTCGTCATCATGTATATAAGCCAGAGGAAGAGGAGAGAGTATGGAGGGGCACACCCTCTTCTTTAAGGCATTGGCTGAAAATTGAGCTCATATCCCGTTGGCTAGAACCCAGTCACGGCCACTAGTAATGGCAAGGAGGCTAGGAACTGCAATGAGTATCTCAGAAGAGGAAATGGGTTTTCATGAACAGCTAGCTGCCTGCCATAAAAATATTTATTTGAAAAATGAGACAAGAGGCATAGAAAGAAGTTCCAAAAGTGTAGGAATTGCAAACTGGTGGTCCACCAGCCAAATCTTGCTGCCTTAGACAGAATATACTCTCTGTTTAGCCACAAAAACAACACTCTATTTCACATATGACCCAATTCACATACATTCATAACTCACCTGAGCCCTGTAATCATTTGAGTTGTGACTCTTGCTTCCATACATCCTCCTAGGGTTATCTCATTCACTCCCAGGGATTTTATACAATTGATATGCCATGGCTTCCACATCTATTCCAGAATTATCCAAATATGCATATCCAGCAGCTTGCTGGGTAGCTCCACTTGAATATCTGCCAAACATCCAAACCTTTGTCAAACAGATGAAGTTGAACCCATTATTTCTCCGAAAGCCTGTTCTGCCTCTTGTAATATCTATTTCAGAAAATGGTCCCATCATTCACCAAGCAAGACCTGAAACTTGAGGATCACCGTTTTTCATCACCATCTACTTCCTTTCCCCACAGGATGTTGAAGTTCTGTGAGGGCAGAGGGTTTTGCATGCTTTTTTTCCTACTTAACCTCCAGCACCTGAGACATCAACTCTCACACAGTAGACAATAAGTATTTGTAGAGTGAATAAATGAATGAATGAATGAATGCATTGCCTTAGCTTAGGCCCTCATTTATTTTTAACCTGGACCTTGCACTTTCCTTCAAACCAATTTCCTTGCCTCAAATCCTGCCTCTCTCCCATACTCTCTACTGCATATGTTTGATGAGTCCATTATCTTCAGAATCCAGTTCAAGTTCTCAGCAGGACCTATACGTCTCTGTAGGATCTGAGGTCTGCTTGACTCTCAGCCTATACACCGCAGCCACATCCTCAATCACACAGTTCCCTCTGACATCTGGCTAATTCCTGCCCACCTTCCAAGTTTCCGCTTAACTTCACCTCCTCCTAAAAGTCTTCTTTGGCAGCAACATCCTCTCCAGGAAAGAATCCAAACAAAACTGCTTTAGGAAGATTAGTCTACATCAGTAGGTGGGATCAATTGAAGTTATAATACACTTGTGTTAGGAGAACAAAGGATGGGGGGAGGGTGAAGGAGGTACTTAAAAATTCAGACTGTGGTTGCTTAATCACTTTAATATAAATAGAGAAGATGCCTTTCAGCACATCATAGATCTTTTGCAGTCTTAATCCTTAGGGCTGCTCTGTCCAATACAGTAGCCACTAGGCATATGGGGCTGTTGAATACTTGAAATGTGGCTCTCTGAATTGATATGGGCTTTGAGCAGAAATACACATCAAATGTCAAAGACTTCATACAAAAAAAGGAATGTACAATATGTTAATAACATGTAATCTTGATTACATGTTGAAGTGATACTATTTTGGATATATTGGGTTAAATCATTACAATTATTTTACCTATTTCTTTTTACTTATTTTTTAATGTGGCTACTAGAAGTCTTAAAATACTAATGCAGCTTGAGTTATATTTCCATTAGACAGTGCTGCCAGTGGGAAGGCCAAGTAACTTGTAGCAGATCATTTGAACCTTCTCAAGTGTGGACTTACCCTAAATATCCTAAGATAATAAATCCATCTGGGTTTTGGCTATCTCTGAAGAAAGTCATTCCATACCTTTACTGGATTTGTGGTTTAAATGTTTCTGTTTGATGATGGCCCTCAAAAGCTTCTTGCTACGGCCTAAGCCAGTCCCCTTAGGCTACCTAAGAAGCATATTCCTGAGGATCACCCTGCAGCTGAATCCAGTTGAAAGTTAAAGTATAAATGGTTGCTCTCCAGGCAGAATGTCAGTATCCTTGCTCATGCAGCAGCCCTGAGCCTGATAGAAGGTACATAGATTCATGCTATGCCCTGGCCAGAAAAATACATGGCTTCATAATAGGAAAAAATATGTTTATGACCTGGGGATAGAGGAGGCATTCATAGACAGAACATAAATTAAAATTCATAAAAGAAAAGCTCAGTAGTATATGATCATATCAAAGTTAGAAACTTCTGTTTGAAAACACACACACACACACACACACACACACACACACACACACACAGAGAGAGAGAGAGAGAGAGAGAGAGAGAGAGAGAGAGAGAAATATACTATAATGTTAAGATGTCAAGTAACCCAGGAGAAAATAGATCCTAAAAGGTTAGGATTCAGGATGCATAAAGAACTCCAAAAATTTAGCAAGAAAAAAAAGCTATGCAACACTATGGAAAATGGGTAAAAAGTAGATTAAGGGATTTTACAAAAGAAGAAACATAAATAGCCAACAAACATATAAAATAATGCCCAACCTCACCAGTAATCAGGAAAAGGTAAATTTAAGTGAAAGATCATACTCTTTTTTTGCCAGCAGATTGGCAACATTTTTTTAAATTGATGATATATCAATATTGGCCGAGAAAACAGGGGAAATATGCTCTCAGACACCACTGGTGTAAATACATGTATCTATTTTGGAGACAATTCTACTAAAAAATAAAACTGGGCATACCCTGCATACCATGAAGCAATCCAACTTTGTGGAATCTACTTTAGAAAGACATGTGTGCACAAAGAGGCGTGTATGGGGTGTTCACTACATTTGTTTTAGCAAAAATTGGGAACAACCAAAATGTCCACCAATAAGAGAACAGCTGAATAGGCTGGGGATACCCAAAGCTTGGAAGCTTCAGCAGCAGTTAAATCAAGTGAAGTAGACTGACATGTACAGGTAATAACAAATCCTCCAGAGGTATTGTTCAGTGCAAAAGGCAAGTTGCAGAGTGATGTATATGACGTGGTTCCATTTCTACTTTAAAAACGCATACACAGAACATGGGTACATATGCATAAAATCACTCCGTAGGTTTTCCAGGGGTACAGATATCTGTATGTGCTTACATAGCACAAGGTCTTTAAAAATATTCAGCAAACCTAAAGCAGTGAATCCTCCTAGAAGAATGTGGACATTTACAGAAGGAGAGACAAAGAGGAATTTAACTCCATCTTGTAATGAATTTACGAGAGGAATTGGTTCACATGTTACTTCATTATGCAATTACAATGTGTAACTTTTTAAAAGTGAAAGGGCTTGCGTTGGGATCCCTAAATCTTGGTTCTCCCTTAGACCAGTGGCCCCCAACATTTTTGACATCAGGGACTGGTTTCATGGAAGACAATTTTTCAGTGAACTGGGTGGTGCGGGGGGTGGTTCCAGATGCTTCAAGCATGTTACATTTATTGTGCACTTTATTTCTATTTCATTGTAACATATAATAAAATAATTATACAACTCACAATCATCTGACATTAGATTCTCATAAGGAGCATGCAGCCTAGGTCCCTCACATGCGCAGTTCATGATAGGGTTCACACTCCCATGATAATCTAATGCCATCACTGATCTGGCGGGAGGTGGAGCTCAGCTTCAGTCACTCACCTGCTGCTCAACTCCTGCCATGTGGCCCAGTTCCTAACAGGCCATGGACCCATATCAGTCCGCAGCCCGGGGATTGGAGACCCCTGCTCTAGACCTTTCATTTACCTGCCTGTGTTTCTTTTCTGTGGACCAAGCCCTAGGGTAAAGTTTGCAAATCTCTGTTTCCTGTACCCTAGTGGAACTTAAGTAACCCACTACTGTATCTCAAGGGGTTGTGAAGATTAAGGAGGAGTCTAGTGGGACATCTGATTCAAAGTATGTGCTTTACACTGGATTCTTTCTTTCTCTTCCAGATAAGATTTTTAGAAGATAGGAGTTTTCACAGTGGCGGCAGAGCCCTCTGCTAAATCCTCATATTAGATGTCAAAGGTGGCATGTCATTTGACCCAATGGCTTTTTTAGTCATTTATCTTCCTAACACCTATGAGAGGTAAGACATAGCTCCCTTACCCATGAGCAAACTGAGGCCAAGGAAAAGGAATTGGCCAGTTTCCCAGCTCACAAAGCTCTGTGGGAGCTGGTGTTTTGTTTGGAACTTCTGCTTGTCCAATCTGTCAGTCACGGTTCGTGGCCACCGTGGAACACCCAACACAGCAACTTCCGCCCTTAATTATATTGAGCCATGAAAAAGTGTGATTGAAACCTACTGTCTGAATCAGATCTTTGCAATGATTAACCCCAGAAAATGATCTGCAAAATGCGTTTACAGAAACATGCAGCTGCTCTCAAACACACTGGAGGAAATTTGGGAGCTGCTGCTCTTGTCCAAGGGCACTAACCCATCCCTGATGAGACTGAGCTCCAGGCTGGGGCAGAGATGCTAGGCTGTCATACTCAGAGACATGGCCTCTCAAAGTGAGGTCAAGAGGCCACCTATCCAGAATTGCCTGTGGTGCTTATTAAAATGCAGATTCCTGGGTCTCATCCTAGAACTAGTAAATCAGAATCCCTGGGGGTGGTCCAGGAATCTGCATTTAAAGTAGGGATTCTTATGCACACTAAAGGTTGGCCCTAACTGTACTAGGAGGAAAGAACCAGAGACAAGAATGCTCATAGCCCAAATGTTCTTTAGCCGTCTTGGCCCCATAGATGGCAGTGATACATATATCACATGCATACACAAGAGGATGATGGTAACATATGACAGGCGAGAAAGAGTTGCCCCTGGGAAGAAAGAGAAAGAAAGACAGGGCAGAGTAGAGAAGGAACTACTCACTCATTATCCTCTTTAGAATCTCATATTTTTGGTGGAAGCATAGGTTACAAAGATGATAACATAGAAATGTTTAGGTAAGAGAGTCTAAGGTAGCAGTGACTTCAGTCTCCTGAAAGACATTCTGCAAGATATTTAGCATTCTTAGCCTTTTTTTTGAGACCGAGTCTCACTCTGTCACCCAGGCTGGAGTGCAGTGGCACGATCTCGGTTCACTGCAACCTCCGCTTCCTGGGTTCAAGTGATTCTCACTGCCTCAGCCCCTCAAGTAGCTGGGATTACAGGCACGCACCACCACACCTAGCTAATTTTTGTATTTTTTTTTTTTTTTTTTTTTTAGTAGAGACAGGGTTTCACCATGTTGGCCAGCCTGGTCTCAAACTCCTGATCGCAAGTGATCCGCCTACCTTGGCCTCCTAAAGTGCTGGGATTACAGGCGTGAGCCACGTCTTTGTTCCAGCAAAACCAACCTAGTCCCTGATTCACAAATCATCCTGGGAGTGTACAGCACTTACAGCCAGAAAGAAGTCTCTGGAGCAAAAAGCATTGCATATTCAATGGTCTATGACATCACCATCGAAGACTCTGTCAAAAGGGGTTTTGTTTGATTAATTTTCATTATCTGTTGTTACCCAACTAATGAAAGGTGATACTATTAATGAGTGTGTGAACGAGACAGTGTCTTCGTTACCACCTCTGAAACACTCCCAGCTTTTTCAGGGACGAATAGCCCTGACCCAAAGTGTGTCCTTTCTTCATTGTAGGGAGATACAAACTGTTTCTCTCCAAGTACTCCAACACCAATTATTGTGTGTCACAACCGAGAACACAATATGAGGCTTGTGCTTGAATTACTGCTGTTTTATGTGCCAAAAAAAATGCTAGCTTTCTTTTTTCAGTGAAGTTGATAGAGTTGGAAGACATTTTAATACCACATTTATTGGTTTGAAAGCATGATTGTTTTAGTAGCTGGTGCAAATTTCAAGGAACACATAACTCCCTTTAAGAAATATTGTTTCTAAGAAATTACATTTGACTAAATTTGGAAGCTTTAATGCAAATAACTTTCAAACAATGAAACCATATTCACAAGGAGATGCTTTTATTTTCTCCACTGAGGAAGAAATGGAGACATGTTTCCTATTGTCGTTATGTCCATCTGGACAGAAAAGGAAGTCTGTGGGCTAGACAAGCAAAAATAGGTTACATCTGGGTAGCCCAGCAGTCTCTCCCTGACTGCTGAAGAAGCTCCTCTTTGTTTCATTCCTGAAGCACGGCGTTGTTTTCTTGGACCCGTGCATCAAGTTAAACCTGAGTTAGACTATGGATCCCTTGCACTTGATTTTATGATTGTAAGACTTACACAAATGCAAGCCTAGAACACAATTGAACTCTTATTTGCTTACATCTCCATGAACAGGAAAGAAGCCACTTGATCTTCTAAAAGTTTTGCCCGGTTGCTTTCTCTTTTATACCTATTGTTAAGCTATAAAATGAAATCACCAAATTATCAATCTGCGAGTATTTGCTACTTCGCAATATATATTTAAGAATTTTACAAAACAAAACTGTGCCATAAAAAGTATTTCATCCATATGATCTTACAGTTCCACTTCTAAGAATGCATATACCCAAAAGAATTGAAAGCAAGATCTCAAAGATATTTGTATACCTGTGTTCGTAGCAGATTATCCACAATAGCTAAAGGTGGAAGCAAGCCAAGCGTCTATCAATGTATGAATGGATAAGTACAATGTGGTATACACAAACAATGAATTGTCATTCAGCCTTAAAAAGGAAGGATATTCTGGGCTGGGCGCGGTGGCTCAAGTCTGTAATCTCAGTACTATGGGAGGCCGATAGAGGTGGATCACCTGAAGTCAGGAGTTCAAGACCAGTCTGACCAACATGGTGAAACCCTGTCTCTACTAAAAATCCCAAAAAAAAAAAAAAAAAATAGCCAGGTGTGGTGGCAGGCACCTGTAATCTCAGCTACTCAGGTGGCTGAGGCCAGGGAATCGCTTGAACCTGGAAGGTGGAGGTTGCAGCAAGCCGAGATTGCACCACTGCACTTCAGCCTGGGTGACAGAGTGAGACTTTGTCTCAAAAAAGAAGGAGATTCTGACACATGCTATAACATGGATGAACCTTGAGGACATTATGGTAAGTGAAATAACCCATTCAGAAAATAGACAAAATCTGTATGACTCTACTTATATAAGATATCTAGATCAAATTCAAGAGACAGAAAGTAGGATGATGGTAATCAGGGGCTGGAGGGAAGGAGGAATGTTACTGTTTAATGGCATAAAGTTTCAGTTTTGTGAAGTGAAAAGAGTTCTAGAGATGGACTGTGGTATTGGTTGCACAGCAATGTAAACATACTTAATGCCATTGAAAGTGTCACTTAAAAATAGTTAAGATGGTAAGTTTTATGTTATGTGTATTTTACCATAATTTAAAATAATAATTTTTGAAAGTATTTCAGATTTTATGCCAAAGTTCTTATTAAGGGAACTTTCAATTTTTTCAAAAAAGTTTAAAATACTTTCCACCTAATTTTCAAAGTAAATACAACTTTCAAATTAAATACAGGGAATTTAATTAATTCCCTGGGACTTTCAGGAAACCAAACTTCTGAGCACTGTTTATTTGAAGAAAGCCTTCCTTTTTCCCTCTCCTTTCGCATAATTTCTCCCTAGTGCTGTATGTTGGTCAGCTTTGTTAGCTATTTATTTGTGCTGGTCTGTGGCTTTATTGCTCTGGTCTTTATCAGAAACTTAGGTAAATATTTGCAACCTTGACAAATGATGCTTGGATACTGATAAGTCTTTACATTAAGAAGGATATTCTTAATAAAATTAATGTTCTACTTAGTTCACAAAGCTGTACACAGGATAAATAGCACAAGGCCTGCCGAAGTGCCTGGAGACAGTAGACATGAACACATGTTGTCCTAGTAGATATTTGCTTATCAAGCACCAGCAAACAATAGAGCTGGAGGGACCCAAAGAGAGCCTAATCTCTGTCCTCTAGAGCACTAGGTTTCTAAGCAGGTCATTTAAAAGTGACAGAAAACATGGCTGTAAACCCCTATTTCTATAACAGCTAGTAAAGCACTTGCACATATTTATATATTGGAACTCTGTTCACCCCAAAAAAGGTTTAAATCCCTTTGACCATGAAAATTGGTTGCTTATGACTTCAAACTATACTACAGGGCTACAGTTACCAAAATGGCATGGTACTGGTACATAAACAGACACACAGACCAATGGAACAGAATAGAGAACCCAGAAATAAGACTGCACACCTACAACTGTCTGATCTGTGACAAACCTGATGAAAACAAGCAATGGGAAAAGGTTCCCTATTCAACAAATGGTGCTGGGATAACTGGATACTCATATACAAAAGACTGAAACTGGACTTTTTCCTTAACCATATACAAAAATTAACTCAAAGTGGATTAAGGACTTAAATGTAAAACCCAAAACTGTAAAAGCCTGGAAGACAACCTAGGCAATACCATTCAGGACATAGACACAGACAAAGATTTCGTGACAAAAATGCCAAAAGCAATTGCAACAAAAGCAAAAATTGACAAATGGAACCTAATTAAACTACAGAGCTTCTGCACAGCAAAAGAAATTATCAACAGAGTAAACAGATAACCTACAGAATGGGAGAAATTTTTTGCAAACAGTGCATCGACAAAGATCTAATATCTAGCATCTATAAAGAACTTAAACAAAGTTGCAAGAAAAAAAAATCACCCCATTAAAAACTGGGCAAAGGACAGGACATGAACAGACACTTTTCAAAAGAAGACATACATTTGGCCAACAATTATATGAAAAAAGCTCAACGTCACTGATCATTAGAGAAACTCAAATCAAACCACAATGAGATACTGTCTCATACCAGTCAGAATGGCTAATATGAAAACGTCCAAAAATGACAGATGCTGGTGAGGTTGTGGAGAAAGGGAACACTTTACACGGTTGGTGAGAGTGTAAATTAGTTCAGCCATTGTGGAAGACAGTGTGGTGATTCTTCAAAGACCTAAAGACAGAAATACCATTCCATTCAGCAATCCCATTACTGGGTAATATACCCAAAGGAATATAAATCATTCTGTCATAAAGATGCATGTGTGTATGTTTACTGCAGCACTATTCACAATAGCAAAGACATGGAATTAACCTAACATCAATGGTAGACTGGATGAAGAAAATGTGGTACATATACATTGTGGAGTACTATGCAGCCATAAAAAAGAACAAGATCATTTACTTTGCAGGGGCTTCAATGGAGCTGGAGGCCATATCCTTAGCAGCTAATGCAGCAACAGAAAACCAAATATTGCATGTTCTCACTTATAAGTGAGAGTCAAATGATGAGAACACATATAGGGAAACAACACACACTGAGGCCTATTTGAGGGTAGAGGGTGGAAGGAGGGAGAGGATCAGGAAAAATAACTAATGGGTACTGGGCTTAAATACCTGGGTGATGAAATAATCTGTACAACAAACCCCCATGACACGAGTTTACCTATGTAACAAACCTGCACATGTACCCTTGAACTTAAAATAAAAATTTAAAAAAAGAAAATAGGTTGCTTGACTCTGCACCTTTCCTTCTCTGCTTCTCACTTCCCAACTGTTCTAATTTCATATGGGAATCCATGCAGTTATGGAGAATCCACCTTCAGCAATGGGAATGAACCTAGCACCACATGACCTGGGCTGGATCAATCATCACATACTATCCCCTGACCCAGTGATTGGTTCAGGGATGGACATGTGACCTAAGAGAGTGTGGTTAGAGTAAACCTCAGGACTTCTGCTGATAACATTGGCAAAAAGATTTTTTTTTTAAATGAATGAGGGCATGTAGCCTCACAGAACAGCTGGAAGCCATTTTGCAACCACAGAGATCTGCCAAAGTCTCCCTAAGATGAAGAAACACTGAGATAGCAGAGCCAGGAAATGGTGAAGGGAATGTTGGTCCCTGGTCAAGTTGTTTGAGCTAGCCCTGAAGTTTTTCAAATCTCTGTGGGCTTTTCAATTGCATGAGCTAGTAATTTCCCTTTATTACTTAAGCCAATGTGAACCAGCTTTTCTGTTACTTAGAACCAAAAACATTCTGCTACATCATTGATACACGTCAAACACCCCCTTCCTTTTACAGAAGAAAAGACTAAATCTCATGGATGCTACGTGGCTAGTTAGGAGGAATTGCCTTCCCAGTTCCAGGCCTTTCTCCTTTTACTACTCTAGCCACTTGTGATGGGTTTGGTAACAATGAGTAAAATGTGCATTCTCCTTATTTCTAACCACGGATTGGATATGTTCAGAAATATTAAAACTGATTTTCCTCAAGTGTATCTTCTGGCAATTAATGTCATTGCTTTATAGCCACTCTGTACTACGGGCCCTTGTGATTCATTAGAAAAAACAAAGGATCAAATAGTTAGAGAAGGTATAAGGACCTTGTTTAAAATTTTATTTAATTTGCAGCTAATTTACCAGCAACTTAGGCTCAACCACGTATGCTGCTTTGCTAGTTTCTTCAAAACTTGTCATGCACTTTCATTTCTTGGTAATCATCCCTCATTACCATTTCTTATCTTTCAAAAACACAGCCTCACCACACTGTATTCTTACCTTTGGTGCCTCCCTCTACAGCTAGAATTTCCAGATTCTGTGGGCTCTTCCTCTGTAAACTCTAAAAATCCTTCCATTTTTATCTATACATACTATTTCCCCCACTCTAACAGATCTTACCTATCACCAACCCTAAAATTACCTAACAAAATGCTCATCACATCTTCAAGGAAATGTCCCACAGTGAGAGAAAAGAGAAAGGAACCTGTGTTTATTGTGCTAGGAAGATACTAGATACTTTACAGACATTAACTCATTTAATTTTCATGACCACACCATGGTAAGTAGGTAGTAGTATCTCAGTCTAAAAATAAGGAAACTGAGGTTGGGTGAGTCATAGGGTTGAATTCCAAACCTAGGTGTGTGCAGTTCTAAAGATACTTTCTTCCACTGCTTCTGTTGGACAATAGATTTTGCCCCTTTTGTACCAGCTCCAAAGGATAGTGACCGCCTGGATCTCGTGTTGAGAAGACTGAAGCCTCATCCAGGTTGACAGGGAAAGACAAAAGGATGTCTTGCCAAAGCTTGCCAAGGGGGAAAGTGGCAATCCACACACCACTTATTTCACATTTCTTCAGGCCTGTGCCTGGGGCAGTTCTAGAGGTTTCCCAGGAGAAGGACAGGTGCACCAGGGAGTCTGGCTATAAAGTTTGTACACTAGAATCTGTTGGCAGATTCTGTTGCTTAAAGTTGAGTTTGCATTCATACTTTATATCTGAAGAAATGGGAAGTTAGGGAGTTAACCACTGTCTATTGGGAAGTGATTCATGAATCAGAACAGGTGAGAATGTCAGGCTCTGAAATGAACAGCACACTTCTGTATGGAATGTACTGGGGCAGCATACCTGCCTTCTTTCTCAGATCAATGTTGACACACTTAAATTTGTGAATAAGGCCTTCCAGGATATCTTGTTTAGGAAGAACCAGTTCACTTGCTAGTATCTAGGCTTTCTAGGTATCACGAGGGCTTTCTGTCAAAGCATAAACAAGCAGTGAGAAATCATCAGTGTTCTCTCTCTGAAGAGAGAGACACCAGGAAAGGAGAGAGGGTAGCAAGTTAGCAGGCATGGAAAGCTGCTGCTTTGCAGATGTGTTCATCAGGCATAATCCTTAGCTGGATGTTAGACAGTACCAGAAGTTGCATGGTGACTTGTCTGATGGTTGCAAAGATATTGGTCCTCATGTGGGATTATTCAAGATATTCAGAAGGGAAGAAGCTGAATCTGGTTACAAAAGGTGTTCCTTAAATACGTAATGAATGAATGAATAAACAGTTCAATGGAAATTGGGGCAAATTAAGGATTCAGTAGATGTGAGGTGTATTTGTCTCATGTCCTCATCTGATGAACATCTACCATATTCAGTTGTCTAGTGAGGACTCTTTTAGTGTAGAAACCAAGGAGGCACATTTGGGGTTCATTTAGAGATGGGGTATTTGGGGCTGGGGGGAAGCCAGCATATGAATGATGGGCTTCACCAGGAGACAAAGGGCATCTGTCTAAGGGATGGATGCTGAGGGTGGACCTGGCAGGCTGAGCAGGTGAAACTCTTCCATTGGAGCAGACTGTGGGTTTATTTGAGCTTAAGAAAAGGAGGTCATTCCCAAGAATGAATAGCAGTGGATTTGTAGACTTTGAAATTAACAGATCAAAGACACCAGATCTCTGTAGAGAACTTAATATGATCTCTAGATTCTGAAGCTCCAATTCTCAGCCCTGGCTGCACCCTAGAATCACCTGGGAGCTTTTCAACCCTACCACTGCCAGGGTTTCTCCCCCAGAGCTTTGGATTCAGGCAGTTCAGAGTGAGGCCCTGGAATCAGTATTTTCAAAAAGACCTCCAAGTGGCTCTGAGAATATCACTGCAGTTGAGACTGTCCACTCTAGACATAACTCAAAGCAGGCAAATTTTCAGGATTCCATGGCTAGACTATGACATTTCCAACAACCTCAAGAGAGACATTTTAGGATTATTCATTCATACTGTGTGCATCCTTGGTTTCTCACTAGCCCCTGTTCTTAAGGCCTGGCAGATTCCCAGGTGACTTCTATCCATGAGAGTGTCCCAAGAAGGGCCACTGGGAAACACACTTATAGAGAGTTTGGATTATGATCCCAAAAGACACATTCCTGAATGCCATCATCCCCGAGGTTGAAATCCTGAAAGATCAAAATTTCTAAAGACTAAATCCTTAACATCTAAAATCCTGAAAATCACAATCATAGGATAGTTGCATCATGTTAGGTGAAACTGTTACCTTGTTGTGGTCTTTATTTGGAAATTAAGTATGGTTTAAGGAGATGCATATAGTGCCAAGTTGACAGGGATGGATTTATTGACTTAATTTGAGATGTCAACTTGACTGATTAAGGAATGCCTGAAACCCTGGTAAAGCATTATTTTGGGTGTGTGTGAGGGTGTTTCCAGAGGACTGAGTAGACTCGGTGAGGAAGATCTGCCCTTGATATTGGTGGACACCATTCAATTGGCCAACAATCTGGAGATAACAAATATAGAAGGCCAACTGGTCTCTCTCTGAGAGCTGGGACAGACTTTTCTTCTGCTGCCTTGGACATCAGAACTCCAGGCTCACCAGCCTTTGCACTCCAGTACTTAACAGCAGCGGCCATCTGGGTCCTGAGGCTTTTGGCCTCAGAGAGTAACACCATTGTCTGCTGTGGTTCTCAATATAAAAACATTGAAACTTCCTCAATAAATGAACAGATTTCCTTTTTGTGTATCTGCATTTGTGAAAGACCAAAATTTCTTGAGATCTTGCCTTTTTGGGCCACTGCATATGCAGTGGTGACCTATAGAGGTTTTTGATTGATCTTGTCAAAAGACAGGTTGTCCATCACAGTATTTCGGATGACTGGAGTTATAAAGCTAGGTACACACAACTACCAACCATCATGATACATGTTTATACACTTTGTTTTTGGCATATTGCCTTATGAATACAGTTCATCTGCTTGTAATTGTTGTAATCATGTGACTGTTGTTAGAATAGCTGAGTGCTTATGTTTGCAAAGATATATATGTTATTATTGCCAATTTTATTGTGTAAATTGGCCTCTGAAGTGCTCTGTCAGTTTTTATATGGTTCTCAAATAAATCTCCCTTAAAAATGTAAATAAATGTTTTAAAGATAATTTCTTCTTATTTTTTCCAGAATTATATTTTTGGGATTTTGATCTTTCAGGATTTCAATATTTGGGATGGGTCTTTCAGGATTATGATCAACCCCCTATGTGGAACCATACTGGGGAAACTATGAACAAGAATAAAATCTCAGAAGCCTGGGATTTTGACATTGGAGGCAAAGGAAAATCACATCAGAGAGCCCTGCTCAGTGCAAAGAGCGCTAGGCCGGGTGCTGGAAGTGCTGACTTTCACTCATGACTGCAGCTGCCCCACTGTGATCCTGGGGAAGTGACCACTGTGATCACTGTGGGTCTGAGTACTGTCATCTGTTCACTTCCATGTCCTTCCACTTCTGTGACTCTGTGAGGCTAACTCTGTTTCTATTTTTTTTTTTTTTTTTGAGACGAAGTCTCATTCTGTCGCCTAGGCTGGAGTGCAGCGGTGCAATCTCGGCTCACTGCAACCGCCGCTTCCCGGGTTCAAGCGATTCTCCTGCCTCAGCCTCCTGAGTAGCTGGAACTACAGGTACACACCACCACACCCGGCTAATTTTTATATTTTTAGTAGAGACAGGGTTTCACGATGTTGGCCAGGCTAGTCTTGAACTCCTGACCTCAAGTGATCCACACCCGCCCCCCCCCGGTTTGGCCCCCCACAGTGCTGGGATTACAGGCGTGAGCCACCACACCCCGTCGCCTAACTCTATTTCTAAAAGCTCTGCCAGTTGGAGATTTCTCTAGCCCACTAGAGTTTCTGGCTTTGGGGGACAGGGAGGGAAGGGAGGGGAAGCTGTGTTATAAGAAGAAAGTTTAAAAAGTAAGCATAAATTATTTGAGCTTTTAAGAGACATTAACAAGCTACCATACTGAGGGTATTAAGAACACTAAAATTTGTTTGGCTTTGGATAGGGAAGCTACTGAAATTGAAGAAGAAAAGATGGGACTGAATGAGCACTCCTTGGGTTGGAGAAAAACCAACATGATCATTATCTAATCATCATCATAATAATGATAATGGACATTTGTATAGCACTTGGCAGTTTACAAGTTACTTTCTTATAATAATAATTACCACTATATGGTACATTACAGTAACAAATACTTTTTAGGGCTTTACCCCGTTCCACTGTAAAAGTTGGTATTAGTGGAGGATGTAAATAGACTTATCTACATGATTAAGGAACTAGGAGGAGTGGAGGTTCAACACCAGCAGTTGGACAGCAAACATCTTAGAAGACCAGGCACATCTTCAGCCACACCCTTGGGTTCAACTTGGTGGTCTCCTGGTTGGGGTCAGGAGCAGAAGTGGGGCCATGGCCTCCACTTCCCTTCCTGGGCAATGTGCCTTTCTTTCATCACCATGGAGTCCTTGCCTTTGTTTTGTTTCTCCTTGTCATTTATTTCCATTAACATGCAGTGGTTTTTGTCCTTTCTCTTCCCGATTGTCACTTTCCTCACCTAGATAGAGAAGAACCAGCCCTCACCTAGCTCACTAGTCTGTATCAGGCTCAAATGAGGTGATGTATGTAAAAAGGTTTTGAGACGTTAAAAAGCACAGTCCAGAAATACCTGAAAGCATGTAAACTCTTACGATTTGGGGGCTTAGCAGGACCAGGAATTTGATCTCATTGCCTCCAGGTCATATCATGACCCTCTAGGATCCCTCCTCCCTGTCACACATCCCTCTATGGGCACATTGATTCCAGGATTTCCAGAGTACATCAGGGCTGAGCCGACCTCATGGCCCTCGTGGATTGTCTCTGATATGGTTTGGCTCTGCGTCCCTACCCAAATGTTATCTTGAATTATAATCCCCACATGTTAGGGAGGGACCTGGTGGGAGGTGACTCAATCGTGGTGCGGTTTGCCCCATGCTGTTCTCGTGATGATGAGTGAGTTCTCACGAGATCTGACGGCTTAAAAGTGTGGCACTTCCTACCTCACTCTCTCTCTCTCTCCTGCTGCATTGTGAAGAAACTGCTTGCTTCCCTCTCACCCTCTGCAGTTTCCTGAGGCCTCCCCAGCCATGCGGAACGGTGAGTTAATTAAACCTCCTTTCTTTATAAACTACTCCGTCTCGGGTAGTTCTTTTTTTTTTTTTTTTTTTTTGGAGACGGAGTCTCATCTGTTTCCCAGGCTGGAGTGCAATGGCGTGATCCCGGCTCAGTGCAACCGCCGCCTCCCGAGTTCAAGTGATTCTCCTGCCTCAGCCTCCCGAGTAGCTGGGATTACAGGCGCCCGACACTATGCCCAGCTAATTTTTGTATTTTTAGTAGAGATGGGATTTCACCAGGTTGGCCAGGCTCGTCTCCAACTCCTGATCTCAGCTGGTCCACCCGCCTCGGCCTCCCAAAGTACTGAGATTACAGGCGTGAGCCAACATGCCTGGCCCTCAGGTAGTCCTTTATAGCAGTGTGAAAACGGACTAATACAGTCTCCCTGGTTTCTCACAGTTTTCTTCCATTTCATTGCTCTGTCCTTGTCTCACCTGAGTTGGGTATTTCCTCAGAGAATATTAAATATTTTTGCTGTCAATCTAGAATTGTAATTAGATAAGTTGGCAGCCAAAAGAAAAGAAACTTCATGAATTATAAAGCCCGATATTAAATGAATTTTTTGAACATTTGGTAAAGTTTATACCTTGTCTGGCTTCTTTGTTCCTTTCTCAAAACAATGATTTTCTCTTTCAAATATCTTATTCTCCGTTAAATTTTCATTTACAACCAGAATGTGGCTTTTTTCCCTAGTCTGAGAGTCCTGACATCATCTTAACTAGGGAGTTTGTGGTTATTTGTAGCCAGGGACTAATGAGCAACAACAACAAAATGTCAGAAATACTTAGAGGATGAAACAGATTATTAAATTCTATTTTGTTACTAGCATGTCCATAAATTAATCTACCACCAATTTTAGCCATACATTGAAAGTCAGTAACCTTGTGAAATCCATGTAACTCAGTTTTCCAGAGAAAAAGATAATGTTTACTAAATCAATCACTGTTTGTTTGTTTGTTTGTTTATTTTAGGCCAGATGCAGTGCCTCATGCCTGTAATCCCAGCACTTTGGGAGGCTGAGGGAGGATTGCTTGAGGTAAGGAGTTCGAGACCAGCCTGGGCAATACAGTGAAACCTCATCTCTATAAAAACTTTTTTAAAATTAGCCAGGTGTGATGGTGCACACCTGTGGTCCCAGCTACATGGGAGGCTGAGCCAAGAGGATCTCTTGAGGCCAGGAGGTTGAGGCTGTAGTGAACTATGTTCATACCACTGCACTCTAGCCTGGGTAACAGAGTGACACCATCTCAAAAGAAAAATTTTGATGAGAATTATTGGAATAAATCTGTTAGTTATGATACATATGGAGAGAGAGGGGGAGAGAGATAATTGATTATTGGATTCTCTTTGTTTTAGAATTTTATTTATTTATTGACAGAGTCTCACTTTGTCACCCAGGCTGGAGTGCAGTAGTGCGATCTTGGCTCACTGCAACCTCCATCTCCTGGGTGCAAGCGATTCTCCTGCCTCAGCATCACAAGAGCTGAGATTACAGGCGCACACCACCACGCCCGGCTAATTTTTTGTATTTTTAGTAGAGACGGGGTTTCACTATGTTGGCCAGGCTGGTCTTGAACTCCTGATCTCTAGTGATCTACCCACCTCAGTCTCCCAAAGTGCTGGGATTACAAGTGTGAACCACTGTGCCCGACCAGTTTTAGAATTTTAAATGTAGTTATAAATAAAATGGGTTCTTGCCTAATTTTGATACCAAGTTAATTCCTTTTTAACAGAAATATTTTTTAATATAGTGTACTTGTACTTTCTAGCCTACAAACAAATTTTATTTGAAATTTTTAAAAAGCAATTTAATACTAATACTTATTGGGCACTTGTCAACCATTAACCACAGTACTAGGCACTTTGCACCCATCATCTAATTTAATCCCCACAACCCTGTGAAATAGACTTTTTTTTTGAGACGAAGTCTCGCTCCTGTCACCCAGTCTGGAGTGCAATGGCGTGATCTCGGCTCACTGCAACCTCCACCTCCCGAGTTCAAGCAATTCTCCTGCCTCAGCGTCTTGAGTAGCTGAGATTACAGGCACCTGCCGCCATGCCCAGCTAATTTTTGTATTTTTAGTAGAGACGGGGTTTCACCATGTTGGCCAGGCTGGTCTCGAACTCCTGACCTCAGGCGATCCACCTGCCTTGGCCTCTCAAAGTGCTGGGATTACAGGCGTGAGCCACCGTGCCCAGACAAAGTAGACATTTTTAATCAGGTTGATTGAACATTAGGATACATTTTCTACCAATAATAGCAACCATTTCTTGAGAGCTAACTGTGTGCTCGACACTCTTCCAGGCACTTGAATTTTCACTTAATCTTCACCATAACCCTGAAAGTGAGGCTTTATTCTCCCCAGTTTCCAGATGAGGACCCTAGGGTTTAAGATGGTTAAGTGAATCATCCAAGGGCATAGAACGAGTGAGTGGCAAAGCTAAGCTAGCCTTGGTCTTCTGCTTCCAAGTACAGAGGATCCATGCAACCCCCAGATCAGTACCAGCCCACTGAGTTTATCCACTCAGTCATCAGTCTGCAGCCCAGGAGCTAAAATAATTCATCCCAGTCATTTCAAATTTTAAAGTTCTTAATGGAGGAATTACAGTCACGTGTGCCTTAATGACAGGGATATGTTCTGAGAAATGCTTCATTAGGCAACTTCATCATTGTTGTGCAAACATCATATAGTGTACTTACACAAACCTAGATGGTATAGCCTACTACACACCTAGACCATATGGTATAGCCTATTGCTGCTAGGCTGCAAAGCTGTACTGCATGTTACTGTATTGAATACTGCAGGTAGGGTAGATGTAACACAATGGTAAGTATTTGTGTATCTAAACATACAAAAACATCATAGAAAAAATGGTATTATAATCTTATGGGACCACTGTTGAATATGTGGTCTGTCGTTGACTGAAACATCGTTATATGGTGACTTGACTGTATTTACAAAGCAGGGTAAAGGGAGCAAACACCAACAGACTACCGTATACGAATCCAGTAAAGAAACAGAAACAGAAACCAACTAACATATGAACAGAATCTAACAGAATGCATTGATTCGTCAGGGACACCGACTTAACATCACATGGTAGAAGACCTCTACGACAGCTCCCAATAATCTCTGCCTCCTGGCAGTCATGCCATCATATAATCCTCTTGTGCATGGAGTAGAATATAACAAAAGTGATGGGGTGTCAATTCTGAGATTAGATTGCAAATGAATCTGGCTTCCATCTTCCTCACCCTCTGTTTCTCTCTCACTTGCTTGCTATGATGGCAGCCTGCTTCCATATCGTAAACTGCCTTGGAACCAATTACCACTACCAGGGAGACAAACTATTGCTTAGAGGATGCTGACAGGAGCAGCATGCCAAAATTGGAAGAAGTAAGTCTCTTCCTCTTCCTCCCATCTACCTTTCCTTTAGTGCGCCTATTCACAGAACCAGCTGGTAAAGGAGTGATGTGATTATAGAGTCCCAGCCCCAGCATCAAAACACAGAGCATAGAAGGATGGGCTTGCAGCTGAGAAATCATAACTGACCATCTGGTCCAGTCCACCCCTTTGGCCCCTCATTACTCATATACACCCTTCTATACACACTTGAACTTCCATACAACAATATGGTTTTACGTCTCTGCCTAATAACATGCAACTAGCCTTTGTACAAATGTACTCTTACCTCTCCCAGAGAAAAAAAGACAAAAAGACACAAAATCCCAAAAGTAATTGTGTTCATTTCCAGATGACAGTCACAGTATCTGTCTCTGGGTGACATGAATATCAGTCTCGCCTGATCATTTAGTTACAGTCCCATCTGAACGTTCTGTGATCTAGAGGCTAAATTTTAATTTTGTATAAGATGTTTGTATCAGTAGTATTTACCTTAGTGAAAAATAAGAAACAAATCAAGTATGAGGCAATGAAAAACAGGACATTGGCTCATACAGACCTGGTTTAGATCAAATAGCTCCACAGATAGTAAACTTGAGTGTGCGTCTTCAATATTGTAAACCTCAGCTCTTGAATGTGCAAATTGGAGTCACAATTCCTATCCCACAGATAAATTAAAGAGTGTTCTGCTGAATGATAGTATGCCTGTGAAGTACTTAAGAAAGTCCTCAGTCAATGGTAGCTTTTGCTGGCTAGTAAAATTGCTGGTCAAAGGATGTCAAAGGAGCTTCCCAGGTAAGGGGATTCTTGAGCCCCTTAGCAGTTGTGGAAATGAAGAAAGCACTTTTAACACAGTTGATCATTCCCATCTTCCTCCGTACTTTCTTCATTTGGCTTTTGGTGTTTCACTCTACTAAAGACTATATGTTAAAGTTAAGTTAACCACCACCAATACGTAAATAAATTATAAATCATAAGGAGGAAGAAATAGAGAGAAGACATGAGTATGTGTGTAATAATACATGTGTAAATAACACGTAAGGAAAAAACCATGCATAGTTTTTAACAGTCCTTGTTTCTTTAACTGATCACCAGCAAAGTTGATATTTATAACTTCTTTCCTCCACTACTCTTTCCACATTTCCTTCCTTTGTCCTCTGCCAGGACATCAGCTGATGTGGGTTCTTTACCTGGCAGAATGATCATTGCTTTCACTTCTAAAGGGTTGGGGTCTTTCAGGTTCTGCCTATTTTTCCATTAAGTATTACTATTGGACCTGGAGGTACTAATAGGCATCCCTAAGCATCCCCTGGGTTCCAGACAGTCCTCCATGCCCTCCTTGTATGGCAGCAATCCAATTTCTCCTTGGTAATCAAAACTAACCACCCCAGCAGGTAGAATAACTTCCTTCTTTGCCTTTTAATTTAGTGGCCTGAGGAGCCCATAATGTTTCAATTGAATGGGTTGTGTCCCCTGGTGGAAGCATTCTTCCTTTGGGTACTCAGACCACCAAGACATCAGAACAAAGTTCTATAAGTATGTTATTACGTCAATAAGTGAGAGGAGCCATTTCTGCTTTTACCCCTTGATACTTTGACCTCTGTATTTTGTCTATGGGTACAACAGTAACATATATCGTATGCTGATTCAAAGTATATACTGCATCCTGTAAAACAGCACCCTAAATTTTCACAGTGTTGTCTCTCAGCTGGTGCCACGAATAGGTCTTCAGCAGGCTGTTCCATTCCACCATTCTGTCTGGCCCACTGCTTCTTACAAGATTAAGATAGCAGATCCCATGGGTGTAGGTAAGACCCATTGCCTCACTTATTTTGCTATGAAACATATTCCTTGATCAGAAGTAGTGTGGAGAAAACCATGACAGTCAATAATGTATTTTGCAATTTCATGGAACTGAGACAATAGCCTAGTATAGGGCATAATTTGCATCATCTGGAAGGCATTAGCACCCCTAGGCATGAAAGGACAAGGGGAAGAAAGATTGTTTCTGGGCCAAGTAAGAGCTAGAGACTCAGAGGAGGTACCTCCCTCCTACCCACCCTGGCAGGAGCTATGGCCACCAGGGACACAACTATCGCCTGAAACATGGTGCGGAAGTAGAGAGGAATCAGGAAAGAAGAAATACTTCAGTCTCCTTCTCCTGCTGCCCTTTGATCTCTAGCCAGTGCCTCCCTTTGTCTGAACCCAAAGGGAACCAGAGGGCAAAAAAGCTGTGGTGATGCTTCAGAGGGGCCAGGCTCCCAGAGCACAGAGTAGAGCAAAGGAAGGCAGGGAGTGGACATGGGTGGGGGTGGGGACCACCCTGCGAAAGAATTATTCGGGCAAATGAGATCTGGGCGGACTTTCTGGTAACTTTGAAGTCCTAAGTAGAAAACTGAAGGGGTTAGGGTTTCAATTAATATGCTCATTTCTTCTCTGTTGGAAAGTGGACTGGAGCCGGGAGTGAATGGCTGGCTGCATAGTTACTGTGGAAACCAAAGATCTGAAGGGGCCCTGTCACCCTTTGGACAAACACCGGCAGACTGGCGTGCATGTCTCCCAGGGACCAGGGACATTACTGCGAGTGATGTGCCAATCTGCAGTAGGGTGATCACATTCTAGGGATAAAACTAAATTTAAAAAATATTTACATTGGCAACTTGTCATTTTGGAAAGGGCTCAAGATCCAGAGTCAGAAACCTCTGTAATAAATGAGGAGCCTTCTGTTTCCAAGATGGAGAAGGGATGGGGAGAACGGTAATACCCACTTTGCAGGAATGGCAGAGGGATGACATGAACATACTCTGACATGAAGCTAGTGCTCAAGAATTGGTGGTTGTTAGTAATAAAACTGCATTTCAAGCAAGATTGAGAAGAAAGACATCCAGAGAAAATAGAAAAATGATGATATGAAACAACACTAAGGTTCTAAAGGGCTATGTTCCTGTCTTCTTTATCTTGGCAACCCTGGCACCGAGCCTAGGCCCTAACAAGGAGCAACCACTCACAGCTGATGAACGAAAATGACACAAAAACAATTCCAATGGGGATGAGGCCCCAAGGTCTGAAGCAGATGACCACATGTGGGATGGAGTTAACAAACAAGCTAAACTTGGAGTTTTAATTTAAGGATGCAAATACAATCTCATTCACATCTTTGGGATCTGAAGGAATGGGATTGAAGCTTAATATTGTTAGAGAAGCCTGAGATTGTGCAAAGAAAAACAGTTCATGAAAGACATGGACATAGAGGCCCTATATTTGAAGGTCTAAACACTTCTGAATCTAAGAGTAAGTACCCAGGTGGAGAGTAATGTAAGATAAGAGCATTACAGGACTGTATAGGAGTACCCCTGGGGCTACTGGCCCAGGGAGTCTGTGAACTGTTATCAACATAATAATTGCTAACATTTATTAAATGCTCACTACATGCCAAGTGCTTAAGGTAAATCACCTTTTTAGGTTCAACGTCAACCCTGTCAGGTCAATCCTATCATTCAGATTTTACAGATGTGGAAATCAGGGCTCAGAGAGGTTAAATAACTTACCTATGGTCAGCCAGCAAATAAGTGGTGGAACCAAAATTTAAGCCTGGGTCTTATGAATTTTGAGTGATGATCCTGGCCTCCTGGTATTCACACTGTGTGGTCTCCTACCCCATTGTTTGTTGGACCAATCGAATATGGTAAAAGTGACGACATGGCACTTCCAAATCTAGGTCCTGAAAGACATGGTGGTTCCTGCCTCTCTCTCTTGGGTCACTCTCTCTGGGGAAGATGACTGCCCTGTCATGAGAAAAGTCCCAATTGGTAGGGAACTGAGGCTTCCAGTCAACAGCCAAGCAAGGAACTGAGGTCTCTTGCTAAGCCACATTAGTGAGCTTGGAAGTGGATCCTCTAGTACCAGTCAAGCCTTTGGATGACTGCAGTTCCTGCTGTTATTCCACTTACAACCTCATGGGATACTGTAAGCCAGAACCACCAGCTAAACCACTCCCAGATTCCTGACTACAGAAACTGTGAGCTAATAAATGTTTGTTGTTTTAAGCCACTAAATTTGTATGCAATTCATTATGTTGAAATAGATAAGCAATACAATATTACAATAGCAACACAATCAGAAGCCTAATGTGTTTCTCAAAGTTCCAAAGTTTCTAATCTGGGCCTTGAAGGTTGAATGGAAGCTCACCTAGAAAGAAGAGCAAAGGACATAGCATGTGCAACAACTGGAGACTGCACTTCAGCATTTGAGATCCTTTAAATAGAATGCTTCAGCTGTGAGAAGAGTATGTGCAGGAAGCAGAAAGAAACGAGTAGATAGGTGTTGCTTATGTCATGTTAAGATGTTTGGACCCTGTACTGTAGGTAATAAGGAGCTGCTGACCAACATAATAATAAGCCAAGACAGTGAGGAGGATAGACTTTAAAAAAAACACATATAAAAGCACAGAGATGAATGCTTGTTAGGAGGCTGATGGCACTAGTGGGAGATGTTGAAAGTGTGGGCAGGGATGGGGGGAGCAGAGAGGAGGGGGACAATACATGGAATTGAATGGGCAGAAATACAGTGAGTTCAACACAGAGAGGAGGCCAGGCACAGTGGCTCAGGCCTGTAGTTCCAGCGCTTTGGGAGGCCGAGATGGGAGGATTGCTTGAGCCCAGGAGTTTGAAACCAGCTTAGGCAACATAGTGAGACCCCGTCTTTACAAAAAAAATAATAATAATAAATAGAAGAAATTAGCTGAGTGTGGTGGCACACACCTGTAGTCCCAGCTACTTGGGAGGCTGAGGCAGGAGGATCACTTCAGCCCAGGAAGTTGAGGCTGCAGTGAGCTGTGACAGAGCCAATGCACAACACCTGGGTGACAGAGACCCTGTCTCAAAACAAAACAAGCAAAACAAAACACAGGGTGGGTGGGGAGGAGACATGTGAGAGAGAGAACAGAGACAGAGACAGGGACAGACAGAGGTATGGCATAGATGGAGAGAAGTCCTTCACAAGGGACACTGATTTGTTGGTATTTTTATTTTCAAGCTGTAGACCAAGACCTGGAATTAACACATCAGAAGATTCTATGAGGAAACCCATTTAAAAATAGGATGCATTTTTTTCTTTTCTGCACAGGGAGAAAGTTTAAGCTCTCCTCACTATGAGTTTTCAAGTATAAAAGACTTTTTCTTCCACGATTTTGAGAACAACTGAGGACTCTTGTGACCAGGACAACAGGGAAGCTTGCAGCAAGATAGCTCCAGGTTGGATTCATGCTTCGCACCCCAAGGGCTGCCAGCCAGAGAGGAGGAGAAGCAATCACTCCTGCAGTTTCTGAACACTACACAGACGCCAGGTAGCTTCTTCAGGAGAACAGCCCTCTGAGGAGGCAGGAAGAGGAGGCTTATCTTTCAGCAGCCGGAGCTGCTGAGATCTCTGGGCAGATTAAGCTCTCTCTAATGGATGGGCTCCAGCCTGGCACATTCAGTGGAGAGGGATCCACTCATCCATCATCAACATAATATGGTCCTCCCTGCACTTCACAGTGTCCTCTTGCTATTGAAAAGGCTTTTTTGCCTTCTCAAGTTTCTTTGTCAACAGTCTACAGGAAGAAGCTCAGGCCGCCACCGGCAGAGGTGAATGCAAGCTCACGTTTTATTTCTGACTGCTTAATCATTGCCTCGATCACTGCTCAAGCTCTGCCTTTGTTTCCAAAGGTTACCTGTGGGAAAACTTCTTTTTCTATGCTGAAATTAATAGGGAGGCAAAGATGAGTCCACTGATAAGCAGAGCCTTAAAACTCACATAGAGAAACAACTTTGCTGGAGTGTGTGTGAGTGAACCACTAAGGAATCAGATAGTGTGATGGCAGTTATCATTGCAGGTTAAGACATTTCTACAAATATTTCGACATCTCCATATACTCACTCCTTTCCCCCCTGAGTGGAGAGACTCAGCTACCAAGAGAGGAAGCTCAAAAAAAACAGAAGCTTCAAACAAACAACCAACCAAAAAAAAAAAAAAACTGTGGGTTCATCAGAGGTGGTAGGGAAGACAAAAACATGGGAGGAGCAGCTGGGCACGGTGGCTCAAGCCTGTAATCCCAGCACTTTGCGAGGCTGAGGTGGGTGGATCACCTGAGGTCAGGAGTTCGAGACCAGCCTGGCCAACATGGTGAAACCCCATCTCTACTAAAAATACAAAAAATTAGCCGGGCGTTGTGGTACGCACCTGTAATCCCAGCTACTCCGGAGGCTGAGGCAGCAGAATCGCTTGAACCCAGGAGGCAGAGGTTGCAACGAGCCAAGATCGCACCATTGCACTCCAGCCTGGGCAACAAGAGCGAAACTCCATCTAAAAAAAACAAACAAGCAAACAAACAAAAAACACGGGAGGAGCAATAAAAAGGAATCCATGCTTTGATTTTTTTTTTTAGTGAGAGGAAGGGAAGGCTGCTGCCTCTCACTTCTCCCTGTTTTGTTGTTCTTTTAAGTAGCATGTGTCACTCTGTATATATCCTGTCCATGTGTTTTCTTTTATTATTATTTGTCCACTTGCCTAGAATGAAAACTCCATGGGAGCATGGCTATAGTGTCTTGTTCACTCCTGCCTCTCCAGGGCCTGAAACAGAAGTAGGTAGACAGAGCCTGAAACAAAAGTAGGCAGTCCATAAACTTTGCTGAAGGAATGAGTGAATGAATGAAGACCCCAAGGATGGACCTCAGGAAGGTGAGCCTGGGCAAAGGTTTTCAGTCCTAGTCCATCATGACCACATAGCTGGAATACACTTATTTCACTTTGTCACATGAATTAGAGATTCATTTGGGGAAACAAGCAACTGTTAGAGTTGCAGACATCTCTGAGGGGTAAATGGCTGTTCAAATCTTGCATCTTACCCTGATCCTCACTCTATCTGCTTTCCAAAAACATGGAGCTAAGATCCCAGCACTGAGAAGATGGGCATTCCTAGCAGGGGGCATTTAGGTGTAGACAGCCTCAGTGACTCCTGGGTTTAGGATCAGTGAGATAATCTCCAGTATCTACAGTGGGCAGGTGGAAGAGTGTCTGATGCAAACTGTATCTATTTACAAGCTTTCCAGACAGCTGGGCTTGTGCCTTGGAAATACAATAATATTTGTTTCTCCTCCTTCCTCTTCACTCCTTGGCCTCGTGTTCTGCAGTACTGGAACCTGGGTCAGATTTAGCTACCTCATTCATTCATTTATGAATTCATTTAGCCAGTGATTATGGAGCACAAATTTGTGCCGGAAACTGTGCCTCAGTGTCCTCAACAGGTTCTGACTTGTGAATTCCAAAAGCTTTTGTGATCTACTGGGTAAAACATTGTTTTCTAAGGAAAATGACATGCTGATTGCTGAACAGCATATTCTAATTACCTTGTGGATCCCAGGCCATTCTTAAATTGGGTTTTGTCTTTATTGCCTTAGACTGTTAATGAATTGTTTCCCAGTCTGATTGAATGCTCCTTGAAGACGGACCCGGGTCCAGCCACTGCAGTAAATATTGCTAACTTGGGGGTGTAATTCTGCTGCTTTTGTGGTTGCTGCTTTGCTTATTTTTTTATGTCTGCTGTTTCCTGTGAGATTGTTTCTGTGTTTCATATGTGGATTGATGTTCGGTGAGGTTTATGGAATTTCTGTGCAGCTTGGGTTAAGAGTATCTCTTCAAAAAGGTTTTTGCATTTGCTTCTGCCAACCTTGTTATCAGCTCAAGTTGTTTCTTATGTTGAATTATTGGGGATGACCTCCCCCACACTCAAGTAGTATAAATTAGAACCTCGCTGGGTGTGGTGGCTCACTCCTGTAATCCCAACACCTTGGGAGGCCAAGGTGCGCAGATCTCTTGAGTCCAGGAGCTCAACACCAGCCTGGGCAACATGGCAAAACCCTGTCTCTAGAAAAAATGCAAAAATTAGCCAGGCATGGTGGCACATGCTTGTAGTCCCAGCTATTCGGGAGCCTGAGGTAGGAGGATTGCTTGAGCCCAGGAGGAGGAGGTTGCAGTGAGCATTTATCATGCCACTGCACTCCAGCCTGGGCAATGGAGTGAGACCCTGTCCCCCAAAAAATTTTTTTAAACTCAAACCCTATGGTATTATACCTGCTGTGGGTATAATCCTTTAGTTACGATTGGATGCTTGCTATGATTTCTCAGAAGGAAAACATTTTTTCCTACCCAGAGCTCTTTACAGCTAAGCAGAATTTCCCCAAATGTGCCTTTAAAAGGTATTGGCTTATGCAGGCTTCTCAGTTTGATGTCTTGTTCCTGAATGAGCAATGAAACCCCAAACGGACAACCTTGCCCTCAAGGACAGCCGAAGTATCAGATACTCCTTGCAACTCCTTATGTCAGCTCACACTCCATTTGTGGACATGGAGCATTTCCTTCCTTTTTTCTTTTCCTTTTGCAAATCTAGTTATGCATTTAAAAGGATGCAATGTACCCATTATTTCCAGGTGTTTTATGGCACTAATGTGTATGGCAGAAATGGGTGTTCTCTAATTGTTCATAATTCAAGGTAATTATAGACATATTGTTTCAAAATTAAATCAATAGATTTTCAAGCCATGCTATGTATAAAGCTCCATGCGGGACACAAAAAGGGAAAAAACACTATGTACCATGCACCCTTAAGCAATTTCACACATGCTGTCTTATCTAATTTTCACGACAGTCTTATGAGACAGTTATTATCCCCATTTTATAGATGAGGAAGCTGAGGCTGCATGATGAGTGGCTTGCTCAAAGTCACATATCTAATCAATAAGACAGCTGGCATAAAACCCATATCTCACTCGAAAGTCTGTGCTTTCCCATTGCACAGGTTCATGACATAGTCCAAGGGAGAAGACATAGCTGACAAAAGGATCAATAGCAGTGTAAGAGTAGACAAATAAAACAATAAGGACTGCATTGCAATAGATGTTATGAAGAGGGACGGACATGATTCATTGCTAGTGAATATAGGCCAAAGGGCTATAACTTCAGAGTAGGCAGAGATTTGTGGGCCACAGTGGGAAAGATGGAGGAGAAAGTTAGCTTGGGCCTTGAAGATATTGTCTCAGTGAATGAAGGGGAGAAGACCATGCCTGGCAGTGGAGAGAGCACAAGCAGAAGGTGGGAAAGCGTGTGCAGGTTATGGGCTCCATGAGTAGGTAGGTCATGGCTATATACAAGTATGCTGGGAGATAAGATGGGGAAAGTTTGAGTCCAAGTATGGAGGGCTTTGATTGGTAATGAATTTGGATTTTATTTGGTAGGCAATAAAGAACCCCAGAAGACTTTTGCCTAAAGAATGATGTAGCTGAGGCAGTACTTTAAAAAGATGTGTATGGAAAACCATGTACAAATTAATTGTCAGGGGAGAGAATGAAGGAAAGGAGAGAGCTTGGATTAAGGGGAAGCAGTGAAAATCAAATGGAACAGATGGATACCTAGATATTTCTCATACTGAGGGTGCCAAGGCCAATTGTTCTTAATTAAGCACCAATCTGGTTGATTCCATGGGAATTTGAGATGTCATCAAGGTATATTGCTATTGTCATCTTCCACAGACTGAGCACCAGTCAGGCCACTGGGTCTGAGTCCCTGGGGCTGGAGCGGGTCCAGTGGGCAATTTATTAAAAGTTGCCAGGAGAAGAAGGGTGAATGCAGGCCACATCCTGGGAAACACACACTGAACGTCAATGCTGGAGAATTCTGAGTTGTACCTCTAAGTTCATGGATGAGCATGATATAAGGAAGGGAAGGCAAAAATAAAAGTAGAAAGACAGGTACTGAAGTATTGTAAATGAACGGGTCCAGTATTTGTGAATGGAACCCACAACTTGTTTTAATTAGCTTTAAGGTGTCTAGTACATTGTGGGTCAGCTTAGTTTAAAGATATAGGACTAAGGCGAGCAGCTTTAACATCTGAGCTGAAAGGGATATAAAGATGACATACCCTCTTCTAAACTTCCACGACTCTACCACAGCACTTATCATAATGCATCATGATTATCAAGTTTTATATCTGTCTTCTCACTAGACTGTGTACTCTCTGTGGGCAGGGACTGTGTCCTGTTTATCTACATTCCTGGCATCTGGCACAAAGCCCAGCACAGGGTAGATGCCCAGCTAAGAGTTAATGATGGCTTGGACCAGGGTGATAGCAGTGGGAGTGGTGAGAATTGATCAGTCTTTAAATACATTTTGAAGATAAAGCCAAACGGGTTTCCTAATGGATTGGCTATGGAGTATGTAAGCAAGAGAGCAGTGAAGAATGACGCAAGGATTTGGGTTTGAGGAACTAGAAGGTAAAGTTGCAATCATCTGAGATGGAGAAGGCTGCAAGCAGAACAGGTTTCAGAGAAAAGATGGCGGGTTCACATTTGAACATGCTGATGCTGGGTGTCTATTATGTTCAAGTGGAGATGGCAAGTGGCAGTGGTTTCTTACATTTGAAATCTGAGAGAGAGGTTTGGGCCAAAGATACAAGTTTGGGAGTCATCTGCATAAAGATGGTATTAAAGAGTTCTAAACGGGGTGTTATCACCAGGGGAGTAAGTGTAGACAAAGAAGAGCGCCAAGGTCTGAGTCCTGGAATATTACAACACTCAGAATCTGTGAGAAGAGGAAACACCAGCAAATAAAACTGATAAAGAGCAGCCAAGGAGATAGGAAAGAAACTAAGAGAAAGGGGAAGTCCTAGAAGCCAAGTGAAGAGAAAATATAGCAAGGAGAAGGGGGATCAACTGTGTCAAATGCCACTGATACTCAAGTAAGATGAGGAGTGGGAGCTGCCCATTAGATTTAGCATGTGAAGATCATTGATGTCCATGATAAGACTTGGGTGCCTGGTTGGGGCAAAAGCCTGAGTGGGGTGAGTTTAAGAGAAAATAGGAGGACAGGCATTGGAGACAAGCAGTACAGACAACTCATTATAGGAGTGCTACAATGAGAAGCATCTAAATGGGGTGGAAGCTGATGGGCAAAGTGGGATTGAGAGAAGCCACTTGTTCATTTAGATGGAAGAAACATCAGCGTGTTTGTATTCTGATCCAGTACAATGAAAAGGCTAAGAGCTTAGACCTGCTAAGCTCACATACTCAGGCTTCCATCTTCTAGTGATGACTCCTATTGTGAGTTCATTGAGGATGAGAGCTAAATGTCTACCCTTACCTCTTGACATAAGATATATAGAAGATGCTTAGCAAATATTTATCAAATAAATGACTATGCATAAAATACTTTGCAAACTCTCTGAGCCGCAGTTTCATCTGTTAAATGAAAGTAATATCACCTACCTCAGAGAATTAAATAAGATAAAGTACATATAGTATATAACAAAGAGCTTAGTACTTAGTATATGCTCAGTAAATAGTTAGTTTTATTGTTAGTTCAATGCTTTCATTTTACAGATAAGGTATCTGAGGCCCAGAAAATAGTTTGTTCAAGATTGCACAGTTAATGACAGAGCTACCAGTTTCCTAGACTCATATTCCTTAGCTTTTTCCACATAACCAGAGAATTTACCTACAATTCCCAGGTACCACAGATGTGGGTGCTTTCAAGCCTCTGTAAATTCACTAAGTTGATGAGAAACCTGGATATTAGTAATTAATGGCAGATCTGAAATCTCTCTAGAACCTTCCTATGTGGCCAACATATGTCTTCCTGTCTAATTTGTCAAGATACTCTGCAAAGTCAATCCTAGTACAAGGCTCCATATTCATCTTGAAGCTTTTTCTTGTTTTACCAGAATTCTGGTTTTAATTTTTTGAGTAGCAATCCATGTTACTCTTTACATACCCAAGTCAAGGGACAAAGCTAAGCCACATGCTTGTTTTGTTCATTATCCAATATTATGTAAGTCTAGATGACTGACTCCATTAGTTTAACTCCAGGTGACAATGTAGATATAGATCCAAAATATGTTTCTGGACAATATTAATAGAAATTTTTATGACCTTGGAACACACCCTCCCTCATTGTACTTGCAATAGATGAATAACCTGCTCTTGCTAGGATGAGTGAAGAATGTTTACCTTTGTCAACATTTATTAGTGGAGTACTATATGCAGCTATTCCTTTAATAAAACAGTAAATCTTCAGCAAAGTTTATAGGTTGTCTTTCATCCAAAGACCTCAAAGAAACTTTGCTAACACTGTGTCATTATTCATCATACAACTTGCCAAGGGAGGCAAGTGGTGATTGTTTCAAAGAGAGAAACTGAGGTTCCAGGAAGGTTTCTGTGACTTCTAAGGGTCATGAACAGGGTAAAAAAGAAAAAAGAAAAAAAGGAAAGAAAGAGAGAGAGAGAGAGAGAGATCTGGGCACTGAGCCCAAATTCCTGTTGCTCAGGCCAAAGACCCAGCGCTCCTCCTAGAGCTCTCTAAACATTTCTTTCTGATAGAAAATGTAATTTACTACCTTGATCTGTTAAGCAGAAATGAACTCTCAACCTGTCTTCAATGACAGGGAAAGCCAACCTTTATTTCTGAAGTTACTTCAAGTCATAAAATGCTTGATTCACTGTATTAAATAATACAGTATTAAAATAAGTAAATAGCTTTGTAGTCATAATGATAGCTTGGATTTAAATGGTGCCTGTGCTCTGAAAAGCAGGGTAGTTCACAGGCTTCTGCAGACCTTTGGTCTCATTTGGCTACCCTCCTCTACCCTTCTTCTTCTTTTTTTTTTTTTTTTAGACGAAGTCTCGCTCTTGACCCCCAGGCTGGAGTGTGATGGCGTGATCTTAGTTCACTGCAACCTCCGCCTCCCCAGTTCAAGTGATTCTCCTGCCTCAGCCTCCCGAGTAGCTGGGATTACAGGCGCCTGCCACCACACCTGGTGAATTTTCGTATTTACAGTAGAGACAGGGTTTCACCATGTTGGCCAGGCTGGTCTCGAACTCCTGACCTCAGATGATCTGCCCGCCTAGGCCTCCCAATGGCTACCTTTCTTGACTTCAAGTATCCCTTTCCTTCCCACAGGTCTTTTCTTCACCAACCTGCTTTCTTCACTCACACCCTTATTCTTTCATTCAATTATTTTTTCTTCTGCACTAGCAGCTCTCAAGTGAAAAGAAACTCCCTGCTTTAGCTGTATATGAAGAAAGACCTCCAGGCCCTCTGGAAGAGCTGTGGAAGGCCATCCTATGTAGATCCTCCAAGAGGCTCTTACAGGAATGAGTTAAGATCCCATCTTGTTTGGAGGTTAATGATCAATGTTTCAGAGACTGACTAGAACTAATCAAACATTCAAGTTCTCTTCTAAATTTCCCAGTCCCTCTTCTATTTAGATCTGGGCCTTATAACTAGTTCTGGCCAATAAAAAGAAAGGCAGTTGAGAATTATATTCTTCCTCCATCGCCCTCTTAACTTGCTACAGTGACCTTGGAGGTCACATCTTCCAAGACACTACAGCTACAAGATGGAGGATGGTTGCCCACCTGACTTCTGACTTTGCATGAGCAGTAAACAAACTGTCATCCGGTTACCTGGAGATCAAAACCCCTGAGATTTTGATTGTAGCAGCTGCTGTCAATTATCCTGACTAACAGCAGGAGTGAAATATTGCAATAGTTTAAAAAAATCTAAGAGATGTGGCATTAGCTTACCAGTTAGGCTGGATAGATGGAAATCCATGATATGCAGTGGCAAAAAATTTAATGAAGTACGGCTGGCGATAACTTGGAAAGCAGACCATGAGCCAACTGAGTTTATACATTTAACACAGAGGCCAGCCAACTTTTCCATAAAAAGCCAGATAATGAATATTTTCAGCTTTATTGGACAGACTCCTTTGCAACTACTCAACTACCATTGTAGCATGAAAACAGCCATAGACAATATGTAAACAAATGAACATGGTTGTGTTCAAACAAAACTTTATTTACAAAAACAGGTAGCACTCTGGATTTGGTCTGTTGGCTATTTGCTGACCCCTAGTCTAGGGGAAGAGTTTAGATAATATGTTGCCATTGGCTGCATTTGACAAGGAATTAAAGTTAAGAGATGAGTTTAGAAAGTGTTGGCCGGCTTGCAGGCAGAAATTAAAGAGAGAAATCAGGAATTTGGATTCCCAACTTTTCACAAGCTGTAAGTGGTCTAAAAATGCTGTACAGACTCCAGTATCCACTTAGATAGGGAGAAAGAGGATAAATACACAAAAATAAACCTCCTGATAAGCAGAGTAGGCATGGAGGAGCATGAATGTAAGGCGAGCAGGTTAATATTTGAACAAAGACCCGAAAAAAGTAAGGGACAAGCCAGGTGACTATATAGGGAAAGAGCAGAATTATAGCAAGTGCAAAAGCCCTGGGGCAGCAGTGCACCTAATACCTGCAGGGAACTGCAAGGATGCCAGTATTGCTGGAACCGTGGGCACAAAGGGTGGGAAGGGGGGTGGTAGTAAAAGATAATATCAGAGGGAGGGCAGGTGGGCATGGGGCAGTCTTCAAAGGTAAATCATACAGGGCCTTGTAGGTCATTATGAAGATGCCAGCTCTTATTCTGAATTAGTGGGAAAGCCATAGAGGGTATTGAGGTGAACAGGGACACACTCCAACTTATATTCTTGAAAAGATAATTCTATAATATGGCAAAACCCCATCTCTACAAAAAAAAAAAAAAAGAAATACAAAAATTAGCCAGGCATGATGGCTCACGCCTGTAGCCCCAGCTACTTGGGAGGCTGAGGTGGGAGGATCATTTGAGCCCCAGGAGGTCGAGGCTGTGGTGAGCCATGATCACACTGCATTATAGCCTCGGTGACAGAGTGAGACTCTGTCTCAAAAAGAAAAAAATTCATTCTGGTTGCCGGACTGAGACAAAACAAAGGGGGTGGGGAGTAAGCAATAAGACCAGCCAAAAGTCTTTTGCTGTAATCCAAGCAAGAAATAATCATTCATTTATACATTCATCTGTTCCCTGAGTGGGTCCCAGAGTCTCTGAATCATCTCAACCATTTTGCATCTAGTTCTCAACTATTCGCAACTAGTTCTCAAACTTGGCTGCACATTAGAATCACCTGAGAACTGTGACGATGACTGCTCCTAGGGTTCTACCTCCAGAGATTCTGGTTTCTTGAGTATAGACCTTGGCTGGGGTGGGGTTGGAGTAGATATTGTGTGGCCCGACATCAGGATTTTTAAAGCTCCCCAGGTGATTTTCTTGTGCAACCCATTTGGAGAACCACTGATCTATATAATACACCCTCTTTGAGCTGAGCTCAGAGCCTGGTGGAGTTCCCAGTGTTCAATAATCTTCCAGGTCTCTGGCCTCATTTTTTGACTGCAGGGAGCATCTTCCCTCTTATTGACAGCTTTGCAGTCCCCATCTGGGGTGCAAGAGACTACAGGGTGCTCGGAAGTGTCCATCCTGGAGGCATCATCAAAACTACCTACTTGTTTTGGGGGTTTTTCCAACTTTTATTTTAGGCTCAAGGGTACATGTGGAGGTTTGTTACATGGGTAAATTGGCATCATGGGGATTTAATGTACAGATTATTTCATCACCCAGTAATCACCATAATACTTGATAGGTAGTTTTTCCACCTTCACCCTCCTTCCATCCTCCACTCTCAAGTAGGCCCCGGTGTCTGTTTTTCGTTTTTTTGTGTCCATGGGTACTCAATGTTTAACTCCCACTAATAAGGGAGAATATGTGATATTTGGTTTTCTGTTCACTGTAATGTGTTTAGGATAATGACCTCCAGCTCCATCCATGTTGCTGCAAAAGACATGATCTCATCCTTTTTTATGGATGCATAATATTCCATGGTTAATATGTACCACATTTTCTTTATCAAGTCCACCACTGATAGGCATTTAGATTGATTCCATGTCTTTACTGTTGTGGATAGTGCTGTGATGAACATATGTGTGCATGTGTTTTTGGGGTAGCATGATTTATATTCCTTTGGGTATATACCCAGTAATGGAATTGCTGGGTCAAATGGTTGTTCTGTTGTACATTCTTTGAGAAATCTCCAGACTGCTTTCCACAGTGGCTGAACTAATTTTTCTAATGAACTAATTACATTCCCACCAGCAGGGTATAGGGATTTCCTTTTCTCTGCAGCCTCACCAGCATCTGTTAGTTTTTGACTTTTTAATAATAGCCATTCTGACTGGTATGAGATAGTATCTCATTGTGGTTTTGATTTGCATCTCTCTAATGATTAGTGATATTGAGCAGTTTTTCATACTCTTCTTGGCCACATATATATCTTCTTTTGAGAAGTAGAAACATCTATTTTTTCCAGAGTTTCTATAGCTTAGCTTAGCACTAGGGAAGTGGGTGGGGATTGCTGGGTGTGCTGTGGGAAGATGACCCTTCCATAAAAGACAGCAGGGTGGGAAAAGGCCCCATGTTTTCAGAATATTAGTATATATACATATATATATATATATGTATATGTATACGTATATATATATACGTATATATGTGTGTATATATATACACATGTATATATATATTTATATATTTATTTATATATATATAAATATATATATAAAAATATATATATATTTAGTCGACATCCCTGTTCTATCCCAAAAGCCTAGGCCTGTTTCTCTAGCAGCCTGGAAAATCCAAATGTAGCAAGAAACACTTGTCTGCATCTGAAACTGGCCATCAGAGGACAGGTCCTTGACACACAAGCACAGAGTGGTCTTTCCTACAGCTCGGACATGCCCTTTGCTCCTTCCCCCTGTAAGTCACCCTCCTTCTATGTTTTCCTAAAGAAAGTTATTTTTACCCACTTTGGAATGCCAGTTCGGAACAGCCTCTGGCATCTTGGAAGGCACTGTACAGGTACTTTTCATCTCTAATTGCTCCTGCTTCTCCATTTAAAAGAAATATTTTCAAAGCAATGGGAGCAAGTTACTCATTCAAATGCTGTTAACAAATAACAGGACTTGAGTGTGTAATCTGAAGTTACTCAGCTTTGAAAAGTTGCCCTGAGGAGTTAAAATTTCTGCTTCACTGGAAATTAGAAGGGAGGATGGGGGGGATGTCCTTATGCGAGGAATTTTCAGCCCCTGGAATTTTATGTCTGATCTCCCTCACATCTGAGCTGGAACGTGAGATCCAGTGCAAGATTGCAGGAGAGAGCGGGCTGGGGACAGTTCTGGGGCCTGCAGGTGTTCCGTTTCTGTGCCAACCAGCAAGGGCCGCTCCCCCTGCACCACCAAACACCCGCCAGGACTTGCTGGAGCCCATGTCAGTGGAGTCAGCTTATAAATTACTCGGGATCATCATTCCATGTTGGATCGAATCATAGAGGGTGGAGTGTAGAGGTGCTGCAGCCTGGGCTTCAGGTGGAGGGCTTTCTGGAGGAACTCCACAAGCAAAGGCTGACAACGCAGCCATGACAAGCCACAGACTCCCAGCGAACTCAGCCCCAAGCCTACACTTTCTCTCATGCCACAAGAGCAACTGAGCCAAAAGCTGGGAGCCTGGGCCCCTTCTCCCATTTCTGTTTTAATTACTGCTTTTTCTTTTAATATATGTTTCCCGGCATGCTGTACCATGAGAAGTAGGGACAGCAATGCCCTCCAGGGAGGCTGCACATAGTAAGTGTTCAATATAATTAAGTGTCAGTAAATGTCAATTCCCTTCTGTGGTTTAAGAAAATATGCAGGCCCCAGGGTGGTATGGAAGAGATGTGACTGGTGAGTCCTAAAGTGACGTCAGTAATAAGGGAAGGAAAATGTTAAGGAGGTCAAGACTCCTCATTAGGGAAGAAAAGGGACTTCACCTGTGCCTGCCAATCACCAAGGACTCTCAGGTTTGGCTCTTCTGTGGACAGGTCCAAGCTTAAAAGAGTACTCATGGCATAGGAATTCTGAAAATATTTATTAAAGAGAGAAAGGATGATTCAATTAGAGGTGGGAGGGAGGGGCCATGATTAAAGGAAGAGATAGAAGAAAAGGACTTCAAGTTTCCACTTGAAGGTGGCTCCTCATCCTGTTGGCAAAGTTCTGAGGAAGAAAAGGTATATATGGAATGCCACTTACTCCACTTTGGAGCTTCAAAGAGGGTGTGGGGAGGCAGAAGGAAAAGAGGCTGAAGGAGAAAGAGCAGGAAGGGAAGAGTCAAGGGTGAAGTGCTCAAGTTCTCCCATTCTGTGCTAAGAATAGCAGGCTCTCTTCAGGGGAAATTCAGTCCCTCTTCCCACCATGGACTTGACCTCATCAGGCTCTCCAGCCTGCCCCAGACCACCTACCGACAGGGACTCATGATGATAGTTTGAGAGTGAATACATTCAAGGCCCAACCCCAGTACTTTACATATCTCCCCTCCAAATCTAGAAACCAATGCCTTGGCTCCCTATGTTCCTACAACTTGGCTTTTTCTGCATAAATCCCCTTTCAAAGCTCTTGTCTTAGAGCCAGTTGATACTGATCGACACATATTTTAATTAAATTTGCATTTACCTATTGATTTTCATACCCAGTCTCATTCCAAAAAGGATTGGAGGCAGCTTCTAACATTTCAATGTGATAATCACTTTGATAAATCTGCCTTACCACCCCTGTTCACAAACACCTGTATCTACATCCACGAAATATAGATGATCTTCATAGTTTAATTGTAAAACAATACACAAAACACCTTTGAAACCTGGCTCCAAGTTTTAAAATAGGTGCATTGTACTTTGTATGCTAAGAAGTTTCAGACAGGATTGGGCGTCCTGGCCACAGAAATAGAGTCTTGTGGGAGACCCCCAGTTTGGATTCAGAGTTTGGGATGGCCAGAAGTATGACCACATTGATTTTCTTTCCTTGTTAGGTGTAGAGAAAAAGAGGTACACAGGTTGTGTTGAAGAGCAGAGTTTCGTCCAAACCAGGTGTTTGGAGCATTGGAGGAGGGAAATTTTCCTCCCTTCCAGGAGCCCCTCCAGCATCCCAGATCTTGCCAACTCAGACCCTTTCCCAGACAAACTTGCCTCTCATCCCTCAGGGAGTCAGTTGATCCCAGCTGGAACTGTAATCCTTTGCTAAAAGGCCTCTTGGCTGAAGCCCAGCTCAGCAGGGAAGGGTTCAGCTTTGTCCTTGGGGGGCTTCTGCAGGAGGTCCCATTCTTGGGGACTCTGACACTGTGGGAATCTGGCAGGTGCCCCTTCCCAGGTTCACAGAGGTTGCTTTGGGGGGTTGCAACAGGACTTGCTTCTCTGGTGTTTATCTCAGTGAAATTCAAGAAAGTCCATGTGCAGTTTCATCCTGGGATAAAGGAGGGTCTTCTCTTCCTACCAGCAACTCCAGGCAAGATACTCTCCTCAGCCCAAAGGGCTAAAGAGAAGGCAAAGGGAACAAAGGAAGGCCATTTTACTCATTGTTGTTGAACTTAAAATGTGTAATTATCTTCTGAAAACAGCTGAAGGGCTTATGTAAAGCATGACACAGGAGAAGGTATTTAAACATGAAACAAGGCAGCATCTTTTGCTGGAGCAGAATACCTGCTTTCCAAACTCCAGATCGACTTTGGAGGAGGAGAATAGCATGACAGCCTCCATGTGTGAGTCCTGTCAACACTTGGCATCCACCTTCCCATTCACTTTTCACAACACTGCATGGTAAACCATTTCACAGATAAAGAAATGGAGTCTCAGAGAACTGGAGTAAATTGCCCAAAGATGCACAGCTACTCAATAATAGAACCTGAATTTGAACCTGCTGGGTAATTCTAGAGCCCTCAGCCTTAGCCACTACACAGCGCTCCTTCCCATACTGTCACTACCCATAGTCGTTCAGCCATGCATTCCCTAGCCACTAAGGCAAAGCAAAAGATAATGGGCTCAATGAACCTCACCCCTCAGATGGGCTAAGTCACACGGCACTTTTGTTTTCATTGTGAATGCCCATCAGTGAGGCACATACTGCCTGTTACAGCAGATCTGCTTCGTGCATTTGTAAGTTTTGCCTGACCCTGGTGTGCATTTGAGTTTGCGATTCCAGGACTACAACATTTCTAATAGGAAAAATGTCAGCTCTGTCTTATTCTGATATTGACATGCTTTGGGGATGCCTTAGGAGGCTAGGAAGCCTTCTAAGTAGCTTCTGAATTTAACACATTTCTATAGAACTGTTACAAGCTGGTTGGGAATGTGGAAGCATGCTCACCAAAGACGGTTTTCATTAGGCTCAAATCAATGATGAGCTTTTCCTGAGAACTTGAGGCTTTAGGAGAGAGTAGCATGGGCCGTTGGATTATTATAACAACAACAACAAAAAGATTTTAATACATTTTTCTCTCATTGTTTTGCCTGATGACAGATGCAATCCCAGATCACAGGCATTTGGTGCATGAGAGCTTTTCTGTTTACAGGTGTCCACTGTGCCTTGGAGAGGGCTGGGGCACCGCCCTAGGGATTGTTATTTCAGACAAGAACTTCACCCTACAAAGTAAAGGCAAGACAAAATGTCATTGTCCCTTTTATGCATCACAGAGGCACATTGGACTTGTAGAAGGAGCATACCTTTTAGACACTAGGTGGACTAGGTAAAACCTGGATTTGAATCCAGCTTTTTCTACTTCACAGTTGTATGACCTAGGACAAGTTACATCAAGTACATTTTTGAGTCCAGTTTCCTCATCAGGGAAATGCAGATAAAAATACAGACTTTGTTAAGGTACCGTAAGGATTAGAGGTGATATATGGAAGACCCCATGCAGGGAAGACCCCCTGGAAGACTCTTTGTAGTTGATCTAGATATTATCAGGAGCAGCGTGGGACATGCGGCACTGCACATGCTGGCCACTAGCTTGCACAGCAGGTCCTCAAATAATGTCATGTTTTTGTTTTTGTTTTTCTGAGACAGGGTCTTGCTCTGTCACCCAGGCTGGAGTGCAGTGACACAATGCTGGCTCAACCTCCTGGGCTCAAGAGATCCTTCCACCTCGGCCTCCTGAGTAGCTGGGATCACAGGTACACACCACCATGCCCAGCTAATTTTTAAATTTTTTGTGGAGATGGGGGTCTCACTGCGTTGCCCAGCCTACACCATTTCATTAGAACATGGATAAGAAAAAAAAAATCCATGCCTTCTGGGGCCACACTCTGTGTGGAGTCTGTACTCTCTCTCCATGTCTGCATAGGTTTTCTCCAGGCACTACCACTTCCTCCCACATCCCAGCGATGTGCACATTAGGAGAACTGGTGTGTCTACATGGTCCCAGTCGGAGCGAGCGTGGGTGTGGGTGAGTGCGCCCTGTGAGGGAATGGCATCCTATCCAGGGCTGGGTCCCACCTTGTGCCCTGAGCTGCCAGGAGGGGCTTCGAGCACTCATTACCCTGAACTGGAATTACTAAGTAAATAATGATCTTGTTTTTATTCATCAAATGCATGTATAGCTCACATTTATTTCAGTGTTTAGTATTAGAAGTGTTTTGAGTCTTTACCTAGAAGTTTGCTGATGTTTTTGTGACCTGAAATATACTGTAGGAACTCAACTCTAGTTTATAGCCATTAGCCTGTAGTAAAATTGGTTTCCCTTTAAGTTGTAGTTCCGAGAACCTAAGGACAACGTTAACTTACTGTACTGTCAAGGTCAAAGGAACTGCTCTGTTTCAGAATGGATGGTTGGACTCCACAAGGGCAGAAAATGCCACACAGCACATCACCTGAAGTGGTGCTCAGAGTGTCGGGTTTCTGGTTTTCAATTATTAAAAACACGCAAACAACTAATACCACCCTCCTCCCACCCCTCTCACCCCACGTGGATAAAGCCAGGTTCAAACCCCTGGGTCGTCCTGGGTGAGGAGCCCTCAAATGGCAGTTTGCTGCCCTCTGCTGTCCATATCGAGAAGTCCTGGGGGGGATGCTTTGGGCAGCACCGCCAGCCTTAACAATCCAAGGAGCTTGGGCGCCCAAGAGGGAGGGAGTACCAGGAAAAGCCACATAGTCGGAGGGGTCTGGCGAAAAAATGAAAATGTGGGACAACTTCTTAAAAACAGTGAGAGTTTCAAGACAGCGAACAGAGTATTAAGCTAAGCTGTGGACATTTGTGAGGGTGGGGCCTGTGCCACTATCTCCCACACTCTGAAGCTGGCCTCATTATTCCCTGCTCCTGACATTGCACGTCAGGGCTATGACAGAGTCTCAGTGGTTCCTGAAGAGTCTAAGTTTAGGAGAATATGTGGGGAGAGGAGTTGCAGGTAAGGTTCTCCCTAATATGCCAGGCTGAGGGGAATCAGTTTCTCTTGGCTATAATGTAGTGGTACTGAAAGTCTAATTTTTTTTTTTTTTGAGACAGAGTCTTGCTCTGTCACCAGGTTGGAGTGCAGTGGCGCAATCTCGGCTCACTGCAAGCTCCACCTCCCAGGTTCACGCCATTCTCCTGCCTCAGCCTCCCAAGTAGCTGGGACCACAGGCGCCCACCACCACGCCCGGCTAATTTTTTTGTATTTTTAGTAGAGACAGGGTTTCACCGTGTTAGCTAGGATGGTCTCGATCTCCTGACCTCGTGATCCGCCTGCCTTGGCCTCCCAAAGTGCTGGGATTATAGGCGTGAGCCACCGCGCCGGGCCAAAAGTCTAATCTTTTTTCCACTTCCTTGCTATTGGAGTTTGAGAAAGAAAAAAACAAAAAAACAAACAAACAAAAAAACAGGACTCCTTGTCCCAGCCTTGGGAACCAATTCAGACTCAGGGAGTCAGACAGATGGAGATTAAAATATCACCTGCATTACAGAACAGACTACTCTGGAGGACAGAGCTTGGCAATGATGAGCATGCTAAAATGCACTCCCCAGTTCCACCAGGAGAGATCCACGCAAATGAGAGTGTGGGCCGACTGCTGTCACCCACTAGTTAGCTAACTCAGCACACTTCCATCGGGAGGATTAAGGAGCAGAGCAAGACGCCAGGAGGATTTAGAGAAAAAGCCCTCTGTGTGGAAACCAGAGCAGTGGGGGGCCAGTGTCCCCCCGATATTATTCAGGGGCTAACTAGGAAGATAGACACCACTCCAAGTAGTTACAACAAAGGGAATCTGATGCAGGGAATTGGTGGAGGTGCTGGGAAGAGAAATCCCAAGATTCTCAGGAATACAAAGTCACTGCCATTCTTAGGATGAAGGAGTGAAGGGGTAAGGTGCTGTTCCCAGATCCCCCAGCCAGATCACTGGCAGGAGCCAGAACCTGTGAGGGTCCCTCTGGCAGGAGCTGGAGCTATGAAGGAAAAAGAGCCACTGCTGGATATGCCACCTGAGATGGAGAGAGACGGGATGAGACCCTAACTTCTCCCTTCTTCCCACCCTGTTTCCTACCAGAACCTTCCACTGGCCACTCAGCGAAAGGCAGCTGATTCAGCACCTGGAGAAGACCGGCAACAGGGCTGAGTTTCCTTGCACTGCAGAGGAGGGGAGAGGCAAGGAGTGGACATGAGCACGGAGGATCCAGGGCACTCCCTTGATGGTGATGCCCTCGAAGGGCTGCCCCGTGCCCATTGTACAGAATGTGGATTCCACCCCACGCCATGAGAGCTCTCGCGCAGGCCCAGACCACTTTATAAGCCATATTTCCCACCAATTCCTGTTTCTGGATCTGTCAGGTTATTTCATATTTCTAGGCCCTTAGCTTTGCTTCCTCTTCCCTGAACGCCCTTTGCCCACATCATCCCAGCTCTCCTTCTCCTCCTGCCTTCTGTCTTCTCTTCCTCTCATTTCTTGTCACCCAGGCTGGAGTCCAGTGGCGTGATCACGGCTCACTACAGCCTTGAACTCCCGGGCTCAGGTGATCCTCCCACCTGAGCCTCCCGAGTAGCTGGGACTACAGATGCACACCACCATGCCAGCTAATTTTTAAAACTGTTTTTAGGGATGGGGTCATCTTCCTGTGTTGCCCAGGCTTGTCTCAAACTCCTGGGCTCAAGTGATCCTCTCACCTCAGCCTTCCAAAGTGCTGGGATTACAGGCATGAGCCACAACATCCAGCCCCTTTTCTCTTTTCTTACCCTTCTTTCCTATTTTCTTTTCCATTTTCTTTCCCTCCCTTCTTCTTTCTTTCCTAACTATTAAGGAGTAGATTGAATTCAAGGTCTTTATGTGTGTCAGTTTTTGTTTTCCAACAAATATTTCTTAAAAACCAACCATTGAAACGTAATGGTAACCACTGGCCCCTGTCTCCACCTCCACACCTAAGAAGCCCCAAATCCAGATGTGTCCATTAAAATCAGTCCAGATCTTCTTTACCAAGCCACTAGATGTCATATTAATTTCACAGCAGAATAGGGAAGCCCATGCCGGAGCTGAAAACCTGCAACAACAAAAAAGCATCTAAATACTGCAAAAAAAAAAAAAAAAAAGAGGGAGAGAGGCATCTTAATATTTGTCCTTAACACATCATACCAGACTTCTGCTTCCAGGAATGACTGGATGTGGTTTTTCTAGGTGGACATAATACAAAATGCAGCTACCTGAAAACAATGGAAAGTGGACAGAGCAGGCAGATTCTGGTGGGAAGTCCACGCAATAAAGAAAAGATGTTACAGGAAGTGAGCGCCCATTTTTGCTGTTTTTAGCTTGGAGGCAGGTGCAGCCATTGTGCAAACCAGGTGTGGTGCTGGTGGAAAAACAGCCATCTTTTTGGACTATGAAAATGGAAGGTTGAGTTCAGGGCAACTATAACTGCCAAAAGAGAGAAGAAAGAGTTCTGGAAGAGAAAGAGCCAAAGAGGGAATTCCCAAATTCTTTCTGCTCCTGTCTGTGGCTGATCCCAAACCACGGACACACACAGCAAAAACAAAAGCATCTCAGCCAGAGACAAAAGAGTCTAAAAGAGACTGGACCTGCCACCTGAGAAACAGAGTTTGAAGTTAGAGTTCAATCACAAAAAAATGCCTGCTAAAACAAAATAAACAAAACCTATTAGAGAAAAGGTGTTCTCTTATCAGAATGTAGGGCCTCCACAACTTAACGTTTATAATGTGTACAATCCAAACTTATTCGACATATGAAGAACTGGAAAAGTGGGACCCATTCTCAAGGGAAAAGATAGCGGAGATTCACTCCAAGATGACCCAGATGTTGGAATTATCCACCAAGGATTTTAAAGCTACTATTATAACTGTTCTCATGCTATAAAATCCACTATTTAGATCATACTTAATTGTGAAGAAATGAATTCTTTCCTCCTAAGATTAGAAACAAGGACGGCATGAATACCCACTTTCACTACTAACACTGAATTTTGTACGAAGGTCCCAGTCAGTTCAATATTTTTAAAAAGATTTTAAAAAAAGCAATAAAAGGCATACATATTGGAAAGGGAAAAGTAAACTGTCTAAATTTGCAGATGACAAGGTCATATAATGGTTTAAAAAAAGCTACTAGAACAATATGTGAGTTTACCAAGGTTAAAGGATACAAGGTCAATATGCCAAAGTCAAGTGAATTTCTATATATTTGCAATGAACAATTCAAAATGGAGTTTTAAAACATTTTTATTTATGATAGTCTCCAAAATACTTTTTAAGAAAGAAAATGACAGAAGCAACCCAAGTGTCTACTGATGGATAATTAAATTATAGTATATAAATACAATGGGGCCGGGTGCAGTGGTTCATGCCTGTAAACCCAGCACTTTGGGAGGCTGAGGTGGGAGGATCACTCGAGCCCAGGAGTTCAAGACCAGCCTGGGCAACATGGTGAAACCCCATCTCTAGAAAAAGTACAACAATTAGCTGAGCATGGTGGTGCACACCTATGGTCCTAGCTACTAGGAGGCTGAGGTGGGAGATCACCGGAGCACAGGAGGTTGAGGCTGCAGTGAGCTGTGATTGTGCCACTGCACTCCAGCCTGGGTGACAGAGCAAGACCCTGTCTCAAACACATATATACATACATATGTGGAATACAATGGAATATTTACTTAAAAAAGAAAGAAAATTCCGACAACATGGATGGACCTTGAAGATATTATGTTGAGTGAACTAGTCACAAAAGGACAAATACTGCATAATTGTACTTTTATGAGGCACTTAGAGTAATCAAACTCAGAGACAGAAAGTAGAATGCTGGTTGCCAGGGGCTGGTAGAATGGAAAGTTATTGTTTAATGTTTATAAAGTTTTAGTTTTGCAAGATAAAAAGATTTCTGTGGATGGATGGTGGTGATGGTTGCACAATGTGAATGTACTTAATGCCACTTAAAAATGGTCAAGATGGTAAATTTTATGTTATGTGTATTGTACCACAATTTTCTTTACAAGGTCTCAAGTTGGACATTAAAATGCCAGGCAATTAAAAGTATTTATGTTTAAAACTTAATTTAAAAAATAATTGACAAGTATATTCTAAAATTTGTTCGAGAAGGCAAAGGACCTAGAATAGCAAGAATACTCTTAAGAAAGGAAAACAAGTTTGGAAGGACTTAAACTACCTGAATTCAAGACTTATCATTAAGATACAGTAATCACAACAGTGTGTTACTGGCATAAAGATAGACCATATGAGATCAATGGAACAAAATAAAAGCTTTAAAATGCACCAATACTTATATGGTCAATTGATTTTCAACAATGGTGCCAAAGTAATTTAATGGGGAAAAGATAGTCTTTTCAAAAAATGGTGTTAGAACAACTGGATATATATATATATCCATTATATATATACACTCATTTATATATACATCATATACATGTATGTATCATATATATGTATATAGCCTCAACTCTTATTTCATATCATATACAAATATTTGAATTGATTGTAGACCTAAATGAAGGAGCTAAAGCTATTAAACTTTTAGAAGACAGCATAAAAGAATTTCCTTCCTTCTGCCTTGCCTTGCCCTGCCCTGCCCTGCCTTGCCCTGCCTTGCCCTGCCCTGCCCTGCCCTGCCCTGCCCTGCCCTGCCTTGCCTTGTTTTGTAACAGAGTCTCACTCTGTTGCCCAGGCTGGAGTGCAGTGGCGTGATCTCAGCTCACTGCAGACTCAATCACCTGGGCTTAAGCCATCCTCTTGCCTCAGCGTCCTGAGTAGTTTGGACTACAGGCATGCGCCACCACACTTGGCTAATTTTAGTTTTGTTTTTTTGTTTTTGTTTTTTTGTAGAGACAAGGTTTCATTATGTTACCCAGGCTGGTCTCAAACTTCTGGACTCAAGCAATCCTCCCTCCTCGGCCTGTAATTATTTCTTAAACAGGGCACAAAAAGCACAAATCACATAAGAAAAAAAGATAAAACAGACTTCATCAAGATTTAAAGCTTTTCCTCCTCAGATAACGAGTTGAGAAAACAAAGACAAGCCACAGATTGGGAGAAAACATTGGCAAAACAGCTATTAAAAAAGCCTTCTATCCAGATTATATAAAGAACCCTTAAAACTCAGTAATAAAAAGACATACATAGTAAGTAATGGGCAAATGATTTGAACAATCACTTTATAAAAGAAGATAAATGAATAGCCAACAAACACATAAAAAGATGCTGAACATCACAAGTCATTCAAGGAAGTGCAAATTAAAATAATAATAAAATACTATTAAATGTCCACTAGAGTGGCCAAATTTAAAAAAAATGAAAATCACCAGGTATTGTGGCTCACACCTGTAATCCCAGCACTTTGGGAGGCTGAGATGGGCCAATCACTTGAGCCCAGGAGTTCAAGACTGGCCTGGGCAACATGGCAAAACCCTGTCTTTACACAAAATACAAAAATTAGCCTGGAGCATATCTATAGTTCCAGCTACTCAGGGGGCTGAGGTGGGAGGATCGCTTGAACCCTGGGAGGCCAGTCTGCAGTGAGTTTAGATCATGCCACTGTACTCCAGCCTGGGTGACAGAGCAAGACACTGTCTCAAAAAAAAACAAAAAACAAAAAAAAACCCCAAAAAATAAAAATGTGAGGAACTCTCACACATTTACACATTGCTGAAGGCAATGCAAAGTGGTACAGTCAGGCCGGAAAACAGAGTGACAAGGTCCTATAAAGGAGTGGTCCCAACCTTTTTGGCACCAGGGACCAGTTTCATGGAAGACAATTTTTCCATGGACAGTGGGGGAAGGGAATGGTTTTAGGATGATTCAAGCTCATTAAATTTATTGTGTACTTTATTTCTATTATTATTACATTGTAATATATAATGAAATAATTATACATCTCACCATAATGTAGAATCAGTGGGAGCACTGAGCTTGTTCTCCTGCAACTAGATGATCCCATCTGGGGGTGATGTGAAACAATGACAGATGATCAGGCATTAGATTCTCATAAGGAACACACAACCTGGATCCCTCGCATGTGTAGTTCACAATAGGGTTCATGCTCCTATGAGAATCTAATGCCTTTGCTGATCTGACAGAAGGCAGAGCTCAGGCAGTAATGCGACTGATGGCAGGTGGCTGTAAAGAGAGATGAAGCTTCATTCCCTTTCCTGCCGCACACCTGCTGTGCAGCCCCATTCCCAACAGGCCACCGACAGGTACTGGTCCAATAAAGTGGAAGATATCCTTACCAGTAACCCAACAATCCCTTCTCCTAGAGAAATGGAAACACATGTTCTCACAAAGACAAGTATGCAAATGCACATAGCAGCATTATTCATTGTAGCCAAAATTTGAAAACAACCCAAATGTCCATCAGCTGGTGAATAGATCCATTGTGGTACATCTATACTGTGGGATACTACTCAGCAGTAAAAGGGAATGAACTATTGATACACAAAACATTATAGATGAATTTCAAACACATTATGCTAAGTGAAAGGAATCAAATACAAAAGACTACATTCTGTATGACTAAATTTATATGAAATTTTAGAAAAGGCAATATTACAGGGAAGGGAAGCAGATCAGCATATACCTGAGGCTACTAAGCCAGGTGAAGGGCAGGTTGCAAAGGGGTATGAGAGGCTTTTAGCAAGTGATGGATGTGTTCTGTATCTTTATTGTGGTGACATTTACATGACTGTATACAATTACCCAAAGTCATTAAATTATACAATTAAAATATATGAATTGTACTGTATTGTAAATTATACTTCAATACAGCTGAAGAAAAAGTCAACAACAACCACAAAATCACAGCCAAAGGGCTCTTCTCTATGGCTGAAAGATATTGGGTCCACATATTCCAGAGTCCCTTGTACTCATATCATGGTCTACTATATAAATAAATCATAATTTATTTTTAAAGTTAATCATTGCTGAACATTTGTAATGTTTATAATTTCTTTCTTTTTTGAGTGGACCAATGGAGGGGTGTAACGTTCTTCTATGAGTCCCTGGAGCACTTTTGCAAGTAATTCTACATATAAAATGTGTTGGGTTATAGATTATAAATGTACTCATGTTTCTTTTTTCATATGATTTTATTCTTTTTTAGAATTTCATTTGAATAGAATCCTACCTTATGTAGTCTTTCTTATTAATACATAATAGTATATATTTGGGGGTTATATCTGGTATACTGATACTTTCATGTAATGGTAAAATCAGGGTAATTGGGATATCCATCACCTTGAACATTTTTCTTTATGCTGGGAACATTTGAATTATTCTCTTTTAGTTACATATTTATCTTTTATGCTGGGAACATCTGAATTATTATCTTCTAGTTATTGTCAAATATGCAACAGATATATTATTAACTATAGTCACCCTACTGATCGATTGAACAGGTCTTATTTCTTCTACCTAACTGTATTTTGGTACCCATTAATCAACCTCTCTTTATATCCCCCTCCCCTCCACACTTCCTGGCCTCTAGGAACCACCAATCTACTCTCCATCTTCATGAGATCCACTTTATTAGCTCCCACATATGAGTGATAACATGTGGTATTTGTCTTTCTGTGCCAAACTTGTTTCACTTAACACAATGACCATGTTGCTGCAAATGACAGGATTTCATTCTTTTTTATGGCTGAATAATATTCCATTGTGTATATATAACACGTTTTCTTTGTCCAATCATCCATTGATGGATACTTAGGTTGGTTCCATACTTTGGCTATTGTGAGTAGTTCTGCAATAAACATGGGATTGCAGTTATCTTTTCAATATATTGATTTACTTTCTTTTGGATATATACCCAGTAGTAGGATTGCTGGATCAAATGGTAGTCCTATTTTTAGTTTTTTGAGGAACGTCCACACTGCTTTCCATAGTGGCTGTACTAACTTACGTCCCCATCAACAGTGTACAAGTGTTCCCTTTTTCCCCACACCCTTGCCAACATCCAATATTCCCTATTTTTTAAATAATAGCCATCTTAACTAGGGTGAAATCTCACTGTGGTTTTGATTTCCATTTCTCGGATGATTGGTGATGTTGAGCATTTTTTCATATACCTGTAAACCATTTGTATGTCTTCAGAAATGTCTATTCAGATCTTTTGTCCATTTTTATTGGGTTATTTTTTTTTGCTATTGAATTGTTTGAATTCCTTATGTATTCTAGCTATTGATCCCTTGTCAGATGGATAGTTTGCAAATATTTTCACTTATTCTGTGGGTTGTATCTTTATTGATTGTTTCCTTTGCTGTGCAGAAGCTTTTTAGTTTGACATAATTGTATTTGTCTAATTTTTGCTTTTGGTGCCTGTGCTTTTGAGGTCTTACTCAAAAAATCTTTGCACAGGCCAATGTCCTACAGCACTTCTCCAGTGTTTTCTTCTAGCAGTTTCACAGTTTCAGGACTTACACTAAGTATGTATGTATGTATGTATGTATGTTTTTATGTATGTATGTATGTATTTATTTATTTATTTATTTTGAGATGGAGTCTCACTCTGTCGCCCAGGCTGGAGTACAGTGGCACAATCTCGTCTCACTGCAACCTCTGTCTCCTGGGTTCAAGCGATTCTCCTGCCTCAGCCTACTGAGTAACTGGTGCACAACCCCACAGCCACTAACTGTTTGTATTTTAGGAGAGATGGGGTTTCACCATGTTGGCCAGGCCGGGCTCGAACTCCTGACCTCAAGTAATCCACCCGCCTCAGCCTCCCAAAGTGCTGGGATTATAGGTGTGAGCCACTGCGCCTGGCCACATTTAAGTCTAATCCATTTTTGGTTTTTTTCATATGGTGAGAGATAGGGGTCTAGTTTTATTCTTCTGCATATGGTTATCCAGTTTTCCCAGCACTATTTATTGAAGAGATTGTCCTTTCCCCATTGTATATTCTTGTCACCTTGTCAAAAATGTGTTGGCTGTAAATGCGTGAATTGATTCTAGGTTCTCCATTCAGTTCCATTGGTCTATGTGTCTGTTTGTATATGAGTATCATGCTATGTTGGTTACTGTGGCTTTGTAGTATATTGTGAAGCCAGAGTGATGTGATGCCTCCAGTTTTGTTTTGCTCTGGATTGCTTTGGTTATTTGGGTCTTTTGTGGTTCCATATACATTTTAACATTGTTCTTTTCTATTTCTGTGAAGAACGTAATTAGAAAATTCATTGTGAAAGGGATTGCATTGAATCTGTAAGTAGCTTTGGGTAGTATTGACATTTTAACAATATTATTTCTTTCAATCCATGAGCATGGAATATTTTTTCAATTTTTGTGTGTTCTCTTCAATTTCTTTCATCAGTGTTTTATTATTTTCCTTATGGAGATCCTTCACTTCTTTGGTTTAATTTATTTATAGATCTTGTATATTTTTGGTAGCTATTGTAAATGGGATTGCTTTCTTGATTTCCTTTTCAGATTGTTCACTGCCAGCATATATAAATACTACTAATTTTTGTGTGCTAATTTTGTATCCTGCAACTTTACTAAATTCATTTATCAATTTTACCCATTTTTGGTGGAGTCGTCAGGTTTTTCAAATTATAAGATTATGTCATTTGCAAACAAAGATAATTTGATATTTTTCTTTCCAATTTTTCTCTTTCTTTCTCTTGACTAATTGCTCTGGCTAGGACTTCCAGTGTTATGTTGAATAAAAGTGGCGAAAGTGGGCATCCTTGTCTTGTTCCAGATCTTAGAGGAAAGACTTTCGATTTTTTCCCATTTGGTATAATGCTATCTGTGGGTTTGTCATATACAGCCTTTATTGTTTTGAGGTATGTTCCTTCTGCACCCAGTTTGTGGAAAGTTTTTTGTCATAAAAGGATATTGAATTTTATCAAATGCTTTTTCAGCATCTATTGAAACGATCATACGGATTTTGACCTTGGTTTTGATGTGATGTATTATATTATTGATTTGTGTATGTTGAACCAGCCTTGCATCGCTGGGATGAAACCCACTGGATGATGGTAAATTATCTTTTTAATGAGCTGTTGAATTCAGTTTGCTAGTATTCTGTTAAGGATTTTTGCATCTGTGTTCATCAGGGATATTGGCCTGTATCTTTCTTTTTGTTGTGTCCTTGTCTGGTTTTGGTTATCAGAGTAATGCTGGCCTTGTAGAATTAGTTTGGTCCTCACTCTTCAATTTTTTTGAATAGTTGGAACAGAATTGGTATTACTTCTTCTTCATATATTTGCTGGAATTCAACAGTGAAGCCATCAGATTCTGGGCTTTTCTTTGGTGGAAAACTTTTTATCATGGCTTTGATCTCATTACTCATTATTGGTTTGTTCAGGTCTTCCATTTCTTTGTGGTTTAATCTTGGAAGATTGCATGTGTCCAGAAATTTATTCTTCTGTTTTCCAATTTGTTGGTGTATAGTTGTTCATAATAGTCTCTGATTCTTTGCATTTCTGTGCTGCCTGTACTTATGTCTTCATTTTCATTTCTAATTTGATTTGGGCCTTCTATATTTTTTTCTTAGTGTAGCTAAAAGTTTGTCAATTTATTTATCTTTTCAAATAGCCAATTTTAAATTTCATTGATTTTTTGTATTTTTTTTAGTCTCAATTTCATTTGTTTCTGTTCTGGTCTTTATTATCTCTTTCCTGCTAATAATTTTGGGTTTGGTTTGTTCTTGCTTTTCTAGTTCCTTGAGGTACATCGTTAGGCTGTTTATTTGGAATCTATTTTTTGATGTATGCATTTATTATTATAAACTTCCTCTTAGTCTTGCTTTTGCTGTATCCCATAGATTTTGGTATGTTGTATTTCCATTTTTGTTTCAATAAATTTTTAAACCACTTTCTTAATTTTGTCATTGACCCATTGATTGTTCATGAGTATGTTGTTTAATTTCCATGTGTTTGTATGGTTTCCAGTTTCCTCTTGTTTTTGGTTTCTAGTTTCATTCCATTACGATCAGAAAATATATTTAATATAATTTCAACTTTTTTGAATTTGTTGAGACTTGTTTTGTGGCCTAAGATATGATCTATTCTGGACAATGCTCTGAAGAGAAGAATGTATATTCTGCAGCAATTGGGTGAAATGTTCTGTAAATGTCAGTTAGGCCTATTTGGTCTAGTGTGTAGTTTAACTCCAATGTTTCTTTCTTCAATGATTTGTCCGTTACTGAGAGTCGGAAGTTGAAGTCTCCCACAATTATTATTTTGCAGTCTCTTTCTTTAAATCTATTAGTGTTTGCTTCATACACTTGGGTGCTCCAGTATTGGGTGCATAGATATTTATAACTGTAATATTGTCTTGCTGAGCTGACCCCTTTATCGTTATGTAATACCTTGGCTCTTTTTACAGTCTTTAACTTGTAGTCTATTTTATCTAAGTATAGCTAATCTTGCAATTTTTTGGTCTCTATTTGCATGGAATATCTTTTTCCATCCCCTATTTCAGTCTATGTGTGTCTTTGTAGGTGAAGTAGGTTTTTTATAGGCAGCACATAGTTGGATATTGTTTATTTATTCAGCCTCTGTATGTCTTTTACTTGGAGAATTTAATCCATTTACATTTAATGTTATTATTGATAGGGAAGGACTTACTACTGCCATTTTGTTACTTGTTTTCTAGTTGTTTTGTAACTCCTCTCTTCCTTTCTTACTGTTGTCCTGTGTGGTTATTTTCTATTGTAGTATGTTTTAATTTGTTGTTTTTTATTTTTAGTCAATCTATTGTAGGTTTTTGCTCTGTGGTTACCATGAGGTTTAGGAAAAAACCACTGTATTGTTACTAAAAGTTATTATTTTAAAAAGGTGACAACTTATCTTTGATCATAAAACATATAGAAACAAAGGAAAAACTGAAAAAAAATCTACATTTTAACTTCATCACTACTCCCACCCTGCCCCATTTTAACATTTGGATTTTCTACATATAGAAGTTTATCATATTAGCATAATGACAGATTGAATTTCAATCTTCATTTATTTATTTTTCTTGCCTTACTACACTGTCTAGAACCTTGGTATGTTGAGTAGATGTCTTAATGTAGGCATTCTTGTCTCATTCGCAACATCAAAAGAAATGTTTTTATTGTAAGCTGATTTTTTTTTTAGTAGATACTCTTATCAGTTCAGAAAGGTTTCTTCTAGTCCTAATTTGCTAAGTTTTTAAAAATCATGAATGGACATAAACAACATTTGTTTCTCACAATTCTAAAGGCTGAGAGGTTCAGGATCAAGGTGCTGACAGATTCTGTATCTTGTGAGCACCATTTTCTGAGTTTGAAAATGGCCTCCTTCTCGCCATCTCCTCATATGGTGAACAGAAAGGGAGGACTCTAGCCTTTTCTTCTTATAAGGGCACTAATCCTATCATGGAGTCCCTAACCCCATGACTCATCTAACCTTAATTACCTCCCAGAGACTCCACCTCCAAATATCATCACATTGGGAATTAGAGATTCAACATATGAATTTGGGAAAGGAAGGACACAAATATTAATTCCACAGCAGACATTGGATTTTATCAGGTGTATGTGTCTTCATCTACTCAGATGATCTATGATTTTTCTCTCATCTTTTAATATGAATTACATGGGTTGATTTTCTAAGTTAAATTAACCTTGCATTCTTAAAATGAACCCCATTTTGCCTTCATTATGCTTTATATACATCGTTACTCTTAAATTGCTAATATTTTGTCAGTTTCTATTATGCATGAGATTAGCCTATATTCTTCCTTTTTCATATTGTCTTCTTGTTGGTATTTTAGCCTTATCAAATAAATGGGAAAGCATACTTAGAAACACACTTTGTGTACCTTCTCAGATTCCCTTAACTGCCTCCCTCTTTCCTTCCCTTGGTGGGCACCCCACACATGCCAGGTTTCCCCTTCACTTTTGAACTTTAATAAAACACCACATCATAGTACATGGATCTCAATTCCTGAACAGCTGCTAAGTCGGCATGATGCAACACAGATGAAATGGCAGTAATATCCTTGTTGGGTGAATGTTACTCAATGAGAACTGGGAGATGGGAGCTTACCTGACAGGAAGATTACCCCCTTTTCTCTCTTCCACTGACTACTCCAAGATATTGTTCCTCCTTGCAACCTTTCCAAAAACATCCACATTCCAAGAATCTCACATACTGAGTAACCTAACATGTCCCTTTTGACTTACTATGAAGTGGTAGTCAATATAGTAATGCATCATATCACATTTCATTGGATTTCCCTTGCTTTATTTCTACTTTTCTCTCATTCATACTGTGCTGAATTTGCATTTCCCAAATAAAATATTAGCATCTTTTTCGAGATGGAGTCTCACTCTGTCATTCAGGCTGGAGTGCAGTGGCATGATACCAGCTCATTGCAACCTCTGCCTCCCGGCTTCAAGTGATTCTCCTGCCTCAGCCTCCCAAGTAGCTGGGATTACAGGCAGGTGCCCACCATGCCCAGCTAATTTTTGTATATTTAGTAGAGATGGGGTTTCACCATGTTGGCCAGGCTGGTCTCAAACTCCTGACCTCAAGTGATCTGTCCACCTCGGCCTCCCAACGTGCTGGGATTACAGGCATGAGCGACTGCGCCTGGTCAAATATTAGCATCTTAATCCTTGCCTCAGGCTCCACTTTCTAGAAGACCTAAACTAAGACCAAAATTGCCTCCTTTGTTCTATGCACTGGAGTATTTTATGTAAGATTCCATAATTTTGTTCCTTTAAAGTTTGATAGAGCTTATAAACCATCTAGGCCTGGGTTTTTCTGTGTGGAAATACTGGGAAGTACTGTTATCTTTAATGATTTTAAGACTATTCAGTTTTTCTACATCTTCATGAGACAATTTTCCTAAGTTATAGTATTTAAAGAATTCACCCTGTTATCTATACTTACAAATTTATTGGCATAAAGTTTATATAGTATACTTTTATTACCTTTTTAAATACTTGTATTAATCTTTATATGACCTGTAGGAATGCTCATATTTTCATTCTTATCGTTTTGGTTCTTTCAGTCTTGCCAGGGTTTTATATATTTTATGAGTATTTTTGAAGAACCAGTTGCTGACTTTGTTCATCTCTATTGTGTTTTCTATTTCCAAGGTTGCTCTTACCTTTAGTAGTTCCTTTTTTTTTTTTTTTGGTTTCCATTTTGTTATTGTTTAACTTTGTGTATTGAATGACTCATTTTTAGTCTCTCTTTTCTAATATGCACATTTCTAAGCAGGTCTGCCTATATGCTCTCTAAATACTGCTCTAGCTGCATTCCACATATTTTAATAGGATTTGACAGTTTTAATTTCCATGACTTTTTCCCATGACTAATTAGAAATGTTTATTAATTCTCAAATACATGGAGCTTTCCTAAAGATGCCTTTTATACTGATTTCTATCTGAAATCCATTGTGGTCAGAGAATACTGTGTGTTTTGTAGCAATCCTTTGAAATACATTGAGACTTGCTTAATTTGCAAGTACAGGTTTTCATATTTTTCCATATGTGATTGGAAAAATATTAATTTGACAATTTGGGGATATAGTATACACACAATACACACAAACATATATGTATTTTCAGTACTTCAAAATTTCTACATATTTCCTGGTATTTGTCTGCTTGCTTCATTAATTACTGAGAGATGTACGATTTTGAGTTGTACTTTCTTTTGTTGCTCTCTCATTTTTCTTTCATATCCTTATGGCAATTGTATTAAGTGCATACCAATTTAAAATTATTTCACCTTCATGAATGTCACCTTTTATTACACAAAGTGATATTTTCTATTAATTCGCCTAAATAAACTTTGCACTTGAGTCCTTTTTCAGGGTCTGCTTCTTGGGGGAACCTAAACTACGACAGTTCGTCTCCCCTGGTATGTTGTAGCACCACGATAGCTAAGACTCCCACCTGTGGTAAATTGGTATTGGGCCCATCAGGAAGGGGATACACTCACTTACGTAATCTCTAGAATGATAGAGAGATGGGGGTGGTGTTAATTATAAGGATGGTGGAATAGGTTGGTTGTTGCTAAGTGCAATCAGTGCAAGGATGGAAGGCAGCATCAGGCTCAACTTAGGGCATGGTGTCAAAGGACTCCCTGGCATTTAAAGTGATCCTCAGCCCATGCAGCTGGAGGGCAGACTGTGCTAAAAACCAAGCTAGAAGTTACAAATAATACTGAATTGACAGCCCTCACAAGTATCCTGTTAAAGTCAGGCACTAATAGTCTAATAGTTAAGGAGTGGGACCCTAAACATGGGGTGGGAACATCTGGATAGAAATGCTGAGAACTCTGAACCTCATATACTTCTGAACCCTCTGGGTCAGCAGTCCACTCCCTCCTGCAGATGGATAACAGGCTTCCTTGCTTGGAGACCATGTCAAGGCCTCAACTGAAATGAATGCCCCCCAAGATGAAGTGCTTGCCTCCTCCAAGGCCTGCCCCACCTCCTGTCATTGCTTCTAGACCAATTACTAGGGTAAAGCCTCAGCAAGGTCCAACTGGGGAAGTTGGGTCCTTGCTTCAGGAAGAGAAGGATCATCAAGACAGCTGCAGGATTTGGCTACTCTTCTCAGCAGGAATTGGGAGAACATGCCTGGGAATGAATCTTGAGGACATGAGACTAGACTAGATTAGGGATGGTTTATCAGTATGTGGGATAGTTTTACAATTCAGGATTTAACATCCCAGCAGAAACCTGAAGCTGATACTAACGTGCTGCTGGATAGCTCCTTGAAGTCTGGAGGAAATGATGGTCTACAGTAAATGAGGCGGAGATGCTAGAACTGCCCTGCAGAACAGAGGCAGGGCTCAGAAAGTTCAAAGTGGCAATGCTCCTGAGATGGATTTGTAATTTATGACCAGGACACCCACTACCTATGTGCCAAAGACATTTCCTTCACTAAAACCAGAGTGAATGCACTAGTGAGTGGGCTGTGCTGTTGGGAAACTCTGTAGTGGTTTGAAGAACAGAGTTGAGAGGTTTCCCTTGTGTGAATGGATGATAGGAGTCTGGAACAGCAGAGGCCAGATGACAGCACTTAGCTGTCAGAGGCAAGGTAGTTATTACCATAACAGGTAGCAGGAAATGGCAACCAAGGATGCAACCCCACAGGGATCTGTGGAGATGGCAAGATAGGGATAAGGTAGATGGGCAGTTTAACTGTTCTAATAATAAAATATTAAGATCAGGTGAGATGTCAGCTGTCAGCTGCTGCAGCGCACACACACACACACACACACACACACACACACACACACATATATAATCACCATTCCTCACTCATCCTTTCAAGATCTAAGCCTATTCTCAGACCCACAGACCACCAATCAAAGGAGAGGCTGGGGCACTTAAGAATGATACTAGGATGCCACATGAGGGTATTAAAGGGATCTTTAACCATTTGCCAGTGTCTATACATTGAAGAAAGGGAATCATGAGTATCTTTTTAGGACTACTGGATGTAGAACCCTGCTTTTTGGCTTAAGATGGGATTTGGCAATTTTTTTCTGTAAAGGTACAGATAGTAACTATTTTAGGTTTTGTGAGCTATAGGATCTTTTTGCAACAAACCCACTGTGCCATTGTCATGTGGAAGCAGCCACAGACAATAAGTAACGAAATGGCTGTGTTCCAATAAAACTTCACTTACAAAAATAGGCAACAGGGAAGATTTGGCCCATGGGCCATAGTTTCCTGGCCTTTGGCCTTGGACATGATCAATTTTCTTAACAATTCTGTATGCACTTGAAAATAATGTAGTCTCCAATTTCGGGGTTCATTACTTTGTATTTTGTATTAGAACGGCACATTAAATCATGCTGTTCAAATTCTTACACTTTTGGGGTCTGCTTTATCTGTAAGTAACTGAGTTTATTTTTAAAAACTCCCACTATGGTCATTTGTCAAATTTTGCTTTATGTAATTTGAAGCTATGTTATTAGGTGCCTACAAGTTTAACATCTTTATTCTTCCTGGTCAACTGAAACCTGTGTCTTCTTGAAGTAATCTTCATTAACTCTAGTAGTAATTTTTGCCTCGAGCTATACTAGTTTGAGGTTAATAGAGCTACATCAGATTTATTTTGGTGTTTTGATAGTATATATTTTTCATTCTTTACTTTCAATCATTCTGTGCCTTTATATTTTAGTTAGTTGCTTATTAATAGCACAGGGCACAAATTAAAAATCTGAGCTTCTTGGAAACCTAAGCAAGTGGGAAAATATTTGCCGAAAAGATGCAGTCAGGTAATCAGCAGCTTATCTGCTACTTGTGATAACCTACTTAAAATCAGGTGTATGGGGCATTATGGGGCATCAAACAGGACAAGGGAGGCTTTGAAGGCAATTTTACCCACTAACACCTCAGAGGCTTACACATTATTGGAATTTTATCAGTTGCTCACACTGATTACTTTATAACTATATGGCTTCCAATAAGTCGTAGCTACTTTATAACTATATGGCTTCCAATAAGTCGTAGCTATTTATATTAGCACCCTGAAGCAATAAGGCAGGAAGAATTCAATAGTACCCTGGAACATATTTGTACCCTGAAGCAATAAGGCAGGAAGAAATGACTAGGGGTTTCCAGCAAAGTTGCTTGTTCCTTGATCACACCAGAACCTTCCTCTTTGCTCCTCTAGTCTCTTTACTCAATGATGTTGGTTTACCTAGCGGGTCACTCTCTTTGCTGAACTCAAGGTGACTGGAACCCTAGGCACTAACAAAGGATGTTTTTGAGGTATTAAAGTACCTTGTTTTAGAGGAGGAGGTAGAAAGGTGTCATGAGTGGCCGCACCAGAACTGCAAGGAGGTGCTGTCACCTCTAAATTCTTGCCACTTACCAGCTTGTATGACCTTAACAAGGGCCTCTACCATCTCTAAGGCTTCGATTTCCTTATTGAAAAATTAGAAATGATTCCACGTTTCAAGAGTATTTGGGTTAAAGTAAATGGTGAAGATGCTTGGCATAGGACTTCAACAAAATGCTAAATCATTTCCTTCCCTCTGCTCTGAGCAATTCACTGGACCATGGCATTCCTCTCAAATGGTGGCTTGCTGAAAATCATCCCTTTTCAAAGGGGCAGGCAAGTTATTTCTCTGTTCATGCTCCCCTCCAGAGCGTGCTTTGCCTCAGACTTCAAGGAAATAAGGAGAAGCAAGACCCTCTGAGATCTAGTTCACACAAATGAAGGATCCCAAGGTACATTTGAGTCTCATTGTCAGAAGTCCAAGATAATCATCGTTTAAGAAAGTTCTTTGCCCCCAAGCCAGATTTCTCCTCTAGTCTTGAGCTGCTTCCACAGTGCAGTGAGCCAAGATGCAGGGGCCAAGAGTCCAGGCTGAACTGTCAGAGTGACCTTCTTTAAGGCTCCACCACATACTAGTCATGACTTTTAATAAGCTATCCTTTCCTTTCTGGGCCTCAGTTTGGGGGAATGATGTCACTGGAACTATAGTGAGAATTTTAAAGTACAATGTACATATACATTGTACCAACACACTTGGCACAGTGCCCAGCATACAGTAAACGCTTGGGGAATCCAAAGTTTTGTTAGGCACCTGTGCTGCATACACCTGAATCATGAACCCCATGGTGATGCTGAGGACAGGGGTCGGGAGGAGTTATAGCTCAATGTGCAATCCCACTCCTGAGAATTTAAGTACTGTGTAGGAAACAGCCATGCTGCATTTATCTCTGTACCCCATCCTCTGCTCTATCCCTCATTCCTGGCATGTGCCCAACAAGTTGGGATAACAGCAACAAAAAACACTCAATGGTTGGGCTGGTGTGCTAAAGCCCATGGGACCTGGCTTCTCAGGGTAAGTCTGGGATCGACAGACAAGCCATTCTGCAAAACTTATGTCAATTTTAATGATGCACTAAAGAGTGAGATAGGCAAGTGGATTGATTGACTTGTGGGTATTGTTTAAGAAACGCTGTTAGATGTAACACCTAAAGTTCCAATTATCAAGCTTGGTGGACACCTTCAAAAAGATGAAAGCTGTGACCTCCTTTACTCTGTCTTTCATATCATCACTCACAATACATAAAGCACATTTCATTCCTAACAACATACACTTCTGCAGATAAAAAAGGTGACCCACACTTTCATTTTCTTTATTTTTCATTGATACCGTATGAATACAAAGTTTCTAGAAAGCTACAAAATGTCTACCACTTTATCAAGAAGGCATCAAAATGTGTCACTTTGCAAAGACATGAAAACACCTGCAGGAACTGACACAAAAATAGCATTTTTAGAGTGATGAAATAATTGCACTTAACTGTCATGGGTATTAAAGTTATCACACATATGTACCGCAAAAGCTAGAATACATTTTTTTTTTTTTACAAAGCACTTTATAAAAAAATTCTCTGCACACAAATCCTATAATTTTCATATAACTATCATACTAAAGATAAATTCACTTTAAAGCCAACACTTAGAACATTTTAAAACAAAAAGGTACCAGTACCTAAACACAGACGTTAACAAATACAAGAATACTGTACTGCCAAGAGGTTTAATCAAATGCCTTTTGAAAGTTTCTGCAAATAGGTTAAGAAAACATGTGTGAGAATTTGCCCACGCCCACCCCCATCTCTCCAATCTACCCAAGAGGAACCCAGTTACCCGAAGGCAGGTTCCACAGCCCACTCCCAGCAGCAGTACAATATCAAAGGAACCACTGACCAGATGAAACGCTTACATCACAAGCCCATTTTATACACGTGACACAAAGACACAGACCGTGAGAATCCCATTAAGTCATTTAGAATGTGAACAAACACACGTGGCGAAAACCGATTTACATAAAATTTAAGTGTATTATTAAAGAATTAAAGGCTATTCAGGTTTCTTTTTTAAATGTTACAAATTTTTTTTTTGTCATTTTCAGGCACATACTGTTTTTGTTTTTACTTTTTTTTTCCTTGTCTGCAGTCATGAGCCTATTGAAAAAGGCCTACAGAAGTAAATCTTTCAAGGAGGTAATAGGGAGATGTATTTTTTTTTAAAGAAGTGCAGTTGATATCTAATTTACACAGTGAAACTAATGATAGAAAATAACTAATGAAAAAAAATCAGAGACTGGTTTCCAATTGATTGACACCTAGATCTGTCAGCCTCTCTTAAAGAAAGGGGAAGGAGAAAAAAAATCTCATCATGGAAGGCAGACAAGAGTCCACCTGACAGAGGTGGAATCTGATGGAATCTGACCCCATTTCATGATAAACGAGAGGAAACATAAATGCCATCTCAAATACTAAAGCGATGTAGTGTAGCATGAGTGACTCAATGCAAATTCACAGAGGAAAAGAAGTTACGGCTTAGGAAGTAGGACAATAAATACAAATATTTCATCTTATTTAATGGTGCATGACTTCAGTGAAACTACCCTTTGCAATGCAATAAATTTTAAACACAAACCTTCATTCTTAACGATATAAGCAACGGCTTTGAGAGAGAAAACTACTTTCAAACAAAGCACAGTAACAGTTGAAAAGAGAAGCAGGAAAACAAGCATTTGACTAATTTCTTCCACACTGTGGTATAGTGCTGGCAGGGAAGAGTTGAGAATTCCAGCTGCTAACTATAAGTTAGGTTGAGTACATTTTCTTTTCATTTGATAGTTTTTGTTTGTTTGCACAAATTTCTACAAATACTTACAACTTGGAGTGGATAAGAATCACTCCTAAAATTTCAGAGCCCAGAGAGGATATTCTTAAAGACGCCAGGTAGAGACACACAGAACGTATGTATTAAGAGTTTAGAGGCTAATTTTCAAAGATGTCTGATGTTATTTTTACATCTATATTAGCAAAGAAAATCTTTTTTTCCTAGTTTCTTTTTGGCTGGTGTTTGGCCTTCTTGTCCTTTTCACTCGTCTTCCTTACCTCTATCAGCTTTCCCAATTTCTACAAGGTTTGGATAAAAGCCAACAAGGACTTTAAAGAGTTGCCCCTTTGAGGGCTGGAACATTCTTTGAAAATGCCAAATTGTGAATGGTGCTCTTTGGAAGTTTCTCGTAGCACATTCATACACAATACTCGGAGTCAACATGTTTGCCCTAAGAAGAACACTTCAATTTTAACGACCCTAACTCACTTTTGTTTTGTTCTGCACTGTCGTCTCAGTTTGAGGCTTCCAACTTTCAAAATGGTATCATTGTGTAAACCAGATAAGTGCGCACTGTCATTTGAATGGAAAAGAAAGTCTCCACAGAGACTGAACACGAACACAAGGAGGAGGAGAAAGCTGTAGTATCTGTCCACCAGCCGAGATTCTGTCATTTGTGCAGAAGTCCCCTCATCCGGACGCAGGGCTGGGTGACGAGGTGAAATGACACACTAGGTCATCAGCACACACAAACACAACAGTTTCTGGGGTCCTTCCGCTGAAGTGTGCTATGGATGTTGGGAGGCCCCCAGTGGCAGACAGACTAGCAGCAGGCGGGGACCACGTCGTGCTCTTGTGAACAGAGGCCTGTGGTTGGTTACTCATCCCGGTAAACCAAAGGCATTACGGTGATCTCAAAATATTTTTGGTCTCTCTACAAATTATCGTTATTATGGCAGCACTTTTCTAAGCTGGAATCTCAAACCAAAGGCACTTTCATGCTAGAGTGCAGAAGATTCACAAATAGCTAAGTATTTGGTCATGAATTTAAAAGGCAACATTAAAAAGTACAATTTGCTTTTCATAGTAAACTATGAAGTTGCAACCTTTTGTTTTGGTATATACATTTGAGTGTGGTGAAAGAACTGACTTGTGTCCAGTTTCGGATTTTACACCAAGCAGTCAGTTTCCTATAGAACTGGAGAAAAAATGGGCTTACAAAACAAAAATGAAGACAATTTTTGCTTGTTTTGTTTCCAATATTGGGCCAATTCGTAAATGAACATTAGGAATTGGTGTAAGAAAAGGCTGGCGGCATGACTAAGGTATTACTAAGGCACTGCTTACGGGAACACTTTGGCAGCTCTGAATTGAAAACTTCCTACAAAAGTAACAGTAGTAAGAGAAATGCTTCCAGCTTACAAAAGGGCTCACAGTTCTGAGGCAGCCTTTTGCACTGCATACCCTACATGCAACATCTTAAAGATTTAAGGCTTTTCAGAAATGCCATGTGCAGGGCTTTGCCACAGAAACACCAACATAAAGAAATAAGCAATGCAGACATATCCTCCTAATGTTACAGGTGTGAACACTGACAAACAGAATTAGTTCTACCCTTCGTTAGTTCAGGTAGTGTACCAGAGCATATACAAAATTATACAAATTAATATGTACCTGGTTTGTAAAATTGACTGTCATCTCAGATGATTTAAATAATTTATAGTTGCACAAAAACAACTGCTAAAGCCACCACAGTACTGAAACCTTAAGAAGACTTGGGTTTAAAAGTCGTTCGGGGACTTTTGACACCAAGTACTTGGAATGGGGGCTGTTTTTTGGCTGGTCTGAGTGCAGGACTTTGCTGCTAGGATGCTTACCAAATAGAAATTTGACTCAGAGCCTGTGGCTGGGGAATTGTCCTCAGGAAGTAAAATGGCTCGCCAGCTTTCCTACCTGCTTGTGGATGCCTCAGATAGCAATGGTCGGACAGGACACTTCAGTGTGGGAAGCAGCATCCGGTGAGGCTGTGCTCTGGCACAGGGGGATCCTGAATCTCCCCATCTCTTCTAAGCTGACCTGTCCACACATTCTGAGGGATTAAGCTTAGAGCACCTAAGAACAGCAGCCTCCCCCAGGAGAGGCCAGGGACCAAAGTGGCAGGAATCCTAGACAACTCTCACGCTTTTTCTGTCACTAACCAGCTGGGTGACTCTAAACATGTCACCTCCCCTCTGGCCTCAACTTTCTCATCGACAAAACGAAGGAGAGTAGACTGTGCTTTCAGCTCAAGACAGAAAACGTATCTTAGCCCTCTTCTGGTACCAATCCTTCCATCCTCCATCTCTAAAGGTGAAATGTTCCAGAGGTTTCAATAAATTTACAGAACAGCATTGCTTGTAAGGCAGAAACTAGAAGAAGCCCAGAGGAAATATGCCGAAATAAGTAAAGGTTTGATAATGAGACCCACGAGAAATAATGAAAATTGCTGAGACTTTTTTTAACGCCAGTAAACTAAGGGATGAAGGTCAAATCAGAAACACTCTTTAAACAGGTGTGAGTTGATTAAAGGGATGATGGTGACCAGCTGTTCCCAACTTCCCCAGTGCTGAGTGAAAGAATACTTGTAGCGAGAGAGAAATTGTTGTGAAACAGAAGTTCTGAAACAGGAAGAAATATGGACACAATGTCACCTGCCTCTTGCAAGGCTCTAGGAGAGATGCTTTCACAGGGTAAAATGAAAGGGAAAACAATTTCAAATGTGGTCATTGTGACCTGTAACATCTTGGGCAACAGATCTTGACCAGGGATCATTTTGCACCCGATGGGATATTTGACAATATCTGGAGACACGCTGGGTGGGGAATAGGTGCTAGTGGTACTACTGGGTAGAGGCCAGGGATATTAGTAAATCTCCTACAGTGCAAAGGACAGCTCTGCAGAACAAAGAATTACCCAGTCCAAAATGTCAATGGTGTCAAGGTTGAGAAACCCTGGTCTCAGGTAACTTGGGCCATTCTGGGGTTCTAGAACATGTGTGAATAAGTCCTTGTTTTATTCTCAGCCTCTATGAGGGAAATGAATGCCCAGAGACCAGAGCCCCATTCTGCAGCTCCTCCCTGTTTAGGCTGTGGAAAACTGGCCTCCAAACTCTGCAGTGACAACACAAGATGGCCGTGAAGCAAGCCTGGCACCAGAGGGTCTCGAGGGGATAGAGCACCTGGAAGAGAAGCAAGACGGGGCTCTGGGAAGGCTTCTTTAGTATGCTTTAGAAAGCTTTTATAACAAAGGGAGACTGCCATACAGAATGAAGGACAAAAGACAGACTCAGATTAGATGTTGTGATGCCAATCTCACCCAAAGGTCTAATCTGGGAGAGACAAAGAGAAGCCCACTGGGATGACTGGACCAGTGGTTAAGACAGGGAAAATATCTGTCCTGGAGAAAGCTTTAGAAGAACAAGACAAGAAGTAAACTTTTAAAAATCCTTAGAAATGTTGTAAGAGCAAGGAGTAAACCTCAAGGTCAATCATAGAAACCCAGAAAACTCAACTGCAAAGGCATTCTGAGCAAGAGGATGCAGGTGGTGAAGCACCAGGGGGGCCCAGCTGACCCTGTGAGGTCAGCAGACTGGGCTGTCCCCGTCTCTGTGCCAACAGAGTTGTCCTCTAGCTGTTCTTCTTGGGTCCCAGTATTTTTGTGCTTTGGAAAGGAAATCCCAAGAGCCCTCCTGGCTGCACTGAAAAGTACCATTCCTGGGTAGAATATGAACCAGACAGCTCTCCCACTGAAGTTCTAGGACAGCTTGGCTTTTAGCCATTTGTGCTCGCCTGGTCATAAACTCCTGGTCCTGGGAGAGGATGGGGCTTCCCTTAAGGAAAGATGCAGGAAATAAGAGCAAAAGAAACATCCCTAAGAGGGGTGTTCAACAGAAGTCACTGTAAATGTGACAACCGTGAAAGGGGACACCTGGGGCAATCCTTCACAGGCCAGCCTGGAATCAGGGACCCAACAGTAGTCTGTTTATGAAGGGCAGAGGAGCACTGTCCAACTGGTTTCTAGAAGGAATGGGCATTCCAAATGGGGACAGTTTTGCACTTTCTCCTCTGGTCTTCCCAATTTGGGAGAGGTCAGGCTTAGTGTTTTGCTGTTTCCCACGAGCCAGCCACATCCTCATGTTAGGGACCACAAGATGCTGACTGATGTAATAATAGAAAAGCAGGGTCAAAGCAGGTGTTGAGACAGGGAAGGGGGTGTGTAAGTTAATTGGATGTGGTAGAACTAAGTTTTTTATTTTCTAGCTTGGTGGAAAAATCTTGACATGTTTTACAAGTTAAAAAACTTATTTCATGTTCTATTGTGTGCACATGTTCCTACCACTTACAAAAACATATTTCTTTGGGAAGCTGGAGGAGCACTCCCTGTTCTCTCCCCAGTGAAACACTTAAGGGAAATAACTCAAAACATCTGGCCACATCAAACCAACTCTGCCTGGGCAATGCTCTGGAATACTTAGATTGGAAAGTTGAATCTCTCCTGGCAAAAGAATCTCCCAAATGAGCCTATTTGAAAAGGTCAGAGATAGGTAGCTGGGCCTCTTAAACCTAAGTCAAACAAGTACTGTAACTTACTGAGAGACGCTAAAGAAATGGATGTGCTTCAAGAGGATGTATCTAAGTCTACAGACACATTGAGATATACGTACATATCAGCACCTAGCAAACTGAGTGACACTAAACAAGTGTTCACTAAATGTGTTAACTCTATATGTGCATTTGTGTATATGTATACACATACCTACACATATAGCCCTAGTTATAGCAGGTTAATATGCATATTGGGTCACTAGAAATAAAGAATGTATCCACAGGCTGGTGAGGATGCTTACAATTTTCTGGGGAGCAGAGATGCTAAAACTGATGAGCCTTTTACTTGTCTATTTGATGAAATTTTCTCCCAGCCACAGATTCTGTATACTTTGCATCTCACAGTGCAGTATTCCGTATTCATGCCAATTTTAAAATTTTGTTATTAAAATTCAGTGGTTCAAATATTTACTCATCTTAATAAAAAATTTGGTCGTCCATATAAAATATAACTGCACACACAAGACTATAAACATTGTAAGTTTAGATTTTTTCAGTATGTATCTACTTATTGCAAAAAGAGCCATTTTTTCTTTTTCATTAAATAATCCATCATCACATTAGTACAATACAATTTTATATTTTTTAAATATACTATATATGTTAAGGATAAGGGGTGAAGTTTTCTTCCTTTGTAATACCTGTTCAAGAGTTTAATGGATTAGGAGATTAGTGTTAACCTTGAGGATAAAAGTACAAATTTGTCTCATTAGGACACTTCTACCAAGCATTTCTTAAGGCTATAGTTTAACATTTGGTTTCAAAAAGAAAAAAAAAGGTTTCATTTAAAAAATAATTTAGTGAATTACATTCTTTCATAACTTCCACCCTAATTAGTTACAAAGATAAGTCTAAAGATTCTTAGTTTTGTGTACTAATTTACATTTATATTTAAAGATTAATTTTACTTGTATCTTAAAACAAGAATTTTATGTTGGAAAAAAGAGAACTAAATACATTTGTATAAAGGCTGTAAATGTCCCATGGCAAATGCTCTGTCTCAATATTTTCTACCACAATTAGAAACAGGGCTCTGCAGAGAGAGACTTGGGTTGTTCAGGTTCACCTTTCCCGAGGAATTGTGGGCTGCACATCTGAAGAACATAGAGAAACAACTCAATTTCTCTTTTTACAACTGTACCAGAACTTCACAGCTACAATGATAGTATGAACACATGAAAAAATGACTTCACTCAAACAAGATTTAGAAAAGTCGGGGTGACCTCGGGGCCAGGGCACCACCCTGTGTGGTGAGGTTTACAGTCAGTCGTTCGATAATGGAGAGAGAGTGTGTGTGTGCACATATGTGTGTGTGTATATACAGATATCTATATATATAAATAACCATGTTCAGTCCTTTACAAGCCTGTAAATATGATGTTGTGCTCCGTGTTCACTATTTGAAACTTCAAACACACAGGCCATGCAGAGTAGAGTTTCTTGTGTATCCCTGTTTGTTACCACCTGTTAAGATAAAAAAAAAGTATATAATACCAAAAGGATGAAAACATATTCCATCTGTGTATGACGACTATGACTTAATTGGAGAAGAACAAGTCTTAAGTCCAAGAGAGATTTGCTCAGCCTCACTCTGTGTCCTCTAACACAGATTCAGAACACTACAACTATGACCTGAAGCCCATCTAAACGTGGTTATCATAAGTAAGAAATACCTTCTAGATAGGGTCACTCATAATCTATGCCCAAGAAAGGACCACAAAAATTAGCACATTTGTGTTTTTGTTTTTTAGGGGGCTGATTTCTTTACAACAAAGAATTCTCTTTAATTCTGTCCCGCAAGGCAATCATTTACTCTAAGAAATTGTCTTATTTTTTATCTGAATTTTTAAATTGACAAGTAATAATTCCAGTCCCTACCTAAAAGAATAAAGTCTTGCAGTACATATATTTATGGGCTACAATGTGATGATAGATGTATATACCTTGTGGGACGATTACATCAGGCTAACATACCAAGCACTTCACGTACTTCTTTGTGATGAGAACATTTAAAATCCACTCTTTTTCCCATCCTAGTCTTAAACTTCTGCTAAATCTTGTTTCACAATAGCCAAGGACAGAGAAGCTGCAGGAGTGCCTCCCTCACCACTATGTTAACCAGTAGTGCCTAGACCCAGAAAAGTATCTGCTGAATCAAGGAACAGTGGGATAGGTAGAATCCTGTGGAATGACATTCTTTCCATAGACATGGGCTTTATCTTTCAAAATGTATTGTGAAATACTCATGCTTCCCCTCCAGTCTCTTGAATCCCTCTAATTATCCCTCGTATTTTGAGTTCTCCAGCCCAAATCATTGCAGCTCCCTCCACACCACACAGACCCTGACTCCTTTCTGTCCTCACTCTGGTCTCAATTCCCCATGCTATTCTCAGAAGGAACTTTCTAAGAGCAAATCTAATCAAGCAAAAACATGAAACGCGTCAGTGACTCTGTTACTTTTGTGTTTGATTACGCCAAAGCATTGTTTGAATGAAAACATTTTGAACTTGAGAGCCTCTTCCAGTTTGTTATAGGCCTAATTTCCCTCTAAGTATCAGGCTGTTTCCCCTGTTTAGTTTCCCTTGCTCTTAAGGTATCCAAGCTTCCAGTCCCTACTTAAAGAATAGTCTTGCAGTACATCTCATTTTCCCATCACAGCATGCTATACAGTTGGTAAACACATACTGGCGTGTACAATTTTTTTTCTAATATCCATCTCACCCAGTGGAATATAAGTTCCTAAGGAACAGGGGCCCTGTTTCCCAGCAACTAGCTTGAGGACATGGCACACAAGTCATTTAATAAATATTTGCTGGGCCGGGCGTGGTGGCTCACGCCTGTAATCCCAGCACTTCGGGAGGCCAATGCAGGTGGATCACAAGGTCAGGAGTTCGAGACCCGCCTGGCCAACACTGTGAAACCCCGTCTCTACTAAAAACACAAAAATTAGCTGGGCACAGTGGCGGGAGCCTGTAATCCCAGCTACTCAGGAGGCTGAGGCAGGAGAATCACTTGAGCCCGGGAGGCAGAGGTTGCAGCGAGCCAAGATTGCACCACTGCACTTTAGCCTGGGCAACAGAGCAAGACTCTACCTCAAAAATAAATAAATAAATAAATAAATAAATAAATAATTGCTGAATGAATGAAAATTCACATCAGAATAGCCAACAAATATTGAGTGTTTACTATCCATCTACTCAGTATCAAATGCTTTACACAGATTGTCTCATATGATATCATACGACCTCTAGGAGTGGGTGCTCTTTGACAGGGAAGGAGCTGAGAGGTTCGTTTGGTCATGGTTGCATATTCACCACGCAGAGAGCTCTCAACTGTTTCTTCCTCAGGAAGCCTTCCTCAGCTTCCGCCTGAACTAGGTCAAATTCCCCTGTTCTACGAATGCCCTGCGTCCCTCTGCCAGGTAGCAAGAGCTACAGTTTTCATTTATTTTGTGATGACTTGATGCATGCCTGCCTCCTGCATCAGAACCCAGGATGGCGGCCCACCTGCCTAATTCACCATAGCACCCCAGCCCCTGGTACCTAAGTATGTACCCATGGGATACCCCTATTCTTAGTAATCAGAAAGATGTCTCCTTATCCATCGAGGCAACATCCCTGAGAATCCCTACCTCATCACTCTGCATTTCAGAGGTACCTGTTTCACGAGTACACTACAGCCATCATTTGCTTGCAATGGTTTATTTACCTGCCTCTTTCATCCTGAAGGACCATGAATTACTACGTGACAAGTGCTGGGTTTTATTTGCATTGTATCCCAGAAGGCAGTACCATCTCTCACAGCTTAGCTGAATTAAAATATTTCAATGATAACCTCTGAGGTAGAAAGTGCAGACTTGAGCATTCTGTTTATAAATCAAGGTGAAACTGATGTCTGAAGACTAAGTGACCAAGGCCATAAAGTCTTAAACTCAAGTCTTTTGATTTCATGACCATAAGATACCTTGCAAGGTCTTTTCTATCCATTCTTTTTTTTTTTTAAGTTTAGCTTTATTTATTTATTTATTTTTTATTATACTTTAAGTTTTAGGGTACATGTGCACAACGTGCAGGTTTGTTACATATGTATACATGTGCCATGTTGGTGTGCTGCACCCATTAACTCATCATTTAACATTAGGTATTATCTCCTAATGCTATCCCTTCCCCCTCTACTCCCACCCCACAACAGGCCCCGGTGTGTGATGTTCCCCTTCCTGTGTCCATGTGTTCTCATTGTTCAATTCCCACCTATGAGTGAGAACATGCGGTGTTTGGTTTTTTTGTCCTTGCAATAGTTTGCTGAGAATGATGGTTTCCAGCTTCATCCACGTCCCTACAAAGGACATGAACTCATCATTTTTTATGGCTGCATAGTATTCCATGATGTATATGTGCCACATTTTCTTAATCCAGTCTATCACTGTTGGACATTTGGGTTGGTTCCAAGTCTTTGCTAGTGTGAATAGTGCTCTAATAAACATACGTGTGCATGTGTCTTTATAGCAGCATGATTTATAATCCTTTGGGTATATACCCAGTAATGGGATGGCTGGGTCAAATTGTATTTCTAGTTCTAGATCCCTGAGGAATCGCCACACTGACTTCCACAATGGTTGGAACTAGTTTATAGTCCCAACAACAGTGTAAAAGTGTTCCTATTTCTCCACATCCTCTCCAGGACCTGTTGTTTCCTGACTTTTTAATGATCGCCATTCTAACTGGTGTGAGATGGTATCTCAAATTTATTTCCATCACTGGCTCTGTGACCTCGGGGTGGCCTGACATTCTTTATCCATAAAATGAGAAAAATGACCTCATAGTCTGAAAGTGAGAATTACATAACATTTACAAAGGGTCTAGCACAGCACCTGGCACCTCTACAACCTATTCAAACTTCTTGCAAGCTTTCTATTAAATAAGAATACAGTTGGCCCTCCCAATCTGCGATTCCACACTGGCAGATCCAATCAATATCAGATTGGAAAATATTTGGGGACGAAAAAAGACATAATAAAAATAATAAAAATTTTAGAAATATAGTATAACAACTATTTACATAGCATTTACATTGTATTTGGTATTATAAGTAATCTAGAGATGATTTAAAGTATAAGAGATGATTTGTATAAGTTATCTGCAAATACTATGTCATTTTATATGAGGTACAATTTCTCCTGTTCATCAATTAGATGATTTTATTTTCAAAATCCAAGAGTGCTGGCTTAATTTCAGTTTTTCTAAAACTAAACTATTAATTCTAATATATATTGATTGATAGGTATTAATTCTCCATATTAAAGGAATTTATTTAGTTGCTTAATGACACATTTTGAAATTAATCTAACCTGCTAAGTTATCTGGATGGCTGTATTGGTTGAAGTCATATTTTGCAAGGCAGCATTAATGATATACAGTGATGAGTTGCTTAACAATGAGGACACCTCCTAATGTGTAATCAGGTGGTTTTGTCATGCGAACCAACAGCATAGAGTGTACTTACTCAGACCTAGACGGTACAGCCTACTACACACCTAGGCTATATGGTGTAGCCTATTGCTCCTAGGGTACAAATCTGTATAGCATGTTACTGTACTGATTACTGTAGGCTATTACAACACAATGGTAAGTATTTTTTGTATCTAAACATATCTACACATAAAGTACAGTAAAAATATGGTATAAAAGGTAAAAAGTAGTTCACCTATATAGGGCACTTACCATGCGTGGAGCTTACAGGCCTGAAATTTGCTCTAGGTGAGTCACTGAGTAAGTGACGAGTGAATGGGAAGGCCTAGGGCATCACTGTATACTACTGTAAACTTTTGTACTGTACACTTAGGCTAACCTAAATTTATTTTTAAAAATAATTATGCTGTATTATATAATAGTTGCATCATCACTAGGTGACAGGAATTTTTCACCTCCATTATCATCTTATGGGAGCACTACCATACACGTGGTCCGCCCTTCACACTGCTATGCAGTGCACAACTGTAGTCAGGTTCTGTGGGTAACAGGGGCTTTAACACTTTTCCAGGCCACATTTATCTTAGCTGTGCTCTCTGAGGTAGAGTTTTACGGACTGAGAACATGCATCCTTAGCATGCAGAAACAGAATCAGAATTGATTTTTAATAAACAGCTAAGACTCCCCCCCAAGAGAGGCAGGGAAGCCATTCATTCAGAGTTTTGGTTAATTCCTGAGGCCACTTAAGATCCTCAGTAGATGTCACACTTACCTTCTACTCGTCTGACTGCTAAAGTGATGCATCTATTCTTAGATAGCAACAGGAAGCACCTATATGTCAAGCACCTGCTATATGCCAGTCCTGCAAACCTTGAATTGCTCTATTTTCACCAAAGGGCCATTAAAGAAAGGAATACTGATCAATGTTATTAAAGAGCATGTATTCCAAACTTCCCCTGAATGCTGGCTTCTAAATTTTAGAAGGACATGGGCACATCTGAGAACCCATTAAGATTCTCTTCTTGGAACAAACGAAAATTATATGCAAAATTATCTGTTTGCTAGTTGTATGCCAATCATGTGTCTATAAACTCTGAGAGTCCTTGCGGCTCATTTCCCAATCTCTTACAGCAGTGGGTCTCTACCTGGTTGCACACTTCAACTACATGCAGAGCTTAAAAAATAAAAACCAGGATGCTGGGCCCCATCTCCAGGGACTCATTTTATTCATCCAGGGTGGGGCCTAGGCCTTAGATGTTTTAAACCTTCCTGGATGAATCTAATATGCACAGGGTTTTTATTTTTAAATGTTACTTATTTTTTTTTATACAATGGTGTATAGAAGCTGGCTCCTACTGGCTCATAAAAATTATTGTTAAATATTAAGGAATTTCATTAGCTGAATAGCTATCGGTAGCTTGAAATTGCCCATGAAGGGCATATTTACACCACAGAAATAGGTAAAAGGTATAAATTAGAGTTTTGGGAAACTGGGAAACAGCCTTTCTAAAAAACAAAAACAAAACAAAACAAAACAAAAAAACAGAACACTGCTGATTGAAAGCCACTGTCCCAATGGAACCAAAAACACCAAGTAAAGAATTCCTGCTGTATGGATTCTTAATCCTAGTAACAAAAAGGAATAAAGTAGGCTTTCAGAGGAGTATTTGGCCACAGTATAGCCTTGTTGCCCCTCTTTTGCTAAGATTGTTTCCCTCAAGTTTTGTTTTGGCATTTTCCCTTTAATCAAGTAATGTTACTTTTTTAAATGAGCCTTATGAAACCCATTACTGAGTATTTTCTATTTTGAGGATGACATTGTTCCTAACAACTTCTGAAGTCCCCAAATAAAGCTCCCAGAAGAAATTTGTTTTAAAGTTAAGTATTAGGGGAAAACCCACATAGAACCATCCAGGGGCACTGGTGAGTTTTCCCATCATGGACCTTGAACACTATTTTCCCTTTCCTTTAGCTGCCCATTAAGTTTGTTTTGTCTGTTTGTTTTGAGATAGGGTGTCACTATGTCACCCAGGCTGGTCTTGAACTCCTGGGCTCAGGGGATCCTCCCACCTTGGCCTCCCAAAGTGTTGAGATTAGAGGCATAAGCCACTGTACTCAGCCTAGCCAGATTTTTTAGCCTATGAAGAACATTTTCCTCCTCCTGGTCACTGCATTCCATGCATTCTATTCTAATTTATATTTCTTCTGGTACTGAGAGCTTATATTTTCCTGCCTTAATGCATGTAACTTCTTAGAAGGCCTTGGAAGTCCATCATGGAACATGTCAAGGTATGTCTGAAGTACAAACATACCAACTCAGCTTTTGCCTGATTTGCATACCATGTTGCTGCTGAGACTAAAACTTGGCTAATGTTGAAATTACCTGCGGAACTTAAAAAAATACACATGCCTGGGTCCTGTTCTCACAGATCCTGATTTAATTGATCTAGGATACAGCCGGATGTTTAAAAGTTCTCCAGGCCTTTCTACTCTGCAGCCAGAGATAAAAACACATCACTTTTTATTACCCAACTGAATTCCAGTTCTGCGAACCTTAGAAACCCCAGCCAGATAAAACCCCTTCTCTTCTACAGAATCAAGCCCAAGTTTTCCCTATGGATGATGCAAATTCAACTGCTGACTGACCACTAGGAACCCAATCCAACAACCTGGTCAGTTCCCTCGGCGCAGGCCCAGCGCCTCCCAGGCCCACCTTCCTCACTTCTGTCAAGCCTCATGGCAGCATCTGCCCACAGAGGAAAGAGACAAAACCATTACCAATAAAATTGTGAAGTTTTCCAAAACACTGTTCATCATATATTTCTCTGGTAAGTGTTTGAGCTTGTGGATGAAGTTGATCATATATTCACACATTGGGGAGCGGTTTATTCGGTATACAAATCGGCCATTCTCAAACCTTGCATACTCCGTCTGTGAGGAAAAAAGGATTTCAGTATTTTTACACTTTTGACTCCAAAACACATGAAACAGATATTACTGCCCATAAAAGCATTTTAGTTTTTCAACATGAATCATCTTCTATATGCTATACTACTTACGTAATCTACTTAATTAAAAAAAAACTATCTCCAAATTTATTGCTATACATAGAATCCATTATTTTTCTGGAAGTTTTTTAAAAAATTAGTTGGAAAGATGAGAGCTTTAAGAAGCGTTGACAGATCCTTTTAGCAAAGGTCAGAAAAAAATAAAACTGCCTAATTATGATGCTTTACCTGGAGGAGATCTGTAAGAGCAGGCCCCAGCTAGCTACAGTTCTTCAAAGAAAATCTCTTTATTGTGATAAAGCCTCATAGGTTAACAACCAATATAGCTAATCTCTCTACTTTAGAAAAAACTGATTATTTCTCACGGATCATGAGCCCCTGAATGTCACCTGTTTATGAAAGGAAGAAACTAAGAAAATACTAGTATATATGCAGTTTCAATAACTCAGAAATAAGAAACAAGGCTTCCTAGATAACCTTGGATCAAAAGGAATTAAGAAAATTATAAACTAAAGAGCAATGAAAAGGGAGATATTTTACATCAAAACGTATCAGCCATGATGAAGCTGCACTTGAAGGAAACTTAATGAAGTAGCCTCATATGTCTTCATCATTAAAGGTAAAAATTTACAGAATAAAACACACATCCTTAAAAAAAAAAACCCAAACCACAAAGAAATCAAAGGAAGCCAGGAAAAGGGAATTAATAAAGATAAAAGCTCAAATCAATGAAATAGAAATTTAAAATGCAGACAGAATTAAAAACTGGTCCTTTAGACAGACAAAATAAACTCTTCATACAAGTAAAAAGGAGAAAAAAGAAAAGTGGCAAAACCACAATTACAGTACAAATTAGAAGATACATAAGAGATTATTTCACATAACCCTAAAGCAGACACACACACACACACACACACACACACACACACACACGGCAAAGCAAAGAAAACACAGCAGATAGAGATGCTTTCCCAGAAAAATACAACTTGCTAACACTGAGTCAAAAAGAAGGGGAAAATGTCAACAAATAGATCAGTCATTGTGGAAATGACCACAACTAACAAGTTTAGCTATTTACCACTGAAAAAGGTGGAGGCCACAAGTGATATAAAATCTCAGTTAGGAGAAGTAAGCTCAAGAGATCTACTGTACAACATGGTGACTACAGTTAATACCAAGGCGCTGTATCCTCGAAAACTGCTAAGAGAATATTTAAGTGTTCTCACCACAAAAATTGGTAAGCTATGTGAGGTAATACATGTTAATTAGCTCGATTCAGCCATTCTACTGTGTATGCATATTTCACAACATCATGTTATACACCATAAATGTATAAAATTTTTATCTATCAATTAAAAATAATTAATTAAAAGTACATGCTAAAAAACATATAAAGACCAAATAGTTTCACAGGAGTAAGTTTTATGTAATCTTTAAAGAATAGTTATTTCCAGTGTTATTCTTTTTATGAAACTAGTGTACATTCAAGACTGAAATTTGGCAAACAGGTTATTGAAAAAGGTATATAGTTGGGTGTGACAGCTCACACCTTTAATCCTAGCACTTTGGTAGGCTGAGGTAGGCAGATCGCTTGAGCCCAGGAGTTTCAGACCAGCGAAACCACATTTCTACAAAACAATACAAAAAATTAGCCAGGCATGGTGGCACAGGCCTGTAGTCCCAGATACTCAGGAGGCTGAGGTGGGAGGATTGCTTGAGCCCAGTGAGGCTGAGGCTGCAGTGAGCCAAGATCATGCCACTGCATTCCAGTGTGGGTGACAGAGTGAGACCCCATCTCAAAAAAAAAAAAAAAGGAAAAGAAAAAAGTATAGACGAATATTACTTATGAAATGTAATGTGAAAATTCTGTGTAAAATATCAGCAAATAGAATGCAACAATAAATCCAAAGTAAGACTGTTTCAGAAATGCTATGGTGTTTCATACACATTGAGGAAATGTATTAACTTGTTATGTCAACAACTTGGAAGAAAAATCATATAGCAACAGTTGCTGAAAAGCATTTGATAACGTATTGCAGCTGTAACTAATAAAAATCCTAAGTAAAATAGGAATAGAAAGAAAACACTTAAATTAGTAATAAAGACCATTAATAAAAGCCTACAGTAAATATAATCCTAAAGGGCAAAACACCAAAACTTTTTCAACTAACATCAGTTAACTATACAAGGGTACCCCAGGAATCTGGGGGAAAAACTAAAGTTAAGTATGAGAATTTGCTAAGATGGCCATATTGAAGACAGATATGCAAAATCAAGAGCTTTTCTCTATTAATTCGAATCTAGAAACAGGAAATTACAACATATTATATAATATTTAGAAATATATTTAACAAGAAAGAGACAAACCTGTATAATGAAAATGATAAAATCTTATTGAAATACATAAAATGAAATGAGAATGCAAATACATTCTTGATTAGAAATATTTAATATAAAATTTTTCCAAAAGAACATCTAAGTTTGATGCAATTACAATTAGATTGCTCAAACAAGGTTTTTGTTTTTCTTTATATGTTTAAGTGATTGAATTATTTGGAAGAATAAATGTTGGTTACTAGCTTAGAAAATATATGAAAAAGAATAGTGAGCCTGACTCGCCTCATCAAATATCAGTATATACTATAAAGCCACTGTAATCAAATCCACATGGTACTGGGATACGTAGACACAAATAGTGGGTGGAATAGAACAGTGGGACTCCAGGAACAGCTCTCAGAATATATGGTAATTTAAAGGGGACAGATCTGTTTAACTGGGAAAGAATGAATCATTTCATAAGTGGTTTTGATACAAACGCCTATCTGGAAGAAAATATAAGTGGACTACTACTTCACACCAAATGCAGACACACATTCTAAACAGATAAAAGGCTTAAAGGTAAAACCCCACCTACCATGCACACCACCTTCTCCATAAAAATTCCTGTGATTTTATCAGTCAAGAGCAACCTTTCCCTGCTCCCTGAATTTGCATAGAGCTTTGGGTGTATCGTCTGAGGACACCAGTAATTTGACATTTGGGAAATTGAGTAAGCTGTCTGGTTCATCTTTTCTCAAATGCACCTGTCCAGGCAGGGAATTTCAACTACAGAGAACATCCCTGACAACTTAGCTATTCACTAACATTGCCTAACACTCATCTTCCACACTCCCAATCACACACAGGTAACTTTGCTTCCTCCTTCTTAGAGGCGAGGAGGTCATCTGGTTCCAGGCGTCCCAGCCATGTTTCATGATACAGCCACCTTCTCACCTCCTGGGCTTCCTAGACATTATGTTGAGCCAATTCCCGCCCTCCCCACTCATTTTTGTCCTCTGTTCTTCTGTTTATGTCTCCCTCTACTTATCCTAGGGCTAGTGGCTGCTCCCCAAATTTAATCCTTATTCCTGTGCCCTTTCTATTCCCTCTCTGCAGCTAGGTCTCCATTCCCAATCCTTAATGCTCAGGATTCCCAATTTATATTTCCAGTCTTTACCTGTCATCCAAGTTCTAGTCTTGCATCTATAATCATTGCCTATTTCCTCTTGAACACCTTATTTCCTTATCTCTATTAGTGGCAGTACCATCCTTCCAAGCATAAAATGTGAGTGTGACTTTTGACTCTTCCTCCTCATTAATATCCAGTTAGTTTCTAAGTTCCATTCAAAACATCTTACAGGATTCCCACTGCCACCATTGTGGGAAAGCTCATGACCCCTAAGCTTAAATTGTCCATCTGAGTCAACTCCCCTGGATCCTCTTCTGCCAGCATAACCTTTCCTCAACAACATTCTCATAAGGCCTGTCCATTGCTCAGGGGGCTTGTGCTACGAGGGCCTGCAGCATCCCAAATCCTCATTGCTTAGCCCAGGGTCTTAAGAAATATATCCTTCTCCCTCTCTCCCTCCTCAGCACAAAGTCTTTGTACAGCTAAGGTGGGCTCTTGAACCTGAAAGGTCTGGGGCCACTGCAAATAAAAACTGCTCACTGAACATGGATCAATTAATTGGGTGATGGATAGAAGACACTAAAAAATACAACCTTTAAGGAATGCCAACAACAAACATTATTCAACAAAGCAACTCACCCTGATCAAACAAATATACATCTTTTTAAAGGGAGGAAGGTATGAAACATAAAAGCCGTAAAAAGAGATTGGATCCTAATATATAATAAACTCTATCTAAAACAATTAAAAGCGAAGGCAGTGGAAATGGCAAAAGCAACAATATCAAACTCAAGGTATCATGGTTTCAGAGGGCAGGTGCCAATCAGCTGAGTACCACCTTGACGTCTATCTACAATGCCTGGGAGTGCCCTTGGACCTAGGGGTTGGGTGTAGGGAGGGCATCATTCTGAGTGGCAGGGCCTATCTCGACCCAGCTTTCATACCACACTACCCCACAAGGCCTCAAGCAAAGGTGCACAGCACTGGCTGAGCAGGGCACAGCTGACTTCAGACACAGTCAGAGGACTGGCACGGGACATCCTATTTGCTTCCTTTCAGGTGCTTCCAAATCACTTTGGCTTTTTAGAAGTTAACAGGAAAAAGAAGTGGGAGAAAGAAGGAGGGTGATATGGTTTGGTTGTATCCCCACCCAAATCTCAACTCGAATCGTAATCCCCACATGTCAGAGGAGGGGCCTGGTGGCAGGTGGCCCCCAGGCTGTTCCTGTGATACTGTGGGAGTTCTCACCAGATCTGATGGTTTAAAAGTGTGTGGTGGTTCCCACCCACCTTTCTCCTGCCACCATGAGAAGACGTGCCTTGCTTCCCCTTCACCTTCAGCCACCATGATTCTAAGTTTCCTGACACCCCCCAAATCATGCTTCCTGTTAAGCCTGTGGAACTGTGAGTCAATGAAACATCTTTTCTTCATAAACTACCCATTTTCAGGTAGTTCTTCATAGCAGTGTGAGAATGGACTAATACAGAAGGTAAGAAGCAGACATCCAAAAATACAACTCTCTGCCCCAAGGAAGGTTTAAAGGAAGGCAACAGTCTGCCCTTGAATGAAGTTTCCAGTATACAGAGGCCAACTTACCTCTACTTTTTCTACTACTTGCTTCCCAAAGGAGCAAACTTTGGTGGAACAGGTGACTGTCATATTTTCAGAACTCTCGTACTGACTGGTTACACCATAAAAAGCCCCAGCATCATCTTGAATATTGCAGTTTAAATCAGCCTGTTGGAAAGGAAATGGAGGTGTGGGTTATTCTCTCATCCCAGGAGTCATGGCACCGAGCAGTAACTTTCAGGGTAAGACCTCTGCTTGGCTGAATGAAGAGGGCTGGCTTGGGAAGGTGATGCTCATCTAGAAACAAGTTCAATACCCATCTGTCGTTTTTTAAAGAGTTTGCTAATTTGGGCAGTCCTCTCTTGAAATGACATGCTACAAGTATCAATTTTGTTTTACTTTCTTGCATTCAGTATCAGAATACTACTATACCCTTGCAATAAAAGATCCACAAGGTCTTTGAAATATGCACAGAAAGCAGGATATTAATTGGATTCATGTTCACTCATCTTTAGAGATATTTTTTAAAAAAAACAAGAGACTGCAGCTGACTAGCCATTTGTCATATATGTACAAACAGAAACTTTCTTAAAAATTAGAATATCTGGAGGGGAAATGGTTCCTATTAAAGACTGGCTTACAAAGATGTTAAATAATGACTTAAGTTGCCATTCATTTAACACATTTTTATTAAGCACCTACTATGAAAGGTTCATGCTAGACAATGTACGGGTTTTGCCTACAACTGATATGGAAGATACATAAAATAACTATCATTCAGATAGAAAATAAGTACCATGTCAGAGATACTTAGAGTTGCAGCAATGGAAGGTATGACTTTCCACAGGTGGTCTCAGTTGAGGAATGATTTAGACTGGCACATGCAGGGAAGGCTGGGGGTACAGTGCAGGCCAAGGCCTGGAGTGCTGCATTCTAGCTTCTGGGCATGGATTAAGGACCTCAGACTGGGAGTTTGGAAATGCAACTTGGGCACAGGTTATGGGGGCGAAGAAGACAGTTTAGATTGTATTTTGTAGGAAATGGATACTCCCTTGAAAGCCTGCGTGCCAAGGAAGTGGTATGATTAGCACTGTGCTTCAGAGAGAAATGTCTTCAGCAGGATGCAATGTCCACTGGGGAAACTGGCTGCTGCAGCGTTTGATCATTGCAGTGGTCTGAATGTGCCCCCACCAAATTCATGCATTGGAAGCTTAAACCCCAGTGCAACAGTGTTGGAGGTGAGGCCTTTTGGGATGGGTTTAGGTGTTGAGCCTCTGCCCTTGCATATGGGTTAACGCTGCTATAAGTAGGGCTTTCAGGAGTAAGCTGGCTCTCTCTGGCCCTTCATGTGCCTTCCACCAGATGCTACAGATTCGATCTTGGACATCCCAGCCTCTAGAAATGTGAGAAATGAATTTTTGTTCTTTATAAATTACCCAGGCTGTGGCATTCTGTTGTAGCAGCACAAAACAGACCAAAGACAGCCACAGAGTAATAGCTGCCTTCCCTCAAGTATCTACCAACCCCCTGCTCCGCATCCGGCACAATGCTCAGAGCTGCGGATAAAAAAAGCAAAAGCTGAGCCAGGGCCTGCTCTCGTGAGGCTTACAATTAAGTGAGGAACATACCACACGGAACTAAGCACCAGGGAGAGAGGTACGGGGGGACACGAGCACAAACGGTGAGGAGTGGGCCCCCAGGGTCAGGGACACTTCTAATGATGATGCAACTCAGATCCCAAGAAAGAAGACGAGGCTTAGGCAAGAGAAGCATTCCATAAGAGAGAAGAGGGCACAGAGCCAGAAAGAAGCGCTAAAGAGAAAGCAAGAGAGAGAGGATGGCAGGAGAGCTGGAGAGGTGAAATATCCTGAGACCAAAGGACACAGTGAGCAGACAGGCCTGGAACAGTGACAGGGCACAACCAGCTCTGCCTTCCAAAAGGCACCTCTGACCATGGCTCGGAGAAGACTCCGGAAGAGAGCAGAAAGTATGTATATATATATATACTAGGAGGCCATTATAGCAGTCCAAGCGAGAGATGATAAATGTGGACTGCCGTGGTGGTTGTTGAAGCAGAGGTACGTGGATCTGACACTCAAATGAGATTTTATATTTTGTGCGGTTTGGCACTTTTTTTTTTTTTTTTTTTTTTTTTTGAGACAGGGTCTGGCCCTGTCGTCTAGGCTGGAATCACTGGTGCGAGGCTCACTGCAACCTCCACCTCCCAGGTTCAGTGGATTCTCCCGCCTCAGCCTCCTGAGTAGCTGAGATTACAGGCATGTGCCACCACGCCCAACTAATTTCTGTATTTCTAGTAGTAACAGGGTTTTGCCTTGGTGCCCAGGCTGGTCTCAAACTCCTGGCCTCAAGTTATCTGCCCACCTCAGCCACTCTAAGTGCTGAGATTACGGGTGTGAGGCACCGTATTGCTCCAGATTTGGCAGATTCTGACTGGCTAATTTTTATACCTTGACAGGCACTAACCACTAAGACCTGAGTCATCATATACTTTAAAATAAGTATCTACATTTAAATTTCCTTTTTGAATTGGTTATTAGGAAAATGTCCAACTCCTTAGGCAAAACTTCCTACTTTCTGTCTACAAATAAAGAGAACCGCACTTTGGGAGGCCGAGGCGGGCGGATCACAAGGTCAGGAGATCGAGACCATCCCGGCTAAAACGGTGAAACCCCGTCTCTACTAAAAATACAAAAAATTAGCCGGGCGTAGTGGCGGGCGCCTGTAGTCCCAGCTACTTGGGAGGCTGAGGCAGGAGAATGGCGTGAACCCGGGAGGCGGAGCTTGCAGTGAGCCGAGATCCCGCCACTGCACTCCAGCCTGGGCGACAGAGCGAGACTCCGTCTCAAAAAAAAAAAAAAAAAAAAAAGAGAACCATGTACTCCACATTCCCCTTTTCACCTTATGTGCCAAGAAATTCAAAGCTAAATTCAGAGTTCAACTACAATAATTAACTTGTCTCAGGTGCTTCTAATAGCTACTAACAGTCAGGGTACAGCTCCTTTTACTGGTTTCCAATCTGCTTTAACTTGTACTTATCCGGTTTTATGTTACCCATAAATGTAGTGAGCTTTCCTCACATTCTGCATTTTGGATTTTATGGGGTATAAATCATAAACAAACAAAAATACCCAGGTGTGCATTTTTCTCACATTCAAAGGTTTAACATTTGGCTCCACAAAAGAGCAGCTCAGCAGGAAATCATGCATGTCTTTCCCTAAATGAGATCAGCATCTGAACTCCCAAGGCTGAAGAGGCCCCTGGGTCTAACTGAGCTCCAGTCTCCAGGGCAGAGGGGCTACCATACACCTCAGGCACACAGGGGCTCTGAACACTGGAATTCCCATCGAGCTTTCAACATGGCAGTGTTACCTTCAAGAACTGCCACTGCCTCGCTTTGCTGACACCTTAGAATACTTCGCTGTGAAAAGCAGTTCAGGTGCTTTATGGTGGCAGGATTAATGCTGTTATTATTATGATGTAGCCTGTGCCAAAACGTTCCAGATTTTTTTTTTTTTTTTTTGAGATGGAGTTTTGCTCTTGTTGCAGACTGGAGTGCAATGGCACGATCTTGGCTCACCGCAACCTCTGCCTCCTGGGTTTGAGCGACTCTCCTGCCTCAGCCTCCCAAGTAACTGGGATTACAGGCAGGCGCCACCATGCCCGGATAATTTTTTTTGTATTTTTGGTAGAGACGAGGTTTCTCCACGTTGGTCAGGCTGGTCTCGAACTCCCATCCTCAGGTGATCCGCCCACCTCGGCCTCCCAAAGTGCTGGGATTACAGGCCTAAGCCACCATGCCTGGCGCAGCCCAACATTTTTTAAAAAAGTGAAAACATGCATGTGGTAAAGACGGGGGAAAAATAAAACTGTAAAATGGGCATGAACCCCAAAATTTGCCAACCTCCCTAAAGGTAACCAATGTTATCCATTTCTCAAGTGTCCTTTCAGAGATATTCAGCACTTAGGTATTCAAGCATATACATTCCTCCTTTATCACACAAACAGTAGCACATTATATTAACTTTTCTAAAACCTTGCGTTAAACATATATATATACCTATGCCACTTAGAACTCATATAGTACTAACATGGAATTTCAGTACTATAAAGTACAGCCATTTGAAATAATGAACAGCCACACTTTCTAGTGGCTGCACACTATTCTATGGCACAGATACACCATAATTTAATACACGCTCTACTGATGAATATCTATGATGCTTCCCAATGATGCTGCAATAAGTTTGTGTTGAGCAGAAAAGGTGCATTAGAAATTATTTTTCTTTCTTTCAACTTTAAATTCCTAGCTTTGAAAAAGAGTCTCCATGTGCTATGAATACACTGTAAGCTAACATTGTACTAGTTGATTTTGATTAATCAAGTTGTTCTGAAAGACTAGTAAATAATCAAATGCAGTCTAGCAAGCTGGGTGTGGTAGAATACCTGTAGTCCCAATTACTCAGGAGGCTGAGGCAGGAGGCTCGCTTAAGCCCAGGAGTTTGAGACCAGCCTAGGCAACGTAGCAAGACCCTATTTCTAAGCATGGGGGAAAGCAGTCTAGTGATTTTGGTGTACAGACTGGACTATGGAAGGGAACACAGTGAAATAAGCAATTGTGTATGGGGGCAGGTGGGTCACTGGGAGAGTAAATAGATTGTTTTTAAAAACTGTCAACCTTAAAACAGAAAAAATAATCTGTCAATATATATAATTTTAAAATGTTAACTAAGTTTAGAATGGTATTATTCATCATGATGTTAGTAAAATTGCTGAATATGTTCACAACTGTTACGGTTCTGTCTGTACGAGGTTCCATGCTTAAGTAACGCTGGTGAAAGCAGCTGTCCCACAGCAGTGGCACACCTAGCAGATCTGACGCATTTTTAAGACCGCCTTCCTTTATTTGACAAAATGACTTTCAACAATAACCAGCACTCTACTTCAGTTATTTAAAATTGTAAACGTAAAAATTCCCAAAGCAGAAACAGAGAATGAAGGAATGGAAAAAAAGTTCTGTTTCCTCATCTTCATAATCATTCTACTATTGTTGCTCATTGACAAATCTGTTTAACCACTGGAACAAGGAGCACCATGGGGACTGTGGACTCAGACTGCACCTGAAATGAGTACTAGGCTGAGTCCACATGTGTTACTGAAGGAGAAGTAATATAATGGATAATGTGCTTGCTAATTTGAAGCATATAGATGTTCTATATATAAAATAAAAATTCAACATATGTTGTATACATACATATATAAAAAATAAAAATTCAGCTCACACCTATAATCCCAGCACTTTCAGAGGTTGAGGCAGGAGGATTGCTTGAGCCCAGGAGTTCGAGACCAGCCTGGGCAACATAGGGAGATGCCATCTCTACAAATAATTTTTTTTTTTTAATTAGCCGGACATGGTGGCATGTGCCTGTAGTCCCAGCTACCTGGGAGGCTAAAATAGGAAGCTTCCTAGAGCCCAGGAGTTTGAGGCTGCAATGAGCCATGATTTGTACCACTGCACTCCAGCCTGGGTAACAGAACTAGATGCTGTCTCAAAAAAAAAGTAATTAAAAAAATTCAACACTAACTTCACCAATTATTTAGGACTCAGGCCAACAAAGGAGGTTTTGTCAGTTAATATGGTGATAATAAAAAGAAAATTGATTTTTTAGATGGTTTTGCCATTGTTTGTAAATTCCCTACAGCCAAGCAAAGTCCTTACTGCTTGCAGCTGCGGCAGACCATTCCTACCACCTCACCATTGGTTTACCATTATCTCTTAGAACTCCCCAAACAACTTTAATATAGCTTCCATTTGGAATGGATGATCTGTAGTTACAATGATAGAATTATTCAAAACAAAGTTATTAAAGAATACCCAACCTACCCTCAGAAACCATCCCAACAAATTACATGTTTTAAAGCTGTCAAAGTTAACAGTTTTACATAAAATTAAAATATACATTCAGAAAAGTACACAAACTGGAAGTTTACAGCTTGATTAATTTTCATCAAGTGAGCCAGCACCCAGATGAAGAAATGGAAGTCCCTCTCTCCCCCAAATATCCTTCCTTCCAGGCACAATCATCTATACACCTTGCCAGCGTAACCATGATCCTGAAACATCACACATTAGTTTTGTCTGGTTTCTGAACTTTAAGCAAGTGCAACAGGGTTTACAGTGTTTAGTTTTGTTTACTCAGCATTTTATTTGTGAGACTCAACCATGTTGTTGTATATAGTTCATTCATCCTCATTACTGTAGAATATTCCATTGAATGAAAAATGCCACGATCTATCCACCCTATTACTTAGGGACATTTGCGAGGCTTCCAAATGGACCTATTAAGAAGAGTGCTACTATGAACGTTCTTGAATATGCTTTTGAGGGACATATGGATGTGTTTCTGTTGGACGTTCCTAGGAGTGTAATTACTCGGTCATAGAGTCTACGTGCATTTTATCCTTCATTTAGATAAGAGGTAGGGAGAAACAGTCTGAGAAAATTCTCTATTTAATTATTAGTGTAAATTTAAGAGATTAGATTTTAAAAGGCTTCCCAACTAACAGTAAATAACCAATTTGCCATTACAACTGCTTTGTAATTACCCTTGAACATGGAAAATAATTATGTAGCTATCCAACCATATCACAGATGCTCTTCAGGAATTTTCTAGGAGGAAGTATTGATGTAAAATATAATTATCAAGATATATATATAATTATCAAGATATATATAATTTTATATATATATAATTATCTGTCAGCTGATAGTGTTATGGCTATTCCAGAAAGAAATGCAGTCACTGAACTCCCATGAAGTGAAGGTAATATCAAAGAAAGAATGCTAGCATTAAGTCAACAACAAAGAAGTCTGGGATTTGCAGAGTTCATTATCTACCCTACTGACACGTCCCCCCTCCCAACTGAAAATCACTCCAGGTGGAAAGCAAACCTATTTCATGTAGTTCTGAAGGCAAGAAAATGAGTTTTTAAAAATGTACCACTATCAGAGATACAAACTATTTCTGCCTAATCAGCTTTTACCTAACCACAGGATATTTTCTAAAAGTAAATAAAAACAAAAATCCAAGAAACAGTTGAAAACTAGTAAAACTTATCTTTCCAATAAATTCCAAAGTCAAACCATATCCCATCTTCTGGGCACAAGCTAGCCAAAAAGGCTGGTCATAGGCCAGGTTCTGCAGTGTTAAAAAACAACACTTAGAAATATGGCTGGGGAAGGTAAGTCCAGGGAAATGAGTCCTTCTAAGAAATCTTCTCCCTGTTTGCTCTAGAAACAGAGACCCTAAACGCTAAGCTGAAACTTAGTTCAGAGGTCAACTCTCTCCTACCTCCAAAAGCAGAAATCCTTTCCACAGCATCCTGACCTGCACTGCCTTAAAGCTAAATACTTTCAGACACAGGAAAATCACTTCAATAATGCTGCTGGGCCAGGCACGCTGGCCACTTACGCCCAGGAGTTTGAGACCAGCCTGGGCAACACAGCAAGACCCCATCTCTATTTATAAATAATAATAATATTGCCAGACAGCCTTAACTGTTAATGCTTTTTTCTGTTATATTAATTTTCTCTGCTACAAATTATCACACATTTAGTGCCTTAAAACAAGACAAACTAATTATTTTATATTCCTGTAGGTCAGAAATTTAATTCAGCTCCAGGCTGGCTAAGATCAAGGAACTAGAAGGGACGCAACTCCTTACTAGACAGAGGCTCTGAAGAGGGTTCTGTTTCCTTGCCTCTTCCAGCTTCTGAGACCACCCACATTCCTTGTCCCGGAGCCCCTTGCTCCATTTTCAAAGCCAGAAACACCAGCCGAATCCTTCTCACATTGCCAGCTGTCGTCTCTCTGGATGTCTTTTTTTGTCTCCCTCTTCTGCTTTAAGGGACCTTGGGACCATGCTAGGCCCACTTAGATAATCCAAGATATTCTATCTGCTGATTAACAACTTTTAATTCCCCTTTGCCATGTAATGTACCATTATCCACAGATTCCATGGCTACAGAGGAGGCATGTCTGGGGATCCATGATGCTGCCTATTACATCTGTTAAGTTGAAATGAGCTCCTCTGTAACTTCCATCCAGAACTTCGGGTACCACAGACCGAAGAACACTTCTGTAACACAATTCTGCAGTTTTCTCTCCTTTCCTCCTTAACTTCACCATTCCTCTCCTCCTCCTCACCCACATAGTTCTTCAGGTTCTGTTTGCTTCCCAAGATTCAAGTTTTACATTTACTTTTGTTAAACTCTACAAAGTTCAGTCCTCCACTCATCCCATCCAGTCCGACACTGGTCCAGGCGTCTGTGAATGCTGCTTCTCATTTGTCATCTCATCTCAGACACTGGACTGACAGCACAGGCAGCAGAAGTGAGAGATTTGGAATCACTTTTTGGGTCTCGCTTTTCTCATCTTTATCCACAGGGAAGATGATGTGTTTCCAAAGGCCACGGTGGTAATATGAGGAGATAATGCATATAAAATTCACCTGTAATCTATAATGTACTATAAAATTCACAGTCATTAACAATACCTATCATCACTCCTGTTCACTTGTCAATTTGAAATATTGACCACAATAGAGATGAAGACAGAGCCTCAAATCACATCTAGAGACACTGACACCTTTCCTCAACGAGACAAGAGTCTGTAATCAATAAACACGATAAAGACTGTCACCATGGAGCCAGTCTTGGCCCCAACCCACGTTTGTCGGGTGTGTGGCACAGATGCAACACTGGCTTTTTCCAAACAGAAAAATTAGGACTTTTTCTGATTTGTGTTTATGACGGGTCTTACGTATTGAGTATAACAGCTCAAACAGGTATAAATTTCTCAAAAGGCATGATTAGACATGTTATAGAATTCTTTCTGGGACTAAAAAAAAGGCCATCATTAACACGTGTGTTGAGTGAATTAAAGACTTTAGGGTCTATTTGTGGGCAAGTCCTGAAAAACAACAAAAAGTCGAAGCAGAAGCCGGTTTCAATGATGGGCAGAGGAAGCGGACAGCAACAGAAAACAAAAATACACCCCATCAAAAGTTTCCAAATTCTTTCCCAAATCATCCTTCTCTTATACTCATTACTTCCACAACTGAAACAGTTTAGTCCCCAGATAAGAGTCTGGATTCGTTTCTCCTCTATTACCTCTTACTCAGTAAGCCCATTTATTCATGGATCTGTTCTTTTTTCTGAGACAGAGTCTCACTCTGCTGCCCAGGCTGGAGTGCAGTGGCACAATGTTGGCTCACTGCAACCTCGACCTTCTGGGTTCAAGAGATTCTACTGCCTCAGCCTCCCAAGTAGCTGGGATTACAGATGTGCGCCACCACACTAATTTTTGTATTTTTTAGTAGAGATGGGGTTTCACTATGTTGGCCAGGTTGGTCTTGAACTCCTGACATCAAGTGATCCACCTGCCTCGGCCTCCCAAAGTGCTGGGATTATACGCGTGGGCCACCATGCCCAGCCATCCTGGATCTGTTTGGTTTAAATTTCATGTTTTTGCCTTTTGGCAGTAAATATGAAAAATGCAACACTCTCCAAAGACTGACCCTTCCCATTTCAAGGGTAAGGAAGAATGAAGCCTCACCCAAGTATGTGGGATCTGAAGTCCTTGGAGGCGGGTGCTAGGCCAGGGGACAGAGTGGATCATCCCTGCAAAACCTCCGTCCTCTGGAGACCTGGCTGTGGGGGCAGAAGGATCAGGAAGTGAAGGCTACTCCTGCCCAGTGAAGAATGGGAGTGAGCAGCTCACGCGGTGGCAGCATTTGGCGGATGACAACAACTTTGTTACAAGCTTTATTGGGGAAAAGCCTGCTGGAACAAAGGCAAGCAGATAACCTCTAAGGCGCGAGGCAGGGGGACAGCAGGGGCACAGGGTCAGGAGCAGGCTGTGGACCTTCCCTTCCTATCCAGAGGGCTTGGAAGAGCTGGGGAGAATGACCTGGTTGCAAAAATGAAAACATCAAGAGGACTGTCCCCAACCAGAGACAGTCTAATAGGCACTGATGGCTGCAACGAGACGCTGGCATTTTAAAACACTACTTTGAACCTCTCTTCTTCATCCTCTCCGAGCAATGATCAAAGAACCAAGATTTCAAATTGTGAAGCAATTTTTTCCAATGGTAGCATCTGGCTCCTTGGCAGGCGGTGCTGGGAGCTGGGCCCTGTGGCGGGCAGCCGTCCAGGCCTGCCACATGGTAAGGCTCGGCCAGGCAGGGCACGCAGTGCGGCATTGCAGCTGCTCCCACAGGCACCAAAGGACAATCGCTCTGCACTGGGCCTGGGGCTGTGGGGCAACAGTGCCCCTAGAGGCAGCACTGCCATGGGCAGAGAGAAGGGGGAGGTCTGGAGAAAGCTGGCTGCTCTAAAAGGCTCCTCGCCCTCTCATTTGCAGGCAAGTGCCTTCTGGCTAAGACCCTTGAAGCCAGTCCCATTGACATTCAGAGGCTTGGGGTGGGTGGGGAAGCTGGGCCAACCGTGAGACAGCTCCCCAGCAAGGAAGCCAGCATGTAGGGGGAGTGAACGAGCTGCCCTCAGAAAAGAGTCTTTGAGTGTGTTCACTTCGGCCCTTATGCCCTGCCCAACCCAATGATGAGACAGCAGCTGTAGCCTGCCTGCCACAGCTGTTTTAAATAAGAATAATAGGAATAAACTCAGCCGTGGCTCTTCAAGTTACTTCCCGCTAATTATGGCATATATTTACATCTACAAAATAGAAGATTTTTAAAAACACCACCAAGGGCCCCTTTATTGTGCAGATTGGCACCCCTATTTGAATTTCATAAACATTTGGCACTTCAAAGAATCTTAAAAGCTTGCTCTAATTATGCTATGCACTGGTTGAAAGGCTGCCCGTCTGCACTGCAAATTCCTACAAATACCAGCATTTAGTTTTTCAAAAATTCAATTAATATCACCCACACAACTTCAGGTGACCACTAGTGGCAACTTCACATAGTGGCTAGGATGAAAGAGTCAGGTCTCAGCTCCAACTACAAAGCAGCTACACGGGCCAGTTCTTTCCAATAGAGGCAAGTAATGAATTCTGGGTGCCCAGCTGAGCTGGCCCCAAACCTTTCTCATTCATCAGGTGTGTGAACACTGGCCCAGACACCACCTTTCCCAGGAAACAGGACCTTTTTATGGTTTCAAGGTTTTGTGCATGAAAAGTTTTTCATAGAACAACAATAACAACCCCAAGCCAATGATACGTAAGTGAACTAACAAGTGCAGAGCTGCCAGATAAAACGGGGAACCCAGTTAACTCACATCTCAAATGAACAGCAAATACTTTTTCAGTACATATGAACATATATACCAAATACTGTATAGGACATGTACACCAAAAAAGTATTCACTGTTTATTTGAAATGCAAATTTAACTGGGCAACCTGATAAATCTGACAACTCTACTTATCAAGAAACCTTTACCACAGAGAATAAAAACTGAGACTTACCCTCAAATTCTCATTGCTGTAAAAGGCATCATATGTCCAAGACACTTTAGGTAGGGAAAATGAAGTTGCAGGAAACACTTGGAGCATAATCCCTTTTTAGTAAAAACAAGTGATGTATATGTATACGTATAATGGTTGTAGATACATACGTATAAGTCTAAAAGGATACATTCCAAATTTTGGGATCTGGCTGACCACAGGCATGTATGTGTGCAAGGAGGATCTCACTTTTTATTCTATATTCTTTTCAACTGCTCAAACTATTCATAACAAACCTGCATCACTTTTTTAATTTAAAAAGTAAATTAACATGGGGTGGACTGGGGGGTAGGAGGTACCGTGGATCTTTACCTGCACATGGAGAGGGGGTCTCTCACACCACCAAGGGCCTAGGTTCAGTTTTAAGCAACTGACTGAGATCCCTGAAGTGTCCAGTTAATCCAACTACGCCTTGCAAAACTGGGTCTGAAAATATGCAGCCACCCCGACTATGGCACATCAATTCTTTCCTTCTCAGGTTTTTCTTGAGGTGAAATGGTAAAGGTGACAGCATGAATCAAGCTAATTGTGGCAGCAGCTCAGGTGGGATCGTGGCTTAGCATCTCAGTCTGTAGCCACAGAAGGGAGTGGAATTAAATGGCCCCAGAAGGAAGGGACAGACCCCTGACCTGGGCTTTCTTAGCAATCACAGAGACAAAGGACCCAGGACAGAAAGTCTTTTAGGAATAGCTGTTGGAATGAATTCCTCCAGGTCAAGGCAACTCCCAATGCAAGAGATTCTGCCCGGAAGCCCTGAAGACTTCAGAGTCAAAGGTTTAAAAAAAAGAGAAGTATCTGTGGTTTGATAGAAGAGGATGGGAGGAAAAGCAATGTAAGCTCTTGTGCTCATTTTCCAAGCTATCCTATCCTGTGAAATCCATGATTTCATTCCTACTACGTTTTAGGCTTTCAGAGGATTCAGGTATGGTCTTTTGAAGTGAATGCCCCTGTGACCAGGGTTTCCACCCACATCTCTCCCTATTCTCTGAGTTCGGTAAGCCCCAGTGGCCATGGGGACCTCTCGCCACCTCCCAGGACTCCTTGTCTGTACATGAGTATCCACTGCCCTGAAAACTCCTTCTCACTCCCCTTGCACTGACCAAATTCTATCAAGATTCTGTTTAAATGCCATGTCTTTGTGAGCCCTTCCGAAATGTTCTCAGGCAAAAAGGGTTCCACCTCTGTGCTTCCACAGCAACTTCTGCCCACTTCCACTACAGCTCCCACCCCTCGGTGCTGTTGTTCACCTGCCCACATGTCTGCCATCCCTCACCAGACCCTGAGCCTGCAAATCAGAACTCTCAATCACATCTGCTTCCCAGTTTTCCAGAAGCAAAGACGACATTGGCAAATGTTTGTTGAATGACTTTCTAGCAACGAGATGGCCCAGAAAAGCTTTCAAGTGAGTCTCTTGAGGTCTCCTTTTCCTCCTACGAATTGCTTGCGGATGATTCCTCAACAAACTCTCAGGTGGTAATGTGAGTTGGCAATGTGGCAGAGTGCCCAATGCACAGCAATTTCTTTAGGACCATTTACTGATTGAAATAAAATAACTTTCCAGGTAACTTAAAAAAAAAAAGCCTTGAAAATCTATTATATACATTGCAGCACTGAACACAGGCCACAGACAGGGTACGCTCCCTTAGAAAGGCCTACAAAGAAGTTTGGCATCCAGGGTTCGGGAACCAGGAAGGAGCAATCCCAAGCAGCAGTCACCACAGAAAGTGCTCACAAGCTCCAGATATTTTTCTTACGAAAACAAACCAAAATGGGCAGATATACAAATGTATTGATTTCTCTCTTCCTGTGCTTACAATAGCAGGGCCTATCAAGAGATAATTAAAAAAAAAAAAAAAAGACTCATGTAACCACAGTCTACTTAAAATTTAACATGTATTAGCCCCCAAGTACCTCTGAATATCGTGATACTTCTCACTAATCTTTCTTCTACTTAAATCATTTCATCACTTAATATTGTTCAGTTAACTTTAAAACGCATTTTGAGATGAGACAGAAGTAGGGAGAAATGGAAAACTTATTGAGCTGAAAGGCCCCTCCTTCCTGATAGCAGTTCAAAACATGTGGAAAGCAAACGATTTCGTATTGTTAACTCCCTCTTCCATGAATAGCAACAGGACGTTTGGTTCCAAATGACAGACTCAGGTCTACAATTCCAATCTAAATCATGCAGAATACAATTAGAAACAAGCTGAGACTCCAATGGGGGTGGGGTCTGTTCTGCTGGGTTATTGTGCGCCCAGTTTCTTCTCTTTAAATAAAACCCAGTTTTATGTAGAGTGACTGTCATTTTGTTGAACAAATGTGATTTCATTTCTACCAAGACAAAAGCATCTTCTAATGGCTGTCCTCTTTCCAGGTAACTTGCTTCCCCTTTTTTTGTTTTATAAAATCTTCTCACATCTGCTATGGTTAGTAAAAGTAGGCTTGCTTTTTCTTCCTTTAAAAATAATAGGTTAAGAAAGTAAATTGGCCAGGCATGGTGGCTCACGCCTGTAATCCCAGCACTTTGGGAGGCCAAGGCGGGTGGATCACCTGAGGTCAGGAGTTCAAGACCAGCCTGGCCAACATGGCGAAACCCCATCTCTACCAAAAATACAAAAATTAGCTGGGCACAGTGGCAGGTGCCTGTAATCCCAGCTACTCGGGAGGCTGAGGCAGGAGAATCGCTTGAACCCGACAGGCAGAGGTTGCAGTGAGCCGAGACTGTGCCACTGCACTCCAGCCTGTGAGACAGAGCGAGACTCCATCTCAAAAAAAAAAAAAAAAAGCAAATTAAGTAACTATGTAGACAGTATTGTTTACACTGAATGATCATAATCCCAAGAATTTTAAAATACAAAACAATTTTAAATAAGTATAGGATAACATCATATATCCTGGTTTCTAAGATATGACTAATTTGATAATGATTAGAGTGAAAGCAGAAATATTAAATGTATATTTAAAAATTTGTTATAACCTGGCAACATGATACAAATCCGTAAGATTTCACTTTCATATTGCTTTCTTCTTTATTATTCCAATCAAAGTTTAAGACTAAGCCTTTACTGTACTAATTATTATTATGAATAGTTTTGGGTTATAATGTTTATGAATAGAATGTTAAAAGCATACAGCTTTCTTTAGAGCAGTGTTTCCAATCTTGACACCCTTGAACATTATTAGGACAGGAAATAGAATTCTGAGGCCCCTCCAAAGGTATTAGTCTCAATTGCATGTCTTATTTGGTTAAATCTGTAATTTTATTTCCTTCTGTAAACTTCATATAGCTAGAAATTAACTGCTTTTGACAGTCAGCTGTGAGCTACACTTGGGTTTTTGTCCTTCGGGATGCATGACTGAATCATACTCATGTCTTCTAGCTCTGGGAATTCAATCTATGATCAATTCCCAAGGCTGTTGACATTTTGTTACATTAATTGCACTGTCTGCCACGTCACTGGCAATCCATCTGCCTGAATCTCAATGCTGCAATGAAGCACAGCTTCATCCATTTGTGGGTGGACATCCCTCTTTCCTAGAGCCTACACAGCACCTGATCATGTTTTGTAAGGAAAAAAGAAGTATGACTAGCTGCCAGTACAAGTACTTGCCTCATTTATAAAAAATCTGGTTCCAAAACTCCTCTTGAACCATAATAACAATTTCAATGCCACATCAATGCGTAATTTTCCGAGATGGTTTAATTAGGGATTTAAATTTAAGCTAAAATTCAACTGCTATGGTACTATAAAGTGCAAATAACTCAACTAAGGTGTCCAGGGAATGGCAAGATGTCTTCTATGCTGGCCAGGGTCAGGTGATAATAACCAGTCACAACCTACTCCTCTGCCTAGGGGTGGAGAAGATGCTTTTTTGTTTAATTTTGCTTCAATTTCTGGGATACATGTGCAGAACGTGCTGGTTTGTTATATAGGTATACGTGTGCCATGGTGGTCTGTGGCACCTATTGACCTGTCCTCTAAGTTCCCTCCCCTCGCCCCCCACCCCGCAACAGGCCCTGGTATGTGATGTTCCCCTCCCTGTGTCCCTGTGTTCTCATTGTTCAACTCCCACTTATGAGTGAAAACACGTGGTGTTTGGTTTTCTGTTCCTGTGTTAGTTTGCTAACGATGATGGCTTCCAGCTTCATCCATGTCCCTGCAAAGGACATGATCTCATTCCTTTTTATGGCTGCATAGTATTCAATAATAGACTGGATATAAAGAAAATGTGGCAAAGTGCTTTGGATATCAACTGACAGAAGCATTCCAATTTTAGAACTGTTGAAATGGGAACAAGTCCATGTCTCAGAATTGAAGAAATATGGTATTTCAACCTTAATAGTAATCATTGTTTCTACAGAGAATGAGGAAGAATCGAAGACTTTTGAGTAGGAAGAAAAAATAAAAGCAGATGTAGAAGAACTCAAATAACAAGTGACAATAGAAGATTGTTTTTTGTTTTGTTTTAAATTGCACCAGTCAAGGCTGATGAAGATGCCTGGTCTATTCATGCATGGCCTGAGAGAGTAACTGCTACAACTATTTTAGAAAGCAACATGGTTATTTACACACATAACCATGTGTGTAAATCACACCACTGCACTTCAGCCTGGGCAGCAGAGCAACACTGTCTCAAAAAAAAAAAAACAGATAATTTGAAGTATACTGACATATAGCTAACATGATATTTCATAAGGTATAAAAGTGGAGTGTCAGATTTCACGTATTCCTTGATCAAAACTACATAAATATGTATCACATTAGGTTATATTCATGATGCATTTAGGACTGAATTAAAAATTATATATTCCCAACTGTCTAGAATGTTATACCTTCATAATCATAATATAAAAACAACACTGCTTTCTCCTAATGGTAGTTGCAGGATCTCACTAACTTGTCTAGTTAAGACTTAGACTCCAACCTGAATTTCCTGGTAATAGTTTATTCACCTTACGTTTTGTATTCTTTTATGTGATGGTCAGTCAGGTGCGGCCACAGAGCACAGGAGAAGTTCAGGAAAAAAATTTATTACACTCAAAGGTCCCCAAGACAGGAAGCATGGCAGGCCATCAAGGGCCACATGGAAAGATACTAGGGTGGTCAGGAGGCAGAAGACAAGAGGCCAGCTTAGACCAGAGCCTTTCCTGGGCTTTCCATGGGCAGGGCAGGGGAAACAGAATGACCAATTAAGGATTGACTAGTTCGAATAACTCCAGCTGGCTCTAAGCTTCAGAGGTGGTCCCTAGTTGTCTGGTACCATTCCAGGGAATGATTAGGGCAGAGGAACACTGTATCCTGGGGTGCCTGGACCACATAGAGGAGGTCTGGTTCTGGACTGGTTGGTTTGCATATGAAAAGCAGGCTCCTGGACTATCCTCTGTTAGACAGAATCATGTTCCTACTCTAAGAATTGGCTAGACCCAGAAAGGCCAGTCTTTTCCCAGCAAGAAAGGCTTTTTAAAAAAAATCAGAACATAATAATATACAGAACATATATATGAAAATACACCTTAGCTCCCATGTAAACACACCAGAGCATCTCATAATGACAGGACTTCAAAGAGAAACTACCAAGGCTGCTATCCTTCAGCAATCACCATTAGCTTCCATTTAAGTGAAGCTATGTTGGGATGGTTTCTAGTGACAGAACCGTGCTCCCTGAAGAGGCCATGCACAGGTTTACACAAAGAGCATGGATTCTGGAGTCTAGCAGATGTGGCATTTACTAGCAATATGATGTCACAGAAGTCACTTTGCCTTTGTATGGTTTGATTTCTTCATGTGTGAAGTGGGACTCATCACATGTATCTCACAAGGATTAAATAATATCAAGTATGTGCTTAGCCCTGGCACAGTGCCTGGCTTAAAGAAGGTACCAGTTAAGCGTCAGGTTCAGGTACTGCTGAAAAAGAGAGGAACCTCTTCCCTTCCCTTCCATTCCTGCAAAATCACCTTTTCTCTCTTTGTAATTAAATACGCTGTAGAATTAAAACACATAGGAGTAAATAAAAAGAGGGCAAAAGAAATAGAAAGGAAATGAGTAAGAGGCTGTCATGAAAAGGAAAATATAATAAAACTAGAAAAGGCAAAATGCAGAGTCTCTGTAACACTCAGTAAAAAGAATCCCATTACTCTGTTGACTGAAAAATTGTTAAAACACCGACTGCTCCCTACTGCTGTCACAACTAAATTCTGGATTCCTTCTCTTTCCAAATTTTTCTACTCACCTATCTTTCCATTACCAGTGAAGATTCAGCTGCAACACACCTCAATGCACCTGAAGCATACGTTACACACACCCTGTCTCAGTGCCTTTGCTTACCAGCCCCTCATCTAAGATGTCCCCTGTAATCTGTACCCCAATACTTGCAGACATAATGGCTGAAGGAGAAGAACCCCTAAGATCTTACTGGTGAGAATGTAAAATGGTACAACCACATAAAAAAGAAGTTTAGCAGTATCTTAAAATGTTAAACATAGAGTTACCGTAGGACCCAGCAATTCCACTCCTAGGTAGCTCCCCAAGAAAGATGAAACGGTATGTCCACACAGACTTGTCTACAAAGACTCGATAGCACCATTATTCATAATAGCCTGAAGTGGAAATGATCCACATGCCTATCAACCAGTGAATGAACAAAGCAAAATGTGGTATATACATTGGATGGGACACTAATTCTACAATAAAAAGGATGCACCTCAAATACAACAAAAGTAAAAGAAGCCAGCTGTGAAAAACAATACACTGAATGATTTCATTCATATGAAATGTCTAGAACAGGCAAATTGATCCAGACAGAAAGTAGATCCACAGTTGCCTGGGGCTGGGGGTGGAAATAAGAACTAACTACAAATGGGCACAGGAGATCCTCGCGGGGTGACAGACAAATTCCAACGCTGGATTTTAGTATGATTATGCAACTCTGTAAATTTTTCTAAAAATAATTAAATTGTACTTTTCTTTCTTTCTTTTTTTTTTTTTTTTTGAGAAGGAGTCTCACTCTGTCGCCCAGGCTAGAGTGCAGTGGCGTGATCTTTGGCTCACTGCAACCTCCGCCTCCCAGGTTCACGCCATTCTCCTGCCTCAGCCTCCCAAGTAGCTGGGACTAGAGGGGCCCGCCACCACACCCGGCTAATTTTTTGTATTTTTAGTAGGGATGGGGTTTCACCGTGTTAGCCAGGATGGTCTTGATCTCCTGACCTCATGATCTGCCCATCTCGGCCTCCCAAAGTGCTAGGATTACAGGTGTGAGCCACCACGCCAGGCCTAAATTGTACATTTAACATGAGTGATCTTTATAGTATATAAATTATACCTCAATAAGGCTCTTTAGAAAGATCTTAACAGATAAACAGCCATTCATACGGGCTTTAAGGGGTCCCACACCATGAAGGCATGAGACACTGTAAAGCTTATATGGTAGAGGGGTACTCATGCTGGCATCCTTGACTCTGTTATTCATTTATGCTCTGGGGCCTGGGATGCCAGTAGAATCTTCCACCCTAAAATCAGTGGAGTGACTACTACTTGGCTCATCACCATCCCATTCGCCTCCAAGTGTCAACTGGCAGAACTGAGGTGCCTGCATCTGGGGCTTAAATGCAGGTACTTTAGGTAACACATAGTATTCTTCCATAGCAAACCCCTCACGTGGTCTAGCCTGACCGAGCCCAGGTTGGACGTAGCAGATATTCTGAAAACCAAATTCAGGAACGATCAAATAAACAGGTAAGAGTCAGGCTGATACTGACAGCCTAGAGACTTTAGGCCATTTGAAAAAGAGAGAAGAAAAGGACTGGGTATAGAGTCTCTGTTGTAACAAAAATAAGCACATCTGCTAAGCATATTGCTAAAAGATATTTCGAAGGGAGTGTTAAACCTACTTCGGAAACACCCACTGGAAGCACCTACTGATATCCAAGGATAGATATTCTAAATGTAATTCATTCTTACTGAGTCATTAGAGGAAGCCAATGACATTTCAAATTGCAAACCGAATTTAAATTGCCTTCCCTCCTTTATTTTAACATAGTTATGACTGAATTTCTTTATAAAGGTTAAATATTCCTAACAACTCTACTGAAGGAGTGATGTTTTCTATCATATTCATGGAAGTTCTCCATTTTAATTCTGCAAATCTTAATAAACAAGTATCTGATCTCGGAGTAACTGTTTCTAAATTTGCACATCTCCCAACAGCTACCATACTCTAAACATCTGCAATCTAGACTTTGTTATTTGAGGATTCATGACTGAAGGGCCCCACCATGGAAAACATTTATTAAAATCATCCACTGGGTAAAATAAGGGCAATTTTGGAGGCAAAACCAAAAAAGACTTTCTAAGCGCACTCTATGCTACTTTATATTCAAACAATATGCTAATTATCAGAAACCTTATTTAAAAACACTACTGTTGAATTTGAAATTACTGAAAATGGTTTCTCTTCATAACATTCTATAATTCCGAATTAGCTTTTCATTCACTTGGATAAACAACCCCTTTTTACATCCTTTAAAATAGTGGCTCTCAAACTTTTTGATCACAGGACCCCTTTACACTCGTAAATAAATTATTGATGTACCAGACAGCCTGACCCTGACCTCAAGTAAATTCCCAGGAGACGCCTTTCCTGGGTTTTGAATTTGCCGTAACAGGTGTGAGCATTCTAGCAGCAGTTTGGTGATCATGTACGATACTGCAAACAGGACCAAATAAATTATTGAGGACCTCAAAGACCTTTTGCTTACTACAGGTTATATCTATATTTTCTGTACTGGAAATTAAAACTGAGCAAATTTTAAAATATTCATTCATTTTAAGAAATAATAAGCTAATTACATGTTGATATACATCTTTTTAAAAAAATTAAACATGCCTGTATTTTTAAAAAATTAGTGAGACAGGTAGTGCTGCTTTACATTATGTGACAGACTCCTCAGATAACAGTGGTCATTTTCCTTTGATACTATATCAAAAGTCAACAAGCAGTAGTAGTTTCTTAATGGTAGGCTGGAATATGGAGTCTGAAACCATATCAATGAATTTTTCCAACTCTGTTACATTAAAATCCATTGCTCTAACACAATATCAAATTACATTTTGTCAATATCATCGTGGATCTCATCAGAAAAGTCTTTAAGTACTGAGAAGTTCACTAAGGTAGGCACAAATTTCCCAGTATTCTAATTTTCATTTGAAAGCCCAAATTTTATCTTTGGCAACAAATAATGTCATTTGTTTTCCTTGATGTGATAAAACTTATGTGTTCACTTTCAATGTGTACTCTAGGTTGTAATAAAATTCATGAAGGACTTTTTTTTTCAACTGCATGAATTTTAGCAGCAAAGCCACTGCTCTGATTCATACTAAAGCAGTTCTATCCCACTGCTCTTGTACCATCAGTGTGAATATAAGCAGAATGGAAAAGGCAAATCATGTCTTTGTATTATAACAAAAATAGTTTTGACCTTGTCAACCCATTAAAATGATATCAAGGAACTCCCTAGGGGTTCGCAGGCCACATTTTGAAAGCTACCCTGTTACCATATAACTGATCTCCAACCACCATCCAAATTACTAGAAGGCAGCCACCAATTCAGAAAAGGAAAATGTGACTGTGATCGCTTTTTCAGGTTGTCCATGTGTATTACAGATCCAACATCCATTAATATAAGTAGAAGGCTACATCTACTATCCAAATTTCTTTTTTTTTGGAACAGGGTCTTGCTCTGTTACTCAGGCTGGAGTGCAGGGGCACAATCATAGCTCAGTGCAGCTTCGACCTCCTGGGCTCAAGCTATCCTCCCACCTCAGCCTCCTGAGTAGCTCAGACTACAGGTGTGCACCACCACGCCTGACTAATTTTGTATTTTTCGTAGACAGGGTTTCACTATTTGGCCCAGGCTGGTCTTAAACTCCTGAGCTCATGTAATACCCCTGCCTCAGCCTCCCAAAGTGCTGGAATTACAGGCGTGAGCCACTGTGCCTGGACTACTAACCAAATTTCAATAATGGAAGCACAAAAAATGAAATCTAGTTATCATGGAAGGCTAAAAGAAACGAAACAAACTAATTTAATATGCAAATTTCCTTCCAAGGAATCTAAAACATAAATTTTTCTTTAATTCATCCATTTGTTCTCACATCTGTTGGGCTTTGTTGTGTAAGGTTCTTGCTTGGTATAGAGATACGTAGAGGCTTAGGTTGACAGATCCTGTGGTCAGGGTCCACAAGGGATTATGCAACGAGGAAACAGAGCAGAGGCATTAAAGTCACACAGATCTGATGTCAAGCTCCAGGTACCCAACCTACAAGCCTGTCTCTGGTGATCTACGAGCCTTTTTTCCTAGGTGGAGCTGAGGCAAATTCCACCTAAAACGTGGAGGATGAAATGAAATGCACGTAAAGCATTCAGCACAGCTCCTAGCACAAAGCAAGCATTCAATAAAAAAGGAAGCCACTATATGAATAAGGCCCCCTGAGGCAGAGCCCAGAGGAAGGGGGACACCTCCAAACAATCATGACACAGCATGGGAAGTGATTACCAAATGCAATGGGATTAAAAGAGAAATCAATGGTCTGCTCAAATGGGGAAGGTTCTATTATAGTGGAGCTATTGTCTCATGGAGGAGAAGGAGCTGGCCCAGTGGTACAGGGAGAAAGGAGCAGAAAGTCCATCTAGACAAACAGAAGGCAGAGCATAGACTGGACAGGTGGGGCAACAGGGGTTTGGCAGGACACAAGAGGAAGCTACCCTGGAACCAGGTCGCTTAGGGCCTTTAATGCCATGCTAAGGGGCACAAACACTTAAAACAGTTTTAAAAAAAAATGTGTGTAAAGGCTGAGGAATCATAAACTCGCAGCGCTAGCAGGTTATCTGGTGCCCCAATCCCTTAGCACACACACATTATACTTATGCCCATTCTGACCCATTAGCATTCCCCTGGCCCAAGGCTGACTAGTGCCAAAGGGTGGCAAAGCTCCTCTCAGAGGCTCTGGAACATCAGCAAAGCTGCAGCAGCCAGGGGACTTTGCCCGTCATTTTAAAGCACAAATGAAGTATACACTGGGCAAAGCAATTCTGTTTCCTCTCTGATGCTTACAAAATCTTGAAGCATGTAACTTTATTTTCATCCCAGCTCCGGGAATTTAAGTGAAGTCCAAAGAGGCTGCTTGTCCCTTGTGCCCTTTGGCAGGGACAGAGAATGTCACCCAGGTGCACCATGTGGATGCATAAGGCCGGCATGAGGACAGTTCACAGGTGTGAGTCCGTGCTCCCTTGGCAATTGTGCAGAAGCACATGAAGGTGCACTCAGTGTAAATCCAAAGCCAGCTGTGCTGCACTGTGCTCATGTAAGAGATGTGACCATTCAGACAAAAACCACGGAAATCACAGCAATGTCTTACTCACCCAGAATTTTACGAGGAAGAAGGCATTTTGAGGGCCCTTTCCAAACAGTTCCTTTAAGCCACCTTTCTTTTCAGGAAATTTGTCATAAATCTGACGAATGTCCACTGATTCAAGCAATGGGTCACTGTAAGAATGGTTGGCATGCCCAATGTGCACGAAGAGGTGTTTGTTGTACTGTAAGAAACCAACAGAAACATTCCCATTACAAACTCTTTGATCAACCTGGAACTCATCCATCTTGAACTGGATAAAGAGCAGTAGTACCAAAATTCTGGAATTAGGCCTTCCAGTCCAGGATCAATGCTTTTGAAATGATGAGTATGTTTAGAAAAGCGATTATAGCTTAGGGTTGAGACAATCATTGCTTTTTACTGACAAGGGCATATATTTTCCGAAATATCTAAAAAAGGCTTTTTTGCGGACACATTAATAACAACAGCTTAAGTTACCCAGCTACCAAACCAAGAAACAATTGTATTACCCAATTTCACCTGACCCAACTGAAAATGAAAGTGATACTCTTTGGAGCCCAATAAGAAATCTGTGTGCAGTTAGCTCATGTCATAACCCAGAATGCACTTCTTGTCCCAACTCTCCTGGGACAGCGTAGATACAGTGGTCTGAGCAATGGTACCCACTTCCTTCTTCCAGCAGGAATAAGAGTGCTGAGCCTCTTTGTCACCAGTCCCCTTAGTAACCAATCCAAAACTTCTACATAAGGGCTGCTCAATATGTCACTGTCAGTGCAAAGTTAGGACTGGGGTACAGATCACAGAGAAGATCTACAAGGCCATACATGGCTGATGAAAAAGAACACAGGTCACTCATTCATGAAAAAACAAACAAAAAACTCTAAACCACATTAAGTCATTTCACTCACAAAGTGAACCCTTTTCTTCCCCTTGCTTTGGGATAAGACATGGTAACTGGACCACAAAGGAGTGTGTCCAAACCAATGGTTCTCAACCCAGGCTACATCAGAATACCCAAGGATCATTTAAACATCACAAAGGCCTGGGCATAATCTGGATTAAACTGGAATCCCTGAGAGAGGCCAAACATCATAATTTTTAAAGCTTCTTCAGTGAATTCCAATACACAGCCAAATTTGAGACCACTGGTCTAGACGTTATACTCCAGACTCTTCGGGCATGCCTCTCCCACTGAATAGGCATTAATACCAACTTAATGTGACACAGACCAAGAAACCTGGGGATGCAGAGGCTCCATGGGCCTCAGAACCAAATAGGGTTCACTGAGAAACTCCATCCGCCTTCTTTATCTAGCAGTCCAAGTCTGCTCACATTCCAAGTTAAAACTGGCAATTCTCCAACTACTGTCCCTGAGTACTAATCTATTCCACAGGAAGTCCCAACTAACAGAAGGCTTGGGCAAAGCTGAGTATTATACATGGGTTAAGAATGTACAGTCCATGGAACTTAATCACTGGGACCTGCTTTAAAAAAAAAAAGATTGTGTGGGTCTAGACTCATCCTACTCAAGCACAAAACACTGCCCAAGGCAAACTAGCTATGATACTGCGCAAGTGCCTCTCAAGTCTCTAAAATGGGGACAGTGATGGCATTCACTTCACTGGATTGTTACAGGGTTTAAATAAGACACTCCACAGACTTCATCAGGGATCCTAGATCTAACAAGAATAAGCAGTCAATAAAATCTAGCTATTATTCTTTTAATAAGACCTCTCTTAGAGATTCACAGTAAATACTAGCGTATTAAAAGCAGTGCCATTGACTGGCCATGGTGGCTCATGCCTTTAATATCAGCACTTTGGAAGGCCAAGGAGGGAAACTCATTCAAGCCCAAGAGTTTGAGACCAGCCTGGACAACACAGTGAGACATCTCTACCAGAAAAAAAAAAAAAATCACCAGGTGTGGTGGTGCATGCCTGTAGTTCCAGCTACCTGGGAGGCTAAAGCAGGAGGATCACTTGAGCCTGGAAGATCGAAGGTGTAATGGAGCTATGATCATGCTGTTGCACTCCAGCCTGGGCAACACAGTAAGACCTTGTCTCTTAAAAAGGCACTTCCATAAAGAAACATTTTTAAACATATAATCTAGAGTTTCTCAAACTCAGTTGGTCACAAAACCCTATGAAATATATCCTGAAGGAATACTGGTTTAAATCTATAACCTGCTACCCACATTTGGATCTCTGGCCACCATGCCAAAAGACAGGAGGCTGGACACTCCATCTGATGCCAGTGTTGCATATAAGGGGCAGTGCAACTGAGGCCAGTATCTTTTGGAGAGGGCCAGGTCCCTCTCCTGTTCAACATCAGAGTGGTATCTTTTCCAAAGCTTCAAAAATCCTAAAAGGTATCAGGTGAGGTGAAAGAGAGAACCCTATCAAGCTCTGACATGGATGCAGCTGCATGGACTAGCCACCTGGCAGGTAAGACAGAAGCTGGGAGATACTATAAAACAACAGGGTCTGCCTCAGAAGGAAGAAATTATTTTTAAAAAGGTTAAAAGTAAAAGCCATTGTGTTAGGGAAGTGAGATTATGGGGGTGGGAAGAGGTGAGATTATAAGGGTAGGAGGGAACATCTTTGAGCTTTTTATACATTTTTTCAAATGTTGCCACATCACTTTTTCCAATTATAAACAACAGCCCATGGAAATGTATGAGACACAGTCACAGCTGCTAAGAAGCTTCTAGTCTTTCTAGTCTCAGTGGGCAAAAGTAAAAAAGAATAACATGGGCAAAGGTGTGGGCACAGACGTTGGTATAAAGGCAATCAGAAACACAAAATGGAATGGGGAGTACAGGGCAAAAGGCATTGTTTATTACCTAGACAACTGGCTATGTATCCGTCCATCCAACCCTGATTAACAACCTCTGCTTACAGCTAGCTCTCAGACCGCCCCAGTTCCAGAAGGCACCGCTTCTGTCCATTCTAGCGCCTTCTGCAAGGAGTGAGTTTATGGAAGGCATGAGATACAAGCCTTAGGGACTCACTGAGCTGAATCCCAGTCTCCCTTTAGGCTCCTCACTCCTAGCTGTTCTGCCTCGCTAGCTGCCCCTGGGCCAGGTCAGAGCTGGGGTGAAGTTGAGAAGCTGGGAAACTTGAAGTCTTTGTGCTTAACATCAAAATGTCCCTGCACTGCACTGCTGGAAATGGGAACCACGGCCCTGACATCTACAGGTCAAGAAGGTGAATGGGGGTAAAATCTACCACATACCAATGGGGACCATGAAGGTACAGCTGAAAAGCAAGGTGCTGAGTGTAAAGCACGAAAGCCTTGGAGCCAGACACAAACCTGAAACCTCAAGACTTCTCATATGTGCAATGGGGATATAATACCTGTAATATTTGCAACATATGTGAATATTAAAGGAGCTAATGCTCAGAAGGTGCTTGGCATAGGACCTGCCATATAAGAAATGTTTGATAGGGGCCAGGATTGGTGGCTCACACCTGTAATCCCAGCACTTGGGAGGCTGAGGAGGGTGGATCACTTGAGGTCAGGAGTTCGAGACCAGCCTGGCCAACACGGAGAAACCCCATCTCTACTAAAAATACAAAAATTAGCCGGGTGTGGTGGCACACACCTGTAATCCCAGCTACTCGGGAGGCTGAGGCAGGAGAATTGCTTGAACCCAGGAGACGGAGGCTGCAGTGAGCCAAGATCACACCACTGCACTCCAGCCTGAGCATCAGAGAGATACTCCGTCTCAAAAAAAAAAAAAAGTGTTCATGTTCAATAAATTATAGCTAAGATGACCATTGTTATAGTTTATTATCATGTGACATTCACTAGATCCTGAGGTAGAAGCAAAATAACTTTCCTGCTTTTGCTATCCCTCCTGCCTAGTAAAGAAAAAAGAAACACAAGCCAAGAGCTGGGAGCAAGCAGTGAAGCCAAGTGACTGTTCAAATCCCTGATAATGGCCCACTCATAACCAGCTGCTCAGAGTGTGGGCCTCTCACCTGTGCCTGAAGGAAGGAAGGAAGAGACCTTGTGTCCACTGGGCGCTGTGAGCAATGTGTTGTTTATAGATGTGATCTCAGGTAATCTTTGCCTCATGACGCTGCTGGAGGTGGATTTAATTTAAATCATTTTACAGATGAGGAAATAGAAGCTTAGAGATGAACTGACTTGCCTGAGGTCACACATCCAGGAATAGTCCTGGAGTTAATAAAACTTGGATCTGTCAACACCACAGCCCTTGCGTTTGCTGCAAACATTAATCACACTGTCCCCCAAAAGAAAATGTCTAAGCCTTTCTAACACCGTTAAACCAACGTTTTTTGAAAGTTGATTTGGGAAAGGAACAACAGCAAAAAAACTAAACAGCGTTTTAAAACTTCTATGAAGTTAAATTAGAATTAGTGACAAACATGATTCACAAATGCATCAGATAGAGTCCACAAAGGTTTCTATTTTGAGGAATTTACCTCTGTGTTCAAGGCTGAAATGAATAGAGAAGGGGCAGGCTGTCTTTGCCAAAGGAAACTGGGCACTGTCTCTACAAGGCTGGTGACTTGAAACCAAACTCTGACCATTGGCATCTGAGTGGCTTCACTGCTGCCAAGAGGTGGTGACTCTGTTTCTAAGAATACAAAGTACTACAGAAGGTGCCCTGGAGACCACAGCATTGAAACAAACAGACCACCCTCTCCCCTTCATTCAACCTGGGTAGGTCAGGAATCCCTCTGTCCCCAAATCCAGAAGGCTGAAAGGAAGAAATCTGTATGTTGGGTTCAAGTTTTAATGAAATGAATTCTAAAAACCCTTTGGTGAAGGCTCTATTTCCAGTCTTGCCAGTTCTCCTTATAAGGGAAGTGGGCCAAGGTGGATTATTTATTTGCTTCTCTCCTTCCCAAATAAATCTCGTTTCTTCTCCAGCAGTGGTAGTTTCCCCAAAAGTGAAGGTGGCACATAAAACAAAAAAAGGGCAATTCTATTCTATGGGGCACAAAACAAATACTCATAAGAGAAAACTGGCATTTGGGAAAGAAAACTGGCATTTGGGATCAAGATATGAGCAGAAAAAGGGCGAATGTCAATGACTCACATATGCAAGGCCCAAGACTCGATTTCCTCAATATCCAAAACGGAGGCTAATTTTGACTTCTCCAAAAGAGTCCCCTAGGCACTCAGTAGAGGCACAACTGATTATCAACATCTCAAGGTCAACGATGGAAAAGGTACTCACTCTGCCTGTTTTACAGATTTTAATAGAATGAACCAGCACACCTATCATCCATCATACATGCCAGGCACTGTGCTAGACACCAGGAATCCATGAGCTAACAACAAAGTGCTCATCTTCATAGAACCTACAGAGTGACTGTACAGAGCAAGCTTATTACCTCGATACTTAGAATTCTATCTTTCCCAAATAAATATATGTTCTCATAAATTCCTACAGAGAAGATGGGGATAATAAAGACAGTCAACACCACTTCTACATATCACATGAACTAAATTAGCATTTACCTGCTCTTTTTATAAGAATGACCTTATTCTCCAGCATTAAACATATTGTTCATTAGCAAGGAGAAAATATGTGGAAATCACCTAGAAAACATGAATAAAGTTTCACAAGTCCAAGGCAAAAACCATAATGAACATCAAATTATCCATTACACATGAAAGTAGAATACTCTTTCAGATATTTAAGGTATCAGAAAACTGACCTTCCTTGCAACTTGTTCCCAGGGAGCTATAGGAGGGTATGTTCCTACAAAAGGATGGAATACGTTTTAAAAAGAGATGGGGCCTAACATAGAAGAAAGGTAAAGAAACCAGCCAGGTCAGCAACCAGTCCAGAGTGGATCCGTGGAGCTGAGGACTCCTGGAAGGATGTCACCAAGAGAGCGGACCTGATTTATATCTCACCATCTGGAGAAGAGTATGAGTTCTCCTCGAAACTTTGAGGGTGAATTGGTGTAGCTATGTAAAACTGAACAATTTTTTAAGAAGACAACCATACACCCCAGAAAAAAACGTTTTACAATTAAGGAAATGGTTCCAATATATAACATTAACCACGCTGTGTGCAAAATTTATATGGGTTTGTAAAATTAACTGAATGCTAATTTTTTTTAATGTGATATAAGCACATAGGGTGACTGAAAGGAAGACGGAGGGGGGCATATACTAAATTTAGAGAAAAGCACATAGGGGGACTGAAAGGAAGACGGAGGGGGGCATATACTAAATTTAGAGAACTAAATCGTAGTCTTCTATGTTAAGAAGTCAACAGATGATGCCTAAAATTAATAGAATGAGATATACAATATAAGCATGTTATTTAGAAATGTGGAGGTAAATATATTAATACAAAGAAATGGCTGAAAAGGCTGCAAGCAATGGTCCCCAAAAAGTAGAACTGGAAGGTGAGGAGCCATGAAGGAGCAGAATACTGCTTTTCCTATGGGCCACGTGCTTCAATCTGGCTTATACAATTATTTTATTAAATAAACCACCAATCAAAAACTATCTTGAAAGATTATGGAGTTTTTCTGAGGAAGGGAAAGAACCATAAAAGGAAGCAAAAAACATTACTTCAGGATGTTTACTCTGTGTTAGCCACAAGTTCCTTGGGCTTTAAAGGAGCTCGGGTCAGACTGCAAAGCTTTCCTACAGCTCAAACGCTCAGGACAGCTGGACAGGAGCTGGGACGCTTGTCTGCAGGTAGGGTTCACCAAAAAGATGTTGCACCAGTAAAACCCTACCTGGATCAAGGATGCCACGCAGTACCTGATGCCATCTTAATATGTGGATTTCTATTTTGACTTGGAGAAATGTCCATTTTCTCTTTGTTTTGCTATAATCCCTCCAGTTATTCTTCATAGCAGTTGCAAATAATAATAAAGGTGAATGCAACCCTCGAAAGTCAACCATTCACTTGCAAAGGGCTTCTGAGATACCCGGGGGGGGTTAATAAAGGACTTTCGTCTTCCTTCAAAGCTGCTCTATGGGTCACTTTGTTTCCTGGTCCCTGCTGTTCTTTGCTGCTTAGGGAGCCTGCAGTGAGGAGTGATGAACACCTGGACTGTGGTGTCAGATGGGATCTGGGTTTGAATCTGAGCAGTAGCACCACTTCCTAACTGAGTCATCCAGGGCAAGTGATTATAGCCCTCTCTCTCTGCTGCAGTTTCCACAGCCATAGTGGAAATATGTATACTTAGTAGAACTATAATGCAGGAATAATAATAGTACCTACTGTACTGGAGTGTCAAGAATATTAAATGAGATAATGCAAGGAAAACACATAACACTGTACATAGCACGTAATTTGCTGTTGTTATTACTTTCCGGAAGAATCATGATGTTTCTTTACTTTGGACGAAATAATGTGAAATCAATACGGTCCCTCTGATAACAAAAACCTGGACATACTAAAACTTAAAGCATAAATGAAGACAGGGAAAGTTTCAGACTCATTAAGGCGATTCTGTTCTGATGTTACCATCGGTGCTAGGGTAGTGGCAGTGTGGGGAAGCCTTGTGGGGTCTGGCGTCCGCATTTCCCTCAGGCACACAGTACCCTCTCCAGATACCTGCTTCCTACCTTCCTCTAAGGCATGCAAAGTCTGTTCCCAAAAGTGGAGTGGGGACAGCCTAGGAGGTTGTCCATCACTGTAGATGAAACAAACCACAACAGTACAACTTCCAACAGTGGTCACTGGGGCTTTTTTCTCTTTTTTTTAAAAGGACTGACAATACATTCTAGATGTATTGAATCTAGATGTATTGAACTGATGAAGGCAGTTCAATCTTTGTGGAAAAGGAAGAAAAAGCCCTACAAATCTGCTAGTCCTCAGCATCTGCGAGGTGCCCTCAGACACACCGGGTCCTGCACTGCACCGTCCAACCTGAAGATGGCAGTCTTTTCCTAAATTTGTTCCAAAAATTCTAAGTATTTGAAGAACGTAGTGAAACCTTGAAAAATGACTGCTGTCAAATAATACCAAGAAAAAAATTATAATCCACTTAGGAATTTAAAGAAATCAAGACAAATAACTCATGTCAAGGTATGCTAATGTACAAGCTGGAACAGAACAAGGACAAATCACCTACATTTACTTCTTGTCACGGTCCTGCCTGGAATGTCTGTCCACCTACCCCCCAGGGCAGGCTGGGCAGCCTGCGGTGGCCCCTGGGGGGACAGGGAATGGCTGCGGAGCCAAGCCAAGACAGGTTCCCGCACATTCAGCCCAGGAGCTTGCCTGTGCTCACGGTTCCTGCCCAGGAGAAAGTGAATCTGAAGTGGGTTCTCTCCTCAGCTCACTGTCCAGGGCACCAGCCCTGTTCTGGCCACTTGGCCCTGATATGCCACTTCATCCCATGCCCCTCGTTCTTCCCAGAGAGAAACATCATTGGAAACAAGGAGCAAGTGAATGCCTCCTTCCGGGATCTCACACCGAGATGCATCCTTCCCACCTCCCACTCCCAGCACCATCTCTACAGAGGGGCTGCTGCTTCCTCAGACAGGAGTGTGTCTTCCCCACAGAAGTGCAGCTGAAAGGCCCACCGACTGAGTGAGCAACCAGGAAGGTGCGTGGGGTGCGGACCTGCCAAAGAAAGCAGAGGGGGCCTGACTGGGGCCTCTGTGAAATGTCTATAGAACCCGGATTTCCAGACGCTTTCAGTGGCCTCCTTCCCAAAGGGTAATGAAGAAACAGGGGAAGTGGCCAGAGCATCTTAGAAACACAGTACAATGTCTGCTGCCACAAGAGAGTGTGCCCTGGGCCGGGAGGGGCTCGCAGGTGGCTCGGCAAGGGCTCAGGACTGTGAGGGGCATGGGGGTGCTCCACACTGAGCCATCATCTCCTTCCCCGGGAGACACTCCATCTCCTACGTCCTGCTGGAAGACCAGGCTTGGAAAAACATGAGAAAAACCTGAGAGACATTCAAGGACTAAGCAGAGCCAACCGTTAGATCAGCTGCAGCCTTCCTCCCCAAACCTGGAAGGCCAAATGTACTTTCCGACCACTTATTCCGAAGCATGAGATGGGAACATTAATGACACCTGGGTTAGAATATCTAGGCTCTGCTATTTTTGAGCTGAGTGGCTTGAGGCAAGTTGCTTAACCTTTCTGGGCCCTGGCTTCCTCATCTGAGCAGTGATGAACCCTAGCCTGTCTACAAGGTCAAATGAAACAGTCAATGTGAAAATTCCGCCCAGGCCACACAGAGCTGCACAGATGCTGGTGACCTGGCTTACTGGCATGAGATCACTTCCAAGCCCTGAATTACAGGAGAGAAGGAGCCTCTTTTCTGAAGGACCAGGAACCAGATTTGTTCAAACAGCCATTCTCCACCCCAAGATGGAGCAACTGCCTCAGCAGCCACTATAAAACTAGGAAGCTCCTCCAGAGACACCGGTGCCCTTCTCTGTCCTGCCCAGGATAAAGGCAAGAACCCTCCTGGCAATCGGGAATTAAAACCTTACTGCTGCTGCTTCTTTTTTATTTTTGTTTATTTATTTTTTTGAGACAGAGTCTCCTCTGTTGCCCAGGCTGGAGAGCAATGGCGCGATCTCAGCTCACTGCAACCTCTGCTTCCCAGGTTCAAGCAAATCTCCTGCCTCAGCCTCCCGAGTAGCTGGGATTACAGGCACCCACCATCATGCCCAGCTAATTTTTGTATTTTTGTAGAAGCGGGGGATTCACCATGTTGGCCAGGCTGGTCTTGAATGCCTGACCTCAGGTGACCCACACGCCTTGCTTGGCCTCCCAAAGTGCTGGGTTTACAGGCATGAACCACTGCGCCCGGCTGAAACCTTGCTTTTTATCTTGTGTCTCCAACCTAATCCCCCATGCACAGCCATCCCCCTCTTCTTTCTTCCACAGGCCTCATTAATGTCATATTTCCTTAGAGCTGTCCTGGTCACATTTTCCAAACCAAGAAAGGATCTGTGTTCTGACAACGGAATTTTAGTTGATCTGTAAATTTAGGCCATTGAAAGAAGTATAAAAATGTGAAATTAAATCATCCTTGGGCCCACGTTTGACCAACTGCCTTTACGAGAAAGAATCATGTTATCTGCAGGATATATTTACAGACCTTCCATGCGGGCTCAACCACAGGCCTGCCAGTCCCCCAGAGGGGAGACCTTGGGCTCCCTCTGACTATGAAGACTGCTAACTCCCACATCCACGTCCAGGAGGTCCAGCCCCTTGGAATAAAGATAAGGGCCAGAACACCAGGCAGCAAAACTCCCTTCCTTCTGGCTGAGGGGCTGCCATCACCAAGCCCAGGTGACCCTTCAGGAACTCTCTCCTGTCCTGGAGCCCAAATCAAATGTCCATCTGTGAATGGAGAACAATCCCTGCCCTTCCCATTTTCCCAGATAGTGGGGTAAGTGTCATTTTCTCATACACTGTGAAATTCAGACAAAGTTCAAATAGTCAACCCTGCCATCTATTAGCCAGGTCCCAGATGAAGTTACTTAAACTCTCTGAGCTTTCCTGTCTCTAATAGGTATTTCAACAAGCTTATTTTGAGAATGAAAGGCAAAAGCATTATCATCAAGTCAGTTCTTAGCAATCCTGCTTCCTCCTCTGTTCCAGGACTCTTCAAATCTTATCAGCATCCTTGGTCTCCAACACCCAGTCATTACCATTTATCCTCCTCTTCTCACAGCTCATTAATCCACAAGGCTTTTTAATTTTATCTCCATAACATCTCTCCCCTCTGCCATTTCCTCAGCCATGGCCCCTGCCCTGGTTTGGTCCTCATCAGCCACCAGCTGGCCAACAGTATAGTTTCCTCCAGCCCCTGCTCTCACCTGATGCAGCCATCGTGTTCCTGAAGCACAAATTAGATCACATCCTCTCTTTAAAAAGCAGGGTGGGGTGGGAGAATACATATTCATATTAGATTGTATATGCACTAAAATCACTACAAAGCCTCATAAGAGAATAGTAGCAGTGGCTACCTACTTAAGGGTAGGATAGGAATGAGAAGGAAGGGACATCTCCCTTCCATTCTCTTATGCTTGGAGATTTTTTGACCACATTAATTTACTACCTTTATGAAAAGTTTAATTGATTTTAAAAACTAATTGAGGCCGTGCATGGTGGTTCACATCTGTAATCCCAGCACTTTGGGAGGCTGAGGCAGGCAAATCATTTGAGGTCAGGAGTTTGAGACCAGCCTGGCCAACATGACAAAACCTTGTCTCTACTAAAAATACAAAAATTAGCCAGGCATGATGGTACATGCCTGTAATCCCAGCTATGTGGGAGGCTGAGGCAGGGGAATTGCTTGAACCCAGGAGGTGGAGGTTGCAGTGAGCCAAGGTTGTGCCACTGTACTCCAGCCTGGGCGACGAAGCAAAACTCCATCTCAAAAGTAATTGAAAAATATTCTGACTCCTGTTAGAATTTCAGTAGAGTCCAAAGCACTTAGTGAGCACATTCTCGCAAGCTTGATCCCTGTCCAGAGCTCTGGCTCAATTTCCTTTCACATTACTGTAAGACATTCAGGTTCAGAAGCATTTGTGGAGTGCTCAGTATGTTCAGGGATATTACTAAATGTAATCATCACAGTAAGCATGGCAGCGATCCTGTTATGTCCACTTAAGACAGACTGGAAACTGAGGCTGAGCTGCGGTAATCTGCCCCAAATCTCAAACAGCTGCTAAGAATTCTAGTATCAGTCACCTCTTTGCTGCCACTAGAGCATGATGAAAGATAGGCTCTAAAGCAGCGGTCCCCTTTTTGGCACCAGAGACTGATTTTGTGGAAGACAATTTTCCATGGGTTGGAATAGGAACTCAGAGGAAACCCAGAGTAACCATCTACCCAATGTGGAAGGCCCTCAGAGGTCTGGCCTTGCTTGGGGAGCTCCTACTTTGCAGGCAGCTGTTTTTAACTTTTGAACTTTGTCTTTATTTCTTCAAAAGTACAGTGACATGGTTAAGAATACAGAGTGGTGGTAAACTTTGGCACAGTCACCGTTTTTGGAGGTAGAGCTTGATAACTTTATTTAACGTTTCTGAGCCACGGTTCCTTTATGTACAGACTGGACATAATGCTCAGCATACTAATACAGAGCTCATAAGTGCTGGTGATGATCATTATTGACATAATATATAAATAAGTTGCTTGGCTGGGCACGGTGGCTCACACCTGTAATCCCAGCACTTTGGGAGGCCGAGGTGGGTGGATCGCTTGAGCCCAGGAGTTCAAGACCAGCTTGGGCAACATAGTAAAACCCCATCTCTACTAAAAATACAGAAATCAGCTGGGTGTGGTGGTGCATGCCTGTAGTCCCAGCAACTTGGTAGGCTGAGATGGGACAATCCCTTGAGCCTGGGAGGTCGAGGCTGCAGTCAGCTGTGATTGTGCCACTACATTCCAGCCTGGGCAATGCAGTGAGACCCTGCCTCAATTAAAAAAATAAAAATAAAAATAAATGAGTTTCATATGTTGAGCAAACGTGTGCCTTCCCTGATCGGGTTTGTTCCTCTACTGTATCATGGAACTTCTCTTCTGCAAGGCAGTGAGTGCTTCCTCAAAATCTAAAGAGAACAATCTCTTTGCCTCTTTCTCCACCCCCAACTCTTCCCTCCTCTGGTTGTGTAACTCCCGCCTGAGTAAATCCTTTCTGTGCTTTCTTCCTGGCTCCTGCTCACTATGGCATCCAGACCACAACAGGCATGAGACACACAGCCTGGTGACCGGGCAGTCTGAGCAGGCAGGGGTTTGCCAGCTGCTGCCCTGGTGGGGGGCTGGAGGAACCCGCCGTGCCCCAGAATTGAGGTGGAGGCATCACTCCAGGCTTTATCAGGAAAACCACTCCCTGTGTACTTTCAGGATTCAGCTGACAGCTCAGCCAGGCCGGGTTTTCATCTGCCTAACTTGGCCTCCAGAAACTGGACCCTGATTTCAGGGAGGCCCCTTTTAAATAGCCCACCCTGGGTGGAGGATATCACACTTAACACTTGAGATCCTTTGATATGCAACACTGAAATCATGTAGAAAGTATATTTCCAACTAAAATAGTCTTTGTTTTTTACACTCTTCCTTCCTTTCTTCACCCTCTGCTGTTTTTCTCTTAGCTTCCAGTAGAGCCAAAGGTAACAGAGGGACTGACTCGCTGGTTCTCCTCCAACATAAACCACCACCAACTTGGGGAAGCTGCCGTCTGGTTTACACATGACACAGAGCCAGCAGGGGGCGATCATCCCCCTAATTATTCTCCCATTAGCTCCTTACGGCCCTGGGCTACAAAAACAGACTACTCATCAGCTACAAATGGACCGTATAGCCTTTTGGTCACTATCTCAGGATGTGGAGTCAACAGACCTGGATCTGAATCCTACTTCCCATGTCAGCTGGCTGTCTAACACTGGGCAAGCTACTTCATAAGGATTACATAAGATAATGCATAGTGTTGGCATACAGAAAATATTTAGTAAATGTTGGCCATCACTATTGCTAGGAGTGGTGGGGTTGTGAGGAAGTCTTCAATGTTGGCAAGGGTGACATATGTGGTGAGCCAACGAGTAAATTTCAGAAAATGCTGGTTCTAAGGCCACTTCAGACTAAGGAGGAGATAAACTAAGGTTCTTCTCTTGGCTTTGGTGGTACCAAAGTATGCAACCATGTCTTTTTTTCAGATGGAGTTTCACTCTTGTCACCCAGGCTGGAGTGCAGTGGCGTGATCTCAGCTCACCGCCACCTCCGCCTTTTGGGTTCAAGCGATTCTCCTGCCTCAGTCTCCCGAGTAGCTGAGATTATAGGTACCCTCCACCATGCCCAGCTAATTTTTGTATTTTTAGTAGAGATAGGGTTTCACCATGTTGGCCAGGCTGGTCTTAAACTTCTGGCCTCAAGTGACCCACCCGCCTTGGCCTCCCAAAGTGCTGGGATTACAGGCGTGAGCCATCACACCCAGCCAGCAATCATGTCTTATCTTGTCTTAAGAGATGCTACAGGCAGGCTGGGGTGCAAAGCTGGCTACTGTAAGGCAGCATCTCTCCAAGCCTCTTCTGTAGAAGGGAATAGAATAACCTACCTCACAGAGCTCAATAAAGATGAAAGAAGTCACTAATGACAAATAGCATGGAACCTGGCTACATAATTTCTTTTTTTGCCAGCACTACCTATAAGTTCTCTTCTCTACTAAAAATATTTTATAACCCCTTGGGTCTAATGAGCCTAAGCCGTTACAAAGAAGTAGGGGGAAACATATGTACATGTCTGTCTGTAACAAACATCTAGAGAATTCAAATGCAAAGTTTAACTTACTTAGGGCCCTTTAATTATTGGTCACTTTGTTCGCTTATCAAATTAATGTGGTTAATGCTGGATGTTATATTTTAAGTACTGTATGCCCAAATTTGTTAAAATGTATCAGCTGAGTTTATCTTAGATGGCCTTAATGTTTCTGTTGTTGGAACAAAACTATAGCAAAATTAAAGTCTGAGAAGTCACAAAAACTCTAAGAGCCAAAGAAACTATCTACATGATACAAATTTTTCAGTGTAACCTTAGCCCTGAAGTACCATTATACCTTGATTGTAATAGCACGTTGTGTTTGTCCAATAAAGCACACAGTATATAACTTGAGAGGCTGGTACTTAAGATACTGTCAAATGCTTTAAATAATTTTATTAATTCTCCATCACTTCAACTGGTCAGCCACCACTTTTTCCCTCTAGCACAAGAACCAACCTTCAGGCCCTCACATGTCCACTAAAATCAAATATAGATCCTATTAACAATCTGCGGCCGGGCACGGTGGTTCACGCCTGTAATCCCAGCACTTTGGGAGGCCGAGGCGGGCAGATCACGAGGTCAGGAGATCGAGACCATCTTGGCTAACACGGTGAAACCCTGTCTCACTAAAAATACAAAAAATTAGCCGGGCGTGGTGGTGGATGCCTGTAGTCCCAGCTACTTGGGAGGCTGAGGCAGGAGAATGGAGTGAACCTGGGAGGCGGAGCTTGCAGTGAGCCAAGATCGCGCCACCGCACTCCAGCCTGAGTGACAGAGCAAGACTCTGTGTCTCCAAAAAAAAAAAAAACAAACAAAAAAAAAAACAAAAAAACTTCCACATTCATTTGCATATATTAAATCATTTGTGTTCAACTGAAGAATGAGTGTTTGTAACATAGGAATATCAGAAGCGACACCAACAATAGTGACTGAGGTTAGGCAAAATAATTTCACAGCAGTGACAGAGCTCTGGCTGGTAATGTCTAATGCACATCACTTAGTATCATAATACAAGCCAGAAACATCAACATATCTATTAGGGGGTATTATTATTTTCTGAAATTATATACTTTAAATCCAAAAAGCAAGTAACTTTCAATTGTGAAGAAGGTTGGGGCATGGCAGTGCATAACTGTAGTCCCAGCTACTCAGGAGCCTGAGACATGAGGATCACTTCAGCCCAGGAGTTTGAGGCCAGCCTGGGCAACACAGTAAGACCCCATCTCAAAAAAAAAAAAAAATCAGTTGTGACAAAGGACCATTATTCCACATAAGCAGTTAGCATCCCCTGACATACTGGGTATTTATGTGCTTGGGTAGTTCTTGTGTTCTCCACCCAAGTGTGGGCTCCATGAGAAAAAGAACTTTGTTTTGTTCACTGCTGAATTTCTAACACCTGAAACAGTGGCTGGCGTGTAGTAGGTGCTCAAAAAATACTTGTTAAATAAATTCTAATTTCTCCCAATCCCCAATTCATATCCCCTAAAATATAACTATCTTTCTCAAAGGTCCCAAGGATGTTACACCAGGCCTTCCTTTCATTCCAGGGCCTTTTAAGTCATGTGGTGGAGTCTATGTAAGTCAAGCTTTTTTATTCAACAACAGCAGGCCAGATCCAGTTTACCCATTCAGATTATCATATGTATCCTGAACGTACCTGAAACACTTATCTCTGGCCTCTACTCTAGCAACTTAGTGGGCCTTGACTTTCCAAAAATAGTCACTGATTTAATATACTGCCACATACACTTCAGCTTCATCACCTCTGGAATATTCTGCTCCCTTATTCTCTCCCTGTCCAATCCTCCATCTTTCGGCTTAAGGGCTACTTCCTCAAGGAAGCTTGCCCTGTTTCCTGTTACTCACAGCGTTCAGTATTCTTCCTTCCTAGAAGTCACAGCACTTTGCAATGATCTCTCAGATAATCATCTGTTTCGTGTCTGTCTCCCCTGCTAGGCATTATACTCCCCAGGGGCGGAGGCTGTGGCCGTCTGGGCAGCGATGAGCCCCTCTCCTGTACAGCTTCTTGCACATGCAGGTGCACACGAATGTTTGCAGAATGGTCTGAATGATTCAAAATGTTTAGCCCAACAAATACTAACAACAAAAAGAGGCAATCGAGCCTTCTGGGCCCTAAGAGGTCCATAACTGGAGAGCACAGTTAACAATGAGGGAGCTACCACATTATTTTAATTTCTTTTAAAAAAAGAGAATTTTTATAAATGATTCCATAGTATTTTAACCAGGGAAGCAAAAATCATGTGGGGACTTTTGCCTCCCAGTGTCTTGGAGCTGTTTCCTAAAAAACAGTCATATGCAAACAGAAATTTGCTTACACAGGAGATATTCAGACTGAAAAGACAATTCAAGCCCGGGTGCGGTGCCTCACGCCTGTAATCCCAGCACTTCGGGAGGCCTAGGCGGGCAGATCACAAGGTCAGGAGATCGAGACCACCCTGGCTAACACGGTGAAACCCCGTCTCTACTAAAAATACAAAAAAAATTAGCCAGGCGTAGTGGCGGGCGCCTGTAGTCCCAGCTACTCGGGAGGCTGAGGCAGGAGAATGGCGTGAACCCGGGAGGCAGAGCTTGCAGTGAGTGGAGATCACACCACTGCACTCCAGCCTGGGCAACAGAGCGAGACGCTGTCTCAAAAAAAAAAAAAAAAAAAGACAATTCAAGAGACCCTCAAAACTGGGAGGTGATCTTTTACGATAGTGAAAAGGATACAATGAAATACAAGATTTGGGCTCCTGTTTCCTTCTGTTTAATCTTAAGTCACTTAGTATGTCTGGGCCTCAGTTTCTTTATCTGTAAAATGGGGAAAACAGAACCTATCATGGGGAAAACAGAACCTATCTGATGGGGCACTGTAAGGACAGAATGAAATACTCAACCACAAAGTACTCTGTAAACAACAAAGTGTCATGGAAACACCAGTTACAAGAGGCAGAAGCAGCATCTGGGCCAAAGCCCAGCCTTCAACCAAAGAACTATGTATGCTTCCCAGAAAGAACCAGCAGGACAGAGTCACGCAGGGCATCTTTCAGTTTGTCTTAATGCCTTCCACCTAGACGGATTTAACCCTCACCATCACTCTTCCTGTTAGCCACTCAGCTGCTTGGAAGGAGTCATCCAGTTGGCCTTTTCTTCTCTTTCCTGGTCTGAATAGCCCCATTTTCTTGTACCTGTCCTGATGGGCCCAATTTACATTCCTTCCCTCATTTTTCCCCCTAATTTGGAAGCAGCTCTATTTTTCCACCAGCTCCCAAAGTTCATGATTTGTGGACAAAGACATGAGTGGGCCACATGTGGGTTCTCCACTCTGGTGATGACTGGTCAAGCCCCTCTGCCCCACGGGAGGCCTTCCCTCAAGCTGAAGTGCAAACACTCCCGTGAGAGGTCACCTCCAATTGTTCAGCATCTCGGTTATCTACCACAGGCTCTTAGCTCATTCTTGACACTGTCTCCCGATAATAGAAATGACATTAAGGCAGGCAACACACAGACAGCATGGGACTTATGAGATGGGAAGGATGGGGTGAGATAGAGAACGTGGTGAGAGTTGGTGAGGATCTCAGAGACAAACTAAGGATTCCTTCAGTTTTTGCCTTGGGCTCACCCACACACAGATGCAACGCTCATACTCACAGCCAAGGAGTGGGTGTGAAGAAAGGGTACGGGGCTTGTTGGGTGGGAAAGAAGGGAGGATCACATATGTATGGGAAATGCCTGGCTGAGAAACAATGGGACGATGGGTACAAGATGGGGGTGGGGGAGGTAGGAAAGAAGAAAGTGACAAATAGAGTCCAGATGCCAATGTTACTGGTATTTATGATATTATAATGCACTGCACTCTATGGCAAACTGCTAAAGTGCCATTTTGTTACTTCTTCTTTTTTTTTTTTTTTTGAGACGGAGTCTCGCTCTGTCGCCAGGCTGGAGTGCAGTGGCGCGATCTTGGCTCACCGCAACCTCCGCCTCCTGGGTTCAACCAATTATCCTGCCTCAGCCTCCTGAGTAGCTGGGACTACATGTGCGTGGCCATGTATTTTTAGTAGAGACGGGGTTTCACCATGTTGGCCAAGATGGTCTTGATCTCCTGACCTCGTGATCCACCTGCCTCGGCCTCCCAAAGTGCTGGGATTACAGGCGTGAGCCACCATGCCTGGCCACTTCTTCTTAAGAAGTTGTTCTTAAGAAGAGAACAACTTGCTATCTTGAGAAAACAGAGTTGGAAAGAGAGTATGGAATAACAGCTAAATGATTAGGCTTTAGAGTTTTCAGGACCCGAGCTTGAATCTCTAATCCATCAGAGATTAACTGTGTGACTCTGGGAAAGTTACTTACGCTCTCTGTTTCCTCATTTGTCAGTTAGTACCTAGCTTCCTAGGGTTTTTATGAGGATGAATTGTGATCATATATCTAAATAACTCTGCATGGGACCAGGCATATGGCAAGGCTCAATAAATGTTACTTCTTGTTAAATTTTACAAAACATAAGAGCTTGTAAACGTCCCTCTCTCTGACTCAAGTATTCCCCACAGCACCTTGGGGTCCAGGACAGTAATACACCTCCTGCTCTGCTGTTTTCTACAAATCTGCCAATAGGAATCCCTTTTTACTTAATCAAAAGGCTATTCTTTCCTAGGCCCGTTTTCACACAGGATATTTGTCAGGCATGGGGCGGGGTAAAGGAGGAAAGAAAGAGAAGCAAGGAGGTAAACAGTAAAGGGAAAGAAATCCTGGATTCAAGACACACCTCTCTGGGCACACTCACCGAGTCTGGGTCTCGCTGCTGCTCGAGAAAAGCTGAAAATTCCACCAGGCGAAGCTTGGTTGTGCCAATGGAGCGACCTTGCCAGGCAGGGACTGAGGGAGCTGGGGCCGATGCAGGCTCAAACCCTGAAAGAGCAATCGTCACCTTTGATGCTGGTCACTCACCTCCCCTTGGGCCTCAGGCAAATACTGGAACAGGGCTCTACAGATGACCCAGAAGGAAATGCCAACAGCCCCCTCTCCACCGGCTCTGGCCAGGATAACTCAGACGACAGATGCTGGCAGAGGGCCCCAGTGATGGTAAACAGTCAAATAAGCACAAAGCATGTGTTCCTCATTAAGCCAACTTCAGCTAAGGTTAAGGGCTGCAGTATGAGGACATCTAATCCTGCACCAAGGGGTCTACTTGGGGACCAAGCCAAGAATGACAGGACAGTGAGAAGTGAATGCTTCCAAAGACTTCCTGTGAGACCCGAACATGCCATGCACTTCTTGTGTTTGCCCATCTTCCTTAAGACTGTGGTCACTAGCACTATAGAATATTCTCTCTGAATGCTCCGTAGCACTCGGGCACAGGGCAATACGTGAAAGCATTTTCAGTTTGGGGAATCCATAAGGGAGAGCAGTGACTTTTATACTGTACACCTCAAGTAGTGCAAAGGAGTAATTCTACACACACAGGTGGGGATGGGGGGTGCGCCTTGTGGGGAAGGAGACAGGTAGGCTAGACAGATTCATGTTTTCCACTTTGAGCTTCCATGTACTCTCTCCTTTAAAGAAAGGTAGCAGGACCGAAATCTACTTATCTAAGAAAGGGTGAATGAAACCCTATCTGGCCTTGAGACTTAGACTGCCTAATTTGGCCAGTTTATATTGAGGAAGATGCTGCAGCAACTTCGCCTTCTGAGGATAATCCAGCGTCTTCAGTGAAAGTGAGGAGGCTTCCTGTTTCTTAAACAAACCATCTGAAAAGCTCTTGGGAGATGACTGATGGGAATCGGGACCCTGTGGCCCTCCTGAGCTACAGGCTACCCAAGGATCCTGCAAGTCAGGGGCAATGTGCGGCTGTGGCAAAGTTGAGCATCTCTTGACTCTGGGAACAAAGTGCCAGACCCAGCTGTCAGCTGTGTGGGGCTGTGCTCCCAAAAAGGAGTTTCAGGGACACTCACCTGGAATGGGGGCTGTGACCGCTGGCTGGATGGGGTAGGCCTGCTGCACAAAAGGCTTGACGCTGGGAACAGAGAGATGGCAGACAGAGTTAAGAGATCGCATCTGCAGCAGGGGCTATTACCCAGGCCCCACCATGACCTCCCAGTGGGAGGTCCTTCACCGCTGTGGTCCCTGCCTGCAGGTGGTAGCACACCCCAGGCAGAGGCAGTTGTTCCATAAACTGAGAGGGACCAGCAGCCAGGTAGGGATCAAACCACCAAGCCTCATTCCAGTTCAATGGGATGTGCTGGAAAGACAGCCTGAATTCCTTGTGCTGTGGCATCTGCCTTTGAACCTCTGAGGTCAAGCAGTCACCACTTCTAGGCAAAGTGTGGGACATGCTTCAGGCTCTCCTTCTCTAGGCCAAACAATGCAAGTTTTTTTTTACAGCATATAGGCAAGGTTTCCTTTCTTTTATCCCGAAATAGCCCTTATTTCCAGTTTACTGATCTTTCTTCTCTTGCCCCCAAGGCATCAGTAGGATTTGTCTACTAGCCATCCTACTACAGGGCTGGCTAGAATGAAATGGGCTAGAGGATCACCTGTGCCGCCCTTTCTCAGGCAAGGAGGACCACAGCTCAGCCTTCAATACCATGAAGGAAGAGGGGTCCACTTCTTGCTTCCAGCTGGATGACTGCTAATACTTAAGGTGGGAATGGGGTGCTTCCACCTCTCCCAGATCCGAAAAGCCAGTCTCTTTCCTGCCAGGGGCCTAAGTACACAATAAAAAGGGGATGCCTTCTGGGACCTCAGTGTAATGCTCCTTTCTCCTCCAGGCCCTGAGACACTATGGTCCAGGAAGAGCTCTCCCCACGTGGGCTGGGACCAGCCCGTAGTTGTCAGTGCCCACCCCTCCTCAGACTTACTCTTGTGAGGATCCTGGCTGCCCTGTTTGAATCATTCCCGGCCAGAACTGGAAGGCAAAATGCAAAGGCCTCAGAATTACGAGTTTACTTCAAAGCACAGTTTAGGATGCCTACGCATCACAACCCCTGCTAAAAGACAGCAGGTTCGATCACCCAACAGAATCGCTTTCCCAGAGTGCAAATGCGGTCACCACTTGCACGAGACCACAACCTATATCCTTGGACTGGCAACCCAGAGCTCCCCTTAGCGCCTCCTTCCTGAAAATGCCCCCAAGGGCAGACGCAGGCAGCAGCTCCTGTTTTCCTTACACCTAAGCAAAGATCTGCGCGTGCTGCAGGGGGCTCACCAATATTTGAACTGACTGATTTATCCATGTACCCTCCCTTCATTCTGAAACATTCCCTGCATAATATTCTGCGTCAACAGCAGTGAAGACCCAGCAAGGCAGAGGACAAAGCTTGAACAAGGCCAGGAGCTCCAAGCGGCAATGCAGGCAGCTTCTCTGCAGCGAGCTTCCCTGCTGCGATTGGTGTGGGCTGGAAAGGGGGCATGACATAGAGGAGGGAAAGAGCAGCCTCAGGAGTCAAGCAACCCTGGGGCTGATTCTTGACATCACTATCCATTCCACTATGATCCCAGCTATCCAAACTCTTGTTTTGCTACTGAATAACCTCAGCTTTTTCATCTGCAAAATGGCAATGACAATAAGCAGCATTTAAGATTACCTGGAGGATTGAGATTATAACATAATGCTTCTCAGCCTTTGGTAGGTGTCAAAATGTAAATGTTAATAGAATACCTTGTCCCTTTAGGGGCTAGTTGCCCCTGAAGACAGAGGGACAGAGACCAAGGGCCAGGAAAAAGATAAAGAGAGAAGACGCCTGAGCCCAACCCAGAAAGGCACATTTAATTCCATGTCTTCAGGGACTCAGAATTCCTTCCTCTTCTGATTTTCTCCCTCTTCCTTTTCCTTTTTTCTTTTCTTCCTCTCCTCCTCCTTCTCCTCCCCCTCCCTTTCTCTCTAGCTCTCTGCCTCCCTTCCCTCCTTACTTTCACCACTTTAGACTCAGTTATCAGTTGACAAGGTAGCCTTTGCCCTCTCACATACCTGACCCACATGACAAGAAATGGAGGTGGGAGGCTTAACACTGGCACATGCCAACCCCAACCCCAGCAGCTGTCATTACTGGACTGAGCTCATGACTTACCCCCGGCGCCCCTGGGAAGGTCGGGCGTGGAATCCCAGGCAGCCCCAGCTTGTTATGAATGGCAGTGGCCGAGACGATCTGGGCTGAGGACATGGCCGCCATGTGCTGCAGGGCCTTATCCTTTGCAGTCTGATCCTTGAAGGTGACAGTGACACACCAACTTAATACATAACGCATGGCTACCAGGCAGGTTACACAGGCACAGCCACGAGCACATGGACTAAAATACAGAGCCACAAAATAGGCCAAAAAAAGCAAACATGCATGGATAAATAACACAGCCAGAAGGCTAAACCACACTCAACCTACCGTACCTCTCAACATTTACTGGGAAGACCCAATGGGGCAAGGCTTTTTTTAGGGATTAAATCCATTTTCCAACAGAATGTGAAGCCTCTCAGAAGAGTGGACAACGTATTTATTTAGCTTGTCAGCTTCCAGAAGATTTCTCCAATTACTTAAAACATTTAAGGAAGAAAAAAAAATAAAGGCCCTGCTTTTAAGCAAACGGATGGGAGGAGGAGTGAGAGAAGAGATGTAGCTGTGGACTGGGGTAGGACCGTCCACAGAGCTCGAGGAGCCCTATCTGTGTGTCCTGACTGTCACAGGGCCATGGTCCCAGGAGCTGCTGGGGTCATGCAAGGCCTGGAAGCCCTGCAGACACCTGGCTGGAGAGGCTCAGAAGCAGCGGGGGTTGGGGGTAACAGGGCCAAGCAGCATGCTGGCGGGGTGCATGCTTTCTCAGGTATCCCCGCCGTGGGGCTAAGGCTACGTGGGTTCGTACTGAAGCCAGGAGCCTAGGGGATGCTACAGGTACGTGGTTTCTCCTTTTCCTGAACGGGTCTTTTCTAGGAAAGCCAAGGCTAACAACACAAAGCTAGCCAAAAAAGTCTGCCAAGCACAGCTAAAATACAGAATACTCAGTTTGGTGAAAATACTTACCATGCTTGTTACCTGGATACAATAATAAACAATTTGTTAAAAGGATTGCATAAAAAGGGATTTTTTTTCTTCTTTGGTTAAAAAAAAAACATATATATATGTGTATATATACATATGTATATATGTACACAAACATATAATACTTGGGAACAATAAAATGCATAGGGGTGTGGGCCTTTTCACATTTTAGGAAGAAAAGGTGATCCAGATGGCTATCTAGAAAGGCAATGATTGAGAAGGGCACCCAACAACAGCAACAATAAAAAACTACCCCTCAACTCCTTTGCACTGGTTCTGTGGCTTCCCCAGGACAGACAGAGAAATAGCCTCCTGGTATGAGACAGGCCCGGTGGGCACAGGCAGGGCTTTGAGCCTCGTAGGCATATAAAGGCTACCGGTGCCAATAGAGGGTCTATATTCCAGGCCCAAATGCCATCAAAGCAAAAACAAAATGGTGACATCAAAATAAAAAGAGTGCTTTCCACCTCCAGGGAACGTCAAAGGGAGCTTCAGGCTAAGACACCAAGTACCAGCAGAGAGGGTGCTTCAATGCTTACTGATATAACCAAAGGTGATGAAAAAAACACATCAAGGCATCAAAAGCAAGGCCAAAGGAGTTTTTAAAAAATCAAAGCTCATGAACAACTGCTAAGGGCTTCTAAGAAAGATGTGCTAGGTGTTCCCAGGGTGTAGATACTACTTTGCCCTATAACTGTCAGGAAGACAATGTGAATTTCCAAAAAGCTTACATTAACCTTTGAAAAAGAGCCAATAAAGAAAAAGGGAAAGGGGAAGACCAGGTGTGGCTGCTCACACCTATAATCCCAGCACTTTGTGAGGCTGAGGTGGGAGGATTACTTGGGCCCAGGAGTTCAAGACCAGCCTGGGTTACATAGAGAGACCCTGTCTCCACACACACACACACAAAAAAAAAAATTAGCCAGGTGTGGTGGTGTACTTCTGTGGTTCCAGCTACTCAAGAGCCTGAGGTGGGAGGACTGTTTGAACCTGGGAGGTCAAGGCTGCAATGAGCTGTGTTCATCAAGCCACTGCACTCAAGCCTGGGCAGTAGAGCAAGACTCCATCAGAAAAAAAAAGAATGAAGGAGAAAAGGAAGGAAGAAAGGGAGGGTGGGAGGGAGAAAAGGGGAAGGAGGAAGGGAGGAAAAAAGGAAAGGGAGGGGAGGGGGGAAAAAGAAAACGGAGCCTAACACTTCCATTAATTTCTTCTTTTTTTTTTTTGAGATGGAGTTTCACTCTTGTTGCCCGGGCTGGAGTGCAGTGGCATGATCTCAGCTCATTGCAACCTCCGCTTCCCAGGTTCAAGTGATTCTCCTACCTCAGCCTCCTGAGTAGCTGGGATTACAGGCATATGCCACCATGCCCGGCTAATTTTTGTATTTGTCTTTTTAGTAGAGATGGGGTTTCACCATGTTGGCCAGGCTGGTCTCGAACTCCCGACCTCAGATGATCCACCCGCCTTGGCCTCCCAAAGTGCTGGGATTACAGGCGTAAGCCACCACGCCCAGCCACATTAATTTTTATGTCTTATATATTACTCTGGCTGTGACTGAAAAACTAAGGAGCCTCAAGTAACAGCTTTTCATGGATGCTCAAGGTCATTATGAACATCTGTAATGACACCTCCCGTGGCCGAGTGACACTCCAAGGGCCCTAGAAGCTGGCAGGATTCCTGGGCCTCAAAAGAACGGCCAGAGTGACTCAGAATGATCCTTTTGCTGCTGTTATCTCCTTCTTATCAGATGGCAGTTCTTCGACTTGGGGCTCCATTTGCTAATCTGTCAAATGTTCTAACCTAAAGCTAGCTTCCTCAACTAACCTTTTTTTTAAGATTTGAAACATGTCAGATACTGAGGATGCCAGAAAGAGGGCAAATCTTGAAGTGTATGGGATTTTATGATAAACTGACAAACTGGGCCCACACATGCAGACCTCAGTGCCAGGCAATCTACTGTTGGCTATTCTGTGGCTTTACCTGCTCCTCGCTTGTCCATCCCCTCAGAGGGTAGCCCATGAACAGAAACCATGGCCCTAGTCACACCAACTCCATTCCCCATCAACATCACCCTGACATCAATACGAATCCATTGGTTTCTCTTAGACCAGTCACTTTGGACTCCAGCCCCCAAGCCACTCAACCTCTACCAAGGGGGTTATAAATGCTCTCAAGGCAGATTTCTGAAACTGAGGTAATGGCTCAGGTATGACCACAGGTGCCTTCCTCAGCACAGAACAAGCCTTACAACTTCTCTGGGGCCCAGGCTAGGGGGATTGGAAAATGGCAGCACAGACGTCTTGCCTGCCTGACTGACACATCTGAGCAATAGCTACAAAAGAACTTGAGGGCTTGGCTCCATTCCAGAAGAACATCGTGGATCCTCTCACAGACCCGAAGAGTTCCACGTATTTGAAATTCTGCAGACAGAGGCACTTCTGCTTGCCCAAATACAGAATCTGTTTGTGCACACTTGGGTGGGGTGACTCATGAATTCTAAGTCCAGGTCCAAATGAGTTCCCTGCATCTCCACATCCCGCTTTATTGAGTTGCTTGAAATTTGCTAGGCTTATTAAAAATCATTTGAAATCTTCAAACAAGTTTGATATTCTTTTTTGAAACGGAAATCAGTCAGTGTGGAAAAGGAGAAAAGCACCTATCTTTGCTGTTTATGTCACACAGCTTCAGAACATGATCTTTTTCTTCTGTTAAAGTAAGGTTTGACTCTCTCATTACCCAGCATTCTACCAGGTACCTAAATGAAAACAGGAGTTCAAGAGCAGGAGAGCAAATCAATTGCTTTTATGACACCAACTTGCTCCAAGACTATAAAAGGTGTACCCACTGGGGTGTCCGGAGACCTGGCTTCAAACCTGTCCCTGCCTGACATTAATGAGCTGCATTATGTGGATCAAGTCATTTAATGACTTCGAAGTTTCTTTATTTATAAAATTAAAAGTTGCACATTACTGCCTAATGTCCTTCTGGGTTTAAAGGTATTTGTAGCTATGAGGGTAAATTCCATTATAAACAGATACTTTTCAATGCATATAGTCAAGGAAACTACTAGTGAGAAGACAGCAGGATGTTAAAATTTGGGCAGCTTTGGTCTGCTGTCCTAATAGAAAGCTAAGTGTAGAAAGGAAATTTCATCTCAAGTAGAGGTTCTTTCTGCACTTGACCTACCTATTTGAGAATAGGCAATTTTCTGCAAATGGACTAAAATGTCTATACCAGTGATTTCCTACCTTTTGTGGTCGAGCTACTCTGACTACTCATTTAATTTTTATAACATCTCCCCTTTATCTACAATATATATTGAAAATTAAAAGGATTAAAATGTTTTTGTTTAAAATCTAATGTGACCCTGGAAATAATAAGCACCACCAGGGATATCTTGAAATCAGAACCAAGGGTCTGCCTACAGACCCACTTATCCTGAAACGGGAATTTGAAAGAATGCCAAGCTAAGAGATTTCAATGGAAGGACCTCTAAATTGTCATTTGCAGCCCAGAGATACCTGCCTGGCTTTGAAAAAATAACTCTAAGTGTCAGACCTGAGTGAACTGCTCCTCTGTGTCACTCTGGTTTAATATCCCAGACTTTAAAGCATTCGACTCTATCCTCACTACTCATCCTCACTCTAAAGGGGAGGAGGCTAATCTATCCAAACAAGCGAAGCTAGGTAAATTCAAACACATGCTACATTTGTACACCACACTAATTTTAAGATGTCTTCACACCAACATTTCTGAGATGTGGATGAGATTTACAAAGGTGAGCACATTGTTTGATGCTGAAAAACTGTTAGGTTAATACGGAATTATGCTCTGTGAAGTCTTAGGTTACAGGAAATATTCTGAGTGTGTATGTGTGCGTGCGTGTGCATATGAGCAAGAATAAGAAAATTGCATCCTAGAAAAATGTTTGGACAAGTTCACACTGACTACTTATTGCTGATTTTCCGTCCCTCTATCCCTAAGATTACAAAGAATGAGGACATAAAAAGCCAAATGTTTTGGGGAGTGGGGAAAGAAAAGGGAAATCTCCCTTTTCCAACTGAACCCCAACCCAAGCCCATGACCTGCAATGCAGAAAACACTCATGGAGCAGGAACTATGGGTGGTCTATGGACTTTTGATGGGAAAGAGGATGGGTTCTAAGAACAAACGGTCCAACTGACCTGAGACTCGGGATGCCTGTCTCATCATCTACCCTACTTTTATCATTAACCAATTTCCAACACACCACACTCAATGGTCTCGCTGCCTCTGCTACATGGTCCAGCAGGCTGTGTCATGCATAAACTCCTCAGCCTGAAGCCTTACAAATTGTTATTGTTCTAAGTAAAAACAGGCTTTCATATTTCATGAAGGAGAGCAAGGCTACTGCTGCTATAGCTCTCTGTTCTGCTGATTGCCTCCTTTTTATGGTTGAAATGGACACAATGTTTGGAAAATATCTACATGTAATATACATGACAGGAGGACAGCAATATCACAAATGCACATGGCTGGAGTGGTGTACTCTTAAAACTCAAGGACATCTCACGGATCAGTCTGGATATCAGAGGAGTCTTGTTCCCTTCTCTTCCTTCTGCTTCTCAGCTTTTGATTATTCTGCAAAATCAATTATCTCATATTCTATAGGTATTACCATGAACAAACTTTAAAGATAACATAAAAAGGTTACATGCTTGCATATACAATATATGATAGCTGCCATATATGGAATTTTAATGAACAGCATAATCAATATATTCCAAACAGTTTATTCATGGGCCATGATTTCAGAATTTAAAGATAGGATTCCAATGTAATTTATTCATATAGAAGTCCATCAAATACGTCAGAAAAAATAGTAAAGTCAAAAAAACGACCATGGATTCAAAAACTCTTGATAGTTATTAAATGGTTTTTCTTCAAATATGCTTTAACCAGCAATATAGTGCAAGGGAGGAAAGACAGCAATTTGCTTGCACAATCACTTTTTCAGAAAAAGACAAAACACAAAATACTTTCCTAAGAAGTAATCTTGCAGATGTTCTTTCTAATCTTGCACTATGTGGCTCCACATGACCTCTGCAATTATTAGCCATACCCCTTGAGCAGATAAACATCACAGAACTATATTATGGTTTTGGAAAAAGGATGGAGGGCACTTGATTTTTTTTCTAGCTATGATCTCTAATTTGCTTATCATTAGAAAAGGCAGGAGTAAATACAAAAGGAGACTACTTCAGTCAGGTAACAGCTAACGCAGAGGACAGAAGGCACATTCATGCTTCTCCTGACTCGCTGCCTAATAAGCAGCAATTAATTCATTTTATTGTATTTCCAAATGCCAAAGACTCCATTCACATCCAAGGAAAAATTTTCAAGGCTTTTACCATTGTTCATTTTTAAATATACTCAGCTATATTTGGTATTTTATAATTGTCAACATCGTTTCCTTTAACTCTGATGTGGGGCTTCACATCATAAAGGATTGTAGATGAGGACTACAGACGAGCAAACTCATAGGTGTGCCTCATGACTCTCTCCCAGGAAGCCTGGGATTTAGGACAGCTTCCTGCCGGATCCAGGTGTCTGGGAGAAGGCACCCTTCTGACCTCAGCCCCCTTTTCTCTAAGAGGTGACAGCAAGGGGCCAGAGGAACCTAAACTGGCTCCAGGCTCAAGTTAAGCTCCAGAGTGAGTCCTTCTTCTATTTCTTTCAAACATAAAGACACAATGAAGAGGGCTCAGTGGAGGGAGACAATGCAAAGCATTCCAAGTCAGGAAAATGAACCTCATCCTGGACCAGTACTCTTTGGGAAGGCAGAAGAACATCCTGCAAAGAGCTTGGCTTGTGGCACCAGATATCCCTGGATTAACTTCAGACTTGTGACTCTAAGCAAGCCAGTTAGCCATTCCACGCCTCTGTGTCCTAATTTATAAATCAAAGATAAAAACACTTTTGTTCAGGACTGCTTCAAGTACTTAGTATGGTGCTTGCAGCCTTGGCCCTGGGTGAGCTTGCAGTCTACGGGGGCCAGGTAATGGACTGGCTTTCCAAGCTGGATTCTGCTCGGGACCTGAAATACTCAGGAGCCCTTGTCCTCACTAGATAACCTTTTGGATAGATGTCATTCTAGGGCATTATCTAAGTTGGAGGCCAATTAACAATGGGATTTCGCTATGAAGAGATAAAAATGTAGAATGATGAGACTGTTTCTGTTGCCCTTATAAAGAAAATCCAGACCTGGCTCAGTTCACACAGAATTATCTTTATCTACATATTCAGTGCCCTGGCTCCCATCATTAATTTCTCCATCACCACACTGTTGGCAAGTGGTTCCAACTGAAGCCTGAGAAATTGTCTCCAATCTTAGTTTTCGTTCAGTTAAATTAAAAACAAGGTAATAAAAATATCTTTGAGGAGAAAGCGTATATGTCATAAATGCAAAAGAACTCCCCCTGAAGATTGGGAAATGCCAGGAAAGATTATATCATTTCCCAAATCCCGTGACAAGGCCAAGTGTCTTGGTGTGGACACAGACAAAGGAGGTTGTTGCTCAGGCTTTCCTTGCCTCCTGCACTGCTAACAGCCAAGTCCTGAAGGAGCAGAGTGGCTCAGGGGGCTTCACGGAGCAACACAGAGTGAAGTGAAGTACGTCTACCTTCCCTGTGGACAGGCCCATTCCTGGATGGAATCAGTGATGATACAAACATGATTCAGCAGTGTGGACTTTAGCAATGCCCCAGTGAAGTTCTTGAACTCAAAAGAATTAAATCAACAATTTGAACTTTAAGCTCTCTGCCTATTGGAAGGAACAGCAGTTTGGAAAGAATGGCCTGTTCAGAAATCAAATCATAAAGGCCACCAGGGCGAGAACAAGAAAATGGCCCCGGGGGAGCACATGTAGCTCATAAATTAGTCACCGGCGACTGGACATAATCAGAGGGGCTCAGGTCTCTTTCTGCTCTACTGGGATGATGCAATGTCAGCAAGTACAGGTTTTTCTTCAATACACATCCAGAGCCTGACGTGAATACATCTACTGCCTAAGATGTATTCCTGCCGAGCGGAGGGCACGGCGAAGACTTCCTTTCCTCTTAGTTTTGTCCCGAGTCATACACTCACCTAAACACACTCGAGAAGTGAACCAGAGGTGGCTTGGCCCATCTTCATGGGAAGATGGAGATGGCCCACAGTGTGGTGGTGCTTCCCAGACCTTGGCTGTGGCTACCGTGAGCTTCTGAAAACAGCAAGAAAGGACTGCCTTTTTGCTGCTAATGGGGAAAGAAGGACTCTGAGCAGGGTCTGAACAACTTCTTAGGGCAACTGAACATACAGGCAAAGAGACTCCTGCATGGAACTCTACAAAGAAACTCTGAGTAGGAAAAAGACTGCTTAACACATGGAGAATGCTTCTGCATTCTTTCTACATGCTGGGATAATAAATCCCTGGAGCTTAAAAAAACAGTTAATGACTTTTTCATGAATTAATGGTAAGTGAAACAATTCGAAGTAGAGAATAATTTCTAAGGCTGTGAGCTAATCCTCAGACATGCTGCTGCTTCTCACTACTCCACTGGAGACGCCAATAGGGGCTAAACTAAGGGAAAGGGTGAGATGGAAGACAACAGGTAAAGCTGGTGTTGGTGACACTGCTGTCGCTGCAGCTGGTGACACAAGGTCCAAGGGAGACCTCTAACTCAGCATCCTCAGGATTTTTAAATGGATATTCCATAGGCCTAGAAGCCTCTTTCACACTGCAACTGCATGGATTCATCTTCTACTTTAGAAGTAGACTCAGGCCCAGCTACAGGCTGTGGGTCATCTATAAAACCTACCCCCTTGAGAGCAGTGGGTCAAAAGGGTTTTGTCTGAGTAGGAGACAAACACATAGCACTCCCATCACTAAGAAACAACTCCTTCAAAGCTAAGCTCTCTTCTAGGCCTGCAGTTTGTACTCTAGCTTCTGTCCTAGACATTTTTTCTTTTTCTTTTTTTTGGAGACAGAGTCTCGCTCTGTTGCCCAGGCTGGGGTACAGCAGTACAATCTCGGCTCACTGCAACCTCCACCTCCCAAGTTCAAGCAACCCTCCTGCCCCAGCCTCCCAAGTAGCTATAACTGCCGGTGCACACTGCCATACCTGGCTAATTTTTTGTATTTTAGTAGAGACGGGGTTTCACCGTGTTGCCCAGGCTGGTCTCTAACTCCTGAGCTCAGGCAATCTGCCCATCTCGGCCTCCCGAAGTGCTAGGATTACAGGCGTGAGCCACCGTGCCCAGCCTTGTCCTAGATATTTTGAAAATGCCCCAACCCCGGGGGGGGCGGGGGAGAAAATCCCCACAACTCTGAATGTATAAATTTAATTTCCAAAATCACTGTGCTCTGGCCACAAATGCCTTTTTTTTTTTCTTTTTTCCATCTTACCGAGCTCTTGAATCTCAGCTTCAGTCTACTGACGCTTTGTCTCTACTCTCCCAGCTTCTCTGCTCCTGGTTCACTGTCTCCTCGCATTATTCCCTTTCTAGTTCAACCATCCCCTATATGTCCTGAACCTCGTATCTCTCCTCTGCAGTCAGGGTCTGTATCCAAGGTCACCAAATTGTTGGCCGAGTCTATCTTAAGCTGCTAAAAATTCCAGAGGAAAAGTCTCATGTTGGTGCCAATGGCTATTGCACAAATTCATGGTAGATAATTGGGCAAAAATCGGCTGGGCGCAGTGGCTCATGTCTGTAATCCCAGCACTTTGGGAGGCTGAGGCAGGCGCATCACTTGAGGTCAGGAGTTCGAGACCAGCCTGGCCAACATGGTGAAACCCCGTCTCTATTAAAAATACAAAAATTAGCTGAGTGTCGTGATGAGCGCCTGTAATCCCAGCTACTTGGGAGGCTGAGGCAGGAGAATCGCTTGAACCCGGGAGGCGGAGGTTGCAATGAGCCGAGATGGCGCCACTGCACTCCCGCCCGGGCGACAAAGCAAGACTCTGTCTCAAAAAAAAAAGAAAAAGAAAAAGACAATGGGCAAAAATCTAGGAGCAAAATGAGAAGAGAGAGCTTTCACTGGATTTGATTTTCTAAGGGAAGTAAGTGGCAAGAAAATACATTGTGGGTGGTAGGAAAGAAAGGAAGATTAATTTTGGTTGAAGACGGAGGGTGGGTAGAGGAAAAAGTACAGAATAATGTTTGCCACTTGATTTTTCATTAAAAAAAACTTATATAATGAAAATGATCAATTCCAGATAGTATAAACATGAGTGTTTAATATATTTTCTGTACTGTTTAAATTTTGCAACAAAAACTTCATAATTTTGATGCACACTCCTAGTCAATTACCATTACTTTAAGAGAACCCAATTTTAATAAGTTGATTTTTAAATGCTGCTATTGAAAATCTTTCTGAAAAGTTCTGGCACACAACACTTTTCAGACTTCATAAGGACAGAACTTATAATTTATTCTTTAAACACAATGAGTAGGAAAGACTACAGAGCAGGCAGAGAGCACCAAAGCAGGGAGCCAGCCAAGGATGAGTGCTAAGTGCCACGGAGCAGCCCCAGGGGGTGTGGGTTGGCCCCTGGTCCCAGCCTGTGACTCTCTTCCCCACTCTTAAAGCAGCCCAGGAATTAGCCTCCCTGACTCCAGCTTGGCCTCCCTCTTATTAGCTATCCTGCAAAACCTGGCTGGCGAGGTCTTTCCAGAGGGTAAATTTGAATGAACCCCATGTATGCCCCTAGGCCCACAGATGAATCCCTTCTCCTCAGTGGGATAATCGAGGGCCCTTCCCTTAGGCTCCTCCAGTCTTACCTCCCACCGCATGTCCCCAATTACATGATGCTCTTCATGGTCCCCCAGATAGTCCCAACTTTATGGAAATTCTCTGCCTTCAACTATGTTTAGTTCTAATGACACTTCTCCATGAAGCTTTAATTCCCTCACTCCCAGAATGAATCATTCTTTTCACTTGGGCAGCCTCTGCACTATCCTGTTTAATTTCTACTGCAGAGCCCCCTAGCTGTGGATATCTACTGGAAAAATAACAGAAAAGTTCAATGTTCCTCAAGAACAGAAACTCTGGATTCAATTCTATGTGCCCAACGTCTACAAAAGGACCTAGAACACACTTAGGTTCTCAATGAAAACCACTGGACTGAATTCAGTAATCATTCCTATGCTTTTCAAGTTCAAATCTACGTAGAAATCTTAGACTTTCACTAGAACAATTTTTTTCTTTACTAAAATTTAAGTCTACACAATTTGGGGGTGATCTAGTCCACAAACAAGCACATTGAGAACAACTGCCAATTAGTAGAAGCATAAAGCTGACCTTTAGAATTTATTCTAACGGATTTTCAGGAGAGTAACTTTTGTAGCTAGGATGACTCATCTATCAATGTGACATCAAATGACCACTCTCTCCTGGAGTCTGTTTTCTTCCTAGGAACATGGCAGAACTTCAAAACTACAGAATTTAAAAACATGGGCTTTAAATGGGACACAGGAGCTCTCTGTAAAGGCTGGAAGGGACAGCATAAGAGGTAGACACCTCCTTTTCCTTCTGCCTAAAACAGGGGGCTTTTCAAACCTGATTCAATGGAATAGCCTAAGAGGCCATTACTAAGGATTTGAGGGAGTAAGCTTCAATTCAAAACATGAGTTTTGCTACTTTAAAAAGGCTGGAAAACACCAGCCCAAAGAACTCTGCCACACCCTTCCCTGGAAAGTAAAGAGAAGCTTATAAGCAAGAAGACTCACCAGGAAGACACATCTGGCAGTGGCCTCCATTGCGGGTAAGCCACTTTTCCAACTCCACAGAGGGACAGACAAATGCAAGTCTGGTTTCGGTCTTCACATGAGGACCATAGACCTTTGTCTACCCCTTCGACGTCTGAGTTTGTGGAGAAGTGGTAACCAACCTGGCTAGGGCAGTGTCTGCAAGGATAGTTACTGGGATGGTCAGCCACCAGCCACCTGCTCCAGGAGGCCTTCCTACATCTTCCCAGGCAAAGCACAGTGTCTCTTTTAAGCTTGGATACTTCCTGCCACTCCCCTCTGCTCCCCACCCACCCAGAAGCTATCCTTGTTGTCTTTTGGGATGACCTCAATTATCTGTAGCGAGTTTATCTCACTAGCTAGTGTGGGAGGCCAAGAAGACCATGGCTATCAGCCTGACCCCATGATGACCTCGGTAAAGATGCTTGTCCCTGCCTCCTCACAAATGTGCTATTAGATTCCAGAGCTGAACAAGGGGGTATGGATGGAGCTGGGACATCAACAGAGTTGAGCCCATATCCTGGTAATGGCTGGTTAGGAAGGTTAAGTATACTGCCTTTGAGATAAAATGCTCATGGAGGGAGTGAAAGAAAGCAGCACCAACTCCTGCAAGCAGGTGACAGACAGCCTCACTCTCTGCGACTGTCCTAATGCCCTCAGAGTGGTGCCAAGCAGCTCTGTCTCCAGGACCATGTCATTCCCCCAGTTACTGATGACCCTCACAGCACCAACCCAAATTAAGTCCACGTTTTGACCAAGGGCTCAAAGTTAAAATGTGGATGCCAAGTGAAGGGCTGGTAGCAAAGGCTGAATGCCCAGCCCCAAAGACTGTGAGGGGTGACAGTTTAGGTACAGTGTGCTGGTGTGAAGCCCTCTGCTTGAAAACATTCTCCCACCTTCACTAGATAAAATTTTATCTAAAACAATGATTCGTTTAGGGTGCAAAAAGATCTGAGTTCAAATCCTGGCTTCACCACTTACTAGGAAGGCTTTGTGACTAGTCAATTATACTCTCTCAGCCCCAGTTTCCTCAGTATCATGCCCCAAAAGCAGAATACTGTAAGTCACTTCATAGTGAGCTTAAATGAGGGAGCACGCATTAGGCTGCCTTTCCTCTTTCAATTGCCAAACTTAACAGTATACTCTCCACGAAGCTCATCCCCGGGATGCACCCCACATTTCATTTTGGCTGCTCCCGCTATTACCCAAAGTGCTCCTCTAGTTTACATTCCCATTTACATGGCCAGCTCCCTGAACAGGATATTGGCTGTTAACTGCCCATCACAGTGAGCAAGCACCATGCCTGGAACACTCAGTTGGTATTAGCAGATGGAAAAACAAAGGACTCCATTTTTCCAAGAACAATATGGTAGGAAAGAACGGAAGAAACTACAAGAAGACGGAGGTGGTTCTTGGAGCTTAAATGCTGAGCCAGTTGCTATCCTACTGCTTCTGTTTCTGTCTCTTCCTTGTGCCTGCCCCAAAAGAGAGTGGCCCAGGGCTGAAAGTCAGGGGAATGTTTCTTTTTTATTATTGTTAATTTTTTTTTAGAAACAAACATAAATACCGCTGTGTATTTTTACATATGTACATGTATAAAGCAACAGAAAAATTGTTTCTATGGAAGAAAACTCTAAAATTCACCAAGTGAGAAAAAGAGTGCTTCCTATATCACATGGGAATCCCTTCTGAACAGAAGAGCTTTATTCCTCACTTATAGGGCTTTCAGTCTAAGGCTGTGTGCCCTGGTGAGTCCACAGGAACCACACAGACAGTGCAGAAATAGAGCAATTCATATCATCACAGATGGAAACAACATTGTTATCTGTAAACTTCTTTGTACATCATTAATTCATTAGCTCAGAGAAACTAGAAACAGAGTCAGAACTTGAGCAAAAACTGGGGTAGTTACATCCATATAGAGAGTATTGCACCTTTGGTTAAAAAGCAGGATCTACAAAGTTATCTTAGTCTTCCAACTGCTCAGCCAGTGCAGCTAAAAGCCAGCCACCATCAGCCACACGTGCGAGCGAGCCAGCATGCTGCCCACTGCAGAGGGCACACCAAATGCTCCTTCCTAATCACTTGTCCTATTCCACAGCCAGCCTTGTTTGCATAAAAAAAAGTCGAAGGACTTTGGGAAGAGTCCCAGTGCTCACCACTCAAGTGTTGTGAGACTACACTGTTTTTTAGTTCAGAACAAAACCACAAATTTAATTACTGTATAGAAAAATATCAGAACAGAACCGAAAAAGGCACATGGGAAAGCCATCAATATGTGCCAAAATCAATTTTTATTATAAACGAAAGCTCCTCCTTGCAAACTATAATCTCTTTGCATTTCTAAAATAGGGCATTACAGAAAAATAAAAGTCAGGTATGTTTTATTATAAATTTTATAAAGGGAAAAAGCAGAAAGAAGTTGTATATGAAAAATTATCAATGCCCCCATTTTTCCTATAAAATATATTTTGAGACTGAAAAATGAGGTACAAGTAAAAAAAAATTTAAGCAAACTCAAGTACAAATGAAACTGCAAATGGGTTTGATCAAGAGTTTTCCCATCTCTAAGATCTATCTTTTTTTTTTAAAGGCCACTGCTCAGATTTCTCTTTTAATAAGAGCGCCATTCACTTAAAAAACAGTAGTAAGCAATGTGGAAGAAATCTGGCTGAAAATACTCTGAGGGAAGAGACATGCATGAAAAAGACGTATTTTTTATAAGTCTTCTTAAAAATACATCAAAAGCATGAGTTAAAATAATTTCTAAATTTTTTAAAAAGGTAATTTCATGACCACTTTGGAAATGATTCTTTCTAAATAATTTCTACTCAATTTTGCATCTCTGGACTTTTCTTTTTTTAAGCTTTCCTAGCCCATGGCTGCTTGGTGGACATCTGAAGGTTAAAAAAAAAAAATCATGTTTCTGTGCTGAAAAGTTATCAAGACCAGCTCTCTGCTGCATTTGCATTGTTATTAGGAACACACACATACACACGCACACACACACGCAAACACACACACGCGCTCACACACATTGAGTTTAATGTGAGGCTAGTACAGAAACAGAGAGATTAAACACAAAGAAATGTAAACAGCTCTCACATGCAAGGAAACTAGGTTACGAGAATCCCAGCACCAGGCATTCACCAGTCACCATGGAAAACAGGAAGTGAGATGCATAGCAACCACAAGCCAAAAAGCAGAAAAGCGCATACCTTTAGCTTGGAATGAAAATCACGAGATTTCCTTCTGGCAAGAACCTGAATGTGACTAGACACCTGCAGGGTAGGGGAAGGGAGGAAAACAAAGGAAAAGCCTGTAACCATGGAGATGAAAAGCCCCCTACAAGTGGGCAAGCCAGACGTACCTTAATGGCGGCTTGAATTTCTCGAACTTTCTTTCTTGCTAAGACCTGTATATGACTAGACACCTACATTGTTCGGGTTTATGAGGGGAAACAAAACAAAACAAAACAAAACAAAACAAAACAAAACAAAAAAGGAAATCAAATATAAAATCGCTACTCTTTGGGAGGGTTTTGGGGTGGGGTTGGGGGGTGGTTATTTGCATCTCAACAAAGCTCTGCAGTTAGGAATACACAGTCCCAGCCAGACACAAGCCCCCAGCGCTGCTCTAAGCTTTTCATACTGGGTCATCACTGCAGTGACTTGATTCAGGATGAAAGTTAAGACTCATCTTAGTCTTCCCACCCAAGAGAAATCATGGGCACTGGGAAAAACTAATTTTGGGAGGGATGAGAGGGGCTGTTTTCATTCTAAAATTAAAAAGGTGGGAGTAAAGGTAAATGAAAATATTTATAGCTTCTCAGTATCAGGAGGGAAAATCCCTTTTTCTCAATTTAGAAGAGACTATCCATAAATTAGCACATTCTGCAGAATCAAAAAGCTGAAGCTGTTGGTTGTATTCTGATCTCATTAAGAGCTCTGGATTCTGTAGCAAACGTTAAAATAATACTGACATGTAAATTAGATCTCAAAGAGAAATGGAAAGACCCAGTTAGCAGAGCTATTTTTTTTTTTTTTTGCCCTTATAAAAATCTTTAATCCTTCCACTCTTTTGGGTATTGACTGGGCGCCAAGTGGATTTGCATATTATTACAAAGCGAAATGTGTGAATACAGCCAGCCAGCCATCCTGTTAAAAATCTGGGTTGAAAACCACATGGATTTGCTGAACAACAAATTCACATTGGAGAGGTATCACCAACTGCTGCCTAAAAACATCCCCAGGATGCCGGGGCGTGGAAATGTAGCCGAGCCCAGCTTCTGAAACACAATGATTCCACTGAAATCTGCATCTCTTTCAGTGGGACTTGGTTAAATTTAGAAGAGTCCCTCAGTGAAGGGGTCACCGGGCAAATGACCAGAGCTCACAGACCAGCAGACAGCCCAGGTCCCGCACTGTCAGAATGTAGATGATTAGATCCACTGGTTTCCGAAATGTAGAACTTTCCATTTAAAAGTTCAGCGACTCAGACTGTGTGGTGATTACCCCATTTCCAACTCTCCAGCGGCTCTAAAACAGGATTTATAATAAACGGTCCTTTTATCTTTAACTTTGTCTTTGAGCTTCAATTATTCAATTATTTTTTTTTCCAATTTGCTTTGGTACTTTTCTTAAGTACAGAGAAGCAGAAACTCCCCCATCCTCTTCAGCCCTCCATCTGGCTCCTGCTGTTACTTGTTTTCACCCGAATTTTGTTCTTCTGTGATTCTCTGACTTGACGAGGGCCACTAGCATCCCCCAAACAGACAATGCGCTGCCTCTGCGTGCTGGCAGGAGGCCACCTCTCTTTGTGCTGACTCAGCAGCCAGGCTCCCAGGCTGTGGCACAAGTAGCATTCCTGGGAAAAGCCTCTCCCCGTTATAAACACTCATGAAAACAATTCCTCACTGGGAAGAGAACTGAAATCTGCTGCTCAATCTTAATGAGACCACGGTTTAGTTAGCCTTTTGGTCTGATTACAGTTTTTAAGGTTCATGCTGTATCATTCAGCATAAATCGACATTAAAAAATAATTCTTTTCTGTGAACAACTCACCCATGAGGTTTTTAGGGTTTTTTTTTTCCTCCTTTCTTTTTTTTGTTTTTAGTTAAACACTAATTTCTCATTCGTTCCAGTTCTAAACTGGCTCATGTCAGAGATTTGGGCTGTTTTACATCTGAAAGAACGAGGAAAGGCAGAGCTCTGCCAAAGGGCAGAGAATTCCTGATACTGCTCTGCACAGAGGTATTGAAGTTGTAACTTCATTTCAGTCACAGCAGCTACTGACAAAAAGCCATCGCTTAAAAAGCAACAGTTCCCTGGACGCACATCATTTAGCATTACATTCAGGCCAATACTCAAGGCTGCTGGCGTTACTTTTTCATTGAAATTATGACTAATATATAATCGCTCCAGGATTTTACAATGCACAAAACCTCAAAATTTCATGACCTGCAAGTGCATTTGCACTTGCAGTTTTTGCAGTGTTCACAGGTGCACATTTTGGGAAAGAAATGTCAGCTTTGAAATACAGTACAGGAGCGGTTCATACACCGTCCTTAGCAGTGACATTTTCCCATGTGAGTATAAAAGGAACTTGTAAGACCACATAATAAAGGGTCACTGAAATGATGAACAGTGAAAACTGAGCCAATTTAAAATACCTCCAACACTGACGTCCTTACAGGGAACTCAAATTGGGGGCTCCTAGGAGCCAAAGCATAGCCAGCCACTGCAGCCAAAATGCCTTTTTGGGCCATTCGCTGACATGCACAATTTCCAGGTGGGTTATTTTACCTGTTTTCTGGTCCTCGTCTTGCCTGTCCTGAGTTTGATGTATCTGGCTATCAATTCATTCCTACCTGAAAGAAAGAAGAATTTACCATGAGGTGGGTTACCAAAACACCAAACCAACAAAGCCCTTGAAAGCAAAAAACAAAATTCAGAATCAAGAATTTTAAAATTACAACTATGTGTTTACTAATACTAGAAAAATAAAACAGCACAATTGTCTGCAAAAATGTTTACTAGGAAAAATTAAGATGAAAGGCATTTAAATTTGAACTTAGACCAGCATCTAAGAATAGAAATTTATCCTTTTTTTTAAAAAAAAAAAAAAAAAAAAAAGACAGAGTTTCACTCTTGTTGCCCAGGCTGGAGTGCAATGGCACGATCTTGGCTCATGGCAACCTCTGCCTCCCAGGTTCAAGTGATTCTCCTGCCTCAGCATCCCAAGTAGCTGGGATTACAGGCGTGCGCCATCACGCCCAGCTAATTTTGTATTTTTAGTAGAGACAGGGTTTCTCCATGTTGGTCAGGCTGGTCTCGAACCCCCGACCTCAGGTGATCCACCCGCCTTGGCCTCCTTAAGTGCTGGGATTACAGGCATGAGCCACCGCACCCAGCTGAAATTTATCTTTTTAAGATGTGCCTTTTTGTCTGTTTGTATGCTGTGGGTGGTGGGTCACTCATATAAGCAACAAATACAGACAAGGATTAGTCTGGGACTAAACAAACCCAGTTCTCTTCTAGTCTTTGGTTTTTCATATTCACATTCATATTCACTTTCCTTCTTATTCAAGTTTCTACTCATAGTTTACTCCAGCTAAAATCACAGCCACAAGAGAACGAACGAGCTGCTGTGGCCACGGAAGCCGGACAATGACAAGAAGCTAACAGTACGAAGGCAGACACCCCCTAAAGGTAGTCAGTGAAAAAAATGACTCAATCTCCTCCAAGTTATATAACCTTCTGGGGAAAGAACAATGCCCAAAAGTATAAACAAAAACCTTCTAGCCCTATCCCACCAGGAAACTGAGAAGTCTCAGACAACCTGACTTCAGAAAACCATGATAGGAAAAAATATCCCCAGAAGCTAAGCAGAGAATGTATTACCAAAATACCACGTGAAATAAAAACCACTCATACAAGACATGGGTTCTTCTAAGCAGGTCCTATTTACGACTTCAACTTGCTCTAATACCAGGAACTGAAATTATTTCTACATACTTTCTACAGTAAATGGAAAACCACCATTTCATAGCACTACTGTTGGCTGGCTTTGTATCAGCTCAGCTCTATCCTTGTGAAAAATTCCTTTGGTCAAGAACAAGTCTGAAGCTTGCTGCTGTGGCATTCACTCATGTGCTTCACCAGCCTGAGACCATTGTGCTAGATTCTATTTCTCCTTCAAGGCCTCACTTGGATGTCACTCCCTTGGGGAAGTCTTCTCTAATTGCCCAACTAGGTTTGGTTGCCTTGTTCTACACCCCCATGGTGGCAAAAACTGTACTTCTTCCTAGGATGTACCCAAACTGTAACTGTATTTATAACTTTATAGTTAGTTGTAAAATTTGTGTTTGTTGTCTTACTTCCTCCCAGATATACTGCATACTTGAAGAGGGGAAGAACTCTGTCTTCTTCCTCAATGTCCCCCTAGCACCTAGCACACTGCTGGGCACAGAGAAAAGAATGAATGAGGAAATAACACAGCCTCTGCTGAAAGGAAGTGACCATATCCCCCAGATCTTCCCTAGCAGAGTAAAGAACTGGAAACACTGATGAAGACGAACATCAAAATGTCCTTAGGGAAATCTTGTCTGAGAATTGCGAAGACTCTCTCATCACTGCCTAGAATGTCCTAGAGTCATGGCTCTGTCCACCACCTGCCAGTGCTGGGACTGTGCAGGACATGGTCATCACTGGAAGGCAAAGGAATCATGAAATCTGGGGGCTAGAAAGTACCCCTAGGTCATCCATTCGCATTCCTGAAAGTCCTCATAAGCCTTAGTCAGCACTTCTAAAATTGAGGAAGTAGCCCATTCTATCTTAGAACATATTTAAGAATAAGAAGACCCTCCTTTTGGGGGTCTGCTTTAACTTTCATCCCCAGATCCTTCCTGTTCCTCTTAACAAGAAGTCCAGTCCCTTATTTATTTAACTGCCTTTCAGATATTAACAGCAGCTCTGGGGTCCTCTTGGAGTTGTACACAAGCTAAACCTCCTGTGTTACTTTGTTATCTGACAAGCTTTGGAACACTCCCACACACCATCCTGTGACCATCCTTTGTCTGTCTTCCTTTCAAAGCTTGGAGTCCAGAACTGTGGCAGTGCTCCTGCTATAGCATCAGAGTCAGTTTATTACCTCTCTCATCCTAAATACTCTACCTCTGTTAATGCAGCCAAACACTGCATTAAATTTTTAAGGAGCACAATAAATTATCAATATATGCCAACTTAAACTCCTAGGTCTTTTTCATACGGGCTCGTCTTCTGATATGTCCCTACCCCTGTTTCCAGTCTTTTTAATGCATAGCTGAGATTTTCAGACCTCAAAACAGAACCTTACATTTTTTCTACTCCATTTCATCCCCTTAGATTCAGTCTATCATTCCTGCCTGCAAGATCTTCTCAGATCCTGTGAACCCTTTTACCACAGGACAAGAACCTCTAAATTCAGTTTTGAGGATTGCTTTTCTAAGCATTCTCTTTCAAACTTTTGAGAACTACCAATATCCCCTGTAGTATCATTGGATCTACTTCTCCATCTCTCAGATGGTTGTACAGATTTTGCAATTTGTCTTGAAGGCTCGCTGACAACAGAGCCCAGCTAGGAGTACCTAATTACGAGAAGCCAGAGCTAAATGACAATGTCTGCAGACAAGCCAAGCATCCTCCAACCTGGGGCCTCACTGTGCATCCTGTTCAGGGCTATTTGAGCGGCCAAGGCGAAATAGATCCAGGGCTCTGTATTACATACAATTTTGTCCGAACCTTGTCCAGATGACAAAAATGTCTCCTACCCTCAAACTTGTTTATTTTCTGGGAAAACAGACAGAATACCTTGATAGATGTGACACATAACCTGACTAACTTTTAATTTCTTGCAGCACTTGGAGTTGAATGAATAAAATCAATATCCAAGACAGCCCTATTTGACTGTGTACCACAGCCTATACAAATGGCACCCCTTGGAGTTAAACAGTGTCAACTCACACTTTGACTGAAGTACAATCATGCACCACATGATGACATTTTGGTCAACAATGAGCTGCATACATGATGGTGGTCCCATAAAATTATAATGGCATGTTTTTACTGTCTTTTCTATGTTTAGATTATGTTTAGATACCCAAGTCTTACCATTGTGTTACAATGGCCTACAGTATTCAGTACAGTTAACACCAGACAGGTTTGCAGCCTAGGTGTGTAGTTGGCTATTCCATCTAGGTTTGTGTAAGTACACTTGACGATTTTCTAACAATGACTAAAATCACCTGATGACGTATTTCTCAGAACGTATCCTGTTGTTCAGTGACTTCTAAAAATTATGACTTCAACAGGTCCTTACTGAGTACTGTGGCCTGGGCATTACGCTGTAGTCATTATTTCATTGAAAGCTCATCTTCACTCTCATGTCCTTGCTTTTCAGATGAGCAAGCTCACTTTTCAAAAACCCATGTTCTTTCTTTCATCTATGTTTCAAGCCATGAATAAGTAATTATTTCTTTTAAATATTAGAACTACCTGCTTTTTAAATTATAAAATCTTCCCTTAAACAAGTCTTAGAAACCTAATAAATTATCTTAAATGCACTAAAATGTTGCTTATAAAACTAGTACAATTTCAACCTTCCCCCAAATCAAATGTCTAAATGAGCTACTTCATTGTACATTTTAATTTGGAAATACAGGCTGATCTGTTACCTAGGCCAAATTATTTCTTTTAATTACTTGAAATATCAAATATACATAAATCCTTTAAATCAAAAACATTAACACTATGGCTCTAATTCTACTAAAATTTTATATGTTTAATTCTAAATCTTTCCAGAATTTAATTATACTTACCCATTTACAGAAGTATGCCATTCCAAACAATTTTGGAAGATCTTTTTGGCTGTTTGGGATTGTATATGCATGGTGTATCAACTAGGTTCTGAGGAGAGTCTTGTCAGCGGCCCTGATACGACATCCTAAGTCCTATCTCTATTTCCTTTATTTCTTTTAGACAGGGTCTCACATTTATCACCCTGGCTGGAGTGCAGTGGCACGATCTCGGCTCACTGCAGCCTCAACCTCTCAGGTTCAAGTGATCCTTCTGCCTTAGCTCTCCAAGTAGCACGGGACTGTGGTAGCTCATGGGACTACAGGCCTGCTCCACCATACCAGACCAACTTTTGTATTTTTTTGTAAAGACAGGATTTCATCATGTTGCCCAGGCTGGTCTCAAACTCCTGCGCTCAAGCAATCCGCCCACCTCGGCCTCCTAAAATGCTGAAATTACAGGCATGAGCCACCGCACTGGCCCCTATGTATATTTCTACAGCCCTGCCCTCCAAAGGGGTGAGCTCACAGATTCCACAGCCCTGGATTTTGATCATGTTACTAAGACGCAGCATTTCCTAAGGGCCAGAAGATAAGCAGCACCATCACTGATGTAACTGAAAGTGGGTCTCCAAGCTATGCAGCATAGTCCTGTTGCAGCCATGATCTTCTAACACACACACACACACACACACACACACACACACAGAGACAGAGAGAGAGAGATGCTTGATTCAGTAAACCTGATGCTACAAAAATGACTTTCAATAAAGCTAACTTTAAGTTACTTATTATTTTCCTAAAACAATCCTGCAGTCACCTGGGGACCGTCTTCCTTTCTGCCTTACACCACGCCTGTCCAGTGAGTCAGAGAGAGATATAAAGCTTCTCTACAACATAAAAATTATTTTAGAAATGCACAACATGTCACCTCTTTAAGCCTCAGATGCTGTAGTTGTAGCTGCCCTTGTCTTTCCCACCGGCTGCACATAAGCAGCAAGGACAAACACAACCTGACCTGTCACTTTTACACTGTGATCCTCACCAGGCACTGTAATCTAGTTTTTATTTCATTTTATTTTCTTTTTCCTAAATAATATAACACAGTTCGAAATGAGCCCATCATTGGCTTCTCTTGCATCTTGGATTGCCATGGAATTTCCTGCTAAAGGGGCAATACAGAGAGAGATCCCAGAAGAAAGGCATGGAGTTTGCACTGCGCTTGCCTTACCAGATAGAAGACTGGTTAACGTTGTTGTGGGCTGTATATATAATGTGATGTGGCCTCAAGGTCATGTTTGAGGCACAGCAAATGAAGGTCTGTGGCTAGAAATTGTAGCCCAGAGACACTCAAGCTTTAACAGTGTAAGAGCCACTTTGTAATTGAATGGAGTCAGGGAGCCACCAAGAAAGAAGCAACAAATGCAATGCTTCTCTTCCCTGGCCGTGGCCAGTCCTAAGGCAAACTCACACCCATGAAGGACTGGACTGCCCTGGGCCTAGGAAGCTCTAGCTTGGCTTCTCTAAGGAAACATCTGCTGGCCCTTTCCCTTCACTGGGAAGGATGTGTGAGGATTCTCCACCCCGTTCTTCCATATTAAAACAAGGAAAATCAGAAAGAAAACTCATTTCCCTTGACTGCTAGACCAAAGCTACATCAAACAAGGGTCTTCTACATATCCCCCCACCCCGCTCAGCCCAGTAGTACTACTAGATTATCGAATGTTTCCTGTGAACACCTTGAACTTTGTACCTGGGTGCACAACTGCTGTCATGGCCTGTACTGTCCTTGCCCATTTCTGCATGTCTGGAATCTGCCTACCTTCCCAAGGCCTCATCCTTCATGAACCTACCAGCTGGTGGAGGCCTCCCCTTTCCCTAAACATTCACAGCCTTTGACCTGGGCTTCTTTGCTGGTAACTTGTATTTTTTTCTGCCTTATGTGATATCATTTCAGCACATGTCATGATTGCAACCAAGTCATAAAGTCCTTGGCAACAAGAACCAATGACATGGATCTCTTCTCCGCCTCCCTTTCTCAGGTGGCTCAACATTTATGGACCGAGTCATTCTTCAGGTCAGAAAAGAGGCTCCTACATCCCTGTAGTCCCAATTTGGCACCAGATCATGAACATAAAGTTAAAAAAAAAAAAAAAGGAAGAAGATAACCCAGTGGAAAGAAGCAAAGAAAGATGTCTTCCACAGGAGACCCCATGCCGGCATCAGCACAAAGCATGGGGAGAGTGGTTTACAAAGAAATTTCTCAGGCAAGATTCTACAAGACAGTGCTAAACTGCCTTCTAGTCATATGCCCCCACCACTCCTTTTTTTTTTTTTTTAAGACAAGGTCTAGCTCTGTTGCCCAGGCTGGAGTGCAGTGGCATGATCATGGCTCACTGTAGCCTTGATCTCCCGGGCTCAAGTGATCCTCCCACCTCAGCCTCCCAAGTAGCTGGGACCACAGGCAGGTACACCACACCTGGCTAATTCTTAAATTTTTTTTTTGTAGAGACAGAGGTCTCACTATGCTGCCCAGGCTAGTCTCGAACTCCTAGCCTCAAGTGATCCTCCTGCCTTGGCCTCCCAAAGTGCTGGGATTACAGGCGTGAACTACTGTGCTTAGCCCATGAAGTCTGTTTTCATCAGCTGGGGTTCATCAAAAGGAAAAAAATATTTTAGGATATGAAAGCCAACAACCTGGTCAGGCGCAATGGCTCATGCCTGTAATCCCAGCACTTTGGGAGGCCAAGGCAGGTGGATCACGCAGTCAGGAGATCAAGACCATCCTGGCCAATATGGTGAAACCCCATCTCTACTAAAAATACAAAAATAAGCTGGGCGTGGTGGCACATGCCTGTAATCCCAGCTACTCGGGGGGCTGAGGCAGGAGAGTCGCTTGAACCAGGGAGTCAGAGGTTGCAGTGAGCTGAGATCACGCCACAGCACTCTAGCCTGATGACAGAGCGAGACTCCGTCTCAACAAAAAAGAAAAAAGAAAGAAAGAAAAAAGAAAAAAAAAGAAAGCAAGCAAGCCAACAACCAAAAAGTATAGATGAAGGGGACACTGAGGAAACCACATGTCACTGTCTTGGGAGAGGTCTACAGAATGGGGGTGTTTTATCTCCCCATCCATCTTCCTGAAGATCTAGGAGGTATGTATCTGTGGACACTGCCAGAGGAAGCAGTAAAGAACATTTATTAACTAACCTGTGAGGAGTTACTAATTAACCATTTCTTCTACACGGATGCCATAGCAACTTGTCCCAGCAATAGTGGAAAAGAAAGGAGGCCTACGGAAGCTGGCCAGTCATCCACTGGTCACACATGGACTGTGTGTGGATGGAACACAAGAAACATGCTAAAATTATGGGGGTAAAAAGATGCCATCTCAAGCTGGGTGCAGTGGCTCACGCCTGTAATCCAAGCACTTTGGGAGGCTGAGGCAGGAGGATAACTTGAGCCCAGGAGTTTGAGACCAGCCTGGCTGAGAGTGAGACCCTATCTCTTAAAAAAAAAAAAAAAAAAAAATCAGCCAGGCTTGGTAGCACCTGCCTGTGGTCCCAGGTACTCAGGAGGCTGAAGCAGGAGGATTGCTTGAACCCAGGAGTTCAAGCATGCAGTGAGCCAAGATCACACCACTGTACTCCAGCCTGGACAACAGAGTGAGACCCTGTCTAAAAAAAGAAAGAAAAAGAAAACACGCCATCTCTGCCTTGGAGGTGCTTATGTCTTGTTTGGAAGAACTCCAACCCATGAGAACTGGTCAGATCACCCTAACATGTGCTCTCACAGGAACCTACGCCTCTCGGTCACAGCACACAGCACAGCTACTGTGTTCCATTTATCTGAATGAGACTATAAGATGAACATGTGCCTACCCCTCTACTACCAGACAGAGAAGTCCACAGGAGCCCAGAGCATAAACTGGGTTTTGCTCATCACTGTGCATCCAGTGCTGAGAACACAGCAGGTCCTCAGTGGCTACAGACTGATGGAGTAAATGACAGAGTGAGAGGGATGGAGAGCCAGGGAGGGAGAAGGGGCACAGGCTAAGATTAGGTGTAAGGACAGGCTCATGAAAAACAGCCTCTGAACCAGTCCCACAGCATATCCAACGAGGAAGTTCTCAGTTAATCCTCAATATAAATCATTGACCAGAAATCAGCACCAATGTGGAAAATCACCAGAAACAGCCAGGCCGCCCATTCAGGGTTGTCAGGGGCTGGTACTACTTGTTCCCAAACTAGAAGTTCACCAAAGGACTGACGGCCTTCAGGAGGTAAACAATAGCAATCCCTGGAGATAATATGTGTCTGCATTCACCCAGGGGCTTATTAAAAAAAACAGCTTTCAGAGAAAGAACATACAGAGAAAGGCTGTGTTAACTCCTGGTTACTCAGAACTTCTATCTCATATCCCTGCCAGTGAGTGTCTGGCGATAACTCAAGTCCCACCTTCTCAGGAGTTTGTATCAGTCAACGGCAGCTGATAACATTATCATGTGACAACTCCATAGAACACTGTGTTCTCCCGCATCTTAGAGGAACCGCTTACAAACTACACATTTGCCTTGGGTTACAGGGGTCAGAAAGAGATGAGCAAGTAAAAATGTTTAAGGCTGCATAGTGAATACAACACTGCTATGTTAGATAGAAGTTATTTCTGTTCTAACTATTTCTAGATGAAAAAGAAATATGAATGAAGTTTTCTTAGTGGCTCATTCTCTATGAGGCAATAAAGATACGCCACATAATCACTTTCTTAATCCTCTAATGAGTAGTTTGACTAGCCTTACCACTGTAACTATGCCTCTGATCATTTTTCTTTCTAATCCATCCTCTACACAGCTACCTAAAACACAGTTCTCAGTTATAAGACCTTCCAAGGCTCCTACTGCCCACATCTAAAGGAATAAACTGCTTTAGTATGGTGTTCAGTGTTGTCCCCACCATCTGGCCCCTAACTATTTTTCATGACACACCACCACCACGACCACCACCACAATTCATTTTACCACCATCAAAATACCTACCAAGCTTCCAGTTCCCTGAACCCACCCTGCCATGCTAAGGTATTATAGCTGCAATAACCCTTAAGACCACCAAGGAAAATCTTTCCAGGTCCAGCTCAGATGTCCCCTCCAAGAAACCTCACCTGAAACGTGCCTGAAACATGTGCTAGACATGGAGTGTATGAAGAGGGGTAAGCCAGACAGCCAGGTGCCCAGAGCCCACTTCACCAGACCAGCAACTGGGAAAGACCACAATATTATAAAGTGAAACAAAAAGTACTATGAATTAAAAACAAGTCACTTAGTATATGAGGGGAATGATGGCTTGACTCTTAACTAGGCAAGCAGCATGAGCTTCACCATTCTGTCCTGGTCTCATAGTTCTTTACTTCATGTGTCAGGGAACCGCCCACAATCAGACTCTGCTGAGTTCCCTGTGTAACAGACTACAAGCCTCTTCAAGGTACAGTCCATGTCTTTCACATCTTGGTATCCCATACACTTAAAGTGTAGATGAGATTTAATGGAGGCCAGGCATGGTGGCTCATGCCTGTAATCCCAGCACTTTGGGAGGCCAAGGCGGGTGGGTCACTTGAGGTCAGGAGTTTGAGACCAGCCTGGCCAACATGGTGAAACCCCGTCTCTACTAAAAATACAAAAATTAGCCTGACGTGGTGGCACACACCTGTAATCCCAGCTACTAGGGAGGCTGAGGCAAGGGAATTGCTTGAACCAAGGGGGCGGAGGTTGCAGTGAGCCAAGATCGCGCCGCTGCACTCCAGCCTGGGCAACAGAGTGAGACTCTGTCTCGAAAAAAAAAAAAAAAGGAAAAAAAGATGAGATTTAATGGAGCCTGAACTTGCTGCCCCCAACTGTGACCTAAATAGACTGCTACCCACAGGCTCTCAGGCGCCCACCATGTCCTGCCACTCATCTTGCAGGCATTTGTCTTTTCTTTCACCTCCACATCTAGTTATGTTGCCTTCCTATACCAACAGGTTCTCATCCACTACAAGCAAAACACAAACTCCTTAGTCTGGTACCTAAAGCTAAGAGCCCACTCCTGTATAGGGCTCCTCTATTCTAGAATGTGGCTCTTCATAGAGTTCCCCAGACCACTGTCATTCTTTTCCAAAGATACCTCCATGCCTTTGTGGAACCACCTATCCTTACATGTTCTTTCTCTTCTCTTTTACCTGCAAAGTCCTATTCATTCCTGTATACCCTACCTGGAACACTTCCTCCCCAATGTCTGTGGGAGCCATCCAAACTGAGTTAGTCATTTCCTGCTTTGTAACCTCAAGTACTGAGCATGCACCCCTGCTACTGCTGCACTGCCATTACTTATCTACAGACTATTCATCCACCTCCTAGAATAGTGACTGCTCCATGGTAAAGCACCTGTCTGGTTCTCTGTGACCCCAGATCTGGTAGCTATTAAGTACGTGCTCAATAAATAGTTTTTTTTTTTTCCTTTTTTTGGAGATGGAGTCTTGCTCTGTTGCCCAGTCTGGAGTGCAGTGGAATGATCTCAGCTCACCTCTGCCTCCTGGGTTCAAGTGATTCTCCTGCCTCAACTTCCCAAGTAGCTGGGATTACAGTTGCCCGCCACCATGTCTGGCTAACTTTTTGTATTTTTAGTAGAGACACAAGGGGGTTTCACAATGTTGGCCAGGCTGGTCTCGAACTCCTGACCTCAGGTGATCTGTCCACCTCAGCCTCCCAAAGTGCTGGGATTACAGGTGTGAGCCACTGCGCCCAGCCATTTTTTTAAAAAATAAATTTTACTGCATATATTTGAAGTTTACAAAGTGATATTGAGATACATATAGATAATAAAATGGCTACCATAGTGAAACAGATTAACATAGCTATCATCGCATAGTAATTTTTTGTGTGTGACGACAATAGTTAAAATCCTCCTAAAAGTGTCTAGCATAATTCTAACTATAGTCCTTATGTTGTACATTAGACCTCTAGACGCATATCTGCTACTTTGTATCTTTTGACCTACATATCCGTTTCCTCTCTCCTCCTCTGGTTCTTAGTATCCTCTGTTGTTGTTTTTTCTCTACTCTGTATATGTATGACTTTTTTTTAAGATTCCACGTATAAGTGAGATCATGAAATAGTTTTTTTCTTTCCGTGTCTCGCTCAATAAATGGTTTTAATAAATGAATGAAGGAGCTCACCTCTTTTGTATAAAGAAAATCCGAAGAAAAGATCTAGAAAAAGATTATGAAAATTAGACAGCACTGCCAATATCACCTGAAATCTGTAAATCCTTTTAAAGTTGCAACTATTTCAGTGAGAAGTGGCACAATTTTTCAGACCTTTGTTCTCGTCTCTTATGACCAATGCATGCTCATTGCTTCTTCATGCCCTATACCCATGTCCCTGCCACTTCCCCAAGCCACAGCCATAGAGACCTGGTCCAAAAAAAGCTAATCTTAACATTAACCCAAGAAAGTCTTATTAATGAAAAGGTTTGCTAAAAGCACTCTATTTATTAATTATTTGGCCTTAGAGAAGTGTGAAATCCACACATTTGAAGTGCTAAACACCGCTAGTTTATAATGAAGAATCTTTAATGATGCAATGCTGCCGATTTCTGGTTTTTTGACTCAAAGGTATGACTGCCTAGATTCTTCTGAGGAAACTGGACTTATGAGCTGTGTGAACTTGGGAAACTTGCTCAACTTCTCTAGACCTCTATTTCCTTACCTGTAAAATGGAAATAACAGTTCCTACTCTAGAGGGCTGCTGTATGCATTAGTAACAGAAAATGGGAAGGCTCTGGCACCTTCTGGGGCTCTAAAATGGTCCTTCAACTCTTTTTGAGATGGAGTTTCACTCCTGTTGCCCAGGCTGGAGAGCAATGGCACGACCTTGGCTCACTGCAGCCTCCGCCTCCCGGGTTCAAGCTGTTCTCCTGCCTCAGCCTCCTGAGTAGCTGGGATTACAGGCATGAGCCACCACGCCAGGCTAATTGTTTGTTATTTAGTAGAGACAGAGTTTCCCCACGCTGGTCATGCTGGGCTCGAACTCCTGACCTCAGGTGATACACACGCCTCGGCCTCCGAAAGTGCTGGGATTATAGGCATGTGTCACCACACCTGGCCCAGTTCTTTAACTGTAATGTAATGTCACTGCACCAGGTTTATATGTCTTCGTTGCTTGAACTGATATATAGGGTCCTAAAAGGGTTGAAAAAGGTTTTCTGTTCAGGACACCGTACTACATGGCATCTGGTATAAACCCATGATGCTTCTATTGCTAATGTTGTTGAAATTGAACATCTTTTCCAATCTTTGTATCTTCTTCAATTTTCAAAATGACATGGTCCTAAAAATTGTTTCCAAGTAAACAGAGCACTTATTGTGATATCTTAACATTAAGAGGGCACTATCTTAACATTAAGAGGGCACAAATCTTTTAATTTGAAATAGATTCTCCACTGAATAAATAGCAGGAATGAGGTTTTTGCCAGAAGGTAAGTATAGCCAAAATTCTTAAAATTTGTGACAGACTGTATAATTAAGTCTATGAATAGGCTGGAGGTGTTGCATTAAACAGCATGTCCCTCACTGGACGTCCAGTATTTAGTTCTTGTTGTAAAAACAACTATCACCAGAAGAATTCTATCAACTTCTGAAGCTACTACAACAATAGCTACACAAAGGTAAGTTATGCAAGCATTAAGTCAAAATGGCATGCTCAGGGATGACTTGCTGCTTAGAAAACATGCTGAAGGAGTATCTAAATGTCTAGGCACTCAGTAATCTAATAAAAATATGAAAAGCATGATGAGAAGGAATAACATTTTTAAAATGAACTCAAACTGAAGAAATTGAAATTCAGGGAATAAGCTAAATGAAACACTATTGCGGAGTTTAGAGATGGTGGGAGGCTATAGAAAGTTGGGCTTTTGCAGGGAACGGTGGCTCAAGCCTGTAATCCCAGCACTTTTGGGAGGTCCAGGTGGATCACTTGAGGTCAGGAGTTTGAGACCAGCCTGGCCAACATGGCAAAATCCCATCTCTACTAAAAATACAAAAAAATTAGCTGGACACGGTGGCATGTGCTTCTAATCCCAGCTACTCGGGAGGCTGAGGCAGGAGAATCGCTTGAATCCGAGAGGCGGAGGTTGCAGTGAGCCCAGACAGTGCCACTGCACTCCAGCCTGGGCAACAGAGCGAGATTCCATCTCAAAATAAAAAGAAAGAAAAAAAAAGCAAGAAAGTTGGGCAATGACATGCACTGTGTATCTACTATGCACCAGCACTATGCAAAGCACTGTGCTTTTTTTTATTTTATTTTTTTGGTGAGGCAGCGTCTCACTCTGTTGCCCAGGCTGGAGTACAGTGGTGTGATCATGACTCAGTGCCACCTAGACCTCCTGGTTTCAAGCAATCCTCCCACCTCAGTCTCCTGAGTAGCTAGGACTACAGACGTGTGCCACTATACGCAGCTATTTTTTTTTTTAATTTTTTGTAGAGATGGGGTCTCACTGTGTTGCCCATGCTGGTTTTGAACTACTGGCCTCAAGCAATCCTCCTGCTTCAGCCTCACAAAGTACTGGGATTACAGGCATAAGCCACTGCACCTGGCCAAAGCACTGTGCTTATACACCACAAATTTAACCTTCACATTCACCTAATTCTACCTAGCTCAGCATTTTATACATGCTGAAACTGCAGTTCAAAGAAGTTAAGAAACTTGCCCAAGTTCCCAAACTAATTAAGCAGTGGAGTCGGGATTTGAACCCAGCTTTGTCTTCCAAGTTCCTTAATCCTTAACATTAGACCAACTGTTAAGTGTTTAATGAGAACAAAATCTTAGATGGCGGCAGAATCCAGCCATGAAATGGACTGAATTGTACACACATCACTTTAAAGTTCTCTAATTTCTCATCCACAATACAGAAGAATAAAGCCTCAACTCTCTAAGCATCCAAGGCCTACATAATCTGGCCCCAAGGCACTTTCCTCTCCCATTCAATAAAATTTATAGAATATTTTCTGTACAAAAGGAATTAGGCTAGGCTCTAGAAGAGAAACACGCTGGAATAATACACACTCTCTGCCCTCAAGGAGTTTATGGTCTAGGAAGAGAAATGAGGCTAGAAGCCAAACAATGGTAATCAAAGACGGAACGATTAGATGGATAGATGTACTCAGGAAGGGCCTGAGACAGGTGCCCAGAGATGTTTCCTCCTAGGGTTGCCATGCTCTGGCTCACTGACCCCACTGCCCTAGCCACATCAGACCTATCTCAAAACTAGAAGCAGCCAGAGGTAACCCCATACCAGCTAGTCACGACAGAGAAAGCAGTGGCCTATGATATAGGGTTCCCACTGGAGATGATGACCAAGCAAACCAAGAAAATCACCTTCCTCAGTTGAGCTTAGATTCAGGACAGCTGCTTGGTTTTTCTTCTCCTTTTAAATTTCTAGGCTGGGCACAGTGGCTGACGCCTATAATCCTAGCACCTTGGGAGGCCAAGACAGGAGGACTGCTTGAGGCCAGGAGTTCAAGAACAACCTGGCCAACAGAGCAAGACCCGTCTCTAAAAACTAAAATAAAATAAAATAAATTTCTAATGATCTAGGTAACACATGAACACATTCTATCCGTAAAAAATTAAAACGTTACATGGGCAAATCAGTTTTTGTCTTTTCTCCTGCCACTCTCTACACACACTTCTGTCTCTAAAAATCCTTATTCCTGTCATGTTGGGTGCTATTTCCTTTGTGTGAAATGGCCACCACCCCCACCCCCACCCCACCAAATCTACTGAACAATGAATGATTCCTGAGCTGCCAGGCCTCTGCAGCTGGCACTTCCTCCACTCACTCCCCAGCAGTGGGCTGGGTCTGCCCCTCCTGCTCACCATACTTTGTGCACACTGCTAGCACAAGCTTGCTACACCACATTCTGCCTGTTTTTGCTTTTTCCTTGGCAGATTGTGAGCTTTGTGAAGGCAGGACCCACATCCTACTCCCAACTACTCCATCCTCCCAACCTCTGGCCCTGCATGAAGAATGTGCTACTTAATGATATTGCTACTGTTGACTTGAGTCTCTCCCTGAAAGAAAAAATATCTGAATATATGACATCATGGCTCATGGGACGCAGTGACTGTCTTCTTTGAATGGGCAGGCAGAAAGGGAGGGGGAAGCCGCAGGAAGACAGAGAAAGCACTGTGTTGGCAGGCACTGGGGATGCAAAGAAGAATGCAACAGGGCTCCTGCCTTCAAGGAGCTCACAGTCGTGTTGGATGCTTATGGAATGCAGAAATACCCATGAATCTTTCCTCTTCTTAAGCTCCAAGAAATCAAAGAGGAAGCCACAAGCACAGCTGAGACAGACTGGCAATGAAAGAGGACATGTGGCTGTTTTGTTCCCTAACAGAATGAACCTGGAAAGCTTAAAGCCCTTCTTACTTCAAAATTAGCTCAATCTTCCCTGTTTTTAATTCTTGTGATCTTCATCAATTTCAGATTTAGTATCCTACTTCAATCCACCACTGACAGAGAGCATAACATTCAGCATTTAATTGAGAAAAACAAATTTTCTAAGAAACACCTCAACTTGTTTATAGGCAGAATAGGTAAGAATGAACTGGACAAACGGAAGTCAGACATGCTAACTCAGGGCCTTATTCTCAGTACCCACAATATTTTCTACAGACAGAAGGAATATATACAGTCAACACAGCTTTATCTGCAAGCTCATTCACCACACAGAAGTTTGACTTCTAAAAAAAAAAAGGCAGAGCCCAAACTACTTATGTGGCTCGGGCCCTGAATGTTGCTTTGTAAAGATATCTCAGAGTGAAATTATCCAGCAAACCCTTGTGTGGATAGAAGGTTCCACAAGTCAACAACCGCTTAAGCAGTTTAAACCAACAAGCAAGATGCCCTCTATTTAAATGCTATGAGTGAATCTATTTTAAGCCTTTAAAAATCCTTTGGGCAGGTGTTTAAGCTGTGCACAGACTGAGCCTGTGGAGGCTCTGGGGGGTGGGGGAGGGCGGGCTCCACTCTCCATGCAGGCAACATTTTGTTCAGACAATCTTCCTGCAGCAGGTCATGTGACAAAGGCCAAATAAACAGCATCTGGGGATTTTCAATTACAGACCTTCGCCCAGCATGCCTGCACTGTAATCTCTACCAGATGAGGCTCAGGCCTCCCTATTTTCAATAATTCACACACTGTGTACACATAACATGACAATAAGTGCATTCATGGTGTGGCCTGATTCGCAGATCAAAGCTAGCAAAGGGCCAGCTGTAAGCATGCTCGGCTGCTGGATGATTCGTGCCTTTCACAGGCTTGGAAAGGCGCTCCGCAGGACCTGGCAAGCCGGCCTCTTTCCTGTGTGGTATGCTGAGCAAACTCTGAACATGAGCGGGGCACAGCCCCCTGGGACACCCAGAGAGGCGACCAATTCTATGTGCATTTGGGAGTACTGGGAAAGATTCAAACACCAACCTACTCCACAAGCTCCCTCTTGGATAGACTTGTCTTGGCTAGTGCAAGACACGTGCAAAAGGCCACCGCTAAAAGGGGCAGGTGGTTCTTGAGATGAAAACTGTTTTACAACAACAGTACGGTTTCCACACTTAATAAACCCTTAGCCAGGTGCAAGTGCTCAAGTTCACAAATCCACTGGCTGTGCAGTTCCCATTTAGCCATCACACACGTGTACACAGACTGAGACACAAACTACATGGAGGTATATTGTTAATGCATGTCACAGAGCTTTGGATCTGGGAAATGAAAGAGGACGCTCTGTTGTTATTACTGAATTCCCTACACATTAACTCAATTAACTCCTGTGCTAGACTAACACTTCTAGCTACTGTGTGTGCGTGTGCGCACACACACACGATAGTGCTTTGAAAGCATTCAGAGTTCTCAAGTCCACAACATTCCAAATGTCTCTTTCCCTGCAGAGAGAGCTGCAACTGGAGAAAATAAGGACACCACTTCCTCATATAAAAATTCTAGGCCCGGCACAGTGGCTCATGCCTGTAATCCCAGCAATTTCAGAGGCCGAGGGTGGATCACTTGAGGTCAGGAGTTCAACAACAGCCTGGCCAAGATGGTGAAACCCCGTGTCTACTAAAAATACAAAAATTAGCCGGGCATGGTAGTGGGTGCCTGTAGTCCCAGCTACTCAGGAGGCTGAGGCAGAGAATTGCTTGAATCCAGGAGGCAGAGGTTGCAGTGAGCCAAGATTGCGCCACTGCACTTTAGCCTGGGCGACAGGCGAGACCCTGTCTCCAAAAAAAAAAAAAAAAAAAAAAAAGATTTCATACACGTCAATCAGGGCAGGAACCAGGAGAAAGCCATAATGGTGACTTCCTTGGAGCCAACACATGCTGCTCACCAGCTGTGGGCTGTGTGTCCTTACCCCCTTTGCTCACTCATTCAGAATGGTTTCCTCTTAATCACAATAATCCCAAAAGTGCTAAAACATATCAATCGTTGGGTAAGCCCTGCCTACAAAGGGCCAGCCGGCTGGCTTTTATGGTCTTGTCCAACAGCAGCTGATACTTCATTCAGTAACAAATCCAATTTAGCAGTTACAAGAGGTTTAGCATCCCTGAAAAAAATATTGGGGTTGATCTGGCACTCTGAAGTCAGCAAATGCTCCACTGCCATATTGCTGTGGAGATTTTTCTGTCGTCATATTTGGATGTCTATAACCAACTGTCTCGCACCTTCCCCACCCCTGCCCCCCAATGATTTGATGCTGGTGGTGGCAACAATTTAATCCCTGGATTAAAAAATATAGGCAACAAATCACATGTGGAAACTGACTGAATAATGTGATTTTACCATCATCCCCTCAAACATAAAAAGGGGGAGGAACTGGCTTTCCTTTTCAAACAGGAATTTCTAACACGTTGAAAGAAAAAACTATGAGGAAAAGGTGATTTTACTCTAATCTCTGGACTCTTAGTTCTTAAGAGGAAAAAGAGATAAGCAAATGTGAAGTTTTTAACCTTGGATTAAAATTTGTCTTCTTAAAAACAATGGCGGCACTACCATAAAGACCTTGTAACTAAATTATTTACATTTATTTAAACATTAAAATGCTAAAACAAAAAAAAGCTTTAAGTCATGATGGGTGAAAATAAGAAACTGGCATAAAGAAAAGTTTCTGAATATTTAATGTACATTCTTTACAGTTTATATAAATTCAAGTTAAAAGAATCTCCAAAGAAAATAACTTGAATAATTTAGCTATAAGAGGACTTCACAACCAACAAAATGTCATTTTTAAGCAACAAGGTAATTTATAAAGTAAAAGAAAACGGAAATGATCTAATAGGAACATGGGCTGATTATTCCTTTAATATTAGGCTTCGTGGTCAATGGTTGGTTATTTAACCCGGCTCCAGTTTTAATAACAAAAAAGTGACCACAGAAACATCTGATTTTTAAAAAGAACAAGTTTTCAGCGCCATAAATGAGATGCATGCAATTATGGCTGGCAAGACATCAACAATGAAATATTCCATACATGGAGTTATTTCATGTGGTTTTAAAACTTTATTCTTTTCTCTAGACTTTTTAAAACACAAACTGAAAAGTAAAACAAAATAAACAACCAAACCCTGCAGATTTGAAAAGATTTAGCTTTTGTGAATAACAATCCATTAGATTAATATTTTGTCAATGTCACTTGTCACAACAAAAGCAGCAGCATTTATAATTTACTCTAAGACTGGTTTAATTAAAATTCAAAAAACCACAACAAAGCTATATTGAATTTCATTTCCCGCATTGTAATTACTTACTTCGTAGCTGACTATAAACAGTATTTTATTACATCCACAAAAATGCGTTTAAAAACTAACAGTAATTCGTAGACACTGGAAGAACTGAGGGAACAAGTCCTGTCACTTCTACTTTGAATAGAGTGCTACTTTCTACTTTAGTGTGACATAAGGAACGAGGATGCATGATCTTTTCCAATCTGAGGGGATCTATAGATCTGACAACATTACCTACCCTTAGAGCTGGGCTCGGACTCCTTGTGAACACAGATTTGGCAGAGCAAGATCTATGTGCACCCTCCCAAGACCAAGAAAGGGCCTGACTTGGCTCAAATCCAACAATGAGACAATAGAGGCTGCCAGGCATGATGGATGACTTAAAGGACTTAAAACCACCATTTGCATCCTCCCAGATAAACAATTAGCTAGAAAAAAAATTTTTTTTTTCCTGGAAGCAACTTCCAATGCTGTTACTCTGCCTAGCAGAATAGAGTTAGTTTAGTGAAATTAGAACAAAATTTGAAAATGTCTCAGACAAATGTTCTTAAAGTATCTCACTGGAATTAGAAGAAATAAACCATTCATTTTAGATTTTTTAAGTTTAGAATTTTAAAAGTTAGAAAAGGCTTTGATGCTTATAACTCTCTTAAAGTTAGTGTCAGAAGGTTTTCAATATATTTACTTAGTTCATTTTTGTATTCCTTCTTCCTTCATTTGAAATCCATGTAATTCTTAAAGGCAGCATAATAAAAAAAAATTCACTTATTGGACAAGGCAGGCAGGCATAAACACGATTTAAGCATGAAAAAAAGGAAACGGCCTTCAGACATGCTTGCCAGATAAAAATCAGTGGTTCTGAACCTGCATACAAGCAATTTTCTGGAGCTCATGAAGACCCAGGAGAGAATGCTTGAGAAACGACAGAGAAATCTCTTAAAAGTCACCCTGCATTTCTCTAGAATGAATTTACAGGACAGGCTAAGAGTATCTCCGGAAGTTCACCAAGCCTCCATTAATAAATGAGGCAGCAGTGTGGTTTCCGTGGCAACAGACTCCTAACTCCCGCAAGCTTAGTGCACAACTGCCAAAGATTTCTCCTCAAATCTCAACTTCCTGTTTCCAGGTACTGACAAAACCAAACATACTTTTAAGCCCAGGGAAACAGCAACAGTGTAAGGGTTTTCAATAGGTATTCTCGTAACGGTGGTTTGGTCAAAAGTGAGGTGGACTAGGCAGCTCCATCTTGCTGCAGAGATTTGGAGAACACTTTTAAAGGGAGCTAAGAGCCCCCTGAGAACGTTCAGTGAGTTAAATACATTTGCTGTAATATTATAATGTGTTATGACAAGCTATATATCATTATAATAGGTTCCCATGATTCACATTTGCCTGTTTTGTTTTGTTTTGTTTTGTTTTTTTCCTCTGCTCTGTGGAAATGATTTGGGGGTTTGGGTAAGCTTGATTCAGAATTCGGCACATGAGGAAAGCCGACTACATTTCTTTAACATATGTAACCTTGAGGTTTATAGGAGAGGTCACGATACATTTTAAAAGAGACCTTCCCAGACTATTTCATATGAACGGGTAAGTGTGGAAAAGTACAGACGCTAGGAGTCTGCCATTAGCAGTCACTGACTCTAGGTAAAGTTATCAGCCTTTGTGAGCCTCAGTTTCCCCAAAGGTCTCATACCCTATAATGCTATGATACCACGATAAGCCCTAGCTACTTTTACATTCCTTCCAAACACATGCAGAGAACACCAGAAAGCACTAGTGTGCTTCGATTCTCCATCTCCCATTTCCCTCTAAACACTGAAGGAGCTAAGCTACCAGGGTGCAAACTGAAGGAAGATGGCATATCTCCCAAAAAATGCAAGTAGCTGAAAGAAGGGCAGCTACCATGACAGCAGCCTGGAGGGGGAATGTGGAGGGATTCTCAGAAAAGCCAGAGAGAATTCTAAACCAACCCCTCCAAGAACAGCATGAAACCGACATTCCCCATTGAGTTTCCCTTGGAGAAAAATAATCGAGAAAAACTGTACTTATTCTTTATGCTAAGGCAGCGAACACACTTCCTAACCAGCATCCATCCCCACCATCTCAGGAGCTGCACTCACAGCAGACAGAGACTCTCTTAAGCCAGTAGCTTGCTAAGCACCGATTATAGGCATGGCCTGGTGGGGACAGCTAAGAAGACCAAAGGAGGGAAAAAAGACAGCTCTTCTGTACCCACTGAGCTTACATTCTATCCATGGTGTATAAGAGACGCAGGTAGGAAAAGAGGCAGAGCCACAGAGGCTACATATTTTTCAGGATTTCCCTTTTAAATTCTGTTCCTTTTCCCCTTTCACCTATGAATAAATCTGGGTCTGTGTCCCTCTCTGCATCCATAAAATAATGTAACTTCCCACATGACTCACACATGCACTGCCCTTAGCGTATTTTCATGTTAAAAGGCTTTAGCAGACAGTAACAAATTCCTGACAGCTACAACTGATAACTTGAGATGAGAAAAAGTATTCCATTTCAATTTTCAGACAGGTCTGGCTTGGGAACAAACCAGCTGAAGGACAGGGAGGGCAAATTTCCAGTACAACTCTCCCTATAAAAGCAATAAAGTTACTACCAATGGAGAGCAATCAAATATCCACCAGAACTCTGAAAGCCACTGGGTATCTCATCCCACTCCACTCACAGGGGCCCGTGCAGAAAGCCACCATTTGCATATAAACTTCCCTATGAAGTCTATGCCTTAGTTTTTCTACCTCAGAGAAAAATGAGAGGCTTCTGATAGGAATGGGGCCCCTTCAGCCTCGAGAGAAGATCTGCAGAGTTGGGAATATCTATTAACATAGACGGCACTTCCAAACTGCAGGAAGAGCACACAGCCGAACCCCAGACCTAGGCCCCCAGGCTAAGACACGGCCATTTATTTCGTGAAAGTGAAAATGAGTAAAAGTTAAGTGAAAGACTATTACGCAGAAACGATCAACCCCAGTACATGAATTTGGACTGACCTCTTTACAATTTAATTATAGGAGGTTATATTTACCAGCACAACACTGAATATGGCCTCTTAACTCTCACAAGCTTCTCATGGCTTCTTCTGACTCCCCATCCTTACACAACCATTCCATAGTGAAAACATCCATCTCTCAGACTCATCCACCTTCCACCCTTCTTGCCTTGGCCCGATTTCGTTTCTGGTCTTTTTTTTTTCTTTTTTTTTTTTTTTTGAGGCAGAGTCTCGCTCTGTCGCCCAGGCTGGAGTGCAGTGGCGCGATCCAGGCTCACTGCAAGCTCCGCCTCCCGGGTTCACGCCATTCTTCTGCCTCAGCCTCCCAAGTAGCTGGGACTACAGGCGCCCGCCACCACACCTGGCTAATTTTTTGTATTTTTAGTAGAGACGGGATTTCACCATGTTAGCCAGGATGGTCTTGATCTCCTGACCTCATGATTCACCCGCCTCGGCCTCCCAAAGTGCTTGGATTACAGGCGTGAACCACCGCGCCAGGCCCGTTTCTGGTCTCTTAAAGCTGCCTCCGAACTGTTTTCCTTACTTTCCATCTGTTCCCACTCTCACCCTTCCTTAAGGCTACAACCAGAAGGATCTTTCTTAGATTAATGAGTCTTACCACATTACCTTCAATGTGGGCTTTCTATCATATAGTCCCCTACTACACCTAGAATGCCAACTCTTGTTGCTGCCTGCAAATTTCTATTCATCTTTTAATATCCAACTGAAACAAACCCTTCCATTACGCGAAGTTAGTGATTCCCTGGTCGTGCTCCTTACGTTCTGAACCTGCTCTGATAACCCCCGCCACATTCTGGCATCACTTCTTTCCCAACCAACATCTCTACTACTCCCTAAAGTACTACTACACGGCAGGAGCTTTATCCTGTAATTTCTGTTACCTCAGTCCCCAGGACACAGCCTAGCACCTGGGACATAATAACTGTTAACTGAATGGACAGGCCAGAAACATGTGGACAGAGTGGATGCAGTATTTCTTTCTGAAGCTCGTGATCTTCAAAAAGAGCTTTGTTTTTTGTTTGTTTGTTTTGTTTTGAGACAGAATCTCACTCTGTCACCGAGGCTGGAGTACAGTGTCACGCTCTTGACTCACTGCAGCCTCCACTTCCCAGGTTCAAGCAATTCTCCTGTCTCAGCCTCCCGAGCAGCTGGGACTACAGGCGTGCATTACCACACCCGGCTAATTTTTGTATTTTTAGTAGAGACGGTGTTTCACTATGTTAGCCAGGCTGGTCTCAAACTCCTGACCTCAGGTGATCCACTGGCCTCTGCCTCCCAAAGTGCTAAGATTATAGGCGTAAGCCACCATGCCCGGCTCCCAGTTTTTTTTTTTAATAAGTAAATTGGAATGAAAAATATTGTTTTGAGAAAAAAGAATATTTGGGAATTGTCCCAAGTCTATGAAAAACAATGCTCAGAGTTCTGTCCTAACTTGCTTGTGTGGTGACGTGTCTTTTGTCAAAAGGAATTTATAAGTCTGTTTCCCCAGTTTGAGCGGCACAGATTTTCTGTTGAGAAACCATTTTATGTCACGTGTGTGGTTTCTCATCCAAGCTTCCTAATTGCAAAATATTATCACTCTATAACCAACAAGCAAACAACGAAAATATTTTTAACTGTACTGCCTGGGCTTAGAGAAACTCTCTTAGAGACTTTAATATTAGAGAATCAGAAATGTTTGGCTCTAGAAAACACTTTAGAGACAATTTCATCTAACAATTTCAATTTTGCTGATGACAAAATGAAAGCAAAAAGAAACCAAAAGACGTGCACAAGGCCACAACACTTGTGGGTTTACTAAGAATATCCTGACTCTGAAGCAGTGCTCATTTTAAAACCAATCTATAATAAACTTTTGTTTTACATGAACGTTTTACTTAAAATGTTAAAATTTATCTTCAAAGTAATCCCATCATTAACATTTAGTAAACACATGAAACATGTCTTTAATTTGCTGCCAGTATGATTTGAATCCAAAAGTATTCTTAATTAAAGAAAACCAATTCAGATATATTTGGAATTTATATCTCAGAGGCTATTCTGATCACAATTACACAATCGAAAAGTAAAGGTTGGTTTTCTCCCTTAAAGGATCAAGGGCCTAGGGATATTCTTGGAGGCCATGTAGCATCGTCCACATTAAGCATTATTACCCAAGGACAATACAGTGCTCCAAATGCCCCTAAAAAGTAGAATCCTATTTGTCACACATTTCTCCTGAGTGTATTACAAGTTTCACAAAAGGAAGTCCCGTATTAACACAGAACCCAGAACTTCTGTTATTAGGTCTCATGAGGATGTGTTGTAAGTCATTAAGTGACAGTATTGTCTTCAAAATCCCATAGATTAGGCTGGGCACGGTGGCTCACACCTGTAATCCCAGCACTTTGGGAGTCCCAGGAGGGCAGATCATCTGAGGTCAGGAGTTCGAGACCAGCCTGGCCAACATGGTGAAAACCAGTCTCTACTAAAAAAATACAAAAAAATTAGCGGGCGTGGTGGCAGGCACCAGCTGCTTGGGAGGCTGAGGCAGGAGAATCGCTTGAACTCTGGAGGCAGAGGTTTCACTGAGATGAGATCGCGCCATTGCACTCTAGCCTGGGCAACAAGGGCAAAACTCAGTCTCAAAAAAAAAAAAAAGAAGAAGGAAGAAAGAAGGAAGAAGAGGAAGAGAAGGAAGAAGAAGAGGAAGAGGAGGAAGAAGAAGGAGGAGGAGAAGAAGAAGGAGAAGGAGAAGGGAGAAGGGAGAAGGGAGAAGGGAGAAAGAAGGAAGAAGGAAGAAGAAGGAGAGAAAGAGAGACCAGAGATGCGTGAACACAAAGGAAAGGCCGTGTGAGGACACAATGAGAAGACGGCCATCTACAAGCCAAGGAGAGAGGTACCAGGAGTAACTAAACCTGTTAATACCTTGATCTCTTGGGCTTCCAGGCTGCAGAACTGGGAGAAAATTAATTTCTGTTGTTTAATCCACCCAGTATTCTATTATGGCAGCCCTACCAGACTAGTATAACCTATCTGTAGCTTCCAAAGAGACTCTAATCTCATTGAGAACAGTAGCCAAAACTGCCCTGTCCGTTACTGAGGACCCGATGCCTGGCCCAGGGCAGGGGCTCAATGAAAAAATAACAGAAAGCCCTTTTCTTGTTTGCAGAAATTAAAATAATAATAATTTTAAGCACACAGCCAAAGAGTATGAGGGGAGTAGCTACTTTTCATATTAATAGCTAAGTGGGCAAGAAAGGAAGAGGGTAACCAATTATACCGTCCCTTTTACTCTCAACAGATTTTTAAATATGCTTGCAGCATAAACTTTTGGACATTATAAGTAGTTAATTTCAAGATAATTATGGATGAAGAGTAAGTTAATTAAGTTGTTTGCTTTTATACACTAGGGTATATATGAGTTTGCTGGGCTTGAGAAAAAGTCACTGTGGGATGTGCATCATTAATCAACTTGCGCTTAGAGGCTGAACGTTAACAAAGGACACATCAAAGCTGAGTTAGTTGTATTTAACTCTGCATTTCATAATACAACACTTTCCAAAGGTGATCTTTGCCAAAGAAAAATAGATCCGCTTTTTCTTGTTATGACAAATGTACCATTACTCTCCGACTTTTACCCTGCTAAGTCCGTGATGCAGTGAAAGTTTACCAAAATAACCTCTAAGGCAGATAAACTAGTTGGTGGAATAGTCAGCACAAGAATGGGTGGTTTTCCAGGGACTGAAATCAGAAACTGAAAGGTGGCACAAAAATAAATACATTCTGGAGCTTTAATATACAGCAAGTTGACTATAATTAGCAATCCTGTAGCATATATTTGAAATTTACTAAGGCCCCTAAAGTTTACCAGGTTCCAAAATTACCAAACCCGCTCTCTCCTCCAAGCTAAAGTCTCATGCTCGCAACATAACGATTCCAGTTTGGGGTTAGGAGGAAGCAGTCTAGTTGAACTCATCCACACTACACTAAGTGACCCCTTTATTCATCATCGCGGGAAAAGCAACAATTTTTTTTTTTTTTTTTGAGACGGAGTCTCGCTCTGTCACCCAGGCTAGACGGCAGTGGTGCAATCTTGACTCACTGCAAGCTCCGCCTGCCCGGTTCACGCCATTCTCCTGCCTCAGCCTCCCGAGTAGCTGGGACTACAGGCGCCCGCCACCACGCCCGGCTAATTTTTTGTATTTTTAGTAGAGACAGGGTTTCACCGTGTTAGCCGGGATGGTCTTCATCTCCTGACCTCATGATCCACCCACCTCGGCCTCCTGAAGCGCTGGGATTACAGGCGTGAGCCACCACACCCGGCCTAAAAGATCTTTTTTTAATTTTGCTTCTAACTGACAGATAAATTTGTGATATCATATGATGTTATCATATATGTATACATTGCAGAATCATTAAATCAGGCTAATTAACACATCTGCCACCTCATATTCTTATCATTTCTTTGTGACGAGAACATTTAAAACCTAGTCTTTTGGCAATTTTGAAATATACGCCACATTATTATTAACTATAGTCACTATGCTGTGCAAGAGATCACTAGAACTTATTCCTCCTAACTGAAACTTTGTACCCGTTGACTAAGACCTCTCCTTTCTCCATCCACCCCCAAAAAGAAAATATTAATGCTTTCAAATAAAACTCCAAATAGCAGCATTAAGGCATTCAGAATCCCTGAGTTTGCCTCTTTGAATAGAAGTTCTCTTCTTCTATTTCTCTACCTGTAGATTATGAAAAAATAACACATTCTTCTAGGCCAGCCATATGTTAGAAAGAAACTAGAGTTTGTTTACTTAAGTGTTACCATTTAAAAACCTCAGAGCCACCGGGTACGGTGGCTCACGCCTATAATCCCAACACTTTGGGAGGCCAAGGCGGGCGGATCACATGAGGCCAGGAGTTGAGACCAGCCTGGTCAACATTGCGAAACCCCTACTCTACTAAAAATACAAAAAAAAAAAAAAAATTAGCCGGGTGTGCTGGCACGAGCCTATAATTCCACCTACTTGGGAGGCTGAAGCTGCAGTGACCGAGACTGCGCCACTGCACTCCAGCCTGGGTGACGGAGCAACACTCCTTCTCAAACCAACCAACCAACCAACCTCAGAGCCAAATAAATTTATTCTCCCACAAATATGAAAATGCTCTGCAAGTATAAATTCTAGACCTACATTGGGTAATAAACTATCAGCATCACCAGGAATCTATCCCAAACCAGTAAAAATCAAATTCTATCACAGTGGCCGATCTGCTGCTTTGTAGCTAAAAAAAACCAACAAGGTTTGACCCCATTACACATACTCACTGCCGGTTTTGGTGCATTAGCTCCCAATCTCCCTCTGTAACTTCCTGAGCTATAACAAGAAGCTCTGAACCCCATGAAAGTGATATATATTGTCACAGAGACATGGTCAGCCTTGTGCAACTAGAGGCAATATAAAAAAATCACAAAACTCTAAAGCATTTTCTCTATATACACAATTGTATTTACCCTCTGCCTTTCAGAACTCTCAGGAAGAAACAGAGTCAAAACTTATCTATAATTGCTCTGTAATCTCAGCACTTTGGGAGGCCAAGGCAGGAGGATAGCTTGAGGCCAAGAATTTGAGACCAGCCTGGGCAACACAGCAAGATCCCACCTCTACAAACAAACTTAAAATTAAGAAAAAAAAAAAAAAAGAGTGGGCACAGAGGTGTGAACCTCTGTAATCCCAATACTTTGGGAGGCTGAGGCAGGATGATCGCTGGAGCCCAGGAGTTCAAGACCAGCCTGGGCAACACTGTGAGACCCCATCCCTACAAGAAAACAACACACAAACAAACAAACAAAAAATATCTTTAATTGGTAACAGGTACCATTTATCAAGTGTCTACTGTATACCACCAGGCGTTGTGCAACACACTTCCCATACATCTCTCTCCACTATCATAAAAGTCAACAGAGGCTGTCATTATTTTCATTTTACAGATGAGGAAACAGCCTCAGACCAATTAAGGAGCTCACTCAAAACACAAATCTAATAAATGGTAGCACTGGGATTTCAGCCCAGGTCTGTCAGATTGCACTGCCCTTAAAAGGAGGTCATGTCAGATGTTCACAAGTCCAAAGTTTCCATGGATATCTGTTACAGCCACTGTCTATCCTATGTGACAAATGATTTAAAAAGAATAGTCTAAGTAAATCAAACACCAGAAAATCTATTCCACATAACTCATATCTCACCCTCCCCTCTACAAACGTCAACTGACTAATTCATCTTCCACACCTCAAATGGTTTGTTTTACACCAAATTATAATTATTCCCCAGGGCTGGTCGTCAGCCACTTATTCACATTGGAAGTACAGGTTGCTTGACATCTAGTTTGATCCAAGTCATCTCTCTCGGATTCAAATCTTAAATTCTCATTCCTCAAAATGCAACAATTGCAACTCAATTCCATAAACATTTATTAAGTCCTTACATAACTGCCTGTGTCAAGCAAACAGACACAGCCCACGCCCAAGGCAAGCTCAAGGTCTAGTTGGGGAAATAAGCAACCAAATGAGTAAACACAAGGAGGGGGCAGCTAATTTGGTTTGAGAAATTCGGGAGGCACCTATGGGATTCTTGAAGAATGAGTGGGAATCTATAAAATGACTAATTAAAGAAAGAGCATACTAAGTACAAAAAAGGGACAAAATGGTACCATAACTTGGAAATATTAATTCTGTGTGACCAAATGGGAAGGAAGAATAAATGGTGGAGGCAGTTTGTGAAAATTGTTATATATGAAAACTTTATCCTGTAGGAAAAAAGGAACCAACGCTTTTTTTTTTAGTAGCATGGCAACAGGAGTAAATGTAACTAACGTTCTGGCTCTCTCAGCAAGCAGGAGGTAATGCAAATTCCACATTTTCAGATTTTACATGCCCAGTCTATTGGGTCACTAATGATGAATGTCAAAAGAAAAACAAAGCTACTTATAGTTCTCCTTTTTCATTATCTTAGTTCAGGTACAGCACTCTTCTGCTTTGCATATATTAGATTCATGTTGTACCCTGCATTAAAATATTCAGCACAAGGAGGCCAAAGAGAAGGCAGACCTGCATTTCAGCACATCTCTGCAGGCTGCAATGCAATGTTCATAATTAAGATGATCTGAATTCCCCCCAAATCTTCTTTTTTCAACTCATTGATAAAGTCTTGATTAAAAATATAGACATTTTGTCATCCTTACTACATTTATCTCACCTCAAAACTCTCCTGACTTGGTGAAAGAAAATGCTGCCTTCTCTGTCTGGTCAATTATTGCATGGACACAAGGGACCAATTAATGCCATCCATAAAAGCCTGAATCATTCTGTCAATTAACAAGAACTAACTATGTCATCAGATATATTACTGGTGAGCAAGTCTATTTGGTTGCAATATGTCTTGAAGGAGAGCAGTATCAAATGAATCACAATTGACTTGGACAACTGCTAGCATAATTTCGGAAGATGAAAAGACAGATGTGGTAGTTATTAGTGGTCCCCTGAGGAATTACAGCCAAGCAATTGTAATGTGCTAAGACTGCACTAGCAGGTGCCTGCAGTACAAATCAGACAGAGGGTTAAATCAATATTTTCAATTTCTTAGGATCAATCTGGTGTTTGAACGAGATGGAAACTTGTTAGCAATTGGCAGGATGTGTAAATGAAAAGTCAAACTTCTTCTTATTTGTTAAAAAGGAATGAGTGTTCTGCATCATGCCCTTGGCACAAGGTAATGCTTTCATGATCCAGTAGCTGGGGCATTCACTGAGAATCAAATGGTTCTTAAATTTTAATAGAGTGCAAAAGGTTAGCTTCATAGAGGTTGAACATTCAAGATCTTTAAAAATGACTGAAGTGTCAATAGGAAAGTTTTGAGCTGTGACAACAGTATAGTTATTAATGATTAGTGCAAGAAGCAGAAGGAAACCTTAAACTTAATGGAAAGAGGAGAAAAATAAGGTCTTACCAAGAATGTATAGATTAAATTTGGTCTTGGGAACATTATGCCTTTTCTCACTTTGCTAAGAAACAGTTTAGCTTTGAGGACAATTTATCAAAAACTTGGATTTTTCCCCCTAGTCTTCTATGCCGTATTTATAACCCTTGTTGAATGCTTGGATTAACTGAACAACCGTCTCTGACAATGTTTGATCTCATTTTTTGTTAGTTTGCTTGCTTTCAATTTAGGGATAAACAATCCTTCATAGGCCCCCAAATTATGAAGATACAAATGAACAGAGCTTAGAAGCTTAGAATTGTAAACAAAAAACCTGTAACCTAATATATTTTGTGTGTACATAGTAATCATTTTAATCACCATGAGGGTTGGGGGTGGGGGGACAGTGTGGTTTATTGGGAGTCAGAGACGTGGTGTGAATCTGAGGTCTGCCACTTACTCACCATGGCACTAGGATCAGTTCCACAGTGCTAAGAAACTTGCCGGGGGGCAGCTTTCCTACCTCTTAATACCTGTTGAGAGCAGTAAATCTCCTGCCTGGCATATCAATTAAAAGTGCAAATATCTGCATCTTACATGCTATTTAAAAACAAGTGGCATATTTCAATAAGTAAAAAATAAGTAAATGTATTATTGTGCAATATAAATATTATAGGCAAACTGAGACTCTACATTTTTTTTTTTTTTTTGAGACAGCGTCTCACTCTGTCACCAGGCTAGAGTACAGCAGCATGATGATCTCGGCTTGTTGCAACCTCTGCCACCCAGGCTCAAGTAATCCTCCCACCTCAGCCTCCTGAGTAGCTGGGACTACAGGCACACGTCACCACACTTGGCTAATTTTTAAAATTGTTTGTAGAGATAAGGTCTCACTATATCAGCCAGGTGGAATATTTTCCTTTGGTAAAACAAACAAACAAAAAACACAACAACAACAACAAAAACACCTCTAGAACCCTATTTTTAAAAACCATTTCAAACAATAATTTCTTGACTATACAAGAGCAAGATTTTTAAGACACAAAGACAATAAGGCAGAGCATCTGCCCTCAAGGAGTTTGGGGGGAATATGTACTCCTCAATTAATGGCAAACAAGGCAGATCTAAGATCAGCTCAGGGCACTGGGGGAATTCAGGGAAAGAAGAAAGCCCTCAGCTGGCAGAGGGGGCAGGAGAAGGACAAGCTCTATAGGAAAGAATTCATGGAAGAAACAAAATTTGAGATGGGCTCTGAAGAAGGGTAAGATTTAGACAGGGCTGGGGAGAGTTAGAAGGAAGAAAACCAGACAAGGAAGGCTTCCTGGAGGAGGAACCATGGAGTGGTGAAATGGGAACCAAAGAAGGAAGAAAGTAAGAAATTTCAGGCAGAGAGAGCTTCGTCTGCCAAAGCAGTTGCTTCAGTGGAACTGAACGGCTGGAACTAGCCTCCACAAGAGCAGAGAACAAGAGAGAAGGAGGGTCATGGGCTCACCATCACCAGCACTGAGGTCCTGCGGCAGATGAAGGGCAGGAGGAAGAAGGGCCTGTCCGTAAACCCAGCCAGAGGGAGGATAGAAAAGGGAAGAGAATCAGCGGATGGGGGCAGAGATGGGTGTCTCCCTCTCCCTACACCTTTTGCTTGTTTTTTCCCTTTAAAAAACTGGCTCGTTTTTCCCTTTAAATAGGAATTACAATGTGAATGTGCATGTGCATGTGCATGTGCGTGTGCGTGCATGTGTGTGTGTGTGATTGCAAATATAACTGACACAAAATATAATTTATATATAATTAGTGTATATACATATATTTATACATATTATATACACGTTAACCAGGCTAACAGATTTTTTTAAAGGATGAGCACGTTCTAGATTTTGTTTATTAAGACCACGTGAGCAGCAGGCACTCAAGAACAAAGGGGCTGGGCTGTGTCGTGTGGGGAGGCTGCAGTCTCCCAGACAAGAGGAGGTCCTGAGAGCCTGGGCACCACTCCCTGCCTGCTTCTAAAAAGGAGGGTCTCTGCAGCCAGATGTAACATGAAGCTACCCTTCAGGAGCTGGTAGGAGAGGCCAAGACTCAAGCTGCCTAAAGAGGTAGCCAGGTTTGGGTTGAGTCTTCCTTAAGGCCTAGGACTCCTTAAGTCTTCCTACTTCTGGGCCCCTTGCTCATCACAACACTGTCCACTGGGATGCCCCCCACTGCCAGCCTTTGTGGATCTTCGTAGGTCAGGTATCCTCTGACCTCACCTGCCAGGTGAGGCATGGTCTTGCCCACTCCCCAAGATGCTGTCTTCCTTTGTTTATTTGGTCTTTGAAACCTCAATCACCTCATGGCTCTCTGAATTCTCTCCTCTTAGCAAGGCTAAGCTCCTCTATTTCCCAATGGCTCGGGGGCTTTCCCACAGCCCCAGGGGTCCTTTGTCTGATGCCCTTCTGGCCTCTGTGTCCATGCACCTGTTCTCCCTCTATCTCTCCACTCCCAAGGCCCAGCTCAGGAAAATCACCTCATCAAACCTCTCTGACCTTCTCAGAAATGTCCCTGCCCTGCTCTATGGACAGCTATGAACTCCTACCCTACCCAACCCATACATGTAAATGTCTTGTGCTGGGTGTTATGGAGAAATAAAGATGGCCTCAACAGCCCCTTGATGCCAACACCCAGGTATTCCTGTCTCAAGAATTATACAAGAGTAAAGCACCAGATACAGTCTTCAGGATACAGCAACTGCTCAATTGCTCAATCTTATAAACACCTGACTGAGTTCACTGGGCCTACTCTCTACAACTGGACAGTAAAAGGCTAGCAGAAGCACACACCATGTATTCCTGCTTCTCCACCTTTCATGCTAACAGTGGAGAGCTCAATAAATACATGGATAAAGGAAGAAAAATGTTTAGCCAGAGGATCAGTATGAGCATTATCAATGTTCCAAGTCAGCAAGAATAAAAAACAAATTCAAGGTCCTTTCCTTCAGTTTGGATTTTACTTCTAAAGGCAAACATTAGGGTAAGCAATGTTTTCTGCATTAGTCTCAGTTGACACTAACTGGTCAGGAGAAACCAGTTGCTCCGAGGCATACTTCAGGGTCCTGGGTGAGCATGGGATATGTCAAGGCCACCTGGGTTGGGAGAGTTTAAGGGATGCTTACACAGAGGGAGGGAGACGTTTGGTAGGCAAGGTCATTTGTTCATTCATTCTCTCACGTATGTTTTGAACAATTGCCTTGGGCCAGCCACCACGGAAAGCTCTGAGAATTCAATGGTATGGTAAATATGAGTCTCTGTCATGCACCTTCTTTAGGGTCTACTGGGTCAAAATCCGCTGGATAAAAATCCTGCCTGCTGCACTTCCGTCTTGGGGAGTTTCTCTGGATCAGAGCCTCTGCTTCCACCACCACTACCTCAATCAGCAATAACAAACCGATGGCTCTTAAGGGCGAGGGGGCTAAAACCACAGAAAAGGAGATGGAAAGAGGAAGCAGGAAATTTTCTTTCCGATATTTAAAAATCCTCACAAAACAGTGAATCTATGCTTCATAAACATTATCATCTGCAGAAATATACACAACAGAATTTAACTAATTTATTTAAACTCCAACTTGTCCCCAAAACAGGCAGGTTTCAAGAAATACGGGGTAAAAAAAAAAAAAATTCAGGACAAAAGAGTCAGGAGTAAGGCTATACAGAAAAAAAAAAAAATGCAAATCAATAAGAAACAAGGACTCCATGCTGACGCCAGTTAAGGAAAAGTGAGTTAGGAAACCATTCGCTTAGATTTTTTGGTTAATAGGTACCATTTAAAAAAAAAAAAAATCACTCAGTTAAAAAAAAAAAAAACCCACACTCCCAAGGGCTATGCATATTGCCTGACTTCAGTTTTGTGAAAACAAAAGCTGTATCTTTAAGAAATTCAACTCAAACATCAGCTTTTGAAACCAAGGTTCAGCAAACAAGAGCCAATAAAAATGCTGTAACTTGAAACCAACCCACACAGCACAAAAAGAAAGGAGAGAGGTCTGCCCGGGTCGCCCTCAACACACCCTTCTAACTTGGTTCTAGAACAGCAGTGCCCAGTTTGCAAGACAAGAAGCTAATTGACTCGAATGTCTGCTGCATAAGCTATAAAATAAGTACATAAAGAACAATATGAACATACAGCGCCATCAGTTACATAAAAAGGCCTGACTGTCCGACGCCACACTGTGCACCGAACAAGCACAGCAATTGTTTCAGCGGGCTGCACGGAGGAAGAATGAATAATTAGCGTCCTTGTGAATCAAGTCTCCACCAGGAAGAGAGCTCCATCCTGCAGCAGTGGCACGGCAGCACCCTCAGCCCGCCAGAGTCAAGCTGGGGTTTTTAAACGTCTTTATTGACAATCAGGATGCAGGCAAACATATTCTTCAGCCAAGTAAACCGACAACTAGCTCCACTGTGGTCACTGCTCATTGGCTGGAACACCCGCTTCTTGTCTAAAGTCTCACCAACTGCTACTTTCCATTACCAGGAAATGTCATTTTCCCTCACTTGTTTATTTTTGCATTGGCTAGGAATACAACAACTTCTGCTAAAGGTGGAGGGGCTGTGACAAAAGCATCCATTTGAGCTGTCCTGGCACAACAGGCACAACACAAGAAGTCCCTAAACGTTTCTTTCCAGAGAGTATGAGTAGAGGGAAGCAAGGAGTAAGTATCTTTGATTCTAGGATTTTTCTCCTTCTCCCATATCACCAGTGTCAAAAGATGTCTCACTTCCTCCTGCAAATGTGATAATAGGAGAGCAGGATGTGTGGACTGTCACTAGGACAAAAACCCACTGAAAAACCACTGGAAGTGTCTGATGCGTTTGACAGTCTGCAAAACAGGCAACATAAAGCAAAGGAATGACCATAGGACCTAGAATCAGTAGATGGGATTCAAATGTCTGCTGTCTCTCAAGAGCTGTATCATTTTTAGCAAGTCATTAACTTATCTGGGTCTTACTTTTCCTACTTGTAAAATAGGGATACTAAGTGTTCTCATCCACACCAACACACCCACCCCAAGCCTAGGGTTGTTGACAGAATGAAATGAGATTATACACAGGAACTTCCTTTGATATGAATATGATTCTATAACTTCATCTATTTGAAAACTCAGAAAATGCTGGGCACAATCCCAGTATCTCATGAATATTTACTATTTGCTTAGCACTGAGAAAGCCCCTAGGAGATGCAGAGAATTAAAAGGTACAGTTCCTGACTATGAAGAACTCATGGACTAGTAAAGTCAGGATATGTAAGTTCAGGGCTAACAAAAACTCAGGCATAGTCCACTGCTGATAATTACTCTCAATGCTTTTCCCTCATCTCACTTAATTCTTCACTACTCAGGAAAATCCACTGAGTTCTATCCAGAAGGCTTACAGCCCTAAAAACAATAACAACAGAATTGATAAGTGGCATCTCTCCAGCACCCAGAGGTATTCTTGGAGACAGAGAGTTGAGAGGAATTCCCTATTGCCCTTGAGTTACTCTATGAATTCAAACCATGGGAGTACAAGAGCCCCAAAGGAAATCATGTCTGAAGTGACAAGAAGAATTTGCTGCCAATCTTTCAATTAAAACTTTTTTAAGATAAGACTCTACATGCAATGCCTAGGAAAACCTAGTTCAGGAACCTCTAGAGTCTGAGCCCTAAGCTCACAGGTCTGAAATCCAAACTGTAATATTACTTAATAATGGGTTCCTATATGCTAGGTACAAAGCACTAAACATTTACACACATTTTTTCATTTGATGCTCAAAGCAACACTAAGAGAAAAGGAATTTTCTTATCTCTATTTTGCAGATGAAGTGAAGGATTTGATGGAGTTAAGTAACTGACCCAAGGTTTGCAAAACCGGTAAGAGGTGAACCATGATTTGAACCCAAACAGGTTGATTTCAAATCCCATGCTAATTTATCACACCGTGATTGTTATATTACTCTCACTTATGTCTATTTCCCACTCTGCTGTTCATTTCTGGAAAATTACTTAGTCACACTGTTTTATTTGCAGGACAAAAACCACTATGGATTCCCCACTATGGAGGACCCAGAGTTGACAGGGAAAGTGTAATCCAAGGTACAAAGTCCCACAACTTTATGTACTTCTCCAAGGAACTATTTTCTCCTGAAAGGTTTGGTGAGTTCGAAGATGTGACAGAGACCTACAAGAGCCCAGAAAGTGGTAATATTTTTGAGTGGTAAGTAAAAATATGTTCAACCTAACTAGGAACAAGAGAATATAGTTAAATAATGTGCTCACTTTTCACCCATTTTCACCCACTGAATGAGCTAGCAAACCTTCTCGAAAAGTAATTTGACATGCTGTGCTTCCAGTTTAATATCTAAGAACTCTTTGCCTAACTCAAGGTCATGAAGACTTTTTATTATGTTGTGCTAAAAGATTTAGCTTAACCTTCTACACTTTAGCCTAGGATCCATTTTGAGTTAAATTCTATGTACCGTGTGCGGTAAGAATTTAAATTTACCTTTTTTGCATGTGGATATCCAATTGTCCTAGCACTATTCATTGAAAAGACTATTGAATTGAATTGCTTTTGAATTGCTTTGGTACCTCTGTAGAGAAATCAATTGACAATAATGTAATGGTTTATTTCTAGACTCTCAATTCTGTACCATTATCTATGCTTACACCACTGTCTATCCTTACACCAGTAACACACTGATTTGAATAGTATAGCTTTGTAGTAAGTTTTGAAACTAAGAAATATAAGACCCCTAATCTTTTTTTCTTCCCTTTCCGAATTGTTTTGTTTATTCTAGGTCATCTACATTTCTATACTGTTAGAAACAGCTTGACAATTTTTTTTAAAAAGATGCATACTAAAATTGTATAAGGATTGCACTGAATCTACAAATCATTTTAGGAAGATTTAACAATATTGAGTCTTCCAATCCATGAACATGGGATAACTCTCATTTAGCAATAAACTAGTCTTGCACTGATTTTATTAAATTTATTCCTCAGAATTGTGTTCATAATGTGGGTTTCAGATTGCTTGGTGCTAGTATGTAAAAATACAATTGATTTTTGTATACTAATCTTTTATCCTGTAAGGTTGCTGAACTCATTAGTCGGTTCGTACTTTGGGGGAATCGGGATTGGGCATGTGTTCCTTTAGGTTTTCTAGTACAGGCTCAATTCATCTGAAAATAAAGAGAGTTTTCTTTCTTTCTTCCCAATCCGGATGCCTTTGATTTCTGAACCTGCAGTACAATTTTAAATATAAGTAGCAAAAGTGGACATCTCTGCCTGGCTTCAGATCTTAACAGGAAGCCACATTAATAAAGTGCATGAAGAAGCAGTCCACCCAAGCTATTATCTTTCTTGAAGACTTTACGAAACAGAACTGGCTAAATATTTTCTTATACTGATGAACCATGATCACATACAAATAAAAAACGTACTTAGAAACTTTAAAAAATGAGTGTGTGTTTTAAATTAAGAACAGAATCAAAAATGTCATCTAATAGATGAAAGATAAAATTACTCATAACAAATATATGAAAAAACAGCACCATCTCATGTAATGAATGCTCGAAGTAGAGAGAAGGAAACAGAAGGGAGGGCAAACAAGGGCAGCAACAGTCCGGGAGAGACTGCAATCACTGCCAGCTTCCGAACAGGCTCCAGGTCAGCACGGTTCTGCCAGGCCAGGAGCCCGGCCCCATCAACCCTCTCTACCTTCTACTCACCCCAGAGTTCAGGACTGGGAGGAACTGGCAGGAATGGGGCTCTAGCAATCTGGCCCCAACCCTCACCCCCATCACCCAGCTAGGAGTAAACTGGTAATGGCCTGGAAGACAAGGAGCCTCCAGTGGGAGCTCTCACTCAGCAATTTTCACACAACAGTCTCTTATCTTAACAAAGCAGCCGGACTTCTTTTTGAAAACTTGGTTCCCGGATGGAAACAATCGGGCAGTATCCAACATTGTTTGAAAGAACACACTGGTTCCAAAGACCTTGTTTTCTCTGAAAGGTGAAAGTTTAGATTCCCCAGCAAGAGGCATAGCTGGGTGTTCAGAATTTGACTGCTGGAGGAAACTGCCAGCTCTGAGGCACCCTCTCTCTCTATCCTATACACAACTTCCAGCCTGGAGCACAGCACCTGCCTAGAATAACTACTGCGTACACACTTAGGCAAGTCTGCAGACAACGGCTGAATATTTACTGTATGCAGAGCCCAGTGTCCAGTGTAGTTATTTTTAATTTCATATATTCCATTATACTATGCAATAAACCTGATAAGGAAGGATGAGTGGAGGAGTAAATAAAGTAGACATTACAATTGGGGATTTCACAGAAAATACTGTTTGAAAAATGACTTCCTCAAGGGATTTAAAATCTTGTGAGAAAGGAAACAATGAAGAAGTTGGAAATGCAGACAGAACTAGAGTTCATATTCTTAATTTTACAGACGTTCTCATTTTCTGGTGTCTCGGAGAAGTGAATAGCCCCAATCACTTAGTCTCCCCCAAAATTAGAATAAATGTCTCCCTGGGGTAGGGTAGGTGAGCCTTTGTGAACATTCTACCACATTTTATGATGGGAACTCTTCAGTTTACATCCCTCCCTCTCATACCCACTGTATCCCTCAACAACTGTCACTCCTGCCTCTGTAATCTCTGTGCCTGGGACATAATAGTTGCCAAGGAAATGTATCTTCTTCCTTTCCTCTGCTAATGGGATTTTGGACAAAAAAATCTGACACTGGACATATCCCCAACATAACTCCAGTGATGTAACACTAGTGCATATCCCAGCTTTGCACCTTTTCCCATCCAAAGGTTGGTGCATTATCAGAATGATCTGAAGGAAAAATAAATTATTCACATCAAGGAAGCACCTGCTCTCTCTTTCCTCCTGCATGTCCCAACTAGAAAAAGCATCTCTTGTGCCAGATGGAAAGAAAAAGAGGCCAGGGTGTCTGAGAAGGTCCCCAGCATGCCCACCTGTACAGCAGCCTGGGAAGCCTCAGTATCTGACCTGCCCTGGGAAATGACTTCCAAACGCCTTCAGGGACTAGGCACTTCTCACAGGTAGGTACCTCACTGAGGTACGTTGTTGATTCATGGCAACCTTGTGAATCAACCACTACCTATGAAGTGGGAACATTTTAAAGGCAAGAAATCAGAGCTCAGAAGTCAAGTAACTTACTCAAGATCACACAGCTAGCAAGTGTTGGCCACTTTGGTTTGCCATTTAGAAAAGACCCTGAAGCTCCATGCACAAGTCCTACAAGGTCTAATTTGTCATTATACATTCCCTGAAGAGCTGAGGGGGATAGCCTGATTAGCAAGGTGAAGGAGAACCAGGACAGATGCTCTCTCTTCTTCGCTGCTATGAGCAAAGATGAGATGTGCTGGGGGAATGGAAACTGCAAGACAAGTAAAAATTGACATATGTAAAAAACAAAAAAACAAAACCAAATACTGGACAATTATCTACTAAAAATGTTGTCTTGAGATGTAAAAATTATAAATTAAATTAGAGCTAGCTTTGAATTGCTTTTTAAGTTCACTTATTTTATGGTCTGTACAACATGTAATCAGGACATGCTCCAAAGATTACCCTGATAAGCTGTGAAAAGAGCACAGTCATTAAATAAAATCATGAGATAATTGCATGGTTCTCTGGGTTGGGCTTACTAATATGGATGCTAATTTTATCTGTGATACTACGGAGTGAAGGCGCTCTTAAAACTGAAGGTCCTTTAGCAGAGCTCTACTGCACACTATCCTGTGAGCTGCATGACTAGGGAAAGCTCTCTGGCTTCTGCTTAGCTTATAGGAGTGCATGAGGACACCTCCCAGCCTCCAGCCCTGGAAAAAGCACTGGACCTCTCCAGCTACATGCCTTCTTTGTCCTTCTCCCAGTCAAGGCTCCACAGGCAAGGCCTCCACCCCCCATCTTCCATTGTACTCCTGCGCAGAAGCTGAGGATGGGAAGCTTAGAATAAATTATGTGAGCCCTCGCCCTGGCAGAAGTGACAGGGTGGACACCACACACTATCCCATCTCCCTCCAAAGACTTTATCTGACAGTAAGTATGTCACGTATGCAATGGTTCCTTCAAAATAATTATTTCAGTCACCGAATCTATATCTGTGAGGGAGGATCTATATTTCAATTCACAGAGGACCAGTATTTGAGAAATTAGACCTCTAGTTTCTCTACAGTTGCAGCACAACTGCCGGTGGCTCACGCCTGTAATCCCAACACTTCGGGAGGCCGAGGCGGGCGGATAATGGGTCAGGAGATCGAGACCATCCTGGCCAACATGGTGAAACCCTGTCTCTACTAAAAATACAAAAAATTAGCCGGGCATGGTGGTGGGTGCCTGTAGTCCCAGCTACTCAGGAGGCTGAGGCAGGAGAATGGTGTGAACCTGGGAGGCGGAGCTTGCAGTGAGCGGAGATCGCGCCACTGCACTCCAGCCTGGGTGACAGAGAGAGACTCTGTCTCAAAAAAAAAAAAAAAAAAAAGGAAAAGAGAAAAAGGAGAGAGAGTATAGGAAAAGAGGAAAGAGAAAAGGGGAGGGAGAAGATCTAAGGCAGAGGGGAGGCAGACAGCGGAGGAGGTAGGTAAAGTGAGAGAACGAGCTGACATGTGTGTTCCATGAAATGCCTTATCAATGCTCTATTGATAAAAGCATTCATATCAATGCTAATACTGGATAATTCATATCCGGCCATAGGTTCCACACAGGTTGTTGATCAATAGTTTACAAATACATGAAATTGGATCTGGGCATTTTTTTATAAACCCATTTTTCATTTTTTTCCATAATCTTTAATTAAGATGTTCCTACACTATAGAGTCAAAAAATAAAAGTCATGGTCCTCCAGAAGAGGTCATAGTTTCCGACTGCATGCTCAGGGAACCCCCAATGAAGGTATCATTTGTACTCCCATTTAATAGATAAAAAGGCTGAGAAACTAAGCGCTGACAAAGGTTAACTCTCCATGTCCACATTATGATACAATTATGAACAAAAATATTCCCCCACAGTGCTTTCCATTTCTAAATGCTTTCACCTGTATCATTTCATGTGATCCAATTAAACATTATTAATGATGAAGACTCAGAAAGGTTTTGGGAGGAGAACAGGGTCACAGGGCAAGAAAGTGATGGAACTGGGGCCAGAATTCAAAACTCTGAACTTCTCGTTTTCATATAAGAAATGGCAAATCACTGATCCAAAAGAATCAGGTGCTACTAAAGGAGCATCTCAGACATTTCTACTCAACAACACACCATACACAGGCCCTTGAAAAGCCAAGTATCCCACACAGGATCTGGCTCTGGGCAGCAACAGAGAAGTGGACAATTGAATGGGGCTCTGCTTCTTGAAGGCCTGGACAGCAGCTGGATCCACCTTTCCCAGTTTCAGGGCAGACAGGCTGGTGAACAGGCCATGGCAAAAACTAAACAAGCATGCAGACAGGCATAGAGCCCCCAAAGTGCTGCAAACACTTCCCTTGCCTTAAAGCCCTTTGTCATCAGCAGCAGCTCCGGAAGTTACAGCAGACTGGGATGTACAATATGCCTTCTTTCTGGGGTCCTAGGTTTTTCTCCAGACTTACTCGTCATCTTAAAATTGTTCGCTTTGATTTATTTAAGTTAATGTACCTCAATGGCACAACAAAATCATGACAATAATAAAGATATTTTAATTTGGGGAAACAGCACTCACAACCCCACAGCCTGCACAGGCCAAGGGTTTTTCTTTGTCCGGGTTCCCTTCTAGTCCTGTCCCCTGAAACAGTAGCCATGATCACAGAATAAGCACTACTTTGTATTCTACGTTTTTTGTATAATCGCATTTCCTCTCTCAACCCAACCATGTCTGATGACCCTGGCAAGTTCCTACTCCAAAGTCTTCTTTTAGGGTGTTATAATTTCATCACCAACGTAGACAACTGATCTCAAACAGGCTCCGTGACATGTCTGACCTGTAACTCCTAAGATCTGAGATCATGGTTTGGGTGAGAAGGAGAACGCTTTGGGGATGAGAGAAGAAGAAAGGAAAAACAACTTTGCTTTTCTTCTCAGGAGACAAAGTGCTATTAGAGACTAAAACTGTGGATGCCACTGTGGGTGGGTGGGGTGGGAGGTGCCTATGGCTTTAGGGCTACACAGCCATGATGCTGCCATATGGATGAAACCACTCTCCACTTCCCCACAGCAACAGTGTCTAGCGGGTTGAAAAAAATTACTGTATGGCAAGAGTCCTGAGTATACATTATTCAAACCAGATCACGTCCCACTCCCCATACATACTTATCCACTTAAAACCTTTGCTGTGTGGCTCTGCACTGATGGAGAGGTTTATATTCCACAGTATGGCACACAGTGGACCCCCATGACCTGCCACCACCTCCCCTTCACCTTCCCACCCTCCCTCCCCACAACTCCCTGCCCCAGGCCCTGAGCTCCAACCACCCAGTCTCTGCCCACCCAGCCCATTCTGTTTCTCCACCTCTAATCCCAGGAGGTGTGAGAAACTGTCCATGCCCTCCAAGAGCTGACTCACAATCGGGGAAAAAGAAAAAGGCTCCAAGTCTATGTTTATCATGAAAATCAAGAAGCTATTTTGTTATCTATGAAATAACATCTTTTAAATGCATTACTGCAAATGGTTTAAAACTGGCCAACGTATTACAGAATAAGACCGCTTTTAAGACTTTGTTACCGGCCGGGCTTGGTGGTTCACGCCTGTAATCCCAGCACTTTGGGAGACCGAGGCGGGCGGATCAAAAGGTCAGGAGATCAAGACCATCCTGGCTAACATGGTGAAACCCCGTCTCTACTAAAAATACAAAAAAAAATTAGCCGGGCTTGGTGGCGGGCGCCTGTAGTCCCAGCTACTTGGGAGGCTGAGGCAGGAGAATGGCGTGAACCTGGAGACGGAGCTTGCAGTGAGCCGAGATCGCGCCACTACACTCCAGCCTGGGTGACAGAGCGAGACTCCATCTCAAAACAAAAAACAAAAAACTTTGTTACCGTGAAACACAACACACACACACATACAAGTGCATAAGGCATAAATGGACTGTTTAAATGAAGGGGTTACCAAGTGAATATTTATATAGGTAACTAATTTTTTTAATTAAAAGAATCATTTAAAGCATTTCAGACAGCAAAGTGTAAAAAAAAAAAAAAAAATCACCTCTGCACAAGCACCGGTGATAATGGTGCCACCTTGGAGTCACTCAGTCACCAGTACAAGAGGAAGATGCTTAAATGCAAACCTTTCTCTTAATTGGCTCATCATCTGCATCATATTCCATAACCCACTGTCTGGATCTGGGTCAATATGTGTTCCAGATTTTCCAGGACAATCCCAATTCTAAAGTTTAGGTTCTCTGGTCCCCATAAACCATTAAAGGTAATTCAAATTCCTATAGATCTCCCAGACTTCCTGTTGAACCAGAAAACAAAAAATAAGGAATTGAATATATGAGTCCTGATTTGAGGCTCCAGATACATTTACTGTTACTCTAGCCTATGTTTTGTGTCTGCTTTCTATTTGTAGCTCTCTTGCAAAACCTAAGAGGATTCAGTTGCTTCATATTGGTCCCAAGTTAGTACTAAGCTGACTCACATAGATTTTCTTATTTCCACCACTAAGCATGATAAAGGTTACAAGTATTTCCGGTGCAATTATAAATTGCATCTGCACACCCCAGCTTGTAAGTACCTGCGGACAATTTCACACTACTGTGGTTCAATGTCTCCCTGTTGCCCTCTAAGCTTGAGAAACCCATTGATATTGAACCTCCTCTGACAGCAAAGGCAACTGAGAGTTCCATGTAGGGGAAGAAGGGAGGACATCCAAGGAAGACACACAGAAAAGCAGTTTGGAGGAGCTGGACTTGACTGGTCCTCTCTGACTTAATGACCTTTCTTCTCCCAAGGAGCCGGATGCCGGACTCAGGGCCATTAGCACCACCACTGATCTCCAAACCAGACATGTCCCCAGGGAGGCCCCAAAGCCTTACTTCTTTAACTTTATTTTTCAAGTCTGAAAAAAAATCCCTTGATGAGATCTAGCCACATGAGAACTTTTCAAAACATATTTATAAACTCTTTATAAAAATAGTAACAGTGGTTCTGTAAGACAATGTTGGTGACACCAAATTTCATGGAGGCAGGATGTAGAACCTTGAGAAAGGGATTTTGGGAGACACATTTAAAAAGATTAAGTTGAGATACACTCTGGGCATACCAGCTGTATAACGTCATATAGATGAAAAGTAAGCATGCAATTCCATTCTCTCAAGAGTTTGGGACAAAGGTGAAAACTAAAAGGTGTCTAATGGTTATTGGCTGCAACCACCCACATATATGAAAAGTAATGACAGCATGTCTCCCAATTTCCTATAGGTTATCTGCCAAATTCCTGCCTCCTTCCTAAGAAGACAGAATCTGCAGTGTTTTCTTTGCCATCCAGATATACCCCATGTCATTATAAACAAACGCCGCTTTCTTTGCAGCTAATAACCACAATGTGTGGGTAAGAAACCTCTCCAGTATAAATCCGTGGGGACAAAGCTGCATTGTGGGCATTAAATAATTATAACAATCTGACATGAGTCAGAGGACTGTGTTTCAATGGCCCTGTTGCGCTTCAAACTTTCAAGTCAACCCTGAACTCCCTTTCTTGGCACTCTGTCCATGTGCTGGGCTACTGTGAAACAATTCTCATTCTTTATAGTTTGGTCCCATTGCAAGGAGCTGGCAACGTGGGTACTCATGAAATATTAACACGTTAACATTGATTTTTTTATAAGTGTGGCCAACAGTGGATCAATTATATTACTATGAAAAGCTTTTCATAATTCATTTGGGGGGCATCAAGATCTCATTTCTGGACAGCACACGGATGATGAAGTCGACAAATTTTGAAGAGGTCGGCACTCACAGGCACCGAATACATTAAATGTGATAGATGGTGTAAACACTCCGTTCACAAAAAAGGGAAAATGTTTACATCTGGCAAAATAATTAAAATAGGGTACAACAGATCAACAAGTTGGGAATTAGGTACATGCCAGTCTCTCTCCATAAACAGGAGCAGGAAAATCTCAAATGCTGGCCATTTATTCTCCGTCTGGCTGACCACTAAATGTTTATTCTCATCTCCTTCAAAAGTAAAATTGGCTAATTTCTAGGTGTTAGAAGAATTATTTCAAGCTACGCATGCTCTGAAGTGCCTTTATTCCAAGAACATTAGTAGTTTATTACAAATTCTGGCTTTAAAGGCGTGAGATAATAATATCAGCGTGGCAGAATCCAATTCAATCCAAGCAGCGCAAGGCCTGAAGAAACAAAGGCAAAGTAGCTAGCGTGAGCCCAAGGAGTGCCCTGCGCGAGGTTCTGCTGATCCAGCAGCGAGTGAACATGAGACACATTTCAATTGGGCAGTGTGCATAAACCTCGCCTCGGCTTTGAGGGAACGCTGCATCACACATGGAAAGAAACACTATTCCAAACCAGCGGGCCTCTGCACATGCTGCCCTGATGGCCAGAGAAGGCATCTTGAAGAACAGGGAGGGGTGCAGCAGTTGTAGGTTCTCTACATTCTCATTGTAATGCCATCATCACCTGTGTCCCACTTTGTCCCCTCCACTAAACCATGAGCATCTTAAGAGCAGGAACCAGGTCTTACTCATCTTGAGATCCCTGTCCCTAGCACTGGAGAGTCACACAAAAGATGTGCTAAATAAATAGCCACAGGGTGTAAATTATCCCTCTCACTCTGGAAGTCTTGTACCTGGCTTGTGTATAGCAACTAAACTCACCCTCCTCCTTGCACTGGCCCACTGCATCACCAGGAGAAAAAAGTCACCCAAAGAAAACGTCTTCCTGATCTCCACGGATTACAGCTCCAATGTGGAAATGCCCCTAATAAGCCAACAAAAGTTTTCAGTTACCTGGGGCGTGTAAGCCACTACAAATACCAAAAAGGGGGCGGGGTAACTTAAAGTGTTGAACCTACCCTGAAATCCCCTGGAAAAAGAGCGTGCAGAAGAAAAGGGGCTCCTGGGGCAAATGACCAACAACTTTGGCTCAAGTGTCCTGACAACAAGAGCGTATACAAGAGAACCGTTCTCAGAATGCTCCTCCAAAATCCTACAGGGGATTTCCAGAGGGCCTAGTGAGAGTGTGGTCAGAGACACTGGAATGAGAGAGGGTGGCAGCAAGGCGGGCAGCTTGACTTCATCCAGCCTCAAAGTGGGACGTGAGTGCAACAGTATCGGATTGATAAAAAGCCACCCGAGTGCAGGCACAGTGCAAAGTGGGAAGGCTCACAAGCCACCTGGCATCAGCACCCCCGTGACTGCCCAACAGAAGAGACAGGAAGGCAGACCGCAGCTTGCTCAGCCTTAACAGAGGCCCTGTCTAGGTTCCTAAGAATTCTCAGTCTTCTGAAAACCTAAAAGGACCTCAGTCCTGGGCATATCAAAACCTGAAGTGCTGTAACATGTAATTTAAAAGGATTAGCTCTACGTCATATACATGATCTTAACTTGCTGGCTCTTCCTTCTTTCCTCTGAGCCATGAAGTAACAGGAAAGAATTCATTGATCTGTACCCGCAGGCAACAACTTATATGTGTTGGTGTGGCCGACACCTGCTCCCTCATGCACCCCAGTGCTGAAAACACAGAAAATTTGTCCTTTGGCCCCATCTGTGTCCTGAAGAACACATAAGTAACACATACACATATATCACAAATGCCCTTAAAACTGTTGAATTTCTATACTTCTGCCCAGATTACAATTTAGTCCAATCGTCATCACCCAATCATTGAAGCTACTTATTACTTGGTTACATCTAGTTGAAACACCTGTTAAGAGGGGCATACCATCATGTCATGGCCAGTTTTAACTAAGAGGGAAGGTCCACACACATATGGTTACACACTGTGTTTTGCATTTTTGCAGCTTGGGTCCATTACAGTTCTGTGACCTCTTCTCCAGATTCCTCTACTTAATATTCATATTTTCCAAATTACTTTAAATAACCCACAATCAAGTACGAATAAAATATGTGAAGAACAAAAACCAAACGGAAACAGCTGGGGCAGAGAGAGCATTATTTATGTTATGTTATAAATGAGGGCAGTGGCTAGCTATCTGGGAAGGGAGGGAGGGAAGAAGAAAGGGAAAAAGGAAGGAAGGGAGGATGGGAGGGAGGGAAGCTTCTGAGTCCCAGCAGGCCTGTCTTCCAGCCCACTGCGGGAGATAAACACAGTTTCTGTTTAAAACTCACCCCCTCTGAGATTTGGGGACAGGGGCTCTGGAACCCACAGAATGAAACCTACCCTTATCTATAAACAAAGCCCGGCTTTGATGTTGGCCAGCTTGCCTGCGTCTTTCCCTTTTCAACTGAGGCTTATCAGCAGAAACATCTCCATTAAGCACTTAGTCAGCAACCATTACAGGCCCGTTCTGCACTGGATGCCTGTTTCTGAGAATAATGAAAGAAAAACGCATATGCCTTGCCCACGTGGAGGCAGCATTCACTGATGGGTGCGTGCGCTCCGGGACGCGTGCACACACACACAGACACACACACACAGCTCGGGACGGACGGGGACACACACACACACACACACACACACACACACACACACACACACACACACACACACACACACAGAGCTCTGCGATGGTCAGGGGTGGCTGGACTTGAGATCAGAATTCCTGGCTGTCTTGCTTACGGTGTGACAAGCTTCCTAACATGTCTAAGCCTCTCGCCCTTGCTGCTATTAGGGGATTAAATGAGATGACATGCGCAAAGACTCTCAAGTGCTGTCACGCTCTTCATTTATTCGGCTTCTGAATCACTTCCAATCTGGTCTTCCCTTCCATGGCACTAGGCAGAGCCCTGGCAACCAGGACAGGGACAAGACCCTCAGGCTTCCTAAAGCCAAAGGTGCCTTCCCTTGCCCAGCAACAGAGGTCCCCTTCCAGGCAGAGCTCTCTAGCCAGGCCAGCGGGGGCCTGAGGGGGTCAAAGATTCCAGCTGCCCTTCCTTCAGCGCTGCCAAAGGCCCCTCACACACTCTGGTTCCTACAAACTTGTTTCAAAGGGAACAAACTCTGTTGTCAAGAGCCAGAGTGGAAGCAGCACCCAAACACTGCCCCAGTGGCCCAGGACTCCATCACTGAGGACAGAGGCTCGCTTGAACTCCCCGGGCGTCCAGGTCCCCTGAGCGTGGTCTCTGGCCTCGGTCAGACATCCTCCTTCCAGAGAGAGCAAACAATGACATCCACTGTCAGTGAGACCACTCTCCATTCCTCCCCATACGTCAGCCCTGGTGACCAGTGAGCGTAGCAGGCAGCAAGCAGGAGGTGAAGGGGAATGAGACACGGCTCCCAGAACAGCTTGTTTGTGTCCAGCTGTTGAGAACCTTGATGCTGTGCCAATGGGGAAAGAAACATCCTCCTTGCAGCACTTCTTTTCAGGGCCTCGGACTTGTGGTCAGCACCTCCCAACCATGTCCAAGAGAGAGCTGGACACAGGCTACACCCCATCCTCTCTCCTCCACCTTGGCTGGTGACTCAAGGTGTAGGAGGAGAGGACACACCCCAGCTAAATCCAAACACAACCAGGAGATCCCAGATGAACTTGCAGTTCAGCACGCCACCCCCTGGCACCACTGCCACCCCTGCAGACGGGCAGGAAAGCTGACAAGGACTAAGTACCCACTGTGAGCCAAGTGTGTCATGGTTAGCATCTCAATGAATCCTTATACAGCCCTGCAAAGAAGGTGCACACTGAAGTTTGGAGAAATTAAGTAGCTCACACAGTCACACAGCTCTTATCTCAAAGAGAAGCCTCTGGGCTCCTCATATTTCCAGAAATGGAAAGCACAGTTCTTGGCTTTGATGTTACACTGCTTATCAAAAGCACCACTGTAAAAAATGAAACATACACACATGAAGTATGGGAAATGTTATTTTCCCAGGCCCACATTTGGGATGTCCAGCCCACAAAGACTTCCAGAAGGGCAGAAGATGATCCACAGTGCTCATCCCACCTCAGCAGCTTTTCTGTCCCGGCGATCCCCTAATTTGGCTCACTTGAGGCACTCTTAAAGGTGGCTCTCTTGATGGCTGATTGGAAGATGGCACTGCCATAACTTCACAGAGAAAAGAAACCCAAACACCTTCCCTGGCATCCTTCCACCTCCAATTGCCAAATATCCAAAGTGGTGGAAGCTGCTTCCAGGGCTCCCAGGGAGCCCCCAGTTTGCCCACTGCCTCTACAGCTCCACCTCCCTCAGCACAGTATCTTGACCTAAGACTGAACTCCTCCCTTCCAGCTCCAAGCCGGCTGGACTGTCTGGCTTGCCCTCCCAGGCCACGTCTGCTCACTGATAAAAGTTCACTAGGAGCATCTGGACACCAGCTATTCTGCTCACGGACATTCTCCCTGCTCAGACAGACACGACAGTCACTAACCACAGACCCTTGCCTTTGTGCCAGGAGGCTGCTACCACATTAGCCCCTCTTAACAGTCTAGCTAGTACCTTAGAAAGGTATTGTTCTATTGAATTCTTGCTGTATTAGAAATCTCACTGGCTGCAGAGAGGACCATTAGGGGTGATTTACTCTGGCTCAGTGTTCCTGAACCAGAAGAGCACTGAGCCACGACTTCCCCAAAGGGAATGATTTGGTGAAGATGCATGGCCTGATTCTGGATGTAGTGGATTCACATGTACCAAGAGGGATTTGAGGAAAATCTATGCGCTTCCAGCATCTCCTGTATTAAGCCTTCTCTTGATAAATTTCATAGGTTTTATATTAGATATTCTATCTGGAAGAAGATGAATACCAGTAATATTCTGGAGGGAAAAAGTTTACTTTTAAATATTTACTTTTTAAAAATTTGTGTCAATGTGAATCTGTCCCTCTACCATCCCCTACAATATTTATTACAGATCTGCTGTCCATATTAGGCTCTGAGCTCTTGCAGGATAAGGACAAACATGTTCAGTGTTTCCATCTCTCCAGTGACCAGCAAATAGTTAAGTACTCTTTTAACCATCACCTTTTTGGGATTCTAATAATGATAATACCACATAGGGATCAATCATGCATGCTATGATGTACTCTTCCAATTAACTCCTGAAATCCTTTCAGTCACATCCATCCCCAAGCATCACACCAGGAAGCCATCACTGAATAAGTGGTGGCAAGAGGGTCATTTCCCCTACCATCTCTATAAACCCAGGAAGCAATTTTCTCAGTCCACAACCACAAGCCACGAGCTCAAAAGCCCATGTATATCATAAAGACAGTGTTTCTGAGCACCACCCCGGCCCTGAGGTTAGCTATGAATGGTGCATAACTCTCTGTGTGAGACGATCCATCCAATCGCAGGTGTGTGTCAGTATAGGCAACTAAATAGTGGCTTTCAGGGGCTCTTTTCAGCTTAAGAGACAGGAACATCATAAAGCAAAACAGGAAGAGACTACGTCCTACCGGTGTGGCTGAGCCTGTTTGGGAGAAGTTCGATCTACAACACCACCCCAGACATGAAAGAACTTAGACACACCACCCTACCCCCACCCCCACCCCCACCCAGATACACATATACAGTCTATGATAACCGAAGGCCTGCACCCCCATCCCGGGATCCTCAGTGGATTCGGGGCCACTCCACTGTGGGCAAGACCACTCCCCTAAGACCTCTCACAGACCTATTCCAACCCACAGATCTACTCCAACCCACTGTTCCTCTCTGATTCCCTGGACTTCTGGGTCCCACCTCAAGCTGCCTTGCCCCAGAGACCACAGACGCCCCTCTCCAGCCCTGACTCCTGTTTTTGTTCTGCCTTAGCATGAGGATCCCTGGCTTCCCAGATGCTAATGCCGAACCCTCACACAGACCTTGGAGAAGACCTTGTAGGAAAAGTCCTCAACAAATTCACAAGAGGAAGGTCTGCATATCAGGTCACTATGTTCTAAGAAACAATGATCAAACTGGCTTTTAAGCAATGGAGGGGGCTTAGTGGCTTATTTAACTAAGAAGTCTTGTTCCAACAGCTTAGATGGCATCATTACCAATCTGCCTCCCAATAGGTTACTTAGTGGTTCCAACCAGTAACCAGTCCTGCACATGTGTGGGATTCTTATGAAAGAAAACTGCTCCCATATAGAACTCATGTCCTCACCCTACACCATCCACAGGATGTGTGATTCTCTTCTGAAAGCTTCAGCGAAAGAAAGCTTTACTTTCCCAGCAGCCCCAGAAAGATATCTCCTCTATCTCACTGGATGTGACTGGTCAGGCACCATCCCTCAATCAATCGCCGTGGACATAGCTGTTTTAGGCTTATATCAATCACGGTCTACTTCCAGAGTTGCAAGGGACGTCATCCCACCTGAATCATACAATGAGCCAGTGAGAGGGCTGGCCTCTATGCATTTGGTAAGAAAAACAGAATGGATGCTGAATGTCCTCTATAGCCGTGGAGCATTCAAGTAGCTTCTGGCCACCTCCATCCAAATGACTCCCAGCCTCACAGGCTGAGATGAAAGCAACCATCTCACCAGTCTAGGAAAAGGACTATTAACTAACAGCAGCCACTAAAGGAAGGAGAGTTAGCAGCCCAAAGGAATTTATTTCAGGGCCAGGGAGGAGGAGATATAGCGTTAAAGACCAAGACCTCTATGGCCACAGAAGGAACTCCCCCACAATGACATCAGCCACTGTGCTCGTCAGCATGAAAGACCTACTGCTGGGCAGCATCCCACTGCTGGGGACACTGCCAGACCCAGGGGTGCAGCACAGATCCCAATCATAGCAGAAAGACCAGAACCTTCAAGTCACTAGCAATCTCGAGTCTAAAACGACTCCGAAGACTAAGGTGGGAAGTTCAGAGGGAGGATGTGTCTCAGCAAGAGAGGGGAAGACAAAAGCTTCTCGGCTGTCCTGTGGGCAAGGAGCCCAGAGTTCTCCCAGCACACCCCTAGTTTAAGAAAATGGGAGAATGTCTCTGAGTAGAATCTGGCCATTTTCCCAGGCTTAGACCCTCATGGGGAAAATGCTCCAGCGTCCATACATCCGGACACTTCCCAACTTCGCAAGCTCCCTTACACCTCTAAACAGCTCAGACCTGTTACTAGGTACTTAAGAATGGGGAAAGAGGAAGGGCGCAGTGGCTCAAGCCTTTAATCCCAGCACTTTGGGAGGTTGAGGTGGGCGGATCACGAGGTCAAGAGTTCAAGACTAGCCTGACCAACATGGTGAAACCCTGTCTCTACTAAATATACAAAAATTAGCCAGGCGTGGTGGTGTGCGCCTATAGTCCCAACTACTCGGAAGGCTGAGTCAGGAGAACTGCTTGAACCCAGGAGGTGGAGCTTGCAGTGAGCTAAGATTGCACAACTGCACTACAGCCTGGACGACAGAGGGAGGCTCCATCTCAAAAAAAAAAAAAAAAAAAAAAAAGAATGGGGAAAGAGTTTTCTTTCTTTCCTCCTCCACACCTCCTCACCCACTCCCCATCGGCTGGTCCAGAAAGGCCTCCTTCATGCCTCAGGAACATTTCCATAACCATGTGGCAGACTTGCCAGGCACAGGGCTCGGAGCATACAAGGTAAAGCCTGGATCCTCTGGCCACAGCTAAAGCCAAGGGTTTTCATCAACCTCTCCTGCAAACAGAAGTCTCCACAGACCTTAACAGTGGCCCAGCCAGCCCCCAGTGGTGAAGCACAGGACGCTACGTTTTGCCCCCTCCTTTAGACTTGAGGGGCAGCACTGTCATTTTATGCCTATCTCTAAAAAGGGCACTACCAGGGAGGTAAAGAAAGGCTGGGCCCCACGTCCTGGCTGAGTCTCAAGGGTGGAGAGTTCCTATGGCTAGACCAAGAAGCATGGTCTTTGATCTGGGGGTGTGTACACAGAGACATCAATTCCATCAGTGACATTCTTCCAACTGCTACTTCTTGAATGCCTACAAGACACAAGTCCAGATTCAGAAATGGGGGCCCAGCAATGAGTGAAATGCAGCATCTTACCCTTAACATGCTCCCTGTCAATGGGGACAGCAATGGGTTTCAATCTTTCAAATGCAATATGCCTCCATGCAGAGTGGAAATAAAGGCTCTATCACTGTGTAAAGGTGATAGTCAGGAATTCACCAGGAACAAGAACCAGGAACCTACAGGATCTGGTGGGGTCAGAGCTAGACTGTGAGTGGCCCCGTCACTGAGTGTCCACTGCTCTCCCTTCAAAGCCTGCCGCTCTGGTGTCCTCAGGGTCTGCAGACATGTTCACACTTGCCATGCAGGGAAAGGCTTAACTCTAATAATGACCACACTCATTAGGAAAGAAAACCAGTGCTTGTGCCATATTCAGTAAGAACGTTTTTGGTTTCTACTTTGGGATGGGCCTCATTCCTTTCCTTAACACAAGCTCAGGATGAAAATTCCCAATTCCAAACCGGATTTCACAGCTCCCCTCCTCCCCTTCTAGGGACTCCAACAGCATTTTGCGAGAATTATGCAGCCTGTCACCTGTATTCTCACATTCTCACAGCCACCTTATGGAATGGGAGCTATTCTTCTCCCCATTTTACAGAAAAGGAAACTGAAACTCAAAGGTTAATTTTTTTCAACACCAAAAATGAGAAAGAAAACATAACTGACAACTTTAAAGTATGTTTATGGTGATGAGTAAAGGCAGAGAAATTGCAGCTGTGCCTATTCAGGAAATTCTGTGAATCACAGTGGTTGCTTTTTCCCTACTGTCTCAAAGAAGACAGGCTTTGTGACTAGCAAAATCATCCACCTCTCCACAAATAGAGGGCAGTGGGGAGGGGTGGCAGGTGGAGTGCTGGCACTGTCCAGGCAGTTGCTACGTGCCTCTGATTTCATTCTCAGAGACCCTCTGCAAATTGGACACTACTGTCTCAATTTTTGCAAGGGAAAAAAACAAAAACAAAAAAACTGAGGCTTAGCGAAGAGGAAGGCACAGAGAGGTGCCTTCACTCTGGGCTGCTAGAAACTAAGTAGTTGGTCAGACCCTTACATCATGGTGGTGCATTTGGGGCCCCACTAGAGAAGGCTCAAGGGTAGAGCTGAGAACACAGGAATGGCGCCTGGTGGAAAGTCTGCTGCCCTGTTCCACGTCCCATCCCAAGTTCATTCTAAGCGTTATTTTATGAGCCTACTATGACCTATAATTTCCCTGTCTATATTTGAAGCCAGTATTTGATTATTCCCAAGGAAGACTATTTAAGCATAAATCACTAAAAATAATGATAGCCACAAGTTACTTGGAAAATGAAATGAATAGTGCATTTAGAAATAAAAATAATTTTCCTTCTCATCTTTTCCCCATATTTTCTGAGGCTGTGTACTATATTCATTTAGAAACAAAACTTCTCATTTTTCCTTCATCCTCTTATGTTTCATACCCAAAGAAGAAAAACCATATCCTTCAAAACCACTTTGCGGATAAGCAACAAATTACATCTAGGACTCGGGCTACTTAGGACTCTTCAGAGATGAGTAAGGACTACCATCTGCTACCTAGGATGGAAGGCGGGGACACAGCAACCACAGCACCCAGTGCAACTCTCAGTACCTGTCCAGGTCTGGCCACTGCCAAGCACTTCAAAGCACGACCTACTTCACCTTAACAGGTAAACTCCGGGAGAAGGCCCATCATCCACAGTGGAATTTTCCGTGCAGCCCTCTGGAGTTTACAGAGGTTCCCCTGGAGAGGTTCTCTTACCACAAAATGTTACCTTTCTATAAACCCATAGGCCTTCCTTACACAAGTGAGCTAATAGTGATTAATAGTTTGCATTTATTGAATGTTAACTATGTGCTAACCCCTTTACCTATACTTTTCAATCCTCATACCTACCTTTTAACAAAGGCACTATTATTCAACCCACTTTACTGATGAGAAAACTGAAACTTAGAGAAGGTTAAGTAACTTGCTCAAGGTTACACAAGTAACTAGAAGTGGCAGAGCCAGGAGCAAAAAGCAGGACTGTGATTTCAGGACCCACGTATCCACACTAACCTATTAAACATACTGCCCCCTACCCTGTGTTACAACACAAAGACATTTTAAGGTATCCTACAGAGAATTCGTTTCCTGAAAGACTGTATTTGAGCGGACAGAAACAGAACTATACCCTGTGGCAAAGAAAACACTAAAGGTTGACCAGCTGCACTTTCCTTGAAAACCTCATGGGATAAAAAATCAGTATACTCTGATAAACTCAACTATGCACACAAACATTATTGCTTCCAAAGTGCCTTTGCAAAAAGGGAGAGCTTTCACATTTGGGGATTTTATTGTGAAAACTGGTGTAAGATATTTGTCTGTGCTGTGATGCTCTGTATTTTCACATCATTTTTTAAAATAAAACAAAGTGCAATGCAATTTGCTTCCCCAGAAAATTGGATCACATTTGATTCTTATTGCATCCCACTTATTACTAGTTATATTTTGTAATTTTTTTTGCCCCAAACAGCCTCAAGATTTTGCCTATGGGAGCCAACCTACCAATTCGTTTGATTGTTTAGCACAACCTGCAATTCCTACAGGCAATTTCACAGTTGCAGGGATTTCAAGTATGAGAGAATTCAAACCTGACCTGACAATGAACAACTACTTCACTTATTTTTTATTCAACTCTCAGACTATGTTGATGTTTAGATCATTTACGAGGTTAAATGGCAAAGCTACTTAGGCCAACCCAACTACTTGGTTGAAACTACTCGGTTTCAAGCTCTGAAGTATGAAAGGCAGTTGGAAGTTAGTCATGCTTTTATCCATATTCTGTACAGTCCTTAGACCTCGGCCAGAGGGCCCAACTTGGGCCCTAGACTTTAGAGGGTCTTGCTCTGGTCTTCTTCTGGCCATCTTCCTCCTCCTCCCAGGGTGAGGAGCCTTTGAGGATCAAGAGGACACTTCACCTAACACCCTCACCTTTTAGACCATCGACCAAGGACCCAAGACTTTGGAACTCTCAAGCCAATAACCCTTTTCCACTTCCAAGGTCTGTGTAGGCCACTTCCCTGAATCTGTTCTCAAAAGGGCAGATTGTGTCACAGGTGTGAGTATGCTTCACTGCAAGGAGTGGCCTGGGAACAGCTGTTAGCAGGAGGAAGGAGAAGAAGGTTTGCTTGTGCAATCTGCAGCATCCATATGAACATGTTACAACATACAGCTGGAGTGGGAAGAGAAGGGGGCAGGCCTCTAAATTTGAACCTGGGTTCCAAGTTATTATTAAAGTAAATTTGTCAAAGTAGGAGGTGAGAAAATGTTATTTAACAGTGTATTAACTCGAATTTTCCTTTAAATATTTCAACATAGAGTACATGAGCTTCCACTGACACTCTTTGCCTCAGGCTCCATAAATATTAGGGACAGGTTTGTCTACATTTAAACATGAAAGTGCTGCCATTGTAAATGGACTAATGAGAAGCTCACACAGACCCCCAACACCGATAAACCAGTCTGTCAATTCAGGTATTAAAAATACTCAGCAAAATTCCTAGTGAAAAAAATAAAAGAAACATCATAAAACCACCTAATCAATCTAGAGAAGCAACAAACGGAGCTGTAAAACTAACTTGATTTAAACAGATCAATTCTTTGGAAGGTACAAGGTGTATCAATCAATGCTTCAGCTAGTTTCTGTACCTACTAATCTTTATCTAATCACACACATGATTCTGTAGACACAGACACAATTTCTAAAACTCCATGGGCTGTCTTAAAACTATGATACCTAACTATCAAAAGCAGAAAGATCACTATTATGTCTATCTCTCATAGCAATCTGGGATCAAGCATTTTGCAAATAAAAAGGGCAAACTCAATATGGGTAGACCTAAGGCCCTAATTCTAGTGGTTCTACATCAGAGATCATTTTTATAATAATATTGCTTTAATATTGGCTAGGATATGTTACATGATCTTTACTTCTAGGTTTGAAAAGGAATTAGACATCCACAATATATAATTATGACATAACAACCACAGTGAATTGAACCTGTGCTGTGATTCTGAAGACTTCCTGCAGTTAAAATTGCCCATCTCACAAACTATAGTTACAAATGTTCTAACATCTCTAAATTGATCATATTCAGCTGCCCCCAAAGAAATAAATAAACAATATAAAGCAGGCATGTTCATTGTGATATACATCTTCCTTCATTACTAGCATGTGTCTTGCAGGCAGATGACATGCCTGCTCACTTATACAATTTTCATGACTGGAAATTTTAAAGGAGATTCATTATATTGTTGACCTTCACAGTAAGCCACCAAATGGTCTTTTGATCCCTGCTTCAATACTTCTCGCTATATCCTAAAGCAGAAGCCCAGTCCACCTTTGCAGGACTGTGAAGAATATCTTTTTTATAATTGAGCCAAAATGTGACTGCCTTTTAAGATTATAACTAGAGTCTACTGGACAAATGTGCTGCTTCTTCACCCATGTCTCTGCAGAGTCTTTTCTAAGTCAGGGCAAATACTACCACTCCCACATCCACCCCATCCTTTGAATGATTTTGTGTGACATGTGGTTTCTTCTCTTTATCATCTGGGGTGCTGCCCTCTGAAGAAACCCTAGTTTTTACGTTCTCTCTAAAGGGGCTTTCTTTTGTCCACCTTTGCATCCCAACACATAGAAAGGTACCTGGCATACAGTATAGTGGAGAGAGGCAGGGAGCGAAGGAAGGAAAACAGAACCCCTGGCTCCAAGTGTGTTCTAACATGGTATGCATCCTCCTCTATCTGCACACTCCGAGGTAACACTCGCTTCTGCAGAAGCCACATCACAAACTTACTGTGATCGCACAGTCAACAAAAATCACATAGTACTGATCTCCCATTACAACACATGTTTGTCACTCTTAGGTATTAACTAAGGGGCAGTTCAGACCATAGTTCTTGCATTCAGCTCAGACTATGTCTCTGTTTTCAACACAGTAGATAAAATTAAAAAGCAGATCAAAGGTCTCATTTATGCATTGTATAAACTATAGTTTTCTGCTTAATAAGGTTTTCAGAGAAAGAAGCGAAGCTAGCCTGGGGTGGCTCGTTCTTGGTGAACCCATGCTAGGTCCCAGGGACCACCGCTAGGGAAAAGCCATACTTCTCTGCCCATATTAAGGGGAGTTCAATGCTCAAGAATGGTCTGCTGAATGCATTCAAAGCCGTATTTTGCAAGCTGGGAAAGCACTTGCTCCCATAAAGTTTCCTTAAAAAGGTCTGAAGAATGGAAATATCACAAAGCACAGTCTTTCCAAGTTAATACTTCAAAGAGAATTACATTTGTTTGGGTAAATAAGCTCTGGCACACGTGCCTCAAAATTAAATTCTACTATTTTATCACTGGACCTAAGCTTCATGATTTCCTGAGACATACTTAGGCATCTAATTACACATGTACACCACCAAATTCTAACTAACCTCCTTAGCAAAAGTCTCCCAGAGCCCTGCAATCTGTGATACGTACCGCCTAACTCCACCACCAAATCCACAACGCTGCTTCAGGACAAGTGTTGGCGTCCTATAAACCAACAGGTCTAGATTAGAATTCCACAACCTTGGGCAGGCAACGACTCCTTGGAACCCCAGTTTCCCATCTTTAAAATACTTAATAGGGCCTCGTTAGCAGGTTTGCTGTGAAGGATACAGGAGACCTCATTTTGTGAAAGTCTGGCTCAGCAACTGAAATGTGGTAGGCATTCAGGAAATGCAGTCTTCTTTCCCATCTGCCTCCTGTCTTCCCATTGCAGATGTGAGATAAAAAGCTCCTAAGCGTCCCAGCACGGAGAGCCACACAGCTGGCGCCATGAGCCACACAGCAGGCACAGAGGGCCACACAGCTGGCATGGAGGGCCACACAGACTGCACTCAGTCCATGAAAGCTATGAAAATTATCTTCATTGCATGGCTTATAAAAAAGCTACAGTTTCCTTTCCTATTTTACCAACAAGCCACCTGAAGTTGCCTTCTTCCCACAAACAATGAACTTAAACCAAGAAAGAGAAGCCTTTCCTCATTATGCCTAAAAACAAAGCTGCTCTGACTAATTCACATTCAGACTCATAATCCTTCATCCAAGGGCCTTTGCAAATGCCAAGACCCTCAGGGAAGCAAAATTTCCTCGAATGTACAGGGGCTGAGAACACTCGGGGTTTCAAGATGACTAATCATGGAAATGTACTATAAACAGGGAATATTAAAGAGCTTAGAAAGCCTCTCGGGGAAAGGGGGGAAAAATCCTCACAATTCAGGGCTTGGTGGAGAGAACAGCAGTTTTATGGCAAAACAAAAAAAAAAAATACAGGTGAAAATGTTAGGCAGGCGCAACTTCTGTTTTCCCAGAATCCAGGGCCCGGGTTGGGCTGGGTAGAGAGAAGTCTCCTCGGCTTCTTGCTACCATGGTGTTTTTTTCTATCTTGACAATTCACTTCCCCAACAGGCATGCCGCCAACTCAAATGAGACTCAGAGCAGTGAAAAGCCCTTCAGGTAAACAGTGTGATAAGCTAAACTGAAAAACTAGACAATGTTTTTGGACTATGAGGGTGTTGCTATGGAGACAGTTGCTAATTAACTGCTTTCAACCAGGAGAACAAAGGGCTCGGGGCAAGCAGGCCTCGGTATCTCCGAGTGAGCAATGCTTCCAGCCTTGCGCAATCGGCACATCGCTCATATCTGGAATACCTGAGACCCGGTCGGGTCGGCCACATGCCTGAAGAAATGACAAAAGTGTGTTTTCTTCATCTTGACCTGGATTCATAACACCTGGCCACCAGAACCTCTCAGGGAAGGAAGCAAGTGGCACAGGGAATGCAGATTCACAGGAAGCAAGGCCCCTCCACCACCAGTCAGGCACTTTCCTAAATAGTGTTTTGTCAAACACTATCTGTGAAGGGTCGGGCGGCGGTGAGATGGGGGGAACATGTAATTGTTTTAAACTATATATTTTACTTTATGGGCTTTAAGTTCAAAGGGCAGAGATAAATCTCCCCTTCTTCAGGATTCAACTTCCTCGGGTTAAAAAAAAAGTGACTGGATTTTTCTCAAAAAGAAATAATAAAACCCATCATTATTCCATATTTCGAAGTCCCACACACATTGTGGTCACTCAAAAAGTAATAACAAAAAAGTTAATTGTAATCTGACTTATCACATGAATTTTTCTCCTCCAACCTCATCCCAGGCTGACTTGGCTGGTTCAGATGTGGTCTCATCTTAGAGGCTAAGTAGGTGCCCTGAGGCTGAAATGCTCTGTTCTGAATGGGTAACCTTTGAGCTATATCTAGTTCAAACCAAAGATCTATATTCCCTTCACAAATACTTAAACTCAAGTGTGAAATGTGAACAGGGCTTGGCATAACCACCTCAAGTGACTCAAAAATCTAGTGAGGGCTCTGTCTCATTCCACAGTGACCTGAAGGTGCCCATTTCAGCCCTCAGTCTAATTATATTAAACATATCTACATTAAGCCAAACTCAACCAAGCTATTGTGTGATACATTCTGCCTCCCCACAACAAAATCAAGTGATTTCCTTTTTTTACACTCTTAAGAATCACCAATCAATACAGCCTGTGGGCAACCCACCTTCATCATCTGAGGCATCATCTGGATTAAGCATGTTATGATTCTGAATGAAATACAACCATACAATTCTTGGTTTGACTCTGTGGCGACAATGCACATAAACATCTTCAGGAAAGTCCAACCATCTTCTGGCATCACTGAAAATCCACCTAAGAGCATGGGCTTTGGAAGCAGACACGCTCAGGTTCAAACCAAGGCTCCAACTTAGTATTGCACTATCTGTGAAAACCCCTTTGAGCTTCAGTTTGTGCATCTGCAAAATAGGTCACTAATATCTATTTCACAGAGTTACTGACATTATTCAGTGAATTAAAGTGTTCCCTACAGCCCTTAGCCTATAGTAAGTACTCAACAGACCACAGCAATTAATTAAAGCCTCCATTAATTTACTACTTTTCTTTAAGATGAGGTAAAACTGCTGTTAGCTCTAGTTTCTACATCTGCAGCCAAGCTCATGAAGAGAGAAAAGGGGATTTTTAGTCTGAGCTGTGGCCCCGTCCACCCCAACCTAGCACCCTCCTCTGTCCACAATAGCCCATCAAGACCAATCACCATGTATAACTGGAGAAGCTTTTATTGCGGTGAAAATTGCAGAATTGGGGCTAATTTTCAAATCCAGCCCCAATTTCTAGGCTACACTTACTCTTTTCTTGTGAAACCAAGGAGTTAAATTCTTGCTTTGCAGATGGCAGCTTTTTAATAAGGCTTTCAGCCCAAGCCCCTCCCTGCCTGGGTTAAATTTCATCAGCCATTGCCCAGGGACATCTCACTCTTCTCGTTTCAATCTCTCCTTCCTCTGCTCCTTCCAGGCTGTGCTTCCAGCAATCCCCATCCATCCATGCATTCAACAGAATTTTTAAACCACCAATTCTGTGCCAGGCATGGTGCTGACACTGAGAACACAAAGATGCAACCAACCCCATTCACAAGGGGTACTTAGGCTAGTGCCTAAGATAAAGACAGCTATATAGGACTCTTAGAAATCTATGAGACTAGCCTTGTGCTAGGAAAAAGACATGGTGCTTGGGGGCAGAGAAGGGAGGAAAGGAAGATGAGAGGCCCCACCACAGTATTCCCAGATTGAAGAAAATTCCCACCCCAGAGGAGAAAACCATGGCTCCTGCCTTGAGGCTCTTTTTCATTTTTTTGTCACCATTCACTTTCATTGCATTCCCTACAGTCCCCTCTACGTGCTGTGCTAAGTACAGCGGTCAGGAGGAGGGAAGCTGACCTTGAATCAGCACCTTAGTAGAATTCCCTGATTGATATGCTTTGCGTCCCCCTCCCTTATCAGCCCTCTGAACGTATCTCTAACACAGCAGGAACCATCGCTGTGTTTCCTGTCAGTCTCCCCAGCTGGTATGAGAACTATCCAAGAGCAGAAGCCTTATCTAATTTGTATTTCTCTCCAGAGCACCTACCACAGTACCTGGCACATAGCTGTTTGATCAAAGCTTGCTACACTGAACTAAACTGCAGTCCAGATCCTTTGGATAATTTATGCAAGATCACAAAGCTAAGAGGTAAAACCGGCTCAGGACCCAGAGCTCTGACTCATTCATTCTCCTGCACTGGTGACTGTTGATTTTTCCTAGAGGAGACTAGCTCTGGAGGTGCAAGCAGTCATCATCCACGGACATTTTTGTATACTGGCACGACAGATGGGCTCTCCAACTTCTAATCTCTCCTCAAAGCCTTCTCTCACCCAACTTTCTAAGCCTGTGCAGCTAAACCTGAGAAAACTCCCTTACTGGAAACTGTATTTAATTATTACCATTATGCACTTATTCCCCTGGACTCCAAAAATATCAAGAAAAGCCTTGCAAAATTTTTACTCTTTTGCTATCAAAGAAAAACAGAAAAAAGTATTTCTTGTGGCATCTGATAAACTCCTCTCTTTCAAAAAAACTGCATTCTCAACCCCCCTACTTTCACATCTTCTACCATACAGGCTTGGGATATAAGTTTAAAAAAAAGCAAAACACTACATTATTTTGACGGAGGTTAGAAAAACAAAGAACTTCAAGAAAAACAGACTATAGGGTTTCCCAATTTACAAGCAGCGTAACAGCTTGGAAGAGCAAAGGATTAAGAGGACTTGGGTTCAAATTCCAAGGTACTAATCACATTAAGGATATGTTCAGTCTCTTAACCTCTCTAAGCCACTTACTTCATTTGTTAAATGGAAATAAATAATAACTCTTCTTACCAGCATTGCTGGACTAAGGAAGATAATATCTGAAAAAGCAATTATAAACTGTAAAGCACTGTAGGAGATTTATTTTTAGTGGGTGTTAAAAACGCTGACACACACACACTCATCTTCTGCCAATTTCAGAGGGAAACACAAGTACAGCCATGACCATAAAAAGAAACCAGAATGATTTATAGAAATAAAAGCCATAGAACTCGACACCTAATTGGGAATCACAGGCATTTAGTTACCTGAAAAATTACTGGAAGCCAAGAAATAGGAAAAAGATTGCATGTGACTATTAACAAGCGCCTTCAGTGCTCTGTGCCCAGATTCCTTATCTGTGAAGTGGGATAATGAAAACATACCACTCAATTCTCAGGGTGGTTATGAAATTTAAATTAAACAAGTTAATATTTGTAAAACACTGAGATAAACGCCTGGAACTTTTCTAATTTGGTAGACAGGTAGGTAAATAAACAAACAAATGATGATAAACATGTATTTCTCATGTTTCCACAACACCTCTTCAATGAGATTTTCATGGGTCTACAGATAGAAAAGCCCAGTAGGACATCTCAAACTTCACCTGAGTGAGTGAACAGATACCAAGTGTTCTAATCTTTTTATTCTAACAGGGTGCCAGCAGGCAGAATGCCTGGGGGGGGTTTTGTTGTTGCTTTTGTTTTGTTTTCCAGGTGGCAGAGTTGGGAAAGGAGAAAAGGCAAACCAATTCGTGGACTGAGCCTAGAACAGCACTGCTTCCCTCATGAGTAGGATGGCACCGCCTAAAGGCATCCAACATCAATCACCACCTCCACAGAAATGCATGCTCCTTTTATGGAAACGCAGCATTCAGAGTTTTACAACATTTGTACCATGGAAGGAAAGACCAGTGCTGATTTGGTGCCAAACTCAACCGTAAATACAAGGTGTTTTCTTCATTGGTAATTACAGATGAGAACTTCACTTCTGGCATACACACCATAAGGCATTCTTGGTTTACACATTTAAATAAACATACCCACCACGGGTTCCAACTTCCTTCATGCATTTACTTGACCACAGGCACTGAATTCCGACTGGGTGCAGAGGAGTGCCTTGTTGTGGAGGTAAAAAAAGAGAAATCAAGTCCCAGACCTTGAAGATGGCAGTTTAACACCAATGGAGCCCTGTCTTTAGGGGCCTTCTGATCTAACTGAGGAAATAGAACACCAGCACATTATACGTTAAAAATCAATATAAGTGAAATCAAAACAGTTTATGAAAAGATGTTAGAAAAGATGAGTACTCTTCCAGTCAAAAGGAAAGAGAGAGAAATAAGGCAAGATGGAGTGGTCAGAAAAAAACTGATGGGGGTGGAACTGGAAGCTCCAAAGACAGGAAAAGCACAGACTGTCTAGAGGATGGGTACACGTCATCTCCAATCAGCAGTCAGCAACGGGGGCCAACCACAGAGCATGTGTGCAGGAGGCAACTATGGGAAAGGTAAAAACAATAGTGTAGCTGGAGCTGAGGCCACCAGGGCAGTACTGCAACATAAAAGTGGAAATACAGGTAGAGTTGATATGTTACACAAACGGCTTTAATAAAAAGTTTAATTTCCATTGCAGGGATGGAAAGCATAGCTAGAGACTCATCCAGGTATCAGGCAATTAAGAGTTTGGATAATGAGAATTATCCAAAGGAAAAATGAACATACAAAAGATGTCCCAAAGGAGAATGGAAGAGTAAGGGACTGATCAGTCCCTACAGGGTAAATCAAATAGGAGGTTTCAAAGACAAGGGGCTTTGAAAAATAGTAGATAGGATACACTGACATAAAAAAGCAAGCCAGAAAACAAGAGAAGTTGGAGAATTCCATTTTCAATGTATGGGATGTTTTGGTGATGAAGGGACAACCATTTGGAAGAGAAATGGTGATCCTCTGCACAGATAGGACAGTAAAATTGGCAGAGTGGAGGAAACCCCTACAAAAAAGAGGGGATAAATAAAACCTTAAAGATAACCACTACTTAGTGGAGTCAGGAAGAGGAAGAAAGGTTAGTTTAAAAAAAAAAAAAGAGAGGGACAGCATGCACATCCAAGACTTAAGGGCTGTACCAAGGATTTTCAGATGGGATGGGGTGGGTGGCACACCAGGGGGTACAAAAGCACAAACGTCAAGAAGTCCAGGAATGAGAAAAGGACACTAGAATTGTCATTGGATAGGGTGCCAACCGTCTGTGAAAGCCCTAGTCTGAGGACCAAATGCATGCTACATCAAGACCCCAGACTGAAATGAGCCCCTTCCCCACATTCTGTGATTGTCCAAAAGATCAGCTAAGAGGAGAAGGACTGATGGGACAGAGTTTGAGGGAACAGTAGGGCAAGATGGTCTGAACACAATCACCATCCTTCTTCAAGTCTATGTTGAAGAATTAAAAGTTAAGAGGTCACCATCTGGGATACTAGTGCTTCCCCTCACCACAAAACCTACAACGGAAAATACATCTGTAGGTTTTTTGTGTTTTGAGATGGAGTCTTGCTGTTTCCCAGGCTGGAGAGCAGTGGCGCAATCTTGGCTCACTGCAAGCTCCGCCTCCCGGGTTCACGCCATTCTCCTGCCTCAGCCTCCTCAGTAGCTGGGATTACAGGTGCCCGCCACCACACCCAGCTAATTTTTTTGTATTTTTTAGTAGAGATGGGGTTTCACCGTGTTAGCCAGGATGTTCTCGATCTCCTGACCTCGTGATCCGCCCACCTCGGCCTCCCAAAGTGCTGGGATTACAAGCATGAGCTACCGCACCCGGCCACATCTGTAGATATTAAGGGGTGCTCCCACTTTATTCTCAAAACTTCCAATAACTCTTCCATGTTTATTGATATAACAAGAATTGCTAAATTTTTTTTTTTTTTGAGTCAGGATCTAGCTCTGTTGCCCAGGCTGCAGTGCAGTGGTGCGATCATGGCTCACTGAAGCCTCAACCTCCTTGGGCTCAGGTGATCCTCCCATCTCAGCCTCCCAAGTAGCTGAGACTACAGGTGTGTGACATCACACCCAGCTAATTTTTGTATTTTTTGTGGAGACTGGTTTCACCACATTGCCCAGGCTGGTCTCAAACTCCTAAACTCAAGTGATCCGCCCGCCTCAGCCTCCCAAAGTGCTGGGATTACAAGCATAAGCCATCCCACGTAGCCTAAGAATTGCTAAACATCGTAAGCATCTGTGCAGTCTTCTGCAACTCTTCCTTGTACCCCAAAAGTAACACAATAGCATCTCTATAAATGATATGTTTCAGTGAGACCAACAACGCTGATTTCCTATGGTTTTTGTTATTCAATTTAATTCAACAAGCACTGACTGCCCACTATATGCTATCTCCACACCACCTTTCATGTTCTCCCAAGCTCCTGGGGTGGACAAATAGGTTGCTACCCAACACTTAGTATCTGTAAGAGGTAAAGTCAGAAAAAAAATGCACTGTGGTCTCCTTTGCTATATAATATTCTGCCTTCTCTGAAATAAATTCCGTACACTAGCCCCCCTCCTGGCCCAGTTTCTGCACTACTGTGGAAATAAAAAGAAGAACCTGTGCAAAAAGAATTCTCAACCTCAATATTGAAGTCTGGATATTCCAGAAATGAGGACCTCCAGCCCCACAGTGGTCCTCAACTTATACTGTGAATCAGAATAATCTGGGCAGCTTTTAAAAAATATAAACGTCAGTGCCTCATCAGAGATCTGATTCAATGGCGTGGGGTAAGGCTGCCATCACTGTTATTTGTGTTTTGTCTTTTACTGTTCTCAAGCAATCTAATATGCAATCAGGACTGAGAAGCAGCGTATACCCGATTCAGGTGCTTCATCAAACTGACTGCACACCCAAATCACCTGGGGATCTTGTTAAAAATATGTATGTGGTGGGACCTGAGACTCTGCATTTCCAAAAAAAGCTCTCAGGTGATGCTGATGTTGCCAGTTGGTCCATGGACCACAGGTGGAGGAGCAAGGGTATAAAGCCTGGGCCCCAGTCTTTCTTATCAGCCCTCCAAGTGATTCTGACACACCAAAGTTTAGTAGAAAGAGAAGTGGCTTTGGACAGGCTGGCCTGAGTTCCAATCCTGGTCCCAACACTGCCTAATTGTGACCATACCCAAATTACTGATCCTCTTTAAACCTGCACCCATGTATGCAACATGAGAGTTATGGGTTGAATTGCATGCCCCAAAAAGATTTGTTGAAGTGTTAACCCTCAGTACACCTCAAATTTGACCTTATTCAGAGATGGTGTCATTGAAGATATGATCAGTCAAGGTCATACTGGAGTAGGGCGATCCCTTAGTTCAATATGACAATTGTCCTTACAAGAAGATAATGCAACGACAACCCTAGGAGAGAATACCATGAGACAACAAAGTTAGAGACTGAAATTAACAGCTGTGAGATAAGGAAAGCCAAGCATTGATGGCAACACAGTAGCCTTTAAGAGAAAGGCACAGAACACATCCTCCCCTAAAGACTTGAGAAAACATGGCCCTGCCAACCCCTCAACCTCCAGCTTCTCACCTCCAGAACTGTGAGAAAATAAATGCCTGTTGTTTTAGGTCACCTAGTTTACACTATTGTGTTATGGCAGCCCTAGGAAACTAAGACAATTAGATACTAGCATCTCCCTTGCTGAGATGCATGAGACTGAATCAGGTGAAGGTGCTCACCCTGCTGTTCAGGGCAGGATGGATTTCCTTTCCTTGTCAGAGGTACTAGGGATAAGCGCCAGGGAGTTATCATCCCCCTTAAAGGAAAAGTAGCTGCTGAGAGATGTGTCCAGGCATCTGGCCTCTTGGAAGGCATTCACAGGCTGCAGCCACAGCAGCTGGGCCCATTATGTGCATGCACACCCACTCGGGTGCTCCTGCCGGGTTGCAGGAGCAGCTCTGCTCATTATGAGTGGGAACAGTTACAGGCCCGGCTCGCCACAGAGGCCCATTCTGGCCCAGGAGGCTCTGACAGGAAGGCCTCCGGCAGAACTGCGTTAGGAGATGATGTCAAAGTTCAGGGGCCCTCCTGGAGAGGAACAATCAGAACCATCATTGTGACCCTGGCCCTCACCTAGACAGGCTGTCACATGTCGAAAAGAGAGGGATATTCCAAATCTCCCTTGATTACCCAAAATCCATCAACACCATGAGGGCTGTTTTTTTCTTTTTTCTTAAACAGTAAATAATACACAGACAAAGTTTATTCTCACTCTTCAGAATGTACCTGCTCTTAAGCTGTTACACTCCAGCCCCATTAATTTGGTCATCAAATAATCTCAAAGAGACTATCACGCTAATGAGGATAGAGATGAACATGACATAGACCAGACCTGGTGAGAAGAGAAAAAATAATTAATGAACATGTACTGGGTGCTTAGGACATGCCAAATGGACCGCATAAAATCTAGAAAACGGAGATAAGTAACCTGTGCAGGGTTACACAGCTCATACCTAGAAGTGGTAGTAGGGTTTGAATTATGGGCTCTAAGCCCCATTCCCTTCCTACTCTCCCATAGCTATTTCCTATCAGAGTTAGCCAAAGCAAGCGAAATTTAAGACAGTTTTGGGGTAGACCAAAGATCATCGCCATTTTACTCCAGAGCTGTAAGAATGAAATAGCTGCTTCCATTATCCACTTTAGTGTTCCAAAACCAATTCTTCAAAGTAATGCATTTCACATATACTCTCAAGGGATATCCCATGCTCTGACTTCTCCCAGTAAGGAACGGCTTTTGAACAACTGGAGTCAGATCACAATGAGAAAGTGAGTTCTGGACAGTCAGCACTCAGTGAGATCCCCACCAATCCCACTCCCTCAGACAATCACTGGGCTTAACAACAAAGAGATCATCCAGGATAGTTCTCTTTTGATTCATGTTCCACATCCTACATGCCTTTTTCCTAACAATGTCCTTACTTCACCATGTCAGTGGGTTATCTAAAAACGGTGGGTTTTTTGAATGAATGGAATGCCAAACTTGAGGTATCTGCAACAAAAGTGAAAACAGTCAATGTCCTACAAACTAATAAGACAGACAATACTCTAAAGGAAAAACTGAACAAAATTAAACAATATTGTATGAAAGAAACACAGTACATAATAAAATATACCATTATTTAAGCTCAGCTGTTACCAGAAATAAAAATCAAAAAAACTATAAGATATTTTCTACCTCTAAAATAGCAAAGATATTTAAAAACCTAAATATCCAGCACTGATCACAGACTGAGGAAATGACCATTCTCACTACTTTTTTAGTAGAGCAGACATTGGTATTTGGAAATATTATCATAGTTCTTAAAAAAAATATCTATCCTTTAACTGTGCCATTCCACTTCTTGGAATTGGTCCTAAAGAAATAATTATGTATCTCACTCAAGGACATTCACTGTAGTTACTTGTAGTAGGGAAAACCCACTTTAATTGCTCAAAAATAGGCAACCGGTTGAATAACGTATATTTATAAATTAAAAAAAAAAAACCACTTCATAGATTTTCAATGATATGCAAAAATCTTTTTTGTTTTGTTTTGTTTTTTTAAAGAGACAAGGTCTCGCTAACAGCCCAAGCTGGAATGAGGTGGCTATACAGGTGTGAGCATGGCATACTACAGCCCCAAACTCCTGGCTCAAGCAATCCTCCTGCCTCAGCCTCTGAGTAGCTGACTACAGTCATGAGCCATCATTCCCGGCTAATTTTTTAATTTTTTGTAGAGATGGGGTCTTGCTATGTTGCCCAGGCTGGTCTCAAACTCTTGGCATCAAACAATCCTCTTGTCTCAGCTGCCCAAACCACTGGGATTACAGGTATGAGTCACCATGCCCAGCTCATTTTGTAACATTTTGGGACCTGGCCCATAACCAATGTTTTTTGGCTAGCTTTACTATATATCTCATGTAATCCTCATAGCACCCATACAGGCGTTCAGTATAACTGCCCTTATTTTGAAGTTGAACAGAGGTTGGGGAACTTGCACAGAGTTGCTCATCCAAAAGCTAGGCTGTACATATCCAGACCTTATGTTCTAAAACCAGGACTTCTACTAGTAGGACAATGCAGCAGAGTCCTGAGAACAATTTCACATTTAAGTGTCAGCGGTTAGCATACAGACATGAATAAACAGACTTATATCAACGAAGGCAAACTAAAGAGAAAAGCAACAAGATTTCAGACTTGCCTATATTTTTATATCTAGGTCAAAACTTTCTTCATAGGACTATATAGGACTTTTTTTTTTTTTTTTTTTACTATTTTCCCTTTACTTTCCTTTTCTTGATATTTTTATATTATCTTTACCCTTCTCACCCCCAAGCATTTGAGAGGTCAATGACAGTGGCCTAGAGAGAAAATATCCCAGAACAGAGAGTTATTAGTTATCTACCAAACACAGCTTGAGGGAAATCTCCCTTAAAAACACTTACTCATTTTTGTCTTATTTTGGTACTCACCAAACAACTTTCTGATCAGAGAGGTGATCTCAAATAGTCTCCATGTGCCTCAAGGAGTGTCCCAAGCACATGCCCAATGTCCATCACCCTGCAGCCTGACCTCCCATCCCAGAAGCACTTCTAAGTGCCCACCTATCCTTAGTTCCAGGGAAGATTAGTGTTCATGTGTAGTTCATTTGTTCCTTTGTTATTGTTACTCCTGGATCTTTCAGGTTTCTGTAATCATATACTATGGTGCATTTAGATGTTTTGGTTTAACTTGTTTTGCATATAATAAACATTTCACCTATGTTCTACAAATAAATAGGGCTGCTTCCTTGGGCTTTTTATGGCCTTCCTATGGCCACCTAGCTTTATTCTGCCTATTAATTAAGGATGCATTTTCCCACTACTCCCTTATCACTTACTTATAGGAACAGCTTATAACTCAAATGCAAGAAAATATTAGAGAACTGACTTAAATTGGCCCCAAATCTCAATCAAAAAGTTCTCTCCATGATACCCATGCTCTCTGATGCCTAACTTTGTAGACAACTCTAAGATGTTCCATCCCCACACGCACCCACCTGCAACCCATCACTAGTTACAGCCAGGAAAAAAAGCCTACTGATCAGGTATCTTAGTCACAAAACCGTCTATAAGAAGGACCTGCCCACCCCAGAAACTGACAAGGCCCTTATCAGTGCATTCTAGAGATATCCCAGTTCTGCCAGAATCTTCCCTCAGATCAGGAATTAATCTTCAAAAGCCTGAAATGTTGAGAGTAACTCACATCATAACAAGGGGTCCTTCCCTGCTGACTACAAGGAATGCAGGAGAGCAAAGCCTGGGAAACACCAGATACTTTTACTTGATAAAGGTTTCTACAGAAGCCCTGCAAAAGACTCCTGAATTTCCTTAAACATAGACCAAACTTAGGCTGTTATCTGGAAGTTATAAATGAGAGAGGCCAAAAGCTTGGCATTTCCTATGCATGAACCCCATATAAGAAGACAAACACAAGAGTAGCTATCCCTGGAAATCTCCTCTATAGGGTGTCCTAACATCCAATCCATAACGGAGATGAGGGCATTCAGATGCACATATAAAAATAATGCTAATGTGAATATGTGCATACAAGTCTTTGCGTGGACATATGTTTTCATTTCTCTTGGGTAAATACCTAGAAATAGAATTGCTCTACGTTTAACATTTTGAGGAACTGCCAGGCTGCTTTCCAAAGAGGCTGCACCATTTTACATTACCATCAGCAATGCATAAGTCTTCCCATTTTTCACCCCCCTCACCAACACTTGTTATTGTCTTTCTGACCATAGTCACCTGAGGGTATGAAGTGGTAACTCACTGGGGTTTTAATTTGCATTTCCCTAATGGCTAATGTTAAGTATCTTTTCATGTGCTTCTTGACTATTTATACACCTTCTTTATACAGAAGATGCTTAAACAGAGATGTCTATTTAGATCAACTGGCAAAGGTAGTAAAAGTTTGAATCAGTAAATAAAGATACACAAATGAACTTTTTAAGTCCCCATTCATCTGAGATTCTTTAATACTGGGGATATGGGAGATGAACCTGGGGAAATACAAGGGTTCCTTCACTTTATTCCCATTTGTCAAAGTTTAATAGAATTATATTCATTGTCTCTGCCCAGTACAAATTAGGGATAAGGGTCCTATCATTCCCATTTTACAAATTTAAGCTATCATTTACTGAGTACCTACTGTGTCCAAGGGATATGGAGATAAAGATGACATGTTAATCACCCTTGAAAAGTTCACCACCTATTAACAGAGAAAATGAACCCCAAGAGGTAAAATGACTTGCCCAGGCCCACTTAAGCAGAGTGGCAAAGCCCACATCTCCTTGATGTCCATGTCCAAGTATCACAGTCCCATCAGGCTGGGAGAAAACAAAACCTTAGGCTCTGGCCCTGCTGCAGACAGGTCCTCTGAAGGACAGGTAGCAGGCACTGTAGGTAGCACGGCCCCACTCTCCACCCAGGCTCAGCAACATCCAATACAGAGTTTGGGGCTGGTGCCTCAGTCTGTATGGCTGGCCTTTCCCCCAGCCAGCAGTCCAGGAACAGCCCTACAGAGGTAATGAGCTGAAACCTGTAGCATACATGCTGCCACTGCTTAAGCAGAAAGCTGTCACCAACGAGTGATAGATTTAAATAGCAGAGCAAGGACTCAAGCAGCCCTGGCCTGACAGAAGCTGCAAAGCAGCTGGAAGCAGCAGCCCCCCACCAAGGTGGGTCTGTTACGCTGAGCCCCCTGGGCAGGTCCTGGGCTGTAGGGCAGTGTCTGTGTACCAGCTGAGACTCAGGCAGGCCCAACTCGGAGCAATGCCTCCACAGGCCCAGCTGAGCCCAGCCGAGCCCAGCCGTACAACCCAACTGAGCTCGGGCTTCCACATGCTGCATGCTTCTCTCCATACATATCCATGCTGGAGACATGCAGCCCAGGAGACTCTCGGCTTGCATCTGTTGATGCTAATTATCAACCTGGCTGAAAAGCCATCTGGAGGGAGATGTCGGGTGTAAAGGCACACTCACCAGGACTCTGGGTTCCCACCGCCTACCTTCTCTGAGCCAAACTCTTTCTTGTCTGCTCCCTCTCTCAAGGTATTCAAAAGATGCTGGCTTGCACACTCAAAACTTGAACTTGGATGGCCTTGGAAATCATTAGCTAACATAAACTGTATGGTCTCACTCAAGTCACTGTACTTTCTTAAAAAGTATTTCATTTTTGCTTTTCAAATACATTTTATGAATATAGCAAAAATAATAAAAATAAATAATAAAAGCAATGCCAATAAGAATGACACTGGTCACTATGTGCTGAGAGCTTATGTGTCAGGTACTGTCTCAGGAACCAATTCAAGTTACCTCATCTAACTGGCACAACCAGTCCTCGGGGTAGGTTTCATTGTCCCCATTTTACAGAGGAGACTTACTAAAATCAAAGTCATACAGCTAGAGGTAGTAATGTTACATCTAACCCTCAAGTGCATGTACTTTTACAATGTTAATTCCAAACTGAGATGACAAAAATCTCAATTTATTATGTGTGTAAGAGTCTCAATTACATTAAGACAGTTTTGGGCCAGGTGCAGTGGCTCAGGTCTATAATCCCAGCACTTTGGGAGGCCAAGGCAGGAAGATCACTTGAGGCCAGGGGCTTGAGACCAGCGTGGGCAACACAGCCAGGCCCCATCTCTAAACCCCATCTCTTAAAACAAAACAAACCCAAACCCCCAGTTAAATTGGTTTTTAATCCCTGCTTAAGAAAACAGCTAAAATCTCTAGTCTAAAAATAACTTTAAACTGAAATGCCTGCCTTTTAAATTATACACATATAGATGCATTTTAGCACACATTGCATTTTACTCAGTATTTTTTACAGGGATCACCCCTGTAATTCCATATTCTCAGTGCCCAAGGGCGTGATGTTGTACAAGACAGTCCCTTTAAAAAGTCTGCTTTGTTCTTAAATATGGACCACGTCTTACATGCTTCACAACTCTGGTGAAGTAGTACATTTTCATATTTGGAATGTGTACATTATACTTTTTTAAAGGTTTCATTTTTGCTTCTTTTCAAATGAATTTTGTGGATATACCAAAAATTTACAAATCTGTTAATAATATTACCAAAGCTAATTTACCAGTATACTAAGTCAAAAGGCTTGTCAAAGATATTTAGTAAAAGGTGGAAGATTTGGCCAGGCACGGTGGCTCATGCCTGTAATCCTAGCACTTTGGGAGGCCGAGGCGGGCGGATCACCTGAGGTCAGGAGTTCAAGACCAGCCTGGCCAACATGGTGAAACCCCGTCACTACTAAAAATACAAAATTAGGCTGGGCACGGTAGCTCTGTAGTCCCAGCTACTAGAGAGGGTGAGACAGGGGAATTGCTTGAACCCAGGAGGCGGAGGTTGCAGTGAGCCAAGGTCGCGCCACTGCACTCCAGCCTGAGTAACAGAACGAGACTCCGTCCAAAAAAAAAAAAAAAAGACAAAATTAGCTGGGCATGGTGGCGAGTGCCTGTGGTGGTCCCAGCTACTCAGGAAGCTGAAGCAGGAAAATCACCCGAACTCTGGAGGCGGAGGTTGCAGTGAGCTGAGACTGAGTCATTGCACTCCAGCCTGAGCGACAAGAGCAAAACTCCATCTCAAAAAAAAAAAAAAAAAGTGAAAGATTTATACAGTCTGAAGAGAAACCAGAGTATCATTTCAAAGATATCTAGAAAATATTTGCCACTCATTAGAATTATAGCTCTCATCATCAAAACTGGCTGACATTTAAAATAATTTTATTTACTTACAAGCCAAGATTTTATAGCCTCAGTATTTTTCTCCAAAAAACATAATTTTATGAAATTAAGTACATAAATTTATGAAATTAAATGCATATTTAGTTTTTATAATCTTAAACTATAAATGTGAAATATGTTGGCTTTAAGTTTTTAAATCAGACTGCTTTGGTAAAGTAAAGCCGAGAAAGTTCTATATTATATAGCCAGCTCACTCTTCTCTACTTTTAAAGATCAGAAAACAAAGAAATGCTTTCAAGCTCTTTAGCTCTCATGAACAATTTAAATTTAATCTGTGCAACGAAAAACAACTTCCTTCAACACCAATCAAAAAATGATGTATTTTTACCGAATTATCTTCTCAGAAGGCTCTAAAGCTCCAGGTATGTGACACCCACCACACCACTACTCTTTCTCCAAAGCTTAATAGGAACCATTAGGGAACTGTCCCTTAAACCAGGCGCATCATACAATGGTTAGCAAAAAAGAGGTAGATAACTGCAACATATCCTTCCCTTTTTTGAGTAGGAATGTATCCCTTAAATGAGGAAGAAAAAGGCAAAAAGAAATCAAAGATCCTGCAAGGTGATGCTGTGTCCAGGTGGCATGCCCTTTTATTCCAAATGGCATGCAGGTCTCAAATCCCATGGCCCACCCCTGAGGATACGGTGAGAGACCTGGGCCCAGGCTTGCTTTCAGTCTTTCACTACCCAGCAGCCGGTGATCCTTTCAAAACCTAATCAGATCACACTCCCGCTCAGAGTGAAAGCCCATATCCTTACAGAGGGCTATGAGGCTTTGCAAGATCTGAGCTCTGACCTCCATGCTGGATCCTCTTCCCTGCTGACTCCACTCAAGCCACGGAGGCCCACCAGTCCTCAAACACATGAGGCATGCCCGAGCTTTGATGTCTGTGGTGCTCTCTGCCTAGAAGACTCTTCTGCAAATGTCTGTCTGGCTTATCCCCTCAATCCCTCATCTTCTTCAGGTTTGAATCCTCCCTATCTTCCTTCCCTGCTTTATTTTCCTCTTTATCACTTCCACCACCTAACATACTTACATATCTTCCTTATTGTCTATCGCCCCCACTAGAATGTAAGCTCCATGAGTTCACCAACTCTTGTCTGTTGTTGCTCACTGCAATATCCCCAGTGCCTAGAGTGGCATCTGACATATCCTTGGCACTCAATAAGCATCTACTGAATGAAAGAGGCACTGTGAAACCATGCCCCAGAGGTAAGCAAAATCAGGCCAGTCCTTACTAAGTAGAGTTGCTATATAAAATATAACCACGGCATGGGATATACTCATACTAAAAAATAACTTTTTGTTTATCTGCAATTCCAATTTAACTGGGCCTCCCGTACTTCTATTTGCCAGGTCCGGCAATCCTACTCCTAACTCCAGTGAGAGAATGGGCAAATCCAGACCACTCTGGTCAGCTGGGAGAGGCAGAGGTCCAAGGACACAGCCAGAAGACCCAGTGAAGAACCATTTCCTCTCCTCTGGCCTTTGTCATTGAGGATCCATGGTGGTCTGGGTTCTGCCAGCTTTAGATAGAAAAACAAGCCAGTGCAGTCCGAGAAAGCTACCAGGCAGAGCATTCATCTCCACCTGCTCTACTCTCAAATAAAGAACACCTTCTCTGCCTAAATCCCCATTTGGCTTGGTCTCAGCAAAGCCCAGCTGCTCATGTCCCCTCCCACCCTGTGCTGTGACTGTGGACACCTGGGAGACAAGTAACTATGCCCTGCTCCGTCACACACCTGTCAGGAGCCCAGGGCCTTGGCTCCCCTCCACCTCCAAGGCAGAAGATTGCATGGCTGAGTTGCTGAGCTCTATCTGGGGCTACAGGTTTGCAGAGTAGGATGCTGCTCTCGTGATTTGTATGTTACCAGCATGCCATCTTACGCTACGTGCAAGAGACAAATGTATGTTGGAAAAAAAAACTAAGTTAGTAAATTATGACATACCCACCCTAGCTACTGAAAATCAAAGTTCCTGGATCTAGGTTCTGAATAGTCATGGATTGTCAGAGATATGCTCACGATGTTATTCCCAGGTTTTCCATCTCCTGGACCCTCCAACATGGGAGATCCCTGAGGTTTCTAACCTCTAGATACCAAGATCCACAGACCAAACCTCCAAAGACCAAGATCTGTAAGTTCCCGGAACCTAAAGTCATGTGGGCCATAGGACCAGGACGGTAGGGGATGAGGGAATATCACCTGGCATAGGAATAAGAATTGAGCCAAAAGTGAAGGCACAGGAAGGAAGATTATATATCCTGGTTTGCCTAAGGTTTATTTCTGTTTTCCTGGTGTCATTGTTAACATTGCCCCCATTTATTCTCTGAAGTGTCGTAGTCTGAACATTAAATGATATGGTCATTATAGGCACCAGCCAAACTGGGAACAACCTCTGTGCCCTGGAACCCAGGACCTGTGGGACAGGAGGAAAGAGCCATGCAGGAGCAGCTGCAACCAAGCTGGGCCAACTCGCCCTCAGAACTGGAACCGGGAAAAGGGCATCTCTGGGCAGCAGCTTCCAATCTGAAAACTGAGGAGGCTGGGCTGATCTCTCCAGATCCCTCCAGCTCTGTGTCTAAGAGAGCAGCTGGGAAGTTACTTGTCCTACTCTCCTACCCCCACTTACCCAGAGCACATGCAGGCCCACACGTTCCCCACGGCTCCCAGGCACAGGCCACCAGGAGCCCGGGCCCTGGCTCAGAAACATCCTCACATTAGGGTGTCAAATGACTGAAGAGTCAGTCTTTGATCTGACACAGAGAGAGGGCAGGGCTTGCTGCATCTGGCAGGTCATGCCTACCATCTCTGGGTTTTCTCCAGTCTTCTCCACACTCATGCTGACCCCAAGAGAGCAAGCTGGAGCAGATTTCAAAAGGGAGCTGATTCTCCAGGATCCCCTCACCCTGCACTTCTCAAGCGATAGGAGCTACAGTTAACATGGGTGGCTAAAGCCTTGCAACTGAAACTCCAAACGGAGCTCAGCAACACTCCCAGGGAGGCTGGGAAGAAGGAGATCACACATGGAGCGTAGGCCAGCTTTGACTTAAGGAAAGGGAAGGAGGAACTAGGATCCTGGGCTGACCCATTAACTCACCCTAGGGGGCCACAGAAAGGAACATGCCAAGACATCAGCACCCCTGGAACTTGCAAGAAAATCATCTGCTTCCATCAACACACCACCAGGAGACAAATACTTCAGCACACTTAGTAAACATACGTGAATTCAGACTCCCCTGCTCCTGCATCTGTAAGGTTTCATATGACATGGAAGATGCTTACTCAAGACAATGACTCTTAATGCTTCCAATGGATTCTATCCTAGCCTTTCTTCCTTTCTGTCCTTTCCCTCTGTCTCCTAGACAAGCTTATCCACTTCCAGGGTCTCAACTCCAAACCCTGTGATGATGTTTTCCAAACTGTTCTCAAATCCAGAATGCTGAATTGCCCAGTGCCTGCTGGCGCCCTCCCCATGAAGTGCCCCAAAGCACTGCAAACTCCATACAACTCAAAACTCATTACCCCAACTCTGGCCCTTACAACTTGTCTCCCCTGCTGTACAACTGTGTCTATAAATGGCACTGCCATCCATGCAGATGAAAAATCTTCATCTTCTCCCTCATCAGAAAACCCTACAGAGCCCTCTCATCTCTAATACACCTAATCTAAATGCCTAATCTCTAATATACTGATGTAAAATGTCCTTCCCATCCATCCCCTCCTTGTCACTCCCATAACCTCTGACCTAGTTCAAGCCCTCCTCATCTCCTACCAGAAGTGTTGTAGTGTCAGCCTCCTTATGGGAGATAGAGCCTCCAGAATAATTCTCCTCAAACACTTGTTGAATATCCTAAAAACAAGGGCTCCCATCCCCCCTTCCTGTGTATATGCTGCATACACAGAAAAGTTGAGAACCTCTAATCTTACTGTTCGAACATCCTTGCCTGGCACTTCACTCCCGTAACCTCTCAGCTTACAAGCCACCCCACACTCCATCCACCCTTCTAGACATCCCACATGCTTACCAGCCTCCTTACTACTCCTGAAAACACTGTATTTTCACATCTCTCTGCCTTCAGCTTTCTCTCTCTTCCACTTTGTCCATCCCTGAGGGAAAATTCAGCCTAGTGGTTAAGACTGTGAGCTGTCTTAGCAATCAGACATGGAAGGTTTCTTGGAATCACAGCTCCACCACGCAGTAGCCATTCGACCTTGAGTGTCAGTGTGTGACCTAAACATCTGAGAAGCAACTCACCAGGTTTCCCCCAAAACTGAAATGGGAAATTCCCTCCACAGGTATATCCTTGAAAAAAACACTGTGAGAGGTGTTCACAAATAAATGCATCTTAGCAGAGAACCTTCCTCCCTATTGGCACGTGTCTTCCAAGTTCTAAAGGAGGAACCACTGTTAAGTAGCACAGGGCATCCACAGCGCCAACTGCAAAGCTTTTACCAGAACTAACTTCCAGAGCATGAGGGCTAGGCTCTAGCCATCTCCTGTAGGGAGGCTCAAACATTCAGGCCCAAAGACACCCTGCAAAAATCAAAGCTGGTCAGCCATGGGCTGACTGTGGGAAGATAAGTTCCCCCAGACACTGCCTTAAAAAAAAAAAAAAAAAAAAGGCACAAAAACTAAAACTCTGGCCTTTGTCATACAGTGATTTAAAAAGAAAGTGCGCGCACACACACACACACACACACACACACACACACACAAACCCTTACCTGGTTTAGTGACTTCTAGACACAAAAACTCTGGCTTTTATCACACTGACGGTGATTACTCTTTTGTGAAGAAGATACTGTTTAGTGACATCTGGATCCCCAGACCCAAGTTCAACCACATTTTAAGGGTAACTACATTCAGGTTTACTAGACACTTTTAGGGTATCAGGCTCTTGCACCACATAACTTCATTCACCTTCTCCAAAAGCAGCACTCAGCTCCTACCATACGGCTGCCACAGATTCAGTCACCTTCTCCCTCACCTGGTATCTGAGTTAACTTGTATGTTCATCTACTCTCTCAGCATTTTCCTTTCTTTCCATCTTTGCTACTATAAACGTGCTCTGCACATGAAGTCAGAGAGTTACTATTACATTGGTAGCTAACATTTACCAATTTATCAAGGCCAAGCATGATGCTGAGCATATACACTGATACTACCTTTATTGTGATATAATTCATATTTCATACAGCTCACCCATTTTAAGTGTACAATTCAAGTTTTTACTACATTCACAGAGTTGTGTAAGCATTACCGTAACTAGTTTTAGAACATCTTAATCACCCCAGAAAGAACTCCATACCCATTTGCAGTTACTCCCTATTTTCTCTCAAATCCTCCAGTCTCAGGTAACCACTAATCTGCTTCCTGCTTCTGTAGACTGACCTATTCCGGGCATTTCGTATGATTCATATGATTCCATGTATAAATGGAATCGTACAATATGTGGTCTTTCATGAATCTTCTTTTCATTTAGCACAGTTTTCAAGTGTCATCCATATTGTGGTACATATTAAGACTTCATTCCTTTTTATTGCCAAATAATATTCCATTGTATAGCTATTACCACATTTTATTTACGCAGTCATCAGCTGATAAACATTTGGGTTGTTTCCACTTTCTGATTATTAGAAATAATGCTGCTATAAATATCCATGTACAAGTTTGTTTTGTTTTTTGAGACAGGCTGGAGTGCCGTGGGGAGATCTCTGCTCACTGCAACCTCCACCTCCCAGGCTCAGGTGATCCTCCCACCTCAGCCAGCTGAGTAGCAGGGGCTACAGGTGTGCACTACCACGCTTGGCTAATTTTTTTTTTCTTTTTCTTTTTTTCTTTCTTTTTTTTTTTTTTTTTTTTGTACAGACGAGGTTTCACCATGTTGCCCAGGCTGGATTCTAACTCCTAGACTCACACGATCTGCCCACCTAGGCCTCTCAAAGTGCTGGGAGCCAACACACCTACCCCTAATGTACAAGTGTTTGTATGGACATCTGTTTTCATTTCTTTTGGGTCCTATAATAACTCTATGGTGAGTCTTTTAAAGAACTTCCAGACTGTTTCCAGAGTGGTTATGCCATCTTTATAAACCCACCAGTGACCTGTGAGGGTTCCCATTTCTCTACATCCTCCCTAACACTTGTTATTGTCTGTTTTTTTTTTTTTAATGATAGCCATCCTAAGAGATATAAAGTGATATCGCAGTGTAGTTTTAATTTGCATTTCCCTGCTAGCTAATGGTTTTGAGCATCTTTGGTGTGTTTTTCAACGTATGTCTTTTTTAAGGAAAGGTCCAGTCAGATCCTCTGTCCATTCTTTAACTGGATAGTTATCTTTTTATTAATGGCAAAAGTCCTTTATATATTCTAGATACAAGTTGCTTACTAGATTTATGATTTGAAAATATCTTCTCCTGTTCTCTGGATTGCCTTTTCATTTTCTTGATGATATCCTTTGAAGCAGGAAAGTTTTTTAATTTTCATGAATTTTCTCTATTTTTACTTTACCACTTATACTTTTGTTGTCACATCTAAGGCTTTGCCTAATCCAAAGTCAGAAAGACTCATTCCTGTATTTCCTTCTGGAGTTTCATAATCATAGCTTTTACATCTATGATCATTTTCTAGTTAATTATGATATATGATATGTGAGGAAGGGATCCGACTTCACTCTTCGCATGTCTCAGCATCATTTGTTGAAAAGTCTATTATTTCCTATTGAATTGTCTTGGTATATCTGTTGAAAATCAATTGACAATAAATATAAGGGTTTATTTCTGGACTTGTGATTCTACTCCATTGATGATATGTCTAATTTATCCCAGTACCACACTGTCTTGATTCAGACTGTAGCTCTGTAGTAAGTTTTGAAATCACAAAGTGTGAGTCCTCCAACTTTGTTCTTCTTTTTCAAGATTGTTTTGGCTATTCTGGGTCTTGAATTTCCATATAAATTTTAGAATCAACTTGTCAAAGAAGTCATGGGATCCTGGGATTCTGATAAGGATTTCACTGAATCTGTAGATCAATTTGTAGGTACTGCTGTCTTAGCAATGTTAAGTCTTCCAACCCATGAACACAGAATGTCTTCCAATTTATTCGGTTATTTAATTTATTTAAACAATATTTTGTAGTTTTGGAGGTAAATGTTTTTTGCTCTTTTGTCACATTTATTCCTGTGTATGTTGTTCTTTTTCACACTATGATGAATAAAATTGCTTTATTTCATTTTCAGGTTGTTTGCTGTTAAGTACAGAAATACAATCGAGTGGCAGGCACAGTGGCTCACACCTGTAATCCTGGCACTTTGGGAGACCGAGGCAGGCGCATCACCTGAGGTCAGGAGTTCGAGACCAGCCTGGCCAATGTGGTGAAACCATGTCTCTACTAAAAATACAAAACTTAGCTGGGTATGGTGGCAGGCACCTGTAATCCCAGTTACTCGGGAGGCTGAGCCAGGAGAATCGCTTGAACCTGGGAGGCGGAGGTTGTAGTGAGCCAAGATCGCACCACTGCAGTCCAGCCTAGGTGACAAGAGCGAAACTCCATCTCAAAAAAAAAAAAAAAAAATTTACAATTGAGTTTTATATTTTTATGTATTTATCTTGTATCCAGAAACCTTGCTACAATTGTTTATGAACTTTAATAGTGTTGTTTTACTTTTTTAGCTACATACAAGATCAAATAGAGACAGTATAGTTTGACTTCTCCCTTCCCAATCTGAGTAATTTTTATTTCATTTCCTTGTACAATTGCTCTTACTCCAGTATAATATTGAAGGGAAGGAGTAAAAGCAGACATCCTTGTCTCGCTCCTGATCTTAGAAGGAAAGCATTCAGTCTTTTACTATTACATACATTTGCTTAGATTTTTCACAGATGCCCTTTAGCAGGTGAGAGGCTCTCTTCTAATCCTAGTTTGCTGATTATTTACATCATGAAGGATTTTGTGAAATCCTTTTTCTGTATCTGTTGAGATAAAAATGTGGTTTTTTCTTCACTCTATTGATATGGTGTGTTACGTTAATTGATTTTCAGATGTTAAACTGACCTTGCATTCCTGGGATAAATCCCACTTGGTCACTGTATATTAACCTTTTTATATGTTGCTGAATGGGTTCATATTTTGTGGAGGAGTTTTATATCTATATTCATAAGGGATATTAGTTATTTTCTCATGATATCTTTGTCTGATTTAGCTGTCAGGGTAATAGTGCTCTCAAAGAATGAACTGGGTATTCTAAGTATTTTAATGTATTATCTAATTTAATCTTCACACTGAAGTTGTGAGATGGGGTGCCAATATTGGTCCCATTGACCAGATGAGGATATGGAGGTTTAGCAATATTAGTCATGGTTACACAGCCAGTGAAGTGGCAAAGCCAGGATTTAAACCCCAACAACCCTTATTCCCAACCCTGTGCCCTTTACCACCACCAATGAAGAACTTACTCCCATAGGCTAATAAGCCCCTTATAAATCAGCCAATGAGCTAACCAGATTTTGTATCCTGGAAACTCACCCTAACTCAACACCCTTCTGAACTCTACAGTGAGAGTTTACTTAGTTCATTGCTCCCGGTAACTGTATCATTCAAGATCAACAATGTCATCTTAGAATAATCAGTGGTGGAAGTGATTTTCAGACAACTAAAACTAAACCCACAGTCGATCTGAAAAAAGTAACATTTACACACACACACACCCCTACCACTTAGAAACATCTCAAATAAGCTTACAAACATATTATGTCCAGTATACACCAGGGAAAAGAAATGGTCAAAGACTAACTTTTCTAGGATTATGCTTTACTACTGTGAACAAATTACTCTAGTTCACAACATCTCAGGTGTAAGATCAATATGGTTATGATGGAAAAGTGTAAACAGGGGAGTGGGGTCTTGCAAATGACTTAATTCTCCTAAGTTTTGTTTCACCAGGTGGTTTCTCAAGATAAAACAATCTAACAGAAAACATCCTGGTCTCTGTGCTTCAGTTTCTTATTTATGAAATCAAAATTCTTGCCCTTGTTGTTTCATTAAAATGTTGTAAATGTCATAAAAATGCCAAGAATGTAGGAAAGAAAACTCTTGAGAGGCACAAGATGGAATTTTATTACCAACAACTTTCACTAATTCAAACATTTTTTGGGGGCCTAATGTGTGCCAGGGACCATACTGGAGGCTGAGCAGCACTGGCCCTTGAAGAGTTCTCAGTGGGTACAGACCCACAGAAACAGAGCCTGACAGTGCTTACTACAGTTTAAAAAAAAAAAAAAAAAAAAAGAGTCTGATGAGGCCTTTAATGGACAGTTAAAAGTCATGTGCTTTGGAAACATAAGAGAGGGAAAAATTAGCTCTGCCTGTGGAGATTAAGGAAGGCTTCAGAGAGGATGGAGTGTTTTTTAACGACCAGTAGGAGTTTACAAAGCAAAAAACAGGATGAACGGTATCCCAGACACCAGGAAAGCCCATTCTTTCTTTTCTATTGTTTACCTGGAACCAAAACTCTCTTCCACCCTAGCCAGGCAGCAGTAAGAACATCCAGGACTGGAGCCAGGATAGGAACCCCAGAGCCTGAGCTCTTAACCACTACTTTCATGATTAAATATAATCAACGATTACAATCAAATGAGAATCTGACCCAGGGCAACTTACTAAACCTCTCTAGGCCATGGTTTCCTCATCTGTAATGTAAGATAATAGTAGCTATTCATAAGACTTGTTAGAAGGTTTAAATGGGTTAATGCTAAGTGTTCAGAACAGTACCTGGCACATTGCAAGCATAAATATTCATTATTGCAAAAATTCATTGCAAGAACAAATATTCATTATTATTATTTTGACTGTCACATCACCTGCCCTGGTCAGTCCAGGCCTTACTAAGATTCATACATTTCAAAAGGTCCCTATCACAATGCGTATGTTCAACCCACTTGACAATTCCCTTCACCTAACAACTGTTTGTGGTTGCTGTCTAAGGACATATGGGGACTGAGAGAATGCTTCCTAATACACATGGTTTACAATCCAAGTAACCTAAATAGCATCTTTCATAATCAGGATCATATCACCATTGCATTTTGTGTGTTGCTGTGAGACAGAAAATACAAGGGCACATCTTAGTACAGAGATTGCAGTAACAGTTGAATAAACATGCAATCCGATACCTCACATCTGGCATGTCATCATCCCCAATATTTTACTGACAATCAAATATGTTTAAGGCTGTGGCTACTTTATAGGTACAAATGTCCTTATCAGGACATTATCATGCACCAAACCTCTCTCAATAAAAGCTGTCATAAACAACAATCTCTTCTAAGCGGTCATGGAAGCTACTGTGTTTGTAATAGAACCATTCATCTAAGAGACAGTTGCCAAAGCCCGTCTCAACAAAATATCGGGCAAGTCACAGAGCACAGAGGCAGACCCAGGGAAGAGGGTAGGCATACAGTGAGCAATTGGGACCTTTGTAAATGGCCAAAAAAACTCAGCTTATTAACATATGTTAAATATTACCCCAGAAGCTGTAAAACTTTGGGGTGACAAATATTTCCCCCAAAGGCGGGGGGACTACAATGCAATAAAGAAAAAATTTTTTAAACAAATTAAACATCCTGGGCAGCAGGTTTCGCTATCACACCTTTAAGACTGTGTTCTAAAAGGCTAAGAGGGAGAGGAGAGTACATTGACACAAGAACAAACTTTAAAAAAAAATAAGGCTGGGTGCGGTGGTTCACGCCTGTAATCCTAGCACTTTGGGAGTCCAAGGCAGGAGGATCACCTGAGGTCGGGAGTTAGAGACCAGCCTGGCCAACACAGTGAAACCCCATCTCTACTAAAATACAAAATTAGCCGAGCATGGTGGTGCATGCCTGTAATCCCAGCCACTGCGGAGGCTGAGGCAGGAGAATCACTTGAACCCGGGAGGTGGAGGTTGCAGTGAGATGGTGCCATTGCACTCCAGCCTGGGCAACAAAAGCAAAACTCCATCTCAAAAATAATAATAATGATAATAATAATAATAATAATAATAATAATAATAATAATAATAAATATCCAAATGGGCTTTGAAGAACAAATTTGATTTTATTATTTAGCTAGAACTGAAACATGAGGAAAGGGAAGGTAGGCAGACAGAATTATCTGCAGGGTATGCATAGCAGGTCACTATCAAGCCGATCAAACACATTCGGATTGCAAGTTTATTTTATTATAATTAAAAATTATAATTAAATGAGAATCTGTAGCACACTGTAAAGTACCCAGTGTTTTTGTTCTCTAAAATCTACCCACCTCTGTCCAAAGGCAGCACAAATACAAGATTACTTGCCAGGAATCTATTACAAAGGATAACATGGCCATCAAAAACATTACTGGCAGAGAGAAGCCCCCAACCCTCTAGGAATAAACCACGTCTACTCTCATGTACAAGCTGAACGAAAAATACTCAGCAGAGATGTGGATCCCGTTCATTCTATTTGCGGTGTGAGCCTATGCACATTCAAGGAATGGATGTGGACGTCTTCCTTTCTCTCTCCCATCACCATCTTACCATAATACATGAATGTTGGAATTATGCGTCTCTGAGCTGGGCCAGCTGACTGACACACTCAAGTGGCCAGGGCACCTGTTGAAGTCCCGGACCAATGTCCTAAAACCTATAATAAGAATGCCCTGTTCTCCTCCCCCGCCCTAGCACTGCCACTCTCTGACCACCTGTCCCCTGAGCTTGATACCTCAGCCACCCACAAGTGGAAGGGAGAGATGCTCTCCAAACACCCCTGCACCCCTCCCTGCCCACTGTGACCCTGCCGTAACTTCCCCGGGTGAACCCCCCGCCGCCAGTAAACACCACACCACAGTGGACCCAGGCAATATGGTTTGCTTTCTAACTCTTGCTATTTTCCACATTTTTCTTTAATGAATATCCTTTACTCAGAACCAGAGGAAAAAATAAACTTGACACAATTATCTTTTTTCTTCTGATTCCAAAAGTAACATATGTTTGCGATTGAAAAAATCCCATTAATACAGAAACATAATAGAAACCGAGTCTCCTATAATCCCATCTCCCTGTGGCAACCACTATTAGTAGACTGTAAATTCCTCCAGATTTTTTTCTAGGATCCTCCCAACGAACACACTTCTATATTTAGATTTATCAAGTTGAACAGTCTCTAAAATAGCACCTTTAGTGAGAGACCAACAGAACACTACCATCAATAATGATCATTTATTTTAAAAAGACCACTTTAAACACATACTATCACTGGAACGGGATAAAATACATAACAACAATAATAAATCAGAGACACGCTTTCACGTAAAATGGAAGGCCACAGCAGCAGATGAGTGAGGAACTGAAGCTCTAGAGGTGGGGGTCCGGTGGGGATGAGAACAGAGAAACATCGTTGAATCCAGGCCTGTGCTGCTAAGAACACAAATGTCCACCCACTCTCTACTTCCCTCTGATGCTGCGGAGGGCCACTGTGAGGGAGGCCTGATGAACCTCTGCCCAGCAACAGTCCCTTCCATCATTTGTGGCTCTGATCTCTAAAAGTCTGCCCTGGAGCTCCCCGTCCCCCTGTTCTTTGACAGAAACCCTAAGAAAGGAGGGCTCAGCTCAATTTCTCCCTTAACCACACAGCCCTCTAACTGAACTAGGGATGCTTAACTCTGTTTGATGGTTCCATAGTGTTCTTTCCTACTTTTCCAACAAGTCCTGAACAGGCTTAACTTCTAAAAGCATTACTTTTTTAAAATATGATATAACTTCCTTTTTTTTGACTTTTAAGTTCAGGGGTACATGTGCAGGTTTGTTATATGGGTAAAGTCGTGTGATGGGAGTTTGTTGTACAGATTATTTTGTTGCCCAGGTATTAAGCCTGGTACCCATTCGTTATTTTTCCCAATCCTCTCCCTCCTCCTACCCTCCATCAGGCCCCGTGTCTATTGCTCTCATCTATGTGTCGGTGTCCATGTGTTCTCCTTATTTAGCTCTCTCTTACAAGTGAGAACATGCGATATTTGGTTTTCTGTTTAAATTAATTAAACCATTAATTTTAAGAATTCAAAGAACTTCTTCATACATAATTACATTTTCTCTCAACATTGCTGAGAGGTAGAAAGAAACATGCTGACTTACCAGCCCCATTCTACTGGTGATGGCAACAAGGCTCAAAGAGCTTGTATGGCTGGCCCATGTAACTATAACTATACATCACAAACAGGTATAGTTTTGGACCAACTGAAGAATTTGGGAAGAGGAAGGTAGAAATGTTGGCATTTTCTTCTGACCTTGATATACCTCCTGTCCCACTGTTCTGCTCTCTGCTTTTAGACACCACTTACACTCTATCAACATCTTTCCATGCATATCCATGGGGCCATGTACTCCTCAAAGAAATCCCTCAGCACCTGGTTTACTTCGGTACCTTCTTTAAAAATGCACACTTTACCACTGTGAAGTTCAGCATCTAAGTGATTAATCAAGTCACTGTGGATGAGCTTCACAGTGCCTTGCTTCCTCATCTCCCATGTCCATCGCCCACATTCACATCAGTTGACCGTATTTGTGGCCACACCTCGAAACTCATCCCCTGAAATCTTTCCATCTCTAATCTCAGTGCTGCCTCTCCCATGCATGACCAGAGCCTCCTGTCCTGCCTCCTCTCCTACATGCACCAGAGCCTCTGAACAGCATGCCTCATGGCCTACCAGCCCCTCCAGCTTCACCCTGTCACTTTCCCAACTTAGACTCCTACGACCAAGCCATAACAACTGTCAAAATATGAATAAACCCAATAACCTTCTTGTAAAGAAAATCACAGAATCATGACAATGGGTTCCCTCACAAGTAATATGCATCACAGACCTACATTTAAAACATACAACTATAAACTCTTAGAACAAGACACAGGAGAAAATTTTCAGGACCTAGGGCTAGGCAATGAGTTCTCAGACTCAACACCAAAAGCATGACTCACAAAAGGAAAAACTAATAAATAAGACCTCATCAAAATTAAAACTTTCGCTGTTAAAAGTTTTGCTCTGCTAAAAGTTCTTTTGCTTTGCCCATGAGAAAAGATGAAAAGATAAGCTACAGATAAGGAGAAAATCTTTGCAAACCACATATCCAAAAAAGGGAGTTGTATCTAGAAAAAAGAATTCCAAAAACACAACAGTAACAACATAAACCCTCCAATTAGAAAACGAACAAAAGACATGAACAGACATTTCACTGAAGAGGATATACAGATGGCAAATAAGCACATGAAAAGATGTTCAACATCGTTAGTCTTTAAGGAAATGCAAATTAAAACCACATGAGGTATCAATTACACACCTATCACAATGAAAATAAACAATGGTGATGACACCAAATGCTGGTGAGGATGCAGAGAAACTAGATTGCAGGTGAGAATGTAAAGTGGTACAACTACTCTGGAAAACACTTGGGCAGTTTAAAAGAAAAAAATACTGAATGTACAAATACCATATGAGCCAGCAAATGACACTCGTGGGCATTTATCCCATGTAAGTGAATACTTAGTTTCATACAAAGACCTATACGTGTATGTTCACAGTGGATTTGAAATGCCTGAACACTGGAATCAGCCCAGATGCCCTTGAACAGCAGAATGGTTAAACAAACTGTGGTACATACACACCACAGAATACTACTCAATGATAAAAAGGAACAAACTTGATACACACAACCTGGATGAATCTCCCGGGAATTAAGCTGAGTTGAAAAAAAGCCAATCCCAAAAGGTTCATGTAGTCTGATTCCATTTATATAACATGTTTGAAATGACAAAATTTTATAAACAGAGGACAGATCGGTGGTTGCCAGCAGTTAGGGAGAAGGGCAACCCGGGTCCTGTGGTGTTGGAGCTGTTCTGTATTCTGATTGTGGCGGTGGAGACATGAACCTGCACAAGACTAACACACAACAAGTAGTGTACACAACTTAGTACGCACACACAAACGAGTTCAAGTAAAACTGGGAAAATCTGAGTCGTATCACTGGGTTGTGTGGATGCCAATATCCCGCTTGTTGCAATATTACACTCCAGTTTTGCAAAATGTAACCATATTGGGGGGAAATGGGCAACATGCATAAAGGATCCCTTTGGGTATTATTTCTTACCATTGCATGTGAATCTACAGTATCTCAACAAAAATTTCAAATAAAAAAGAAAGTAATACTCTCTGCTAATACTCACTGCTGAGTAGTTCTTTTAATCATCCCTGTCTGTCAATGATAACATCTATACTGTACATCTGTACTAAGCTTGCTCTACTTTTCAAAAGCCCACAATAACCTTCATTTGAGAGAAGCAATGAGGCCCCCTCTCGGCCCTCCCCCCATCCTCCTCCATTCTGCATCAGAGGAAAAGAGGCTCCTTTCCCTTTAAAGTCTCTTCTGGGTTTTGCTCCATCAAATACATCCTCAACTCATAAATTCTTTTCCCCAACTAACCAAATGGCCAAGTGTCTCCCCTGTCCTAGAAAAAGTCTTCTCTTAATTTGTTCTGCCCTTCAGGATACCGTGTCTCCTTCCATGCATGGTCAAACTCTCTGAAGACCTGGTCATGGTAATGTTCCCTCTAGGTAGAAAGTGAACATAAACTGAAGAATGAAACTAGCGTCATTCATTTCCTGCACCAAAACCTCATAAAGACTGCTTCAAATGTTAGCCTCATTCTCTGCTCACTTGTTTATCACTCTAAAAATGTGGTCCTGTCTTCTTGGACCCAGACTGCAGCTAGCCCAGCAGCTCTCAAACCTGGCTGATCACCCAAATGACTCAGGGAGCATTTAGAAATACAGTTTCCCAGGCCATACTCCCAGATATTCTTAGTCAGTAGTTGTTTTGTCTTTTAAGCTCTTTGAGTGTTTCTGTTGATAGTGAGCCTTGGGAACCACTAATCTGTCTTCCCTTTTCTGAAAAAGGCAATCACTTTACTCTCCCAGTGCTACAGACATTCCATTTAATATCCATGCCAGTTTTGCCCTTGATAAATTGTGAGCCTGGGCATCACAGGCCATTATCAGATCACTTCTCTGATGATGAGGCTCCAAACTACCCCTGCAACTTCAATCTGACTGAGCTCTAGGCAGGAATTTCCAACTCCTTACAGGTCATCTCCATCTGGATGGTCATCCAGTACATCAAGCATATGACAAAACTTAACTCCTCATTCCTCTCTTCTCTACAAACCTGCTTCTCCTGCCTCCACTCCCCATCTCGCTTAACAGTACCACCATCCTCCCAATGAGCCAGAAGTGGAACCTGAAATCAAACTCCTTCTTTTTCACAAATCTCATCCCATCAGCCAATTCTGTTGGTTTTATCTCTGAAACTCCCTCCTCCTACCAGCACCGCCTGCATCCTAGTGCAGGCCTCAGGCTCTCCTACCGGACTACTGTAACAGCCATCTAACTTGTCTTCACGCCTTCAGATCTAGTTTTGTCAAACACAGGCTGAGACATGTCATCTCTCCTGAAAAAAATGTAATGGCTTCCGTCTGCCCCCAGGATGAGTGCCAGGCACCTTGGCATGGCACTCGGACCCGCAACGACACAATGCTGGCTCCTGTACCCCTCCCCCAGGAGATATTTTCATTTCTAAGCACATCAGGGCTGTGCCCTTCCAGGCCTCCATGCCTTTATCACATGTTCCTTCAGCCAGAATGCCCTTCCCTTCTCCTTTTCCCCAATGGGGCAAGTCTGAACCTGTGCTCCAGAACTTGCCTGAAGTTACATGCAACAGTCCTAAAACTACATACAAATATGTGATTTTTCTGGGGGAAAGGGTCCATAGCTTTCCACAGATTCTCCAAGGGGTGGAAATCCAAAATAATCTATAATCCAAAATAAGTTTAAAAACCGCTACATGATCTTTTTCCCAAAGTTCAAAGTTAGCTAAGTCTGTCTGTCTCATGCTCTCTTTCATTCTCAAACATATACAAGTCAATTCCCCAATCATAAATGATCACACTTTGTGCTGCTCCACTACTAAACCAGGTATATCTCTAGTACAGAATATACTTCCTTCCATATCAATATTGGAGTCATTTGTATTGACTGGCTTGGTTGTAAATGTCAGCTCCACAGCTTATTTACTATGTGACCTCAAGCAAATAACTTGACCTTGCTGGACCTCACTTTCCTCAGCAGCAAAATGGGCATAATTACAGTACCTATATTATTGGGTTGTTTTTGAGGAATAATCAAGATCGCACATCCTATAGCAATGGGAAAGTGCCTGGTATGTTAACTGCTCACACAGGTCAGCTTTTTAAGTTATTTTATGTCTGTTGTCCCCATCACATTCAAAGCACAGTGCAGGCCCTCAATAAATGATTTATGAATCCACATCTTCCTGAATCCCAGGGCTCATCCACTGCCACAGAAAAGCTGTTGGAAAGCATAACTTGGTAATACTTTCATGTTCTTTTCCTTCTACCTCCCTTATGACCAATTCTTGAGCCATCTTTAATTAGCTACTTTGTACCCGGATTGCACATGAGCTCACACCTTGTGCATACACTTTTGCATACCCCCCACACATTAAGCTTCCCAATCAAAATGCTGATGACGCTGGCCCTGCTATTCTCACAGGAACCAAACTATTTCAAAAATTCCCCATTACTCATCTGTTCTGAGCATTCCAGAATTAACCCTTGCTCTGCTATTGTCCATATTTTGTGCAGAAATCTTTTCTATCTCTTCAACTAACATTTGCCAACATAAAAAATAGGGCTTCTTCTTTCTCAATCTAAGATCATTAAATAAACATCTTCCTCTTTTTTTCCTTCTTTTTTTCTAGCCACTTCCTCCCACAGGAGAGGCCCTCAGGGCTTACAGGCTTAATCACCTACGTTCTCTGTTTGAACCATAATTCATCTCCCATAAGCATTTATTCAGCAAACATTACTGACACCTTCTATATTCCAGGCCTTGAAATACATCCTGTGATCGGTGGGGTCCCGGCTTTGGGAGCTTCTAGCCTGTTCTACCACATAGCTGTTTGTTTCACGCTTCTAACCAATTAACTTGAAATAACACCCTGAATCAGAGGTCCGAAAGAGGAAATCAAAGATGCCACATGATGTTCATATGGAGCTCCGAGAAGAACACTTTGCCAAGGCCTGGAGACCCTCCAGGGCTGGGAGTCTATGGCCATTTCCACACCAGGGCTCTGGGGCCTCCACTGACAAAGCCTACCTCCCTGATCCTCAAAGAGCTGTTATGAGAACATACTATCTTATAAAAGGATGATTCTGCAATTTTTTGACCAGTCCTCTGCATCCAGAGGAGTGTAGCGACCACAGGTTTCAGTCTCTTTGCTGTACTGACTAATCAATACATACTCCCACTTACTTGTGTGCACTCTCATTCTGATACCCCCTTGTCAGTTCTGCCACTACCTCATTTAAAAAGCCCTCTTTCCTCTTCTGACTTCTGCTCCTATGAAGTAAAGAAAGATGCAATCCTAAGTCCTATGCTGTCCTGGTGGGCAGGGCACAGGTCAGCAGCGGGGGAGGACTGACTAGAGACACCCTCCCCCTCATCTTCGCTGGTCCTCACAATTCAGGTCTCTGGGGCTGACCAGTAGTCCTGGTATCCCAGTAAGAAAGGGTCCTTCCTTGGAGCTGACCTAAGCAAGGATCCTGAAGACATCTGCTTGCAAAAGGAGAAAGTCAATAGTGGCCAGGAAGATGTCTGGAAGCAACAGCTCTGCCCAGACTGCTTATAGGATCCTAGGGCACTAGAATCTTCCAGACATCCTCCTGGCCACTACCGAGGCCAGGCTTGTGATCTGGGATCCTCTCCGCTATGTTATTTGAGATGATTTCTTCCTGCCAGCAACAGGCCAGGTGCCCTCGACCTTGGTAGCCAAGAATAGGCTTCAAAAGGCTAAGTGGAAGGTGACCATCTTCAAAGGGCTCTCAAACTTCTCAGAAAGCTTTGGCACACAGTCCTGACCTCAGGTCAGTTTCCTGCAAATGAACTTGAGATAGCTCCATGAGGGCAGGGACCATGTCTGTCTGGTTCACTACAGTATCCCTGACAACCCCTAGCACAGGGCTGGAATACAGCTGCGCTGGGGCTCAATACTGATTCACTGGATTTATGTATAACGGTCTCTACCAAGGAAGGAACAAAAGCTCAGTAGAAAAGTCCAAGATGTAGAGTCAGACAGCCCTGAATTTGAAACCTGCTAGCTATACCATTTATATTGGCCATGTGCAAGCCATTTTACCCCTCTCAGACTCAGCTTCCTGTCTATACAGTGAGGATGATAATACCAGCTTCAAAGCATTGTTAAGAGCATTAGACAGAATTGTATGTGGAGCCTTTAGCATAGTGCTTGGCAGAGAGCACTTCTTTGTTTTCAGTTCATAAGCACTTACATACCTCTCACTATATGCTAGATACAGTTCAAACATTGCAGGGGGTGGTGGTGTTCCAGATAACAATTAGTTCATTTAATTCTTCTAATAATCCTACACAGTAAGATCTATCTAATCCTCCTTTTCAGTTGAGGAAATTGAGACAGAGAAGTAAGGTAACTCGATAAAAATCTGATATCTAGAAGTGCAGGGCCAGGATTCATATTATTTATAGAGTCCAGACTGTTAAGTGTTATATACTTCTCTGCCTCTACAGCAAGCAACCAGTGAAGGTTAGTTCCTGTCCCTGCCCTATTTGATTATGGGGTCTATCTGACTGGGATTTTCAGTTGCAAAAGTAACAAATTCAGGTGTTCCCGTGGTTTGCTATCTATTTTGTTTTGTTTTAAACTACAGCCTGCTCCTCTGAAATCCAATTCTGGATAAGTTTGTTGATCAAGAACTTCCCTCTCATCTTGTCCTCCTGCTATCTATCTCCTCTCCCATGATCTACCAGGAAAAGAGTCACACGTAGCTGTGTAAAAACAAAAAATGAAAAAGACAAGCACAGAGAAAGAGAGAGCCCCAGGGACTGAGCACACATGCCCTTAGGAACCAGGTCAAAGGACATCTCGTACCCCTTCTAGTAATCCATAAAAACGACTGCCTACACATAAGGGTGCCCACAGCAGAAGCCACCTATCCACACACAGCCCAAACACATAAAGTCTCAGCTCCCCAAAGACCAAGTTAGCAGAAAGCGAATGAAGCCACCTCCTCCGGTGGCCAAAAACCTCATCATAGAGTTGTCCTTTTTTCTCCTTTATAAGACTGCATTTGCCCTACTGCCAACCACGAACAAAATTTCATTACCAAAATAAATCACTTGACCTTGTTTCTCCAATGGCTCAGGATTAGTGACATCACAAAGCACTCTACAAATGCTCTGAAATATTGGAATAACCATAACCCTTTCAAGTAAAAAACACTCGGTATTTCACTAAAAGACTAAACCGTTTTTATTTTACTGCATGGAATTCAAAAATGCTTTAAATGTTTTCATTTTCAGAACCCTTAGAAAAAAAGTATGCTCTTTAAGGCCTTAAGAAACCCTGACTCCTGGTCTGGTTTGTGTCCCAATTCATGTATGGTAAGATGGGGAACAGGCCAAAAGCCCAGGACAGTAGCTCTGGCCCCACACTGCTCATATGATTCAGTTCTCGAGTGGCTGGGGCCTCAACAGGGAGACTCCCAAGTCAACTGTCTCTCATCCTCCAAGTCACAGGCAGGTCAGAGGCAGCTCCCAGTCAACCAGGGCAGTTCCTCTTAAGGGGTCCAGTCTCCACCACCAATAGTCCCATTAACCACCATGGTTCCCTTCCAAGGTAGCAGTAGAAGCAAAGCTCCTCATGTCGACCAGAGACAGGGAGTTCAGGGGGGATGTTTCCTCCCCAAGGCAGCTGCCTGGAGGTGGGGGTGGCTGCAGGACAGTGCATCCAACGCATCTTCTGAGCCCCAATTAGGATACACACTCTCCCAGGCTGTATACTCCACTTGCTGAAAAACCCACAACCAGTAAGATTGTTCTTCCAAATGAGTTAAAATTCCTAATGCTGCTTGCTCAAAAGGACTGTCCCATTTTAAATCAGGTTAGCCACCAACACGGTCACTAAATGTGCTGCTGAGTTAAGGAGAAAAGAATCCATACATCAAAACCATGCACACTCAGGAAGCACTCAGAATTTAAGTTACACTGGGTACCCAAGACAGGCTAGGCTCCCAAGCAGCACCACATTTGTCAAAACTGACCCTCTTGCTCAGTGACAAGAAACAAAACCATAGCATCACAAAATGGAAGAGTCCAAAGGACCCATGGACATCATCAACTACTTTACTATCTTATTTTACACAGAAGAAAACTGAGACCAAGACCAAGGGTAAAATCTTCAAGTTCATTGTTGATACAGCTACTCACATCCAAAGCTTCTCTTTGTTCTTCTTAGCCTGCTGCCTCTGAGACCCAATTACCAACAAGAGCTCTTATACAATTATTTTCACATAAAAATATTTATATAATTGAATTATAGGCAAATTGGTTAAATCCACCAGGGCTGCTGTCTATAAACTAAAATCTCAATGGAGAACAATACAAAATTGGAGTTGACAAAAGTTAACTTGTGCTTTGAATTATGTTCTCAGCCCCAAAACCTTATTCCTGAAAGGACAGGACCTTTCCCAGTATTTCCTGTGGGAAATGAAGTGCAGTGGTTATGCCCCATTGGGATTTCTAATACTATGCCTTTGTTTTAAATTGAAACCATTTTTGGGTAAGCAAATGAGAGTTGTACAAGGTAGTGTCCCAAGGCTACCCTTCACTACCCATAATAAAATCATCTTCAAAGAAGCTTCAAAGATTAAAATGCTTTTCTCTGCCTTTAAGAAAGGGAGCTGCATTTTCAGGTATGAAAATAAGACCCACAAAGCAAATAGCCAGGCTGAGATGAAGAGACCAGGAAAGATCCAGACATAGAGAAAATCTAGGGCCCTGAAACACTCTTCCCATAGTAGCTGAGATATTTCATCCCCAGTCCATTTCACCAGATACGAAGAGGCTTCCCTGGCTACAAAGGATATTATGGGAGCATAAAACAAATGCTGAAGGCCTGGGTCTCCTTCTCCCCTGTGTGTGACAGGCTGAGAGACTCCAATGCTGCAGAAAGCAAAATTTTCCTTGTTTCCATTACATCATCCAAGTTGGAGAGGAGGAGGGCGGGGTGGGGGCACAGCTGGTGGCAGCTGCACCACCATCTGCTTTCTCCTTAGCAGTGTGTGCTAGTTGAAGCCACAGTCTCCTACGGCTCCTGACAGAGGAAGTGCAGTATTAAAGGTACAACACCTTATTACAAAAAAGACTTCCAATTGTTCAGAAATAATCACTCCCATGAGAAGTTAACAACCTCAGGTAAAATACTGAGCCAGTTCTCTTTGAGGTTAGGTTATTTGTGTTTGCATCTTTTTAGACTCAGCTACAGTGCGAACTCTGTCAACTCAACGTGCTCAATTAGACAAGCAGAATGTTCAAGCAACTACACCTGCCATCTGCTTCCCAAAAGGTAAGCAGCCAAAAAGTACAGGTCTGCAGCTGGAAGCATTTATGGAAGGAAGTTAGGGGGTGCCCAAACCCAGCAAGCAAGCCCCAGACCGGCAGGTGGATCCTTGCTGCTGCCCTAGGCATCCAGAGCCAAATAGTTAACAGGTCTCTCTCTCCTTGGCACTCTTGGTGTTTCCTTCAGAATGCCTTTCAAGGCAACCCCCAAAGAAGGGGAGATGGTGACAGTGACCCAGGGTGCTAATGCCTTGTCTGACCATTCAACTGCAAACTGGCAGCAAAGTAGCAAATTGGTGGTTCAGAGGCTGATCAAGCCCATGCACATACATGTTTTCTCTGGCCTGTACAGAGTTGTTTTAAAAAAAAAAAAGTGCTGGCTTTTTAAAAAGAGTAGATTTCATATAAGCATCTAGAATGCTGGCTCTTCCTCAAGGGGGCTGGGGGCAATCAAGGGATTCGGGAGCACCAGGCCCCCATTCCTAGTGACATCAGTTACCTAGAGGTAAGTGGCAGTATTTCCTTGTGATCTGGTCTGTGTTCAGAAGACCTCCTCCCCACCATCTGGTGTCTGTACATGCCACTGCAACTATTTATGTTCCTGCCTGGACCCCTGGAGCTTCTGATGTAATGCCACTACACATGTAGAAGAAGAAAAGCCCAGGGGTCCTTTTCTTTTTCCCAAAGGTCCTTTATTGACTCTCCTTTTTAGTTTAGGGTGAGTCCTTTGGATGACCCACTAAAATTCTACAAATATCACTCAACCCCATACAATGAACAGCTCTTGCTGGAAGACCAGCTACAATCTATCCCCTACCACAACTGCAGGTTGTAGTATTTCAAAGGAGTGTTCCAGGCCACTTACCATACATTTTGCCTTCGTCTGATAAGATGATTTTCCTCCTCCCACATGGTGGATAGATAGCCAGGGCCTCCTGAAAGCTTTGCTCGATGTCGGGGCTCCAGACCCCTTCTGCATCATTGTCAATTGGCTTATCTGCAGAGTCACTCATCCTTTCCATGTTTTCGGCAGGGCTCTCACTGCCGCTCCAGCTGCTGGGCTCAATTTTGGCGGTGGGATTTTCCAAGCCGAAGCCTGGAGCCTTTTCAAGAAAATAAACCTAGAAGAGAAAACCAAAAACAGTATAAGGATGTGGTAACCACAAACATAATGCTCTTGCTAGCTCTAGTGCAAGTTCTTCAGTCACCAGCTTTTTTCATTTCATTTTATTATTTCAGTCTTTTTGGGGATACACATGGTTTTGGGTTACACGGTTAAGTTCTTTAGTGGTGATTTTGGTTCAGTCACCAGCTTTGCTTGGATAACTCCTACTGGAGAATATGGAATTTTGAGATCCAAGTGGCTTTATTATCTAAGTATCATATTAAGCACCCACACAGAAATGCAATGGTGGGCAGAAGCTGGATAATCTTCACAGACGAGAGGAAATTTATATGGAAGAATGGTACTCACTCGGAGTTGCAAGTTTGCAGTGATTCATACGAAAACCATTTACTGAGTGCCTACTATCTACCAGGGGCACTTTGCTAAATGATCATCAAATCTCCAAAGCAGAACAAGTAATTTATAAGAAAATAAAGTTTTTTAAAATGTCCACTTCACCATGGCAAGTGGCATCATAACTCGGAAACTCTGTTAGTGTCACTATCCCAATATGAGATCATCAAGATGCAAGATGGTGGCAGGATCAAGGAGGGAAGGAGGAAGATTATTTTGGTATCACACATACTCATTCTACTGAGACAGCAATGCTGGCTGACCTGGACCTATGTCATTTATCTCTGGGGCTTTTACCCTGTAGAATCAGGTCACTTTGCCACTCTCAGCTCCTAGACTGTAACCTTGAAGTAGGGACCAAGCTGTCCCCAGTCCTGACTTCCCTGCAACATCTACCACAAGTGCCTAGCACACCTGTGGAAATATTCTCTATTGACATGGAGCACTCCGTCTTATAGCCTATGCTGAATTCCTGATCACATGAAAACTGTGGGGGAGTATTTCATTTCTTTTTCTGTAGCACTGAAGATCACAGAACCAAAAAAAATCTCTGAAAGATTTATTCCCCTTAAATTATGTATATAACCTATGGTCATAAAAGGATAAGCTTTCCAAACAAATGTCAAACTGGCATAACGTCAATGTGAAAATGATCTAATCCAGTACTCCCTGCTGTCTGGCACACTAACATATCAATATTCCTTTGTTGAAAAGGTATAGGATCATTAATTCAAAGGCCTCCCAAAAATGAGAGAGAAAGGATTGATCGAAAAGAGGAGGCCAAGGGCCTGAGTAGGGAGGGTTTCATGTGGCCACAGTTCCTCCCCTTCTCACCCCATCAAATCCAGGCAGTATTACAACACGGACACCCAGGAGGGAAGCAGGTGCTGGTGGCCACACCTGGCACCAGGGACTGCTCCATATTCCAGGGCCGTTACCTGACAGCAAGCACCCTGTCTTCCTCCCTGCTCTCTCCCAACTGTATCCTGTGCCCCTGTCCTCCCCCACCTGTGTATATCAACAGATGCCAGGTGCAGAAACTCTGAGGCACATGAATATTATATAATTAATGGTATAACTATAACTAGTGGGCACTTTTGGCTTCTTCCCTTCCAGCTTTGTAGACTTGGCAGCACCTGGATTTAAAAAAAAAATACACAAAAAACCCTCTGATTGTCTGCCTTTAAATGCTGCTACTGAGCCATCATTCAAAGAACTTGTCAGCAAAATATTTACTACCTCTTACCAACATATGTACATTTACACAGGACTTTCAAAATTGCCAAATGTGAAGGTATAAATTACGCCACAAGAAAGCATTTTGTGACTGACCTCCAGATGAACTTGACTATGCCTGCGGTGTGGGCCTTTTGAATTCAAACTATTATCTTTTTCGTTACGATCTAAGAGTCTTATGAAATTCAAACTGAACTATACTCTAGAGTCTGTTCTCGCTCCAAAGTAGTTTATTAGATAAATTATGAGAATAAGAATGAATTCTTTGAGCAGTGGCTAGCCCACCTTCTTCCTCTCCACCATACCCACCAAACAACAACAAAAAAAGACAAAAACAAACCAAAACAACACACATGCACAAAACCACAGGCCAGTCCTTGAGCTCTGGGCAGTTCACAGCAGTATGAATTTACTCCGAGGAGCCACACTTTAAGATAAATAGTAGTTATGCCCAGTGCTCAGTCAGGATAGCAGGGAATGGGATCTAGGACAGTGGGGGATGGCTGAAGGGACTGAGGGACCTTCGACTGCCTTAAAAGAATGTTCTCATATAACTGTAAGCCCCAGAGTCTCCAGACCAAAACACACCAACCACCCCCATTCAGTGCTTAAAGTCCCCTCAAAATCTACTCAACTGGTCACAGTCTACCCTTGAACACCACTAACAGCAGGGAACTCATTACCTTCTCAGTACTACCCCGCTTCATACTGACATGTTGAAATGCTTCCATTTATCAGGCGAAAACCCATCTCCTGGTTAACATCTACACATCCATTCCTTGAGAGTATACCCCATCCTTCAGGGGAGCAAATCTCTCCTAAGATACCCATTTAGGTATGACAGAAGCAGCCTCCAGGATCCTAATTGTCTTCCAGACTAGAAACCATCATCCCTCTGCCCACCCTCATGAATGCATTTAGTGGCCCCCAATAAATGGCACTCAGAGGTGGACTTACTTTCCATTAAACTTCTAAGCTCCTGCCCCTCAGAGGTTGTCCCTGAATACTGTCTTTTGTGCAACTGGTGTCAGAGCTAAAAGCAGGCGTTTGTATTTATTCCTATTGAATTCTATCATTTTTAGCCTCAGCCCACAGCCCAAAGATGGGAAGATTCTTCTGAATCATAACTGCACACTTAGTGTCTAAGACACTAAACAACCTCTGAAGAGCTGTCTGTCACATGGGAAGGATGTAGATCCACTTTGGGAAGTTCCAAAGAATATTCCAACTCAATATAAGAAAAAAATTTCTGCTACTTGAACTGCTCCACAAGGGGCAGGCTGTTCTAGCAGACAGGCAGCAGAGTCTTGCAGACAACCTCTTCTTATTATTTCTATAGGTATGAATCACAACTTCCTGGTTGTTTGGGGGAATGTAGTATTAACTAGCATTAATTGATCTATCCACTTAGTAAGTACAGCCAGTTTTAAATGCTCACGTTTTTATTCGTTTACTGCAAAGGAAAAGACCCTGTGTATCCAGACTCTTGCCATTTTTCGTCAACTAGACTTCAGCAGGATGGAATTACCTATCTAGCAATGGGCCAGGACACAGCCCCAGAAACTACCAGATACATAATCCACAGAGTTATACAGGCCTCTGGTTTTACAACCCCATCATAAGATGAAGACTTTACATATGGGCAGAGAATTTCCTAACACAAGACTGGGGCTGGCTGAGAAATGCTCCCCATACTGGATACCAAAATAACCATCCTGGCACTCCATCCCCCAGGTTCCTTCCAGTCCAGCTCAAACTCCACCTCATCCTGGAAACTGGCCTTGTATCTACAGGCTCTGAGAGTATCAACCACGCTGTAGGAGAACCCTAAAAATGTGTGGAATTGGCCAACTGTCACGCAAATTACCTCGATTCTGAATCTATAGCAACAAGCACTTGATTATAATCAATATTAAAATCTAAATGAGTGAATTATGCACACAATGTCTGTACCTGCAGAGCTGATATCTTTACCTCCCCATACATATATATCCTTTAAGTGAAGGAGTCAGCTTTCACTAAATTCAGTAAATAAAGAACACAGTACTGGGGCAAGAGGTAGGAGAGGAAGGGAGGGGAATATATGAAGACTCCAACAGATGTGGGTTTCAAACCTACTCGCCCTTAAGCCATGGAACTCAAACTACCGCAACTACTTTTGTGCCAACCTAATAACTCTCTCAGAAGCTCAGGTTTTCATTTGTTAAATGCAAATAACAAATTAAATTTCATCCCAATACAGAAAAATGATTAAGGGATGGAGGGACTCTATTCTACTGGGTTGCCATAAAGATTTAGTAAGATCATGAGTGAAGGCGCTCTGTCATCTGTAAAACTATGAACAGATGTTCATTTATGTCCAAGTCCATCCTCTCTAGACAATGCTATGTACCTTCTGATGGATGGTGAAGAAATGAGAGAGCTTCCTCTAATGGTTTACTTTGGGAAACTGATTTACAAAGGACCTCTTCTTCAAGGTCTTCAAATGACTGCATAGAAAATGTAAATTGGTGACAACACCTTTATTTCTAACACTCATCTAATTCTGAATTTATTCACGGGTTCAACAGCTTTCAGATTCTTATGGGCAGTGTGGTTCAGGGTAGTAACCGTTTTCACAGAATGCCTTCAAGGAAAGAGAATAGAAAAGTCTTCTTTGTTGGAGATAATTTTTTTTGCTTTTGAGATGGAGTCTCACTCTATTGCCCAGGCTGGAGTGCAGTGGCACGATCTCAGCTCACTGCAACCTCCTCCTCCCAGGTTCAAGCAATTCTCCTGCCTCAGCCTTCCAAGTAGCTGGGATTACAGGCATTCACCACCACGCTCAGCTAATTTTTGTATTTTTTAGTAGAGACAGGGTTTCACCATGTTGGCCAGGCTGGTCTCGAACTCCTGACCTCATAATCCGCCCACCTTGGACTCCCAAAGTGCTGGGATTACAGGCGTGAGCCACCGCGCCCAGCTGGAAATACTTTTAAAAATATGTATACTTTGTAGCCCCCATGTGCCTCAGTTTCCATCATAAACACTTTTCTGAAAGATCCTTTATTCCTGAACTTTTTCCCAAACACACTCCAATAAACTCCAAAAACAAACTCTATGAATCCAAATATCCTGGTAACTGCCTCAACAACCACATTCCCTAAATGTGTAATTCCTTCACTATAACCTACTGAGGCTTCAAAAAGAGTAACATGAGTACAGTGGAGATATCACATGTGTATTCAACCAATACACATTTTATTATAAAAGCCTGGGGGATGACCGGGATAAGACAGTCCAATGCAGGTGCTCTGACACCAACTCTATCCAACAAGAGATGAGATAGGACACAGGAATTTGCTGCTCCCTTCATCTTAATTCCTGTGGGTCTCTCATAATGTCAGTTTCTCACCCATCTTCAGATTATTTAAAGGCTCTTAAGTAAAAGGGTTGATTTTAACTAATCCTCATAATTAATGAAATGCCATTGAACACAACGATCACCAAAAAAAAAAATCATTATGGCTTGTTTTTGCCAGTGTCTCAATATTCTATGAGGTCACAGGAGAAGAGCTGGGATGAAGTTAGGGCTCTGTCCCCCTGAGTAACACAGGACCACACAGCACCTGTAGCTCCAGTATGCCTCAGTTTCCACCATTAACCCTGGAGGAAGCCAACTTATTCATTCTTCACCATGTGATCCCACAGACTTTACCTATAACAGAACTTGATGAGGTGAGGCCTCTAATCCCAGCACTTTGGGAGGCTGAGGCAGGTGGATCATTTGAGGTCAGGAGTTTGAGACCAGCCTGGCCAACATGGTGAAACCTTGCCTCTATTTAAAAAAATGGCCAGGTAGGGTGGCCCACGCCTGTAATCCCAGCACTTTGGGAGGCCGAGGCGGGCAGATCACGAGGTCAGGAGATCAAGACCATCCTGGCTAACGTGATGAAACCCCGTCTCTACTAAAAACACAAAAACAAAATTAGCCAGGCGTGGTGGCAGGCGCCTGTAGTCCCAGCTACTCAGGAGGCTGAGGTGGGAGAATGGCGTGAACCTGGGAGGTGGAGCTTGCAGTAAGCTGAGATTGCGCCACTGCACTCCAGCCTAGGCGACAGAGTGATACTCCACCTCAAAAAAAAAAAAAAAAAAAAAAACTAGCTGGGCGTGATGACAGGTGCCTATAACCAGCTGCTCAGGAGGCTGAGGCAGGAGGATTACTCAAACCCAGGAGGCGGAGGTCACAGTGAGCCAAGATTGTGCCACTGCACTCCAGCCTGGGCAACAGAGTGAGACTCCATCACAAAAAAAAAATTAAAAAAAAAAAAACAAAACAAAAACTTAGTGAGTTGGTTTGTCATTGCTCCTCCCATTTGCACCCCAGTGTCCCTCCCTGAGGGCAGAGACTATGTAACATTTACACTGTCCCTAGCGCCAGTACCATACCTGACATATAAATAGTCAATGAAAGAAAGAATGAACCTCCAGGCATGGCAGTTCACGCCTATAATGCCTAGCACTTTGGGAGGCCAAGGTGGGAGGATCACCTGAGGTCAGGAGTTCAAGACCAGCCTGATCAACACAGTGAAACTCCGTCTCTACTAAAAATACAAAAATTAGTCAGGCGTGGTGGCAGGCGCCTGTAATCCCAGCTACTTGGGAGGCTGAGACAGACGAATCACTTGAATTTGGGAGGCAGAGATAGCAGTGAGCCAAGATCAGGCCACTGCACTCCAGTCTGAGTGACAGAACAAGACTCTGTCTCAAAAAAATTAATAAATAAAAAATAAAAAAAGAATGAACCAACAACCAGAAAACACAAATATTCTTTGATAACAACATGACTGAGATTAACACCCAAAGTTTCCACAAGAAAAGGAAGTGTTTCAGCTACTTTCACATTCCTGACTCTGGCCAAGGTTCCAATGAGTAGTAAGAGACCCAGAGAAAATCGCCAAATTAGGAGGACACAAGGAGACAGACTGTAAGCCAGGCACAGTGTAAATAACGAAGAGTTGGGTGGCTGATCCAATTTCTTAATCACAATTATTGGCAACTAATAGTCCTTCTGTGTTAGAGGGACAAATAAGATTTGAGTCCTTTAAGAGGTAATCTTTTATCATCAGTAAATCTTATTTTGAGGAGAATGGTAACTTTTGAGACAATATATTTTACCTTCTCCATTTCCCTTTCCCTTTTGATGACTGGAGAAGAAAATTACCAAAAGGTGACAGCTACAGGGAAAGAGATATGGGAGGCGGAGCAGCCAGGGTGTAAAGACCAGAAGCCAAGGAGGTGGCCAAGGAAGAAATTCGAAGAGGTGACAAATGGTAAAGCAAACTTGAGTGAGCAGGTGAGCAAAGGGCAGCATACAGACAGTGGCAACGGGACGAGCACTAAGAGAAAAGATTTCTAATAGCCCAGGAGGAGAGAGAAGTCAGTAGAAGTGAGGGCCACTTCAGGGTTTCTAGAAAGAGAATCACATGGTTGGAATGGTATTTATAGTGGACAACTCAACCAAACATTTGATGGCTTGAAGGTCACTGTAATCTTAGTCAAAGTCCAAATTTCTCTCATAGGAGAAAAGCTCCCCTCCAACAAAAAGACTGGGGGGAAAAAAGGTGCTTTACTTCCAAAGTGAACTGGTACCTCAAAACCAAATTCAGCCTTCTCCCAGAACTAGGTGTCAGGCATAATGCCAGCAGTTTCTGCCTAGAGGATCTTATTTAATCGCTGCACTTCCCCCTTTAGTATTATCCCCACCTTGTGAGGTTCAGAGACCTAAATAAGTTGTCCAAAGTCCTATACTTAACAGAGATTCAATCTAGGAGTCATTTTCCAAACAGAATGCACATTCTATGGGAATATCAAATACACTATACCCTCACTAGACAGTAGGATGTAGGCAGTGCTGAATTCTTAGCTCTGTAGATGACTGATATCATCAAGGACAGTCTAATTAATTCCTAATGAATAGTGATGATCCTGACTCACCGCTGTGGGCAGCTGAGAGGAATGTCAGACACTAATAATGGTTAATTGCTTTTGCATATGTAAAGTGGGTTGTGTTATTATTTTCCTACCATTTAAGACACTAGCCAACCTTGCTAACAAGTGGCCTGAGAAAAATACAAGTGAAGATTGGCAGCCTGGATTTTGTAGGCAACCACAGAAGAGATGGAAGCACAGAAAGTATGTCATTGTCAGAGACAGGGCAGAATTCTCAGGGAATGGGAATGCTGATGCTGAGAACTGAGGCAACATGTGCCACAACGACAGCAGCAGCCAGTGAGCCTTGGTGCCAATGCCAACAGGTTCCCTCTAATTTCAGCAGGGAGGAGTGGATAATTACTCCTTCTCGTTTTCAAAAATCACTTCCGTGTCAACAGAATCCCATCAACAAGCCAATATCTCTTCACCAAGCCCCAATGCTAAGCATCCCATTAGAGGACTTAGCATTACCCTCCTGAGAATCCCTGATTAATTCTCCGCTCCATCAGCCCTAAGTACTTGCCCAGGTGACAGCTCAAGAAAAGCTCTGATTGATTTCATGCTATGCAGCTCTGATGGGACCACTCTGCATTACCAGCCTTTAGGGGAATAGCCCACCCCATCCCCTTAATGAATCTGTTAGCCATTGAGAACAGAAATCCTGCCCCTTCCTTTCTCCCGTCACTACCACCAGTCAAGCTGATCATTGTTGTTCTTTATCAGTGGACTCCTTCAAAAGGACAAGGCCACAGACCCAGTTTCAGGCAATCTATCCTATCTGACCATTCCAAAGCAAAGACCTGATACCAAGACAGTGCATGCCCAAAGTGAGCGTGAACCAGAGGACATGACTCGTAGCCCAAGTCACTCCCACCCTGGGAAATGGACAACTTAACCTCGGGAAACACATTTCAACCCCAGAAACAGAAGCTTCTTTCCTGCTTTAAGAGAGCAAACGTCCCAACTGTTAGCAGTAAGGAGCTGTCAGTATTTCAAAAGGAAAACTCATAAGCCTTTTCCCAGGAGTAACAGTCAAAGAAAACCTTAAGACTAACTCCCCAATTCCAGTAGCCTGTGGAGTCAACATACACTTGGGGTAGACTAACCAACCATAATGCTTACTAAAAATAAAGAAAACACCAGGAAAACAACACTCCTTAGCCACTAACCTATGGATCACATCACTTTCTTAGTTGGTACGATTCACCATCCGATTATTATAACTCGGTATTTTAAATGACAATGAGCATAAAGTAAAAATCAAAAGTAGAAGTAAAAAGACATTAACATACAAGATAAATATAAGTATATACACCATTTCAAGAAGTCCCCTCAGCTGCATGACTGATGGAATGCCTAGAAATGGGTCTTATACCATTAGAAATGGCTCCCTAAGAGGGAAGTCTATAGGTAAATGCCTGGAGAGTCATCCCTGCTTACTAAAGGCCAGGTGAGACTCACCCAATGTTACACAGTCTGTTGACAGCCAACTTAAATGATATGTTGGCACTGGCCTCACTCCAGGTCCCAGCAGCAATCTGCCCAGATGCGGCCCCCTTGGCTGATTCAGAATTCTAATTGTGCTGCATCAGAAACGGCCCTCCCTACTTTGCATACAAAAGTAGTCCAGGGCCTTCTCCACCAGCTTCTATGACTTTGGATGCTTCTCTCATTCTGGCCATGCCCCATCTATCCTAAATTATTGAGACAGGCATTCTGGGGGTTGGGGAGAGAAGCAATAGGGAAATCCACACTTCACTCCTGATTGAGTCATAAGCCAATCAACAAGGAAAACCTGAATCAGGATGGCATTTTAAAGAGCTAAACTGCGAAGGCCAAGCCCTGCTCTGGTCCTTCAACCACAGCTCCTGACATTCAGTGCTCTCAGGATCTAATGGATCCAAATGGATTTCATCAGCACTCACATCAGGATCCAAAATCTAGGCTCTAACATGCCCAAAAGGAAAAAACTCTTTCCTGTCAACCTAAGGAACCAAAACCACAATTCATCACATTGTTTGCCTTCCCACTGTTTATATTTTCATTGTTTGTAACAGGCAGAAGTCTGATAGTCTCTAGACTATCAGAAATCAGGCTGTCACTTTCTCTTGTGTGGGTGTCAGATCTGGTCTGCCTTTACCCATTTCTAATGGATCTGAGCATACAGATCCTCAAAGCATACCCAAATCACACATGGATATTTCTAAGTCCCAAAACATGATCATAAAACTCCTCCGGGGCAGAGGCAGAGGCAGAGCCTGTGTGACCTCTACAACCTAGGACAGTGTCAAATAACATTGGGATGCTGGATAAAAGTGAGACAACATAAAACAACAAATAAAATGAACCTGTTTGAATAAATGCAGCTCTTGTGCAATCTTGAGGAAGAAAATCAAAGCTGAACGACTTAAACTGCCCAATATGAAACCTCAATGCAAAGCTTAGTCATTAATAGTATAGTACTGGCACAAAGATAATGAAAATAGGCCAAGGAATCAGATTAGAGAATCTAGAAACAAACTCATACACATACGTTCACTTGATTTGTAACAAAAGTGACACTGCATTACCCTGAGTAAAGAAATTTTTTTCCTGATACATGAGCCAGGTTGATTGATAGCCATACGAAAAAAATAAAAATTGACCCCACCACACACAATAGTTTACAATCCATCTGAAATAGACTTTAGATCTGAAAGTAAAAAAACCAGTAAAGAATTTATAAGGATTCTTAGCAGATTACCTACATGGCCATAAAGTAGTCGAGGATACTTTAAAGGAACACAAAAGCACTAATCAGGAGGGAAAAACATGATAAACTGGACCAAATCACAACTCAGAACTCGCTTTCTTGAAAGAACCATTAAGAAAATCAAAGCAGGCCACAAAGTAGATACTTGCAACACATTTATTCAACAGAGACTCATATCCTTCATCCTACAGGAACTCCAAACAATAAGAAATCAGACAACCCAATAGAAAAAAAAGTAAAAAGCTAATGTATTTTATGAAACATAACCAAATGGCCCATAAACATATGAAAAGGTGTTCAACATGCCTAGTTATTAAAGAAATGCAAATTAAAACAATGTGATACCTCTATCCAGCCACTAGAAGAGCTACAGTAAAGAGACTAATACTAAGGATTTTCAAGGAGATGGAGTAAATGGAATTCTCAAAGAACTGATGAGAGCGCAAATTGGTACAATCATTCTGGAAAACTCTTTGGCAATATCTACATACCAAAACTGATTATATGCATACCTCCTGATTCAGCAATTCCAAATCCCAGGTAGAGATGCTAAAGAAATGCATGCCTATGTTCACCAAAAGACAGGTATAGGAATGTTTATATTTTCATTGTTTGTAACAGACAGAAACAGCCAAATTTTTATTAACAATAGGACATATAAACTATAGTATAATCAGGCTGGGCGCTGTGGAACACATCTGTAATTCCAGCACTTTGGGAGGCCGAGATGGGCAGATTGCTTCAGCGCAGGAGTTGAGAGCAGCCTGGGCAACATAGTGAGACCCTATCTCTACAAAAAAAAAAAAAAAAAATTAGCTGGGTGTTGGTGGCGCATGCCTGTAGTCCCAGCTACCCCAGAGGCTGAAGTAGGAGGATCACCTGAGCCCAGGCGGTCAAGCTGTAGTGAGCTGTGATCACGCCACCGCACTCTGGCCTGAGAGAGTGTGAGACACTGTCTTAAAAAAAAAAAAACTGTAGCATATTCATAAAATAGAATGGTATACAGCTGTACTGTCCAATGCAGTAGGCACTAGACACATTTGTGAATTTAAATGTAAATTAATAAGATTAAAAATTCAGTTGTTCAGTCACACTACTTGTATCTCATGAGCTCAATATTCACAAGTGGCTAATGGCTACTGTGTCATACAGCACAGACAAAAATCATTTCACAGCCACAGAAAGTTCTATGGGACAGCAATAGAATATAAATAAATGACAACTGCAAGTAACAACATGGGTGAATTGTACCAACGCAATATTGAGGAAAAAAAAGATACAAAGAAATATATACTATACTGTCTGCGTCCGTTCATACCAAGTTCAAACACTAACGAAATTCATCTACGTTATTAGAAGTCAGGGTAGCAACCACCCTTTAGGGTTGGGAGTACTGACTGGAAGGCAGCGTGGGGAGGCTTAGGAGGTTCTGGTCATGTCAGTGCAGATCAATAGATCAATGGCTCTGGATGCCAATGCATTCAAATGGAAAAACACAAGGGACTCAATATTGATGATGTGTGTGCCCTTTTCTGTATGTAAGTTGGACTTCAATAAAAATTATTTTAAAAAAAAAGAAAGAAATGAAAAAAAAAAAAAAAAAAAACTGCCCTGTTTCAGTGCCTTTCTGATTCCAGTTACCTTAGAGAAAGATTATTCCAGGAGCTCTGAATACATTTGCCTTTTTTGAATTATGCTTTGATGTGCTGCCATCAGCATATGAAGGGTTATTAGAAGAAACAGCCAATGGGATTTGTCTCTAGAGTGAATGCAAGGATGTGGAAGACGCTGCTCATCACGTCACACAGACTGATCTTTACAAAGATCCCAAAGGAAAGTTCTACAGCAAACAAAACACAATGTGTTTTTTACCTCGTGGTCAAGCCATTGGCCTTTCCTTTACTCAGTAGCCACCAAAGTGCACTGAGCCACACTGGCAGGCCCCTCAGAGAGTGCTCAGAGGTGGTTTTGGTCGGCAAGTTTGGTTTCATTCCTAAGTCCACATTTAGTCTTCACCTCTATCCTCTTCTTTTTCTCCATTCTTTCTCCCACCTTCTATTTATGCTATTTTACAGTCTTGCATGCTGCCTTAAAATGATTCTGAAACATGATAGGGTATAAATATGAAAGGGAAAGTTTCTGTTTTCTAATTATCTGTTTCAATTTAATGTGGTAAAAGCATTTACTGAGAGCCCCTCCCACCCCTGTCCCTTCAGCCATATGTCCCAAGCACTGGATATGGAGATAAAGATACCACATTCCCTGTCCTCAACAAGCACCCTCTCCAGCAGCGAGACAAATAAGTACACATACCTGCAAGACTTCAAGCCCCTCCACTGGGAAGCCTGACCTGGCCTTTCCCCACTCCTCTGTGTTCCCACAGGTAGCACCTTTGCCAGCCAGTACAAATGAACTGAACTCACTCACCGCATAGGAATGATTTGTTTATGCGTCTCTCACCTTTGAGGATTTGTGAGATCTTTAAGGTTTGGGCCCATGCCTTTAGTAATTTTTCCTTTTTTTTTTTTTTTTTTGAGTCAGGTTGGAGTACATACAGTGGCATGATCACAGCTCACTGCAGCCTCAGCCTCCAGGGCTCAAGCCATCCTCCTGCCTCAGCCTCCCAAGTAGCTGGGACTACAGGCACATGCTACCATGCCCAGCTAATTATTTCGGTTTTTTGGCCTCACTATGTTGCCCAGGCTCATTTCAAACTGCTGGCCTCAAGCGATTCTCCTGCCTCAGCTTCCCGAAGTGCTGGGACTACAGGCATGAACCACCTCACCCAGCCCAGTCATTTTTCTATGTTTGGCATTCAGCAGAATGCCTAGCACATGGCAACTGCTCCCCAAAAAACAGGACTGAATGGTTGCCGGAAATAATGAGTCAATGGGTGAATATGAACAGGTGAATAAATATGTCACCTGATGCAATGGAGGAATCAATAGGGTGCTGATGGAGGAGTTTATTCTGTCTCTCGGATCAATGAGAGTTTCTCAGGGAGGTGGCATTTAGGCTGGTCTGAAAGGCTAATCCAGACTCACAGGCCAAGTATTAGTGGAGGAGATGTGGGGAAGAGAGAGCCAAGCAAGAAAGTAGAAAGGCTAGAGCAGAGGCTGAAAATGTAAGCTGAGTCAATCACAGGGGGCCTCATAGGCCATGACGAAAGGTGGACTGTTTCATACAAAAAGCACGAAAACACCAGAAACACCAGGAGTGTGTGAGCAACTCCTGAAGGTGTACGTGTGTGTGTCTGTCTGTCTGTCTGTCTACTTGGGAAGATAAAGGGTGAAGAACAGAGAATGTTATATATCTGGAATCTGAACTTTTAAATCAAAAGTATTTTCAGTATGGTCCAAGGCCAGGACAGTTCTCTAGATAAACTGAAATACTACAATGTGACGTCTCCCTTCAGTGTTCCAAGTTTATAAAGGTGTGTTTGTTTAAACAACCCAGAGCCATGGGATTAACTCTGCTCGGTACCTGATCACTCAGCCATTCTAATGAATGCTCATCAGACTGTCTTCAAGCACTCAACATACTCCCCTCATCCCTAAAGAGAGGCTGTGAGCTGACAACAGGGTCACACTCGAGCCCAACATGGGAACCAGGCTGCTATGCTTATACAGAGACATGCGTCTGCATTTGGCCAATGTGAAAACACCAACTAATGCCGACACGAGCTAATGCATGAATTTAACCAAAAGCACGCAACACTGCCGGTTCACAAATGTCAACTGGGTCCCAATGATCACCAACACAAGCAAGTCCCCACCCTTTAAACGACAAATATAATCTTCCATTTAATGATGACATGGTGATGGAGCAGATGCAAAACAGGTCTCTCACATTGAGATGCAAATTCAGGGGCCAATTAAAGCCCCACCCGCACCCCATCCCAATCCTCAAAATGTAAACCTGGTCCTTGGTTTACATCCAGTTCAAGTTCAGCAAGAGAAAGAATCTTGGCACCTTAGCTGAAGACAGGCTGAGGCAGGATAAGTGAGTAACTACTGTTCCCCCCTCAATTAAACCACTCATTCAAATGAACAAATATTACTGGAGCACCTGCTGTGGGCACAAGACCACTCTAAGCCGTCCACAAGCACTGTAAGGGCATTCAGTGGGGGCAAGACGCCCAGTCCAAGAGAGGTACGGACAGAAAGTCTGATGCGCTCATGTCTGACATCAGGCCTGCGCCTTCTCCTGCCTTCACTTCCCCATGGCCCAGGGTGCTGTGAGCCCTCTCCAGCCAGCAGTCTCCTCCCCCTCCCCTCTGACAAACCCCAGCAAAATGAGTCTGCTGAATTCAGTAAAATATGCAAAGGCCACACCTTGATTAAATCCACATTTTCTACGGGTCCCCAGCACACACACACAAATTTCTTTAGGGAAAAAGGTGGACGGAGTGTCAGGCAGGGGGAATATATTTCCTTCCAAGACTACATCCTTCTACAGATTCTGTTAACCCTGGTAGAGGAACAAGATGAGCTCTCAGCCCCTTAGATTAATTAAAATGTAATCCATTTCCAATTACACGTACAAATGGCCACTAAAGCCCTCCCTCTCAGGGAGACTTCCAGGTGCAGATTCCCTCTCAATCCAACTGCCTAAAGGTGACTCTACGTAGGGGATGTGACTTCAGAAGCCAAAAGTCCCCCACAGGCAAAACAAACCAGCGCAAATCCTCACACACACACAGTTCTGGCACAGTGGGCCCTGACACCATCAACATCACATTGCTGATTAAGGATCTATCTGTAAAAGTCCCCATGAAAATCCAAAAGGATTCCCAGGTCCTGGGAGAATCCCACCGCCTCCTCTCAGAGATGATGTTTCTCAGGTAAACTGGCTGGAGCATAACCCAAAAGGAGGGCCATTATCCTAGGTTCCCCTCCTCCCCTCCTGATCTAAATGATCACCAAGAACGTCCATTTGACCCCCAGTCCCCCTGCCTCCCCTGGATCCCCTCTGCTCCTCTCTACCCCACTAACTTTGCTCCTGTCTCAAGGAAAGGACCGCACCATTTCTGCCTCAGCCCTCTGCCAGAGCTGAGCTGTCCCCCGCCTCCCCACACTCTCGCCACTGCCAACAACCTAGTCCCCAAGCCTGGTTATACGAGATGATATGGGTGGCTTCTTAAACATAGAGATTCCCAGCTTTATGCCAGAAATCCTGAATCAGAATCCCAGGAGACATATTTTTAGCGAGTGTCTCCTACACTATCCCGCAGTCAGAAAGGTTTTCCTAAAATGCAAATAGGACTTTCATCATACACTCACTTGAAGTCATTCAGCAGATCCCCACTCACTCAGGACTGAAGTGCATTATGAGACCCCTGGCCTTTCACACCTGTTCTCAGCCTGCTCCTCCAGCCACCCATCCAGAACCCCAACATTCTAGCTGCACACGCACTCCAAGATGCCTGGACACAGCCGGCCACCTACTCCACTCCTTCAGGTGCCTGGGGCTCTCCCAATACCTGACAGATTGTTGGAACTCAAAAAACTTTTGCTGATATTGTCCTTGGTAGGTATTTCTAAGAATTGCAGGGATTAGACCAGGCGCAGCGGCTCACGCCTGTAATCCCAGCACTTTGGGAGGCAGAGGCGGGTGCATCACCTGAGGTCAGGAGTTTGAGACCAGCCTGGCCAATATGGTGAAACCTCATCACTACTAAGAATACAAAAATTAGCCGGGCGTGGTGACGGGTGCCTGTAGTCCCAGCTACTTGGGAGGCTGAAGCAGGAGAATCACTTGAACCCAGGAGGTGGAGGTTGCAGTGAGCCAGGATCGCGCCACTGCACTCCAGCCTGGGCAACAGAGCAAGACTCTGTCTCAAAAAAAAAAAAATTGCAGGGATCACCTTGGACATCTGGAGAATCCATATGGCAGAGCAGTTATATATACATAAAGAGAATACTGAGTTTTAGAATCCCAAAGAGTTTGAATTTTGATTCCTCCACTTACTACCTGTGCCTACATTTCTTTTCATGAAAACTGGAACATTATTAGCCACCTGATGTAAAGATTAAATGAGATGATCCATGAAAGTATTAACAGAATATCTCAATCAACAGTCAATGCATATATTATCTAAATGCTTAGAGATGAGCATGGGTAGTATGTCTTAACTGTGCCAGACACACCGTAGGTTCTCAAATAGCTGACAACAAAACTAATAGGCCAGGCGTGGTGGCTCACGCCTGTAATCCTAGCACTCTGAGAGACCTAGGCAGGCAGATCACTTGAGGTCAGGAGTTCAAGACCAGCCTTGCCAAAATAGTGAAACCACATCTCTACTAAAAATACAAAAAATTAGATGGGTGTGGTGGCGGGTGCCTATAATCCCAGCTACTCAGGAGGCTGAGGCAGGATTATCACTTGAACCCGGGAGGCAGAGTTGCAGTGAGCCAAGATTGTGCCACTGCACTCCAGCCTGGATGACATAGCAAGACATCGTCTCAAAAAATAAATAAAAAACAAAAATTTTAAAAATTAAAAAATAATAATAATTACTGCTAATATATCCACCTTCTTCCCTGCTATACTGCAAATTTTCAAAGGTAGGCACTATTTCCCATTCATTTCTGCACCCCACTCCAGCCCCCTAGCCCAGCTCAACAAATAACCATTTGCTTTATTTTAACTTAAAATGTGAATACAATTTTGATGATTCTTAAGAAATTCATCCTTGTCTAAGGAATTACAAGGACAGCCTCAGGCATACCTTAGACTAGAACCACAGAGTGAGATAAAAGAGACTCACTGGCCTCAAAACCTTCCTCAGGTTTCCAAACACCCTGACTACCTGGTCTGTGGCCTCAACAACCAACTCCACCTTTCTTTAACCTCAGGCAGGACCTGCCACCTGCTGAGCCGCACAGTCTGAGGTCTTCACTGGTGAACCCCCAGCCCGCCTGGTCTGTGGCATCCCAGCCCCTGCTGCAGCCTGCCCACAGCCCTCAGCCCAGCCTGCTTCAGCAGCAGCTCATCCTGGGAGAACGCAGCCTGGCTCTCAGCCAGTTCACCTCCCACAAGAGCCAGGGGGCTGCGCTGGGCCCAGTGTCAGGTTACCACAAAAATAACAGTGGGCCTGCCTAAACCACGCATGCGGGCCAAGTGTAGGAGGGAAGTGCCCCAGAGGTGAGAAAGAGCAGCTCAGGAGAAGAAAAAAAAGGAAGACCTTTGAACATGTGTCAAAGAGGACTTGGTTTTTAAGAAAAGAACATTAAATTCATAACTACACTCAATACCGCCACTACAGCTTCTTCAGTACCTCATTTAGTACCTAATCAGGGTAACATATTTATATTATACTTAACTCTAAATATGCTTTTAAAAATATTATTTTAGGACAAGACGGGGATGAAGTTTTCTTTAGTTTGCTTATTTAATACCATTTATAAGTCAGATTTGGGTCAATGAAGGTTTTAACAAGTATTCCCACTGAACAAATTCCTAATATTACTCAGCTTTAATTTTCTCAAAACTAAATCCAAACATGTCGAAGCTAATTAGGTTTATGTAGAAGAGGTAGGACTTCAAGGGGAGGGAAAAGGCTAATAAAAAGCATTTATTCATTATTTTTTCTTCTTCCCTAAAATGAAATCAAAGTTCATTCCCGTGCTACTCTCGTGCAAGAATGCTGCTAGCTTGATGTGCTCTGGCCCAGCCTGGATATTTCAAATAAAGTTAACTTCAATCACTGTAGGGAGTTAGGAGGGTATTGATTCTCCATCCATTGTTCTTTCATCCTGGTTTACTCCACACACAATGCCTCTTTAATTTGCTCCTAGCAACTGTTTTATGAGTGGGTGGGTACAGGCCCAGCTACAAGAAAAGATGCACTTCCTTAAGCCAGGCAGGTAAGCCTCAAGACCAGGCCATCCACTGGGTGGAATGGGTTTCCCACTGTAATCCCGTACGTGCAAAAGAAGCTGTGAATGCCTTGGCAGGAGAAGACAGAGCCAACTCTAACAGGCACATTTAGATTCCCAACCTGAAGGTGGTGAAAGGTAGATGGACAAAAAAATTCTAAGCAGAAAAATATGGGCTAAGTTTTTTTTTTTAACAATTAATTTTGATGGGGAAAAGGTTCTCAATTGTCACCTTATTTTGCAGTTATTGATTTATATTTCATTTTACAATATCAGGGTTGCACGTATTATAAGACACAGCCGTATTCTGAACAAGACTCCACTGCAAACAGTCCAAAAAAAAAAAAAAAAACCCCTTAAAATGACAATTTTAGAGGCAGCCAGACCAGCAGTTGACATGCAGACAGGCAGCGATTCTGTGTTTTTAAATTTTTTTTAGCTTTTCAGAAACAGCCCTCTCCCAATCAAATTGATCAAAAATTTCATAGAAGAACTTATCACCAGTGGAGTGTGAGTCCTGAAAATTTAAAATAATACCGAATAAGTAGTGAAATTCACTGTAGTTTCATTCTGTCTTTAAAAGCAGCCAAAGTCTAGTTTCCAGAAGAGAGGATCTCATTCACCTTGCTACTCCTAGTGTGGCCAGAATTGACACAGTTCATGCAGGGCACATCACACCGTGCAATTATCAACCAGCATTGACACTGCTAAAAGATCTTTAATAATCCTGGTTTTTACCATAAAAGCTCTCATTATTATCCCAGCTCTCTTTGCTTGTTCAGCGTGCCTGGTCACTTACAGGAGGATGAGAAAAAACCGTAGACTCGACTCATCTTTCCCCAGCAGTGTCTCCCAGGGAGCTGTTCATGTCTCTGCAGAGCAATGCCACCACACTCCCTGACCAGGTTTAAAATTAGCCGAGCCCTGGAGAGCCACAGGTAACCTTCCGACAAGGTTAGCCAGCAGAGCAGAGCACAGCTCAGGGAGGGACATTAATAAGAAGCCAAGTAGAACCTTTCAACAAGCCCATTAGGGCCTCTCAGAACCCGTGCAGTCTGGAAGCCTGGGGGAGCCAGGTGCCTCAACGCGAGGAGGCTGACCTAGGCCTCTTATTTTTATCCCACCGAGTCAGCAGCTTTCTTTACAAGAGATAAATACAACCTCCAAATGTGCTTCTCCAAGTTTAAATCCAACATGTTCACCCACTCACTAATTATACAATAATTTTTAAATTTTTAATCGGGTTTTTAAAAATATTTCTGGAACACCTCTAGTTATAAAAGTTAATACCCATAGATGACCAAAAGTGGAACATATAGAAACATCCACAAAGAAAATTAACTTTACCCATATTCCACCATCAAATAATAATCAGTGCTACCCATGCATTTTGATGTCCTTTCTTACACTAATTATTCCTTACAGCTTTAGGTTTTTATTGCCCACCTAACATTTCACAGTCAGAAATAGTTCCTGAGTCCTGAAAACTTCTCTGTGTCTGTGATTTTTAAGAGGTACATAATATTCTGGGGGGTGGATATGCTATTATTTAGCTCTTTTCTCATGCTTGGACATTTAGATTTTGCCCAACTTTTCACTGTTGTAGCAAACATCCTTGTAATCATTTCTCAAGGACAGATTCCTAGCCTACAGTCAAAGAGCAGAAAAATTTCAAGGCCACCGATAGACTGGGGACCTCATGAAGACAGAGGCTGTGCGCCTCTCACACTGTATACACAGTATTTTCTGAAAAAAAGGACATGTCTCAGTGCTTTCTAAATAGCCCTAAATTCTAATGTGACACTGTCCAAACGCCTTTGGGGATAATCTGGCCTAGCGCAACTAAAGTTTTCTCAGCAATGAATTAAAGATGACAAGTGAAGAATCTATCAACACCTCTGAACACCTGCCAGTTTCAGACACTCTCCCACACCACCTCCAGTACCCGACTGGTACAACTATACTGGTTGTTTAAAATACTGAAATACTTCCATAACAGCGTGTAAAGAGTCAGTGCTCCAAAGCCCCAGTGAATGCTCTGTCCCCTTCGTAGTGTCCCAAGGTCTCCTCACTATTCAACAAGGATAGGTGTCCGGCAAATCAAGGGGCCTGCAGTGTAGTTTCTACTGTGCCAATGCCCTTCTGGACTGGCTGTTAAATATTTTCAATACCACCCCGTTCATGGGTAACCTTCTCCCCCACCTTAAATCTGTTTCATTTGTCATACAGGCAACTTTTAAAATCTCAATTGCCATCACTTCAACACTATTTCTTAAATTCACCAGACTCCCTAATATTTTAGTTGTGAAACCAAAAATTAACAGTTATTAGGAAGCAATTACCAAGATGCCTAGCAGGGGGCTGTTTCTGCTAAGTTATTCTCTACAAAGCATAGTGAGATGGGCTGGACAAAGATGAACTCCATAATCTTAAGATTCATGAACCTAGTTCTAATACTAATTATATTGGTTCCCCAAGGATAAAAGCTATCTGCTTAAATCACAGGAGACTTTGAGGAACTTTCAGATCATTAATCAGATTCTCATCAAAAATACTGAAATACTAAAGTCTGGGGATAAGAGAAGAGTTAGGTCCTGCCTACCCTATGCCCAGGCCACCCTCGTATTGGTTTACCTGTAATATTAATAAAAGCAACATTTATTGAGTGCTGTCAATAAGCTCGACATATATTGCTTTGAATTTAGAAGTATGATCTCTACCTTTACCTCTCTTTGCTAAACTAAGCCCTTTTCTGCGGAGGGGAACAGATAACTAGTATGTGGATCAGAGTTTCATTTCTTCTAAATGTTTTTGTCTATCTTCTATCAGGGATGCCAAGGCAAGAACACCAGCCAAGAAAGAGAAGGACAAACAAGAGGTCTCTATAATCAGACTCTGAAAACCAAGAAGGTGCTAGCCTGGACGTATTACAGCACTGCCCAGCCCCACCGCTGGACCACGGGCCACTCTGGAATCAGCTCAAAGACAATACCCTCCCACATCTCCATTACAGAAGAATATACTCCAAATTCCAGGCCACTTATAAGAGCTGGAGGCTGAGCTATGGCTTCTTTGCCAAATCACTGAGATTCTAATAGATGGCAAAAGTTTAAGGAAATACACCTTGTATCAGTAAATAAAATTAATATTCACAGCTAATATTTACTTGACACTATGTGAGGAGTAGGAGTCAAGACTTTCCTTTTTTAAAGTTTTATTTTTGAATGATAAATAATAGTTGTATATGTTCATGGGGTACAATGTGATATTTCCATACATGTATATATTGTGGAATGATCCAATCTGATGAATTAACATATCCATCACCTTCAATAGGTATCATTTCTTTGTGATAAGAACATTTAAATTCTTCTTTTTGCCATTTTGAAATATACCATAATTATTATTAACTACAGTCACCATGTTATGCACCAGAATTTATTCCTCCTAAGAGAAACTTTGCACACTTTGATCAAGCTCCCCTTTCCCTACCCACCCTCTCACCCCCAAAACCTCTGGTAACCACCATTCTACTCTACTTTTTATGAGTTTGACTTCTTTAGAGTCCAGAACTTTACTTTTATTATTTCACTTCATCCTCATCACAATTACAAGAGGTAGAAATATTACTATCTCTGTTATTCAGATAAATAAAATGAAGTTTAGAAATATTATTTGTCCAGAATCATGTCACTAGTCAGTGGTCAAGGTGAAATTCAAACCCAGGTTCATCACACCTTGAACTCAAAGTCTAAATGTATTTGTGAGACAGTAAGCCTCCCATCACTAGAGGTAATCAAAGAATAGCTACAAGACCTCTTAAAACAGTCATGCTGTAAAGGGGACAGGAGACAGATGAAGATGTCAAGAAAGGTGCATTCCAACCTCTGATCTATGGTGGGTGAAAAGAAACTGCCTACTGTGTGCTGGCTCTGTATCAGGTGCTTGTGGGACATAAGGAGCAGGCCAGGCCCTCTAAACAAAGTGTAAACACAATTAAAGCTGAGGTAACAGACAGCCACATGATTTTTCTGCTGAAAAGCAAGGCAGCTGAAAAACAAGGCTGTTGGAGAGCCCAGACTCTGGCCACTGTGATCCCAGGAGCTCTGGCACACGGCAAAAGCTTGTGCTTCTTTCTGCTTTCCCAGAACCACAACTGCAAGGATGAGAGCCTTGCTACTGCAAGGCAGGGGGAAAAAAGACTTTTTGACCTCCTCTTTAATATCCTGAACCTGCATTTTTCTCCAACACAGAACTAATAAGGTAAATAAACAATCCAGATTTATATTGGAAAATATCAAGAACACAACCAGAAAGAGGAGATGAATAGACAATTACAGAGCAGAATAAGCATATGGGAAAATATGCATGATCACTAGGAGGGAGAAAAATGGCAAATTCAAGCAAACTCAAGGGGTTATTTTAAACCTCTTAATCAGCAAGACTTTAAAGACTATAATCACATCTCTAGTGAATATGACATAGAAAATATGCTGCTGGTGGTGTGGATGTGAAGATCCAATTAGCTACCTTTATTGGGAGCCTCAAAAGGCTTAAATCCTTTGACCTAGCAATCCTAACCCTAGAAATTTATCAAAAAGAGAAAATTCATTAGAAGACAAAAATTATGAGCAGAAAGATGTAGATTATAAAACCAACTATAATATGATGAAGAAGAGAATGACTTAAAAAAAACAGTACATGAATGCAAAGGAAATCTGGGCATTCATTTACAAGAATAATTAAAATGAACTAAAACATAAGGGAAAATTTCTCATAGAATATGAATTTTTAAAAGCAAAGCAAAATTACATGATTATAACCAGTTTTATGCATGTAGCTACACAAAATGAAAATAAAAAGGAAATAGTTACTAAGTTAGGACAGTGATATTGCAGTTTTCTGTCTTATACTTTTTTTAATGTTCCATTGTTTTTGCAATTTTTAAGAAAGGATTCCAATATTTTTAAAAAGAAAATTTAAGTAAACATCAGATACAAGTTCAGACATTCAAGCCCTTGAATACAAGAAGAAAGCTTAGAAGTCACAGATATGGGGATACTTGAATCCTTTATCATCAGGATCCACCGAGGCAACCGCCAACTGATATGGTTTGGCTGCGTCCCCACCCAAATCTCACCTTGAATTGTAGTTCCCATGATCCCCATGTGTCGTGGGAGTGACCTGGTGGGAGGCAACTGAATCACGGGGCAGGGGGCAGTTACCCTCATGCTGTTCTTGTGATAGTGAATGAGTTCTCACAAGATCTGATGGTTTTATAAGGGGCTTCCCCCTTTGCTTGGCACTCACTTCTCTCTCCTGCCGCCATGTAAGATGTACCTGTTTTGTCTTCTACCATGATTATAAGTTTCCTGAGGCCTCCCTAACCAAGCAGAACTGTGAGACAAACCTCTTTTCTTTATAAATTACCCACGTTCAGGTATGTCTTCATAGCACTATGAAAACAGACTAATACACCAACTTTATGTCTAGTGACAATTTTCACATACACACATTATATCCTATTTTACGTAGACCAAATGACTTGATATTCCCTCAAACATTACACTAGCAATAACATTACACTAGCAATAATCAATCACAGTAGCTAACACTTCTAGAGAACCCTGTTCTAAGCACTTTGTATGTCCTGACTCATTTAATACCCATAACAATACTATGAGAAAAGTACTACTGTTATTCCTATTTTAGAGATGAGGAAACTAAGGCACGGTAAGAAAATAAATTGCCTCATCACTCAGAGAAGTGGAAGAGCCAGGATTTAAATCTAGACAGTCTGACTCCAGAGTTTAATTGATAACCACCACATAAGACTGCCTATGTGTACAGACAAGACTCCCAAGCCACTGTTATGCTGTTCCTCTTATCTGAAATGCCTTTCCTCGCCACCTACAAAGTTCCCACAAATACTTCAGAGGCCGATTCAATAGCTACCTCTTTGGTAAAGCCTTATTTGGCTTTCCCATGAAGCTTTTGTTTGTGTTACCTGTTAAGTCCCACAGTACTTTATACATACAACTACTCTTTCACTAATACTGTTTAATAATTCATTGGGCTTCTCTCCCTGATGGACCAATATTTGGGATGGGGAGTAGATACAGGTGTTCTTTGTATTTGCAGCAACTAGCCCGATGTCTGGCACCTAACATGTAATCAGTAACAGAGGGAGAGAGGGACAAATGCATGAATGACTTATCAGTAAAGGGAATAGAGAGCTCGTTAATGTGTTGATCAGTGAATATTTCACATATGCTTGAGGTTTTAATAAAATGGGACCTTGAATATTATCCAGCCTTGAAAAGGAAGGCAATTCTGACACCCATGACAAGAATACATCTTGTGGAGATTATGCTAAGTGAATTAAGCCGGTCACAAAAGGACAAATACAGTAGGATTCCACTCATATGCGGTACCTAGAGTAGTCAAATTCACAGAAAGTAGAATGGTGGTTGACAAGGGCTAGGAGGAGGAAGGAATGGAGAGTTCTTGTTTAATAGACATTTTCAGTTTTGCAGATAAAAAGAGTTCTGTGCATGGATGGTGGTGACGATAGCAAAACAATGTCAATGCACTTAATACCACTAAACTGTACACTTAAAAATGAAGATGGTAACTTTTATGTGTACTTTATCACAATTAAAAAGATTGTAGATAGATGACAGAGATAGATGACTGATAGATAGATAGATAGATAGACAGATAGATAGATAGATAGATAGAAAGAATGAGACCTCAAAGCAAAGCAATCAGACCAAGTCAAATTATACTCACAGTGTAACCTAAACATAACTCTCAGTGCTGGAGCACTCATATTCCAACAGATGCTTCACACATACACAGAGTCACCCCTTGTATCTTTCCAACCATCTTCTCATTTCAACAGAGCTATCACTTCCTCCATGGAGCCTTCCTGGATACCTATGTCAGGCTGAGTTGCCCTGTGCCTGTTTCCACAGCACCATGCCCTTATATCAGAGCACCTCTGCCAACTGCCCATCAACAAGTCTATCTCCCCAGTGTCAAACTCCATGAAGGCAGCAACCTTGTCTTACTGGAGTGTGTCTTTAGGACCTGGCTTGGCACACATCACCTTTAATAAATATAGAATTAATTAATTAACTGATGAAAAGGGAGGGGCTGGAATACTGCTCTGATTTTCAGAGCCCACATGCCAGGCTGTCTTAAGGAGTGATTAGCAAGGCAAGTAAATACAGAAAATTCAAAGATTTTTTCATCTGAAACTGAAAGGAAAAGCATCCAACTACAGATGAGTCCCAGGAAGATTCTTGCCACATCCTCTACTAGAAAAAGGGAGATCCTATATGTGGACAAGGTGATTTGCAGAATCTACACATGTACAGAGTTAAAGTTCTGTGCCTGCCTTCTGGTATCCCGGGGCTAAGATTCAGGTGTCAAACATGATGCAAGGGCTGAGACACGCCACCTCTTCAAATTCTCTTGATATCAAAGGAGTATTTTCTTCTTTACAGGAACAGAAGTTTAAATTGCAATTTGATCAATTTGTCAGACACCTATTCTTTGGGCTAAAATTAGAAAACATTCTTCAAGGCTGCTAAATATTTATTGATGCTAAATTTTTATCAATACTTAGGGGTCAGCTCAGAAGGTACGGGGCAGTAATTGATTTTCTTCCCCTACTCCATTTTCCATGCTTTAAGGCAGCTGGTACATGCACAGTATTTCTTATTCTATGTATTTCTGCCATATAAATTACTTAACCATCTGATATGGTTTGGCTGTGTACCCACCCAAATCTCATCTTGAATCGTAGCTCCCATAATTCCCACATGTTGTGGGAGGGACCCAGATGGAGATAAGTGAATCATGGGGGCAATTTCCCCCATACTGTTCTTGTGGTAGTGAATGTCTCATGAGATCCGACGGTTTTATATAAGGGGTTTCCCCTTTTGCTTGGCTCTCATTCTCTCTAGCCTGCCGCCATGCTGCCCTTTGTCTTCTGACATGACTGTGAGGCTTCCCCAACCACATGGAACTGTGAGTCCATTAAACCTCTTTTTCTTTGTAAGTTACCCAGTCTCAGGTATGCCTTTATCAGCAGCGTAAAAATGGACTAATACATCACCCTTACGATGCTTCTCTATATACACCTCCACCCTTACTCTTGGTTTATGTTTCACATAGGAGAAAAGAATTTTTGATTTGCTACTGAGCAAAATGTTTCCTCTTTTTTTCCCTCCAATTACCAAGCAAATGGTAAGAGTGACACTAAAAGGCATGCATAAGCTAGGCACATCCAGACTTGAGCCCCACAAGCTGTAAGCTGCCAGAATATAGAGCTGCAACTGAAAAGCACAAAAGACTGCCAACATGACTTAAATTTAGCTTTAGGGCAAACCCAATGCGGAACAGCTCCAAACAGGTAATGCTGAAATGACAAGGGACAGTTGTAAGTAGAGGACACACACTTGCTTGTGAGCTGTCTGGGAATTCTCCATCAGTAAGCAAAGTCCTTGCACAAACCTAAGGTCTTGAGTCTTACTCATTCACCAAGAAATATCACAGGTAAAAGATATCTGAGGACCTGAGATGATTACTTTTTTTTTTTTTTGCTTAGTCTTTCATTGATTTTAGTCATACCATCCTTATTAAGGACTTATGTGAACTGCAAAGATAGGGATGTATAAACACACAGTCTGACTCTGAGAAGTTTTAACTTGGGCTAGGTAAGATAAGATACAACAATAATGTAACTGAGCAATTCCTTTTTTCCCCCTACCTAGGCCTCCGTCTCCTCATCTGAAAACAAGAGAGTTGAAACATGACGTTTTTAGATAGCTCTCAAAGTAAATTAATATTCTATTTCTACTTCATTCACCTGTCCAACAGAACAAGTAGACTCCTGGCTTACAGCTGGACTGCCCAAGAATTAAATTTTTCTTCAAGTCCCATAAAGTATTATTGACTATATTTAATACATACATATAGATACAAATGTTCTAACACCATTTTTGTTTCCAAAGAAGAAGACTATTTCTAACAAAATAAAAAAAGATGGTATTACAATTCTGCCCAGCTATTTTAAAAGGCACTTTTCAAAAGGAGATCCTATAAGAAAATTACAGGTAAATTTTTAAAGTAAAAAGAGAAGATTCATTTGGCCATTTCAAGGAGACATTCTCTGCTTTTTAAATTTCTGCTTTACCTGTATTTCTTTGTGAATGGATAAGAATCAAAAGCTTAGGTTCCAGCTGGAGCCTACTGCACTCCATAAGGCCATTAAGTTTCATATAAATCCTAAATTTAATATATTCAAGCATCATTCACAAGCTTTAAGGATTATGCCTGCAACTGAAACTTAGAATACAATAAATATTCATAGACGCACATTTTTTAGATTTAAAGACAATCACTAATAAATTGCATCTTCAAAGGAGGACAGGTGATTATTTGTATCCCACTTTACAATAATTTTTTGAATTCAGCAAAATATCTAAAAGCTTAAATGCAAATAACATTTTAAATCCCTATTTTTTCTTTAAAAAATTGAATTCATTTTTACCTTAAGATACACCACTACTGTACAAACCTATCTTTCCTGAAGTTTGTTCTAGGTAGGGCAATGACAAAAACAAAACAAAACAAAAAGCTAGAAAACGTAAAGCCTTTGGTCTTAAAAGGCTGTACACATGTCCACATATTCCAGTTTTGAATAGAAATAGTAAATGAGAGGAAGAGAAAAGGACCCATTTGGAATTTCAGGACATTATGGGCAGATTCACAGAGAGGAATCCAAGAGGCAAACTACTTGCCAGAGTAAACAATTGTCACAATCATATTAACGTTTTAATAAAAGTTTTTCTTCACAATTCACACATAGTGATGAAGCACTTGAAGGCTTATTTACTTCTCTAGATGTCTAGCTGGAGGATAAAACATGGCCTATTATGTACTAGTTCTGTCGGACCAACTGAGACACAGAAGTGGTAGGTACCTGGATTGCTCACAATTTAGTTGTGTGTCATAAAAGGCATGCAAGCATTTGTTCAATTAGCCTTAAACAAGCATGCAGCCAACTTCAGGCAGGGTTCTGTGATGGAGAGATGAAGAAAAGTAACTAACTCCTCCCTCAAAGATTTCACAGTCCAGTGAGAGAGGCAGATACACCAAGAGATAACTCTAATGCAACCCAGTAACTGTTGTGATAGAAAGATATATGTATAGAAATCATGGGGAGCAGAGTGGTGGTGGGACCAGGGGATACATGCCTCATGGTTAACATATGTCAAGCATACGTCTGCCTTGGTCACAGCTATAACCCCGGAATCCAGAACAGTGCATAGCACACAGTAAGCACCCAAAAAAAAAAAAAAAAAATCGAACCAGGAAAGGCGACAAGGAGGGCGGGCAGAGATCAGCCCAAAGAGTTGGGAGTTTGGTAGGGAGCATGACACAGAGGTCTGGTTGGAATACACATTCCACCACTTTGTAGCTGTGTGATTCTGCCAAGGACAGGGACCAGGGATGACAAAGAACCACAGCAGTGGGATAAGATTTCTTTTTTTCCACTTCTTCCTTGCCCTTCTCGAATCCTCCAGGAAGCCCTTCCCCTAATGCTTATTCAGACGAGACTCAGAGTGAATGAACCAAAAAGGAACTGGAGGACATAAGAGGAAGACAGAATCTACTGGCTAGCTAAGGAGAAAGGAGAAGATCCTTTTCATCCTTTAGAATGGAAACCCTCAGTATTTCTAACCCGGAAAAAACATTTTTAAAGTCCTGGGCCAGACTTCCCAAAGGTTTCAACTTCTGCCTGGCCCTAATGCTTTTCTGGACGGCCCCAGATTCTTGTCAATTAGGCAGAGTCACATTTTCCCCACATCCCCATTTTAATTTCCTTTACTAAATTAATTACAGCTTAGTAACACTTGATCAACACAAAAGTAAACTAAACTACATTTAATATCATCTTAGATCTTTCAAATTCTTTAAAAATATATATGGCGGTGTGTTTGTGTGTTTCAGTATATGCAGTTGTGATTGCCTATGAATGCACAGGTGTTTATGTGCAGTCACATGTTGCTTAACAAAATGTGTTGTCAGTCAATTTCGTCATCGTACATCAACATCACAGAGCACAGTTACACAAACCTACATGGTATATCCTACTACACATCTAGGCTATTTGGTACAGTTATAGCCTATTGTTTCTAGAATACAGATCTGTACGGCATATTACTATACTGAATACTGTAGGCAATTGTAACTCAATGGTAAGTATTTGTGTATCTAAACATAGCTACACATAGAAAAGGTACAGTAAAAATATGGTATAAAAGATTAAAATGGTACACCTGCATAGGGCACTTCCCATAAATGAAGCTTGCAGAACTGGAAGTTGCTCTGGGCGAGTCAATGAGTGAGTGGTGAGTGAATGTGAAGGCCTAGGATATTACTGTACGCTACTGTAGACTTTATAAACAGTGTATTCTTATGCCACACTAAATTTATTTTTAATTTTTTTTCAATTATAAAATAACCTTAGCTCACTGCAACTTTACACATTTTTTAATTTTTAACTTTTGACTCATTTGTAATAACACTTAGCTTAAAAACACAAACATACTGTACAGCTATACAAAAATATTTTATGTCTTTTTCTATAAGCTTTCTACTTAAAATTTTTTTTCTTTTCTTATTTTTTACTTTTCAAAAACAAAGACATAACTGGGCACAGGGGCTCACAATGTAATCCCAGCTACTCCGGAGGCCTAGGCAAAAGGATCTCTTGAGCCCAGGAGTTCAAGACCAGCCTGGGCAACATGGCAAGATCCTACCTCCACAAAAAATTTAAAAATTAGGCATGGTGGTGCATGCCAGTAGTCCCAGCTACTTGGGAGGCTGAAGCAGGAGGGTCACTTGAGCCTACAAGTTCAAGGCTGCAATAAGCTATTATCACATGATCACACTCCATCCTGGGCAACAGAGCAAGACCCTGTTCCTAGAGGGGGCGGGGGAGGTGGGGAACCCACGCACACACAAAGACACAAGCAAACACATTAGCCTAGGCCTACACAGAGTCAGGATCATTAGATGTCACTAGACAATAGGAATTTTTCGCTCCATTATAAAGTGACCACTATTGTACATATGATTATCATTGACCGAAACATCATTATATGGCACTAGACTATATGTACATACATTCACACAAACAAGTGTTATTTAAATAAGCATGCACAAGGGCATGCATCTATATAGAAATACAAACTCACCTTCTCGTGGCTGATGGAAGTGTGACAGATACCACCATGCACACAGGCAGGAGGCAGGAGACATCAATTAAGTGTCTACCTCAGAACCCTGCAAGCTCACTTTTCACAAATAACCAAGGTTCCACCAATGAAGAAGCTGTTAAATTCCCAAGGCCACTGGGACAGAGCTCTAGGTGTTCAAATTCCCTATGGCTAGACCTGGGCCACAAAGAAACCTCCTTCCCTTCCTCAAGAAAAATTTCCCTTTCAGTTAATCAAAGAGCTGGAACCACTGGCGGGTAGGAAGCAGGGGCCCCAGAGCTGCTGCATGCCTGGAAATCCACAGCCATACCAGGGACCTAAAACACTCAGGCTCCTGCTCTTGAACTTCTGAGGTTAGGAAATGCTGCAAAGTTCACTGTCATCCAATTCAACAGGCCTCTACCTAGGGGCCGCTGGGTCCAAAGCCCAGCCCTCAGACCTTACTTCTCCTAATACTGTCTTATGTGTGTTTCACAACAACCCAAAAAGGTAAGTGGGTAGTATTACTCTCCTTTAACAGGTGAGGGATCTGAGACTCCAAAGGGCTGATGAAGCCCAAGGCAGGCCCCCATGTGGGTCAATGGAGGTGCTATGCTGCTGCCTTCATACCATGAATCTGGCTTAAAGGTACTCACAGAGTGAGAAGAAATCAGAGCTCTTGAATTCTGGTTTCAGTTCATCCTCTGATCTAAGAGTAATCAGTCCTAAGTAGGTATTAGCTTTGCAAGCCTCAAGCTCAATAATGTAAAAAGAAAAAGAGAGGGTAATCTTTTTTCTATATCTCGCAGAAAAGAAGCAGATAAGACCATTCTATGCAATCACTATTCAACACAATTCTCAAAAGCTGGGTGGCTGGTTTCTGGTCAACTCTCCCAGCAAACATCATCTCCTTTTCCACTCCCCTAGTCCCAACTCTGACTTTTCACAGCCTTGGGCATTCACCAACTGTCCACTAAGGAATTCCTCCACTGTCTGCCTTTCTGGAGGACATCGAAATGCATCTGAAGAATTAGCTCAAGCCTCCAGTCAACTGAGTACCCTCAGAGGAGTATTTAAATTTCTCTTTACTACATCCATTACCCATGGTCTGGCCAGTTTTTTGTCTCTTCCTCCTCACTGGAAGCTCCTCAAGAGACCCAGCCTAGACTTCTCTATATTCTTCACCACTGTGATACCCACCACCACCAAGCCCTCATCCCCAGAGTTAAATCAAAAAAATATATATTCACATGGCAACATTTCCTGGGTATCCGCTATGTCACATGTGACAAAATGGAAGTAGGAACTAGTTTTTAAGGAGAATTAATAGGATATGGTCTTGGCCTCAAAAAATTTACAATCCAGTAAGGAAGACAGAGATAGAAATGATTGCTGGGATTTGCTGAATCATTTGACACTGGAATTTGCCTGTGACTGGGAGTTGGAAGGGATAGTGACTATGAAGGATGATAGAGTCTATTCCTGATACTATCTCAAAGGATATAATGACCAGCTGACTTTAATAAGGTCGAAATTTAATAAGGATAGATGTCAAGTCATGCACTTAGGGCTGAAAAAAAAAAATCAACTCACAAGTATAGGATGGAGAAGATCATATGAGAGACTTAAGGGATTGGGTTGCCCACAAGCTCAATGACTCAGTGTGACAAGGCCCTGTAAAAGTTAACGCACTATCAGGCTATCCTGATTAGAAATGTGGCATTCAGGGTAAGGAAAGGATCTCCAATCTGGATCCCAGAGACTGTAGAGAGATAAATGGTTTAAAGTGAGCAGATTTTAAGACAGCAAACGGGCACAAAGCCATATCCTAAGAGAAATGGGGACAGTGAGGCTAGAGAATGAGTAAGAGGGCCATGGAGCTATTTTCAGGCTGGAGTCTTAGGCTTTACTTTTTTATTTCTAGGAATAGGTAATGGAAACAGTTTACCTCGACTTATAGTCTAGGTAAAGAAGTCTAAGGCAGAAATTAACCTATGAGGATATTTATTACAGCATGGTTTATAACTGCCAAAAAATGAGAAGGAACTGACAAAATATCTGATAAGCGGGAATAAATTATATATCCTATTTTAAAATTGTTATTAATTGCAGTAAGTATTTATTGATATTAAAGATATTAATAAAATTCCACCTACCAGAAAAGTACAAAATATTATCCCCAAATATATGGTTAATTTAGTTTTTTAAAAAAACATACATACAAAAAAACAATATACACCCACATCAAAAACTACTGAAAATACTTTGGAAGACTAAGTAGTAGTGTGATACTAATAATCTATGAGTGGTGAAATTACGGATAGTTCTAAATTTTAGTTTTTGCTTCTCTGTATTTTGCTTCTCTACATTTTCTCATTGTTTCACATTGGACATATACTGCAAATCTGATAAGAAAAATTATTTTAGATTTTTCAAAAGAAAAAACCTAAATGGGCTAGCATATGAAAAGCAGAATTAGGCTTGTGCTGTATGGTTCCAGCAGAGGTAGGGAATTCAGATTAATGGATAAAGATTCTAAGAGACCCTATCTAAGCTCAACATAAGAGAATGGTGTATAAGTGAAATAAACTGGCCTTTGCTGTAGTAAGCTCCTCATCAAAAGATCTGTGCCTCCAGGATGCGTTAGAACTATGTAGGAAAGGGGCCGGGCATGGTAGCTCATGCCTGTAATCCCAGCACTTTGAGAGGCCGAGGCGGGCGGATCACTTGAGGCCAGGAGTTCGAGACCAGCCTGGCCAACATGGTGAAACCCCATCTCTACTAAAAAATACTAAAATTAGCCGGGCATGGTGGTGTGTGCCTGTAGTTCCAGCTGCTTGGGAGGCTGAGGCATGAGAATCACTTGAAACTGGAAGGTGGAGGTTGCAGTGAGCCATGATTGCACTAGTGCACTCCAGCCTGTGCAACAGGGCAAGACTCTATCTCCAAAAAAAAAAAAAAAAAAAAAAAGAGCTATGTAGAAAAGCACTGTAGGCAAGCCTCCATAAAGTCATGGAGTACAGGCTTAGCTCCTCCTGAAAGACCTTTAAAGTTCCCTCTAATCTATATACTCCAATTCCTTCAGCACTGCTTGAGCCATCGCTGCTCTAGAAACCACAACACCTCTATTTCTCTCATACAAGTTCAATTCTCAATCAAGTTTTTAAGACCTACCTCTCTCGGTTCTCTCACCAAACTGGAGCCAAATGGAATACCGTTAGGAAAAAAAAAAAAAAAAAAAAAAAAAACACTCAACTGGGAATCAAAAGTTTCAAATCCCAATGGCACCACTGGAAAGAATATACCCTTAAACAAGTCACTTTAATCTCTAGAAGCCTCAGTTTCCTCAACTATGAAATGGCAGTAAAATTTATACAACCTCACAAGGTTCTGCTGACAATTCAAGACAAAGCCTGGGAGAGTGTTTTGTAAACAATAAAGTGCTATACAAGCAAGAGACAATTTACTCCTCCGTGCATAACCCTGAACAGCGACTGGTACGTCATGGCCGTTTAATAAATGTTTTATGAGTGATAAATGAGTCCTGTATTAACTCAGTATGATGAACCTCCTGATACAGGCTTGCTAACATGTATTAATAAGTACTAATAAAACAGGAGGGAAGTTGTGGTCACCTATGTTAGACCCAGTTACCTTAGGTAATACAAAGTTAAACTGGCTGTCTTAGTGCCAGGCATTGCAAAGCCTTTAATATGCTGCGCTGTGAATCTGCAGCGTGTGGATGGAATAAGCAACACATGCAGGCATTATTCACCTGGGCAAACCCTTTCCTCAGGGCATCTCATAAGATATGAGGAGAGCAACATGCCTTGAGAATTAGGGACCCAGTGCATTCTCTATCGTGAGGGCATTTCAGCAGAAGTCGGATAGCCAACCATCAGGGAGGCTTAGAGATCACACAGGGTTGGAAGCAGACACAACTTTAATGCTAGCATCTCATGATTCTACACCATGGCCCAAGCACCATCTCCACAAGGTCCTTCATTCCTCTCTCTAGCTTTCTCCTGACCATTTATCATACCACACAATATAATGAATGGATTTTCTCCAGTTTATAAGGATGAGTCTTGATTTTTCACCATGATTACAAGTTTTAACAAGAGAACCTAGGTTTCCATCTTTCTCCACAATCCCTAGTGCACGCTGAGCACCTATTACAGACTTACTGATGATCTCACTGAACCCTAACAGACCCCTGCTACTTCAAGTGTAGTCCATAGACCAGCATGGCATTGCCTGGGACTTTCTTAGAAATGCAGATTCTTAGACACTGTCCCAGATCCACTGAATGAGAATCTGCATGCTTAACAAGATGTCCAGGATTCAGAAACACTAACAAGGTGATGCTGACGCTGCTGTTGCACAGACTACCCTCAAGCAGCAAGAGAGAGGCCTGGGGAATCTCGTCCACATGATCTGAAAGCCCAGAAAAGGGCCCTAGTCATTCACTCATTCACTTACTTATTCAGTTATCCACTCATTCAATAACTATATATGAAGTTCCTACATTGTGTGAGGTACTTTTCCAGGCACCAAGTCCTGTTCTAGCAGATGTCACTGAATGGCAAGGCTCCTCTAATATTAGAGAGAATCACTCATTACAGCTGCCTGCCCTCAGAATTCAGCTAAAAACAATGTAAGCACTTCTAAAGTCCAGCTCCTCCAGCTTTGCAGGTGTCAGGGCTGATACCTCTTCACAAAACATCCAAGAAACCACCCACACAATAGCCATGGTCCAATGGTTTGGGCACAACCCCTTTATATTTCTACAGGTGCTACATTCCAAAAAATGTTTTTTCTTATAAAGCATGGCAAGAATTCTACACTTAGGGAAGAAAAGAGGTTAAAGAAGGGCCTTATTTTTCCCTGGGGAGAGAAAAGACTAAAACCTCTTTCAGAGAGGTTTACATTTTTAAAATGTATTTATTTTATCAACCACAGGCTTGCAAGTCAAACATCTCCTCAAAGACATTTTGCAGACAGAGATATTCTGGAAACACACTGGAGGCAGCTTATTTATCTGCCGCTATTACAAGACTAGCCCGAAGGGATGAGTATCAGATGCTATCTCCCACTGAAATGACTGTCTGCCTGCCAACTCTATGCCAGGTCACAGCTACCTTATACCCCTCAGATACCCCCTGCTCAGTGCTGCCGAATTGTCTCTGCCCCACTGGTCCTCTGAGAGCCTTCCAACTAACCGGGGTCATTCTCTATCAGGGAGGGCTATCTGTGTGCTACACCTTTGAAGTACATAAACCAGCAATGAAAAGTGTAACTAATATACAGGTGCAACATTAATATCGAATGTTGCCACGGTGTTAGAGACCCCTGGGGACTGGCAGGATCCTATGCAAACTCAGATCCACAGTCTCACTGACCAAAAGAGAATCACAACAGAGTGCACTCCAGGCAGCTACAACTGTCCCTTAGCTCCCTCCTTTGCTGTCTTTAACTCAGTCATCCTTTAAATCACGTTTAGCAGTTAGGAACACTATTCAGGTCTCCCACAGTCCTCAGGCTCACCTCTACTACGGCTTGGTCACACTGCATTCTGTCTCATTCCCAACTGAGAGCACCTTGAGGGCAGGGGCTGTGTCCTGCCCATCATCATCCTACCAGCCCAGCAGATGCCTGACACACCCAGGTTTTCAGGAAACAGTGGTATAATGGCAATTCATTCAAGCATTTAATGAGTGTGGAGTTTCAGGAATACAATATGAAATACTTGAAGATTTAAAAAAAAAAAGATATGGATATTCCTTGTTGGCCTTTGGAGACTAAACAAAACAAGGAACAAGGACTATGAAAGCCTGGATACAAACTTGCATGTAAGGGTGAGGGAATTCCTAGAGTAGAGCAAGCCAAGTGCAACAGAAAAGGAATTTTCTTATCTACGGCATCTCACACAGATCCACTCCCACTCTGTAATTCATTCTGTGCTGAATGCATTTCCCACACTTCGACCTTCTATTTTATAACTGGCCAGGTTTCTTGTCTGTCTTTTGAACTATCGGTATACAGTACAGAGTATGGTATATATGGCCTTAATCCCAAATTTTTATTACAAAGAGAACCATGGATCACAATGGCTTCATACTTAATATTTTTAAAAAATGCTTTTCCTAGGCATTCTGACTTTATCCTCAGTCCCCACTGTGGGATGGGTGTTAGTTAAGGGGATGTCAGAAACAGGGCAGCAAGGTTCAGAGATGCGAAGCGCCTACCACAGACTATGCCCCAGGGCCCACAGGACCCGATTCACAGCTCTTCATTCTAAAACCCCCTCACTCCAACAATGGAGCTGCCTCTCCTGCGTCAGTCTCTCCATCCAGCATCCCCACCCACAGAACTATAATGTGAACCACAGTTGTCATTTTACAGTTTCTAGTAGACTCATTTTTTGTTGTTGTTTTTGTTTCTGTCGCCAGGCTGGAGTGCAATGGTGCCATCTCGGCTCACTGCAACCTCCGCCTCCCAGGTTCAAGCAATTCTCCTGCCTCAGCTTCCCAAGTAGCTGGGACTACAGGCGTGCACCACCACGTCCAGCTGATTTTTGTATTTTTAGTAGAGACGGGGTTTCACCATGTTGACCTGGCTGGTCTTGAACTCCTGACCTCAAGTGATCTGCCCGCCTCAGGCTCCCAAAGTGCTGGGATTACAGTTGTGAGCCACCACACCCAGCTGACTCATTCTCAGACATAAAAAGAAACAGGTGAAATTAATTTCAATAACTTATTAACTCAACACATCCAAAAATTATCCAACTTATAATCAATATAAACAAAATTATACATTTGTTTTTTGAAACAGAGTCTCACTCTGTCACCCAGGCTGTAATGCAGCGGAGCAATCTCAGCTCACTGTAGCCTCAACCTCCCCAGGCTCAGCCTCCCAAGTAGCTGGGACTACAGGCGCATGCCACCACGCCTGGTTAATTTTTGTATTTTTTGTAGAGATGAGGTTTCGCCATGTTGCCCCTGCTGGGCTCAAGCAATTGGCCAGCCTCAGCCTCCCAAAGAGCTGGAATTATAGACATGAGCCACCGTGCCCAGCCCAAAATTGTTCATGATGTGTTTTACTTTTTTTCCCCCCATACTAAGTCTTTGAAATTCAGTGGTCATTGTTTACTTATGACACATCCCAACCCAGATTAGCCACCTTCCTAGTGCTGAATAGCGCACAAGGTTGGTGACTCCCCCAGTGCACAGCACAGGCCTAGAGCAACCACTTCTTACATGCATTTAAGTCTCAGAGCCTAGTATCTGCGGTCTCCAAGCACATACAACCTTTTACCAACTTCAGTTGGATTTGAGAATTATGACGTCCCAATTCTCAGCCAACACAGCCTCTCCATTTTTAGAATGACATTCAGCAACATCCTTCAAGTCTCACCAGAGGTACCACTCTTTCAAGGAAACCTTCCCTAACTACCTTCTCCCACTCCAATAGTTATGTGCCCCACCTATGTGCCTCAAGCTACCCTGACTTCACTCATCACTGCCCTTACCATGCCATGCTCATTCCTGCTCAGCCGTGTCATCTGCTATTTTATGTTCCTTGAAGACAGGACTGTGCCTGTTTCATTCACAGCCTAAGCCTTATCTCCCAGCCCAAAACTGGCTCAATAAATATTTGTTGGACGCGTGGAAGGATGGTTGGGTAAATGAATGGAATTCTTCCCAACACAAAATCTCTCACTCTAGGCCATAGTTTCCTCATTTGTAAAATCTCCATGGTTCCTTCTGGCTCTGAAATTCAATAAAACCATGCACAGTGATTTGTGTTGCTTACACCCGGGTGACAGGACTGACTGGGACATATGCACTTAGCCTTCCTGTACAACCAGCTCGACCAGGCATCTGACACAGGAAGGAAAACTTCTTAGACCACAATCTTCAGGGTTTCTTTCTCAGACCACTGCAAACATTTTGCTTTTAAGTCTCCAGAAAGCATCCTGTGAATTTCCTGTTATTCTACTGAACTACAGAAATCTGTATATTCACTCACATATTTTTTAATTTTTTTTTTAACTGATACGTAATACTTTACGTATTTATGAGGTGCATGTGATATTTTGTTACATGCATGGAATATGTAATGATCAAGTCAGGGAATTTAAGGTATCCATCACACTGAGCATTTATCATTATTATGTGTTGGGAACAATTCAAGTCCTTTCTTTTAGTTACTTTGAAATACACAATACGTTGTTGTTAACCATAGTCACTCTAGTCCGCTGTCAAACTCTCACATGACTCTTGAAGAGAATTTATATATTTCTTATGCAGAAAAAGTTTCATTTTGTCCTTAATGAATGAATGTTATAAAGAAATTGTAAGGTCAGGTTTTAGACTCTAAAGTCCAAGGTTTTGTCCCCACTACCTTTCCACCGGCTAGCTGCTTGATCATGGACATTCCATTTAACCTCTGTGCACCTCGATTTCCTCATCCATAAAGTGGGGTAACAATATATCCAATTCAGAGTTGTTTTAATGCCAGAAAGCCTTACACACTGTAAAGGGCCAAACCAACTTTAGTTACTGTGTAAACTATTTCTTCTGAGGCATATCAACAGAGTGACAACACAGCCACCACCAAGCCCAGGCCTGGGGAACTCAAGCAAAGGCCAGAGGAATCCCATGTGTACTCCCAGGCTAAAATCAACCAGGCCCCAGAATCCACAGCCTCATAAAGCAAAGCCCCAGGGCACTGCCCAGGATCAAGGTTAGGGAGCAGCCCCGGAAGCACAGGCCTCGCCAGGTGAACCAGGCACCTGGCCTGGCAGGTGGGGAAGGCTGCCTACTGGAGCACAAAAGACCAGTACAAAGGAGCCAGCCTTCCAAGGAAAGGAGGGGCGAGGAGGAGAGGGCAGGGAGAGGATGGGAATTCCCATCCCAGAGTAGGGCCCCCACTGAGCAGGAGGTTCTGCCCTCAAGACAGGCCAGGGAGCCGGAGAAACAGCCTCACTGGCCTGTTCTTTCCCCTGCAGTGTTTCAAAGGCACCTGAACTTTCCCAAAGGGGTTCTGTCCATTTCAAACAGGAACTAGGCTTGCGTGTGCACGCGCATTTTATGATTTCAGAAGAAAGCACTCGCATTCAGAGGATGAGTCATCAGCACTCCTTGTCAATTTGCCAGCGGCCTGCCCCTCTTCATTACAAACATAAAGATAAAAGCTCTTGCACTACATTAGCTGGCATACGCCTCCACAGACAGTACAAATAAATTAATTGTGCCTCATCTCAAACAGCCCGAGAGGTGTGCGGGAAGGGAAAATGTGATCCATCTTGTTTCATTAACAAATTAAATTGAAATCGAGCCTCGATCATTCTACTTTATGTACATAGACCCAGTTATTCTGCCAATATCGGATTCTCCTACTATGCGCATAGTGGGGCAGCATTACGGAGAGCCCACGAGCTCAATAAACTACGTGCACACCCAAGAGAGTGTGTGTCTTTCTCAGTGTTTGTTGCGGAGGGGACAGTGTGGCCTCAGGGGCCACTGGAAGGCTAGACTTGGGCTTGGCATCACCATGAAGGAGCCTGGGGAATAAGAATCATCTATCAAATGCTGAGCACCACTGCAAAGGGGAATGTGTTTCAATCATTTACCCCAGGCAAATAAACAAACCAGTTCAGTGGCCATGGTATGTATAGGAGAGTAAAAGAGTTTGTCATCAAGCGAACTCTGTCATACTGAGGATGGCGAGCATTCCAGAAAGAACAAACTTATTCAAGACCAACTTGAAAAACAAGTTGGGCTCCCTTGCACCACAAGCCAAGATTACACCCTCAAACACACCTTTCTAAGATTTCGTGGGAGACGTTTGCTTTTGCAAAGCAGTTACAGGCAATGTGTTACAATACTGTGATTTTCTTTATCCTCACTCTGTACTACATAATTTAGGCAACCTACATTTTATAAGTTGAAGGAGCATGACTAAAAGCTGATCCTTTTATGTTTTATCTCCAAAAAGACAACAACAGGGCTTACAGGGGAGGAGGGAAACAGGAAATGGGGGGATGGTAGAGGGAAAGAACAAAGGAGAATCTAAGGAGAAGAGGAAAAGCCCCGCTACTCTCCAAATACCGCCCTATTAACTTATGACCTATAAGGAAGTTAAAATCACGAACAGTTAATCCAACCACAAAATATGTCCAAAGTATTTATTTTACAGATGAATTCTGGGTTTGGTTTTTGTTAGTTTGGTTTGTTTTTTCGCTGTAAAATTCAAGAGTCTGAAAAGCTCTACACAGAAAATCTGACCTCAACCACAGCTAGGTCCTGACTGTAAGAAAACAAAAATACTAAGTAAAATCTCAAAACATAGTAAGTAAAGCCATACTCAACCTTGTCATAATCCAAGAAATATCAATTAAACGATGTGCACCATTGAGCCAAACTTTTGTAAAAATTATACTATCTAGTGCAAGCCAAGATGCTGAAATTGGTACCTTCACGCACTGCTGGTGGCATCATAAACTGGTACAACCCTTTTGGAAAGCAATTTAGCAATATCCATTGAGAGCCAAAAAAATAATTGTGCCCTTTAACCCAGAAATCCTGCTCCTGGGAATTCACCCTAAGGAAAAAATCCACAATAAGCACAAGGCCATATCCCAAAGTATTACTTATAATAGCACAGAACTACAGAAAAAAAAAAATCTAGATGTCCAACAGTAGATGAATGGTTAAGTAAATTCAGCCTGTGGGATGATAGATTGTAAGATCATTAAAAATCATCTTGAAGACTACATAACCATTTGGAAAGCATTTACTTAAGGTTTACTGAAAAGAGCAGAATACAAAATTGAGCCTACATATGATTACAGATACAGAGAAACATGCCTGCATACAGACAAGGGCTAAAAGTTAAAATGAAAACAGTTGTGTTAGGGTACTGAGCTAGTTCTGGATGAATTTTTTCCCTCTTTTGTTTGACTGTCTTTTTTGCGGTTATAGTGTATTTTTGTGAAAAAAAAAAAAAAAGAAAGAGAGAGAAATCACAGGGTATATATGCAGCGACTCAACTCACATTCAAATAATCCATCAGGAATTTGGGAAACCAATTTGTATGTTATTTTTTAGCATGGACCAAAACCTAGCCCTAGAGTCTCTATCCTATACTCTGCCTGGGTCTTTCCAACCATATCTCTCAGCATTACCCACCTAGCAAGGCAGGCTGATGAGGAAAGGGATGTTACCGGATGACCTATTCAAGGCTGCCTGCATGAGGTTTCTTGAGGAACAGCGAGTGTAGAAGCACCTGGCTCAGTGCATGGTGTGCACTCAGGAAGGAGTCTTCCCCTCTTGCGTTCTTCTTCCCTCCCCTGTAGGAACAGCATCCATTTACTGAGGAGATGACCAGGTTTAGGAGATGTGGAGACAGGATGAGATCCCAGATCTGTTCTGTTCAAAAGTCCTGGCCCATCTTGTCACTGTAGCTTCGAATTTCAGAGCCCCTCCACTCCCTGGGAAATAGTTTCCTCCTTAAACTGAAGAGGTTAAACATTCTTCCAGCCTGGTGTGAATATGACACTGTTTCATCCATGTGTGGTTCACAGACCACCTGCAACCAATTCACCTGCACTGCAGGCTAAAAGCTCAGACAACTGGCACCAACCCAGACCCAGTGAATCAGAATATTTAGGAGTGAGGCACCTGAATCTGAATTTAACCAGCCTCCCAGGCAACTCTTACGCACAGGGATGTTTGAGAAGCACTGATCTAAGAATCATGCAAACATCTGCCAAACACTCAAACTCATACGTCCACTGTCCTATCAACAGGAAAACCTGCTGGACAGTGGGGCGGGGGGCTTGAGGAGTGGGTATATTTAGAAGCTTGTACTTGCTCAAATGAGTATTTAACCCTAAAGAGTTAGGATGTTCAAAAGGGAAGAACACAAGAGAGTGATCTATATTTTCCAGACTTTTTTTTTCTGTTGAAATAATTCCTGGGCTAACAGACGTTATCCAATTTCACATGTCCATGCTTAGCATAATGCTGGGAACATAATGTGTATTTAGAACTGTTCGTTGAAATAATGGGTGAATGAATGAATGAGTGAGCTGACAGAGAGTATCTACATCCAACTATATACAGCATTTATTTTCTTTGTTTGCTTATTAACCTGCCCCTTCTCTCCTCCCCACTATAGTGTCAGCTCCAGGATGCTGGGGATAGGGGTGTGTGCAGATCATCCTTCTTACTCCACAAAGTAACCCCAGCTGCTAGAACAGGGACTGGAGATACTGTGCCCTCATACACAGTGGTTGCATAAATGAACAGTAGGCACTCGCAAGAGCCAGAAAAAATGTGGTGCTCCTGAACCTGGTCATCTCATTAGTAAATGGATGCTGTTCCTACAGGGGAGGGAACAAGAACGCAAGAAGGGAAGCTTTCTTCCTGCACCTGCACTGAGCCAGGTGCTTCTACACTCACTCGTCCTCAAGGAAACCTCACAACTACACTGCATGGGAGACTAGTAACTAGCAACGATTAAATGGTTTGTCCAATACACCAGGCAGTAAGTGAGAGTCTGGACTCAGAACCACATTCTTCTGTCTAACTAAACACAGGGTAGTCAAACATGAAAAATAAAAGAATACAAGAAAGTATAACCCATAAAGAATACAAGGTCCAAAGGAAATCCAAGGTACACACAAGACTGAAGGTGCTGGATGAGTTAACTTCTGAGAAGTTGCCCAGAGGAAGTGTCGGGGCTGACCTCAGACAAGTCATGGTCAGAGAGTCACATTTTCTGAGGACTGTCCCTTTAGCCTGGGAATGCTGGGAGAGGGTCTTGGCTTGGCACCTTGGGGCCCATATCTGTTCCTTAAAGCAATAATGGCAGTGCTGATGCCATTCTTCAAATTATCAGCAGCAACAAACACTTCAGAAGCAAATGGGCTTTAAACTCAGACCACTTACAGAGCTCTGCTGGTTACAATTATTGGGCACCTTCCATAGCACCTCAATCTAGTCAAGAGTTGATTTTGAAATGAAATTGGCTTGGATTCAAATCCTGCCTTCACCATTTTCTGACAATGAGACCTTCACCTTCCAAGCCTCAGTTTCCTTATTTATACAGGGGAGTAATAATGCTCACCTCATAGAGTTGTTCTGATAATTAAATAATACATTTAAAGTACTCACCAGGGGCCTGGCATACAGTAAAGTTGCAGTAAATGATATCTGTTGCAGCAGTTACTATAAGCATTGTAGAATTTGATCTGAACACCAGAATTTTCCCCAAATCACAAGCATGCAGACTATCTATGTATCTATATGTTCTGCATTCTCTACTAATTTCTTCCCAGTCCACATAAAAACACTTAATGTATTAACACATGACCTTAACTGTTATTTTTAATAGTCAGAGTAAGTGCCTATTCCTCTCTCTAGAGATCTAACTTTTTAATGATTTCCACATTAGATTTAACATTAAATTCAAATTGATCCATAAAGTAGTCTAATTGGAAATTAAATATGCCATAGACATTATTCCTGACTTAATTAGCAGAGCAACATTATATAATGAGAGATGCCCCTCACTACCAGGAGAGACCAAGGCCAGAGCTCCACCTCAGCAGATTACTGGCTATGAGATCTACAAGACACAGCATGGCTGGGTCCCCCCCCAAAAAAAAAAAAAAAAAAAAAAAAAAAAAAAAAAAAAAAAAAAAACATTAGATTTCCAAACACACGCCGGTTTGCAAAGTTGAATTTTCATTACAGATCATGCCACCTGGACTATGTTCCTCCTACTCAGCCCTCCCCTCTTTCAGGAGGCTATGCCCTCAATGTTTTTTCACAAACCATAATTTTCAAGTCAGAGTTTTTTTAGCTATTAGCTCAAGATTGTATAGCTGGCCAAGTTCTTCGCAGTTTGAACCAATATCCTAATACCCCTACCCCATGTCCAACCCACGGCTTCACCCAGATTAAATTCTGAAAAGGCTGCCAAGATTTACCTCAGCCTTGGTTGTCTTTTTCAATACAAAACAAATCCCTGCCCCTAGCCTGACCTTTTTGACACAGCCCCCCGCCCCCCCTCCCCCCAAAAAAAAGGACTGGAAAGAGAAAGGGGAGAGTCAGCAATGTGCTGGAAAGTCATCTGGAGTTAAGCAAGGAGCATAGCTTAAGAGGTAGAGAGCCGCAATGTGTGGTTAGGGACTGTGGCTGAGCTGCCTGCACTCAGCAAGGCATGAGGTGGAGCAAAAGCGGGATCTCTCTCAGGAAGCTCATGGGACAGAATCTCACCCTTGTTAATGTGAGCATATAGAAGCCACTTTCCCTACTCCCACTGTGAGACAAGAGCATTCCTCCACAGGACGCAATCATTTCCACAGGATGCAGCCACCACAGTCCCTCATCCACTAGGCAGAGTCAAAGGTCCCCAGGTACCTTCCATCACCTCCCCAAACTGCTCTCATGTTTAGCTGTGGTCAGAGTCAGCTAAACACAGGCTGCGGAGGAGGGGGCTTGGGAATGACCCAAGCCAGGACTTGAGTCCTGTCCTGATTCCTGGAAATGTCACCATCAAAGAGACAGCTTCCCAACCCCTGGGAATCCCAGAAACCAACCACATTTGAAAACGCGTTGTTCAGAAGACCCTTGGACTCCCCCCCCTAAAAAAAAAACCCCAAAGTTTTCAAGCTCTTTAGATTTAATTAAGAATTATGTCCTTAAACAATTATGATGATATACATAAAGCATCAGAAAGTAAAATTTATACCACTCAACCCAAGTTAGGGTGCAGGAAGAGATTTAAGCAGGTAAAATTAGGATGAAAGTTGTTGGGATTTGATGAAATTTTTCCTTTTAAAAAAAGCCTGGGTCACAGAAAACCCAATTTAACAAAGCCATCTGAATACAACTAGACTGGCCTTGGACTGCACTTAAGAACACTACTCTAAAGACAAGAGTGTAATTAAAGAAAAAAGAAAAGGAAGGAACTGGATTCAGAAATAATACCCTTATACAAAATCAGCACATTATTATTACACAACTTCAAACTTGAATTACATCAATAATTTCACCCAAAAAAAAAAGCAACGGTACATCGAAATGTCTTTATGGAAAAACCAGGATTCTGTGAATATTGTTTCAAAACCCTTGCCCCACAGAAGCTGGAGGAAGGATACCCAGAGACCAAGGGAATGCAAGAACATAATGAGGAAGATGATGCCAACAGCAGCAATCACACCTTTCCTCTGCAGGGGAACTTCAGTTTGCAAAGCACTTTGACTTTCATTATCTTGTCATGCCCCCAAGACAATCCTGTGAGGGGCCGGGGGACACCTGATTATCTCTATTTCATGCTCTGAGAGGCTAGGGACCTGCCAGAGGTCCCACAACCAGCAAGTGACAGGTGTAGCATGAAAACCTTAGGTTGTGGCTGGGCCAAGCATCCTCCGTGAACCACTACTCACAAAGAATGCCTGGGGCACGTCCCCACAGATGTTCACATGTCTCTGTATGACATGGTGGGAGGAGACAGGGTTATAAGCGGACTCTGAATGATGACTACCAGAGCTGTGCTTACCCTCAGAGCATGAGGTTAGAGGCTAAGAAAACCACTCTTCCTCCTCTACCTTCACCACCACCACCACAACCACAAGAAAGATTCACGTGCTGCTCACTATGAGCCAGACATGGTTCTAAGCCCTTCATATCCGTTAACTCATTTCACTCTTACAACAGCCCTATGAGGAAGGTACTTCTATTAATACCCCCACTGTACAACCCAGTAAATGGCAAGGTGAAGTAATTTGCCCAAAGGCAGAGGTGAAAAACAGTGGGCCAGGAGCCAGGCAGTCTGAGCCCAGATGCTGTCCTGCTGACCGCTAAGCCATGCTACCTCACCTGAGGACTAGAATTAGTGAATTCAAACCTGCCAGGGGCCTGGGGTGAGCAGTGGGGTACAGACCCCTACTAGCTCCCTGTTAACACCACACAAAGCTTCCTTGACTTCCAGATGCTTCCCACTTTCAAATAAGCAGGTCATCACCTTCCCCTCCTCCCTCCCTTCCACTTCCATTATTGGGTTACTGCAGGAAGATCGTGTATTAAGGCAAACACTACTTTGACATAACCTAATAACCACCCATCTCCCAGCATGCGGCAAGAATGAATGCTACAGGGCACACATGCAAACTTGATTCTCCATCCAGGAGTGATTTCTGTGGAGGTGTAATTCCACTGTCCACCTTACACAGCACATCTTCTATCCATAAAACACAAAGCTTCCATCAGTCAAGACACTCAGGAATGAAGGGCCCTGCCTCCTGACTCATGTTTCAGGTGTAGCTAGACCCTACCAGTGACAGAAATTCAAATCCAATTGATCCTTTCACTTAAAACACACAATACCAAGCACACACACAACTGTAGGCAGAAAGTAGCATACCAGAGGCATACAACTGCCCCACATTCAATTCTGCTGGCTACTTATTAGCCCCGAATCACTCTGGATATTATAGTCTATGATCAGTATAACTACATTCATTACATTCCATGGCCAGACTTGACTGTTTATGGCTCATCCTCTGAAGATCTACAAATCCATGCAGGAACCTTTCTCTGTACAGCAAACTATGGTATGTGAGTTGGTACCCACATTGTGGGCAGCTGAGAGGCCAAGCCCACTACTTCGGATCCCAGCTCAGTCAGTCACCTGGGAGCAGCAGAAGCTGTGACCTCAGGGCGGGAAGCCATTCAGCGCCTATGTCGGGAACGCAGAGCCAGGCTTCTGATCTGTAATGTTCTCTGCTGATGACTTAGAAGAGGGCTGGCAAACCATGGCTCACAGGCCAAATCTGGTCTGCCATCTGTTTTTGTATGGCCCATGAAGGAAGAATGGTTTTTACATTCCTTAATGGTTGAAAAACAAAGGAATAATAAACTACATGGAGTTCACATGTGTCCATAAATAAGATTTTACTGGAACATAGCCACATCCACTGGTTTTCATGTTGTCTATGGCTGCTTTCAAACCACAACAGCAGAGCTGAGAGGTGGTGGCAGAGACCAGGTGACCTGCAAAGTCAAAAATATTTGCTATCTGACCTATACCAGAAAAAGTTTTCTGACCCCTGACTAAGAAGCAAGTGCCAGGACACTGCTAAAAATGAGACCTCAAAAATCTAAACATTGTCTGGGGGGAAAATAAAAAGGATTACTTCTTGATCACAGGTTCAGGTCCAGGGATTCAGCAGCAATGACAGAGGTCCCTCAATGGAGGGGGGAGGGATGTCAGCAGAAAAAGGGTGCTCTCCAAGGGCTGCAGGAACCCCCCCGTGAACTCCTAGGAAGTCACACTCTCTGCTGCACTCCCTCGCAGACACCTACCTGTTCTAAGACAGATGAGGCTGGATTGGGGCACAGCGATTCTGCTTGTCCGGTGGTTCCAATGCAACAGAAAAGGAGGGCAGTGGAGAGAGTTGGCCGGAGTTTCCACCAGTGTTCAGACTGCTCCCCCTCCCATCCCTCGGCCGGAAGCCGACAGACAAAGAGCCCGCGCAGGACAGGAAGCCCATCCTAAGTCACCAGGCTATGACCTCTCTGTGAGGTCTGTTCATGCAAAGGGGGCAAATGACAGTCTCAGTCTTGGGGGGAAGGTGGGGAGGGTGAGCTAGGAAATGATTCCTTGGCCAAGATTTTTACTGTAAAAAAATGAATTACGATTGTTCTTGTTGGTCTTTCCCCCATCTTCCATCGCCACCTGTTAATCTGGGAACCCCTAGAGGTGAGATTGCTAGATTCGGGAAATAAAAATGGTATGCCCCCTTAAATGTGAATGTCAGAAAAATGACATTCAAATTAATTTATTAGTATAAATTTTTCCCAAATATTGCTTACCTGAAATTTGAATCATGGGACATACACTGATTATCTGATATTCAAATTTAACTGGGCATCTTTTTTTTAATCTGATAAGCCCATCTACAACCCAAATCATTCAGGAAGTGACTCCCTGATCCCAACCCCTTCTGGCAAAGCCCCTGCAAGGTAGGTCTCCATGCCAGTAGGCCTGTCTCCAGCAGCCCCGTCTGCATCACGTGCAGCTCCCCAGAGAGACAGCCAGCCTGCTGCGGCTTCCAGAAACAAGCTTCCCCAGGAGCAGAACACCTGGGCCCCCCACCCAGGTGAAACGAAGGCAACCAGCCCTTGGCTAAAGAAAACTGCCCACAGCCTCTCCTTGCCCAGCCATCACCCGAGACCCATACCCTCTCCTCCTCCCCAGTCCCCAGGCTTTATCTGTTTCTCAGATCCCTCAAGGAGTCCTGCTCAACTAGAAAGGATCTCCTGTCCCTGATGCCTGTTCTGCTGGTTACACTGGGTCACGAGGCTTTTCCATCCCTGGGTTTTGTCTCTGGTGAAGGAATGGTCTCAGGGCATGGAATTTACAGGAATAAGGAATTTGGAGGAGAGGAGGGTGCTAAAATCATACTAAGTTAGATGGGTCCCAAACAGAAACTGGAAGCGGTGACTGAAGACCACTAAACTCCCCGACCCCATGGTATGCTCCATAAGGGTAGAGATTTTTGTGTTTTATTCATAGCTACATTCCTAGAGGGCAGTGCCTGACACATACTGACACTTGGTAGAGAACTGCGGAATTGTTATGGGCTGAATTGTGTCTCCCCCTCAAAAAAATCGTATGTTGAACCCCTAATCCCAAGTACCTCAGGATGTGACAGCATTTGGAGACATGGCCTTTTAAAGAGGTGATTAACAAGGTGGGCCCTAACCGAGTGTGACTGGTGTCCTTACAAGAGGAGACTGGGACATAGAGACACTAGGGACACACACAGAGGAGAGACCACCCAAGGACACAGCAAGAAGACCATTACTGCAGGCCAACAAGAGGGGCCTCGGAAGAAATCAAACCTGCTGGCATCTTGATCTTGGACCTCCAGCCTCCAGAACCATGAGCAAATACACTTCTGTTGCTTAAATCCCCAGCCTATGGTGCTTTGTTACAGCAGCCCCAGGAAACTACTACTGGAATGAATGACTAAATAAATGAATGAAAGAGGGATGAGTCCATGCCTATTTGTCTTTCACTATATCTTCAGTGCCTAGGCCAGGACACAGTGGGCTCTCATTTAACAAAGCCAAAACAACATGGTGAAACCTTGTCTCTATAAAAACTACAAAAATTAGCCAGGTGTGGTCCACCACCGCACTCCAGCCTGGGCAACAGAATGAGACCCCGTCTCAAAAAAAAGAAAAGCCAAAAGAAGCATTTGCAGTCTCTCCCCAGAGCACTATACAGAGGATAAATGGCCCAGAGCTGCTGGGGACAAAGACAGGGTGCAGATCCTATCATCCCACTCTAAGACCTTTCCACTTCTCCTTGTGCCAGGAGACTCCCTGGGGCCACTGCTTGGGAGGCTTCTGCCCCTTAGCCAAAGAGCAGCCCTGGATGTGACTGCTTGGGAACCTTCTCCCAGCTACCGCCCTGATGAACTGCCTGGCAGCCTCCCGAGTTCCTGCCTGCCCAGATATTCTTGCCTACCCAAATACTCCACCCCACCTTTCTTGAAGGCAGAATCCTGATTCAATCTACACGTTCCCTCTTCCACTGGGATCCCTGACCTGTGTGTGGGAATTCCACTCCCTAGGCCCTATTTCATCTAGGAATGTGCAAGTTAGGCCATTCATCAAAGTGAGGCATGAGGGAAAAGTCTGAAGGCTGGCCAGTAATTGGAAAGCTTTCCTTACTGAGAGAAGTGAGGCCAGGAACAAATATATTGGGACATTAGTATGGAGATGTGATGCCGGGAGCTGCTGCAGCCATTTGCTGAACATGAGAGGAGAGAGCTGACACGCAAAGGACGGCGGAGTGGAAAAGGCGAACAACCAGGTCCTATGAGGTCACTGAGACGCTGCTCTAACTAACCCTAGCATCACTGTACCTCTGGACTTTTTGTCCTATGAGATATAAGATCGCTTTATTACACAGCCATTTTAATTGGGTTGTACCCTCCAGCTAGAATGCTGCCAGGATCTGCTTCTGGTTTTATCAGGCAAATTCTGTGGTTCCTGACTTTTTCAAGTTTGGGAACCCCTTCTAACACCAAAATGTTCTACAGGCCACCCATGTAATAGAAGTCCTACTTTTAATATCTAATGACTAAGAGCCAACAAACTAATACAATGTTTAGTAATGTTTTGAATAGATTTGCATTTTAGACATCTGAAAACACTCAGGCATAATTATAAACATGCAGCATATTAAATAAATCTAGAGACAATCCCCAATGTGGGCACGGGTTTGAGGAGCCTCACATTAAATGCACAGCCCCAGGACAGGCACAATGGCTCATGCCTATAATCCCAGCACTTTGGGAGGCTGAGGCAGGAAAACCACTTGAGTCCAAGTGTTTGAGACTATCCTGGGCAACATGACAAGACCTCATCTCTACAAAAAATAAAAATATTAGCCAGGCATGGTTGCACATGCCTGTAGTCCCAGCTACTTGGGAGGCTGAGGTTGGAGGATCACTTGAGCCCCTAAGGTCGAGGCTGCAGTAAGCCATGATCATCCCACTGCACTCCAGCCCAGGCAATGGAGAAAGACTATCTCAAAATAAATAAATAAACAAACAAACAAATGCACAGGCCCCACCGTGTTCACCTGAGAAGTACCTGGTCACCAACCCGAGAACCCTCCTACTAGACAGAAGGCTAAAGACCTTTCCAACTTAGCTTGGGTCTAAACTTGATGCCTCTTCTTTATCAATTCAGGCCCAAGTACTATTTAAGACTCACTTATCCCTAATGAAGTCTTCCCACAGGCTCCCCTCTCAATTGTCAATTCAAAATTGCCCCATAATGCTTGCATATCAATCCCAAAGATACTGGATTTGATTTATTCTCACCCAGATAAAAGTCTGGTCTCTCATTTTACTCCCTATTATTCTCACGTGATTGATATATTTCCCAAGGGCAGAAAGAATGGTAGTGATAGCAGCAATACTAACAGTAGTGATGGCGGTGGTGGTAATAACATTTAAGTACTTAATCTGTTCCAGCCAATGTGCCAAGCACTTCACATGCATTATTTAACTTAATCTGCAAAGCAACTTTTCAAATAAGTACACTATCATTTCCATTTTACCAACTGAGGGCAGCAACAGAGTTTAGGGAACATGCCTGAAGCCACACAGCAAGGTAAATTGCAGAGCTGGGATGGCGGTCATCATGCACCGACAGCAGCACACAGATAGCAGGTGAAGCTGTGTAGGTGCACATAAAATGTCAGTGGTTCTCACAGGAAGAGGCAATGCCAGCAAAGATTCCAGAGGCCATAGTCAGAGTGGTAGGAAGAAAACTGAGAGTCCCTTGGCAATTTATTTTTATATCCTGAGTACTAAGAACAGTGATTTGCTCCAATAAGAAGCTCAAATTATTGGATGGATGGATGGATGGACGGGCAGACGGACAGAGAAGAGGGAGATATTTGAGGACAAGGGTGACTCCATGAAGAAATACTTCAAAAAGACTGCCCCATAAGGTTGGGGACTGTTATGGAGAATGTCCCTCAAAAGATGCAAATTATCCAAGTGGGCCCAGAAATGGACACTCCCTGAGTGCCTAGGACTGGACTGAGGAGCTTTCATGAAGAAAGAGGTGCAGAGGACCTGGAGAAGAGGAGTAGAGAAGAGAGAGGCAGGCTCTGCACATTCAACCCTGAGAAATAAAAGATGAGATCAGGAAGCTTGATACAGCCTAACCAAGAGTCAGGGACCAGCAATCAGGACAGTGACTTTGTAAGAGGAGCAGAACCTCCTGAGGGACCCCACACTTGCTTCATTGCTACAGCTGTTAACTTGTTACCTTGCTATCTTTGCTACTTTGCCTTTATTACATCAGTCACCTTCCACGTTACCTTGCTTCTTTAGCAGTTTCCTTTTATTGATTCTCAGTAAAAAACCCCCAGAGGGTAAAGGGCCTGTTTACTAGTCTTATGGGACAAGAAAGGAGATGGGAAACTGCATCTCACTGCATTCCCAGATGTAGGGGAGGGAACATGAAAGGACTAACAATGTTGACAGCAATGAAGAGAGGACTTGGCCTTGTCTTCAGGCCTTCACCAGCCAGGGACCCCTGGGGAAAGGGTCTCTGAGGCTCCAGGGAGGTTTGCAGTATGCAAGATCTCAAACAACAGGGAGATGCTGAACTGCTAAAAGACCAGGGTTTGACCTCAGGACATCACTGGTGACTACTAAGAGAACATCTTAAAGTGGCATTAGACAAACCTGGATTTAAATGAACAAATATGAATTATGTCATTACTACCTCAATCTCTTCCAACTCCTGCTCTAGCCAGGATTTCTATGGCTTATAATCACCCAGTCCTGCACATTCTAATTTCTTCATTCCACCTCTCTTCCACGGCCTGATCACCTCTTCCCGAGCCGCTGCAGTGGCCTCCCCAGTGACTACCCTGACTCTCGTCTTTCTCTTTCAATCCAGTCTCAGAGTCAGAGGGAACTTCCTAAACCACCAGTCCAATCATATCTCTTCCCAATTTAAAGTCCAGCAGGCCAGCCAGTCACCAACAGATCAATCCAAGCTCCTAAACATGGTATTCACAGTACAGTCCTAAAAACACCATCCCCAACTTGCTGTAAACCCAAAATGGCGGGGGCCTCCCAGATATCCTATGTCTGTGCCTTTGTACCAGCTGGGCCCTCTGCCTGCAATGCCATCTCCATCTCTTCCATCCCCTTCCAGGAGACGCTAGCACTCACTCTCTCCTCCTCTACATACCATCATTCCTCCTCCTGAAGAGCTACTCTCCCTAACTCACGTGTCACAACAACCCACCTGCCATTATCCTCCTCTTCATCTTCACACCGGTCACGCTCTTCATGACATGTCTATTTCTCTCTCTTGCTGAACAGAAGCTCCATGAGAACAGGACCTTACCTGCTTGTTCACTGCTGTCCCAGTGCCTACAACAGTGTCATCCCAGTGCCTACAACAGTGTCTGGCCAGTGCTTGCTCTTGATTAAATAAATTATAATAAAGATGCTCCCTCTTTATTAAATAAATGAATTACCAGCACCACTCTATTCTCACTGTGTGTACTGTACCGCCCTCTATTTGCACTTATCACCCAGTTTAACCATCATTTACTGGTATAACTATACTCCTGACTTCACTGTGAACTCTGAATAACAGGAGCCACATCTTATTCATCCTTGTATCCCTGGCACACAGTAGATGCCCAATGATATCTGTCACATTATTTTCATAAAGAACACATATACAATTCGTGGGTTTTTTTTAATTTTGAGACAGGGTCCCACTCTGTCACCCAGGCTTTAGTGCAGTGGTGTGATCACGGCTCACTGCAGCCTTGACCTCTCAGGCTCAAGCAATTCTCCTGCCTCAGCCTCCCAAGAAGCTGAGACTACAGGTGTGAAGCATCACGCCTGGCTAATTTTATTTTTTGTAGAGACAAGGACTTGCTATGTTGCCCAGGCTGGTCTCAAACTCCTGGGCTCAAGTGACCCTCCTACCTCAGCCTTCCAAAGTGCTAGGATTACAGGTGTGAGCCATAGTGCCTGGCCTACAATTCCATTTTTTTTTTTTTAACAATTTGGTAAGACTTCATTATTTCTTTTCTCATTACTGTTTAGGTAAATAAGAAAAAGATGTTGTAGGACTTTTAAAAGGTAGAAGAGTCCCTTTTAAAAAATGAAATCAGAAAAGTTCCAGTAAGTCAAAGAACTAAAAGACGTAAAAAGGGGCCCATGCTGATCAGCTTTCTAAAAAGAAACTATCAGGGCTGGGCATGGTAACTCACAACTGCAATCCCAGCACTGTGTGAAACCAAGGCAGGAGGATTACTTGGGTTAACGACCAGGAGTTCAAGACCACCCCGGGCAACAGAGCAAGACCCTATCCCTACAAAACAAATAAAAATTAAAAAATCAGCCAGGCGCAGTGGCATGCACCTGTAGTTCTAGCTACTTGGGGGAGCTGAGGATAACTTGAGCCTATGAGTTCAAGGACACAGTGGGCTACGATCACACCATTGCACTCCAACCTGGAAGATAAAGCAAGACCCTCATCTCTAAAATAAATAAGTAGAAAAAGAAACTATCAGCTACTCAGGAAGTTGAGACAGGAGAATCATTTGAGCCCAGAAGTTCAAGTGTAACCTGAGCAACATAGCAAGACCACATCTTTAAAAAAAAATTAAAATTCAAAAAAAGAAACAAAACTATAAAAAGTAAACATCAAATTATTCTGGTTTTTTTTTTTTATTTTTTTTGAGAGAGAATCTTGCTCTATCATCCAGGCTGGAGTGCAGTGGTGCAATCTCAGCTCACTGCGACCTCCACCTCCTGGGTTCAAGCAATTCTCCCACCTCAGCCTCCCAAGTAGTTAGGACCACAGGTGCACACCATCAAGCCCAACCAATTTTTGTATTTTTAGTAGAGACAGGGTTTCACCATGTTGGTCAGGCTCATCTTAAACAACTGACCTCAAGATATCCACCCCACTTGGCCTCCCAAAGTGCTGGGATTACAGGCATGAGCTACCGCACCCAGCCCAAATTACTATGGTTTTACCTTTATAAACAGTTCAAACAATACAGAGAAGTAGGAAGTAGAAAATGAGGGTCTTTACATAATCACTATTAGCATTTGATGATCGCTATTAGCATTTGATATTCTTCCTCCCAAAATTAATGCATATAAACCTTTACATAATATGCACTCAATACACACATATATATTGAAAATAGGATCACACTATTCATGCTGATCTGTGACTTTTGTACATAATTTCTTTACCATCATTCCATAATAGTACATAGAAGTTGACTTCATCTTCTTCAGCAGCTTTATAATATTCCACTGTATGGTTTTACTGGAATTTATGTAACTTTTCCTTTTTTAATAAAGCCCCAGGTGATGGCAACACTAAACATTATGGTGCGGAGGAACACCCTTTTGTGTATACTTGTACAATGCTTTCCTTAGGATAAATTCTGTGAAGTGAAAATGTCCAGTCACAGAGTATGCACATTTGACACTTTAATCCCCACTGCCAAAATGCCCTCCAGAAAAGCTATACAGTTTAGACTCCTGCCAATCACATATGAAATTTGCCCCCGAGCCCCATCCCAATTAAGGCTGTTTTTGATCAATGGAGTTAATTCCTGCAGCAGGATAAAGTCTCTGACCCAGAAAACTTTCCTTGGCACTAATCCATACTCACCTCACCGACTGTGTCTCTTCACGAGTGACAGGCATTGTTACATTCTTGCCCACAGTTTGAAAGCCTTACCAGGCACTGCACTGCAGGCATACACAATTGCACAGACCTCAAGCAAAGATGGCTATTCCACAAAGAGGTCCTTAGCCCTAGCACCTGGATATCAAGCAAGGCACTCACAGGCAGCATCTCCCAGCAGTATATAGAGAGAAGCTACAGGCTCAACAAGACCCAATTCTTCCACCGAGACACCTGTGAGTGAGCAGCTGCTGGAATTGAGATTTATATCCCCACTCATCATTCTTGTCCTGTAAGGGACTTTGGGAACTGCCAAAGCAGAACCAGCACCAACAGCACAGATCTCAACAACAGAAAAGAAAGTTCTATGAAATAAAAACCACTGCCACCAGTCAATGTAGCATGAGATTTCATGCTGCAGTCTCTGCAGAGAAAAAATTGTTATTCATTCATATACTTTAGTCCGAATACTAATCAGCACTTCAAGCATCACAACTTTTCATTTAATTTTTAGTATTTCTAACAATCTTCCTGTTTCCTTAAACAGAGTTGACTAGACACAAGTATGATGCTTTGTAAACATCACAATCATACTGTGCCCAGTGTCCTACTGTGCCAGACAATAGTACTGACCTTCCAAAAAAAGAAAGGCAATTAGGGCTAAAGAGCCCAGTTCAATATACCTTTTAAATGTGCCAACTATAGTGTTTATCTTTTCCTGTGTTATCAGCTATCACCCTCTCTCTCTCTAGCAGACACCCTCTTCCCTACTTTCTAGCAGTTTATGCTACAAGAAGCAGAAATTAAAAGGTTAGAATTGCAAAGGCATGAAGAATAAATAGGCAGAGCCTTGAGAGAATCACCTAGGAATGATGTCACTAAGTTTCAGAAGGTGGCCTGAGAGTGAGGTAGTTAAGCTCTGGTGCACAGACTTTGTGAAAACTAATTCAAGTGCCACCATTAAACGTGAATATGTGCCTTAAAATGGCTTGCAGATAGCTCTATCATGTCCTTGGGTGGGGAGATCTTGTTTTTGACACATAGAGGCAGGCAGCTGGCTGAATGCCAAAGCAAACAGCATGAGGAGGAGTGGAAGGGTGATCCCAGGTCTCGGGTCTAGTGTTTTTAAAAGAAGACATCAACTGCGTTCCTCTATAGAAAGTGAGATAAACACCAGCCGCACAAGTATAGCACCACAAGTAAACAAGTCTTCTGCTGGCATCATGCTTCTGAAAAAAAAAAAAAAAAAAAAAAAGTCCCACAAGTGCTATTTCTTTCCCTTAAGCCTTCCGAAAAATCTCCAACTGGCCATCAATTTGGAGAGAGTTTTACAAACTGGAACTCTTCTCCTAGGCACAGCAACTGAGACATACGAGGGTAAAACAGCATGGTGAAAAGAGTGCTAGTCAAGGTCAGGAGATGCCCTTGGGCCTATCACATGCCCTTTCTCAGCTTGGTTTTCTCTTCAGTGTAAAATGGGGATAACACCTGCTCTTGCCTGGAAGAAGAGGCCCATTATGGAGATGGTGAGAGGATATGACTATCACCCCCACTGCCCAAGCTGACTCTCCCACTCAAGCTTGGAACGCTCATGAACCGTAGAAGGACATGTGCATCAGGGCTAGCCCATCTGGCCCGGCCACACCAGAGGATCTTGAAAGTCCTAGAAGGAGCCAGGTAAGAAAAGAGCTCAGTGACAAGTTTCCAATTCAACCACAGCAGGTTGCACCTGGGAGCTCCACTGTTAGCTAGAAATATCAAGGGCAATGTCTTTAAACAACTTTAGCAGCAGAAATCACCCTCTGTCAGAGGAAACCTTATATATAACCACAATATACAAAACAGATAATTTATCTGAATTATGTAAATTACAGTATGTTCTCAAGAACATAGTTTAAATCACAAACGAAGTATGTTTCTCTTTCATTCTGCATACACAATATTCAAAAAATTCTGATTCACAGATAAGTAGTTGCAAATGGTACCTATTTAACCTTTCACTTGCAGCTTCAGGAATCCATTGAATTAAACTAACCCAGAAACCTGAAGAAGTGCAACAGGAAACTTCTCTTTTAATGTAGAATATTTCTTATCAGGAAATACTTGACTTGAAGGGAATGGAAGAGGGGTTTCTTCAACCAGTTCAAAAACACTGTTAAAATGTATCTTATAATTCAATGTTCAGTGAGGTCAGCTCTAAAAATCCCCAGATACTTGGTGCCAGGCTCTGGAACATATTTACGCAATATTTCAAACGAGTCAAATTTATTTTGTTTTGCATATCAAGTTCAAACTAAGTTTCAATTTCATCATTGATACTCTAACAGCCCTTGTAAGCATGGTAAGAAAACAGCCTGTATTGCTTAATGGAACTCCCTCTATTTATACTTTAAAATTGAGCAAGACACACAAACGAGGGTAATCACACTATATTTGAAAGGTTTAGAACAATGGAGTTTCTTTGTCAGACAATTAAGAACCCAACAGTAATTTATCACCTCATTTGAAATATTTGTAGTTCAACTTTTCCTTGAGTGGTCAGCAAAATGTGATGTGAACTAAGAATTATTATCCACATTACAAATAACTCATAAAAGTAAAAAGACAACATGGTAATATAATGTACACTTTGAATATTACATGTATAGCACCGAACTAAAAGGCCATCTACAATAAAGCAAAGTTTGTATATGCAACACACAACTTTTATTAATAGCTTGTACACAAACCATCATTCCTGCAATCTTACCTGCCATTGTGTTCACAATGTAAGATAAAATTTTCTTCACTTATCTATGTGTCAAGTGTTGGAAGGAATTGGTTTTACTCATGTTTGCCTGGCATAAACTCACACAAATGCAAGCAGAATGGTGACAGGTGCCACACCCACACTCCTATCAAGGTGGATGGTAAGAGCAAATGGGATCCAGATTTGGGACTTTCATTCTCCGGGTGAAGCATCCCAGGCCCCTTTCTGCACTGCATCACTCTACAATGACACCGACTATTTTCACGCAGGTTTTGAGGTGAGAACTTGCATGCTACAAGTGTATTTTCCTTTAGGCTGAAACTTGGTGGCAAAATTCTAGGATTCTGAAGAACAAGATAAAAGCTTGTGGTCTGGAAAAATGGGAGATGGTACCAAAGACCTGTTGGTTCCCTAAAACAGAAATCACAAGAAAGAGGATATGCGAATTCCCTGAGTGCTTCTGTCAGCTTAGCTCCTGCCTCATCCCTCCTTCCAGCCAAGCAACAAGTTCAGCTTTAAGAGTAGTATGGCTGTCAAGCCCATTCCATTCTTCTTTCCTTCCCAGAGGATGGAGTCTCTTTCCATTCAATCATCCACTCACTCATTCATTAATCCAGTCATTCCAGAGATAGCCATTGAATGTCTACTTTGCAAAGCACAGAGTTGGGCATACACACGGTGTATGTTTTCATTAGCATAAATTTCACTGTATTTTATTTTTGACAGTGTAGCAATACCCTTCCAGCTAATCTGAAGATGCCAAAAATGAATAAGCAATACCAGAACCAAGACCCAGTTCTATGAATAAAACAGCACAGCACCTGGTAAATGTTAGCTATTATCATCCCATCCCAATCCTTTGACTTGTGCAAGCACACTTTGAGAGCTTCTGCATGCCAAGCAGGATACAAAGATAAAATCCAGTTCCTGCCCTCAAGAGGCTCAGAGAGAGACAATAGGGTAAATCCAACACGCAGACGACAACGTGATTAATGCCAACACAGAGCAGCAGTATGGAGGACTAAGGGAATAAAAGGAAGGCTTGGTTTTCTTATGCTGTTGGAGCTGGGAAGGCTTCTGTAAAATGATGTACATTCCTCTCTTCAGAAAGAAGCAAGAGCTGGACAATAGTTGGGGAACGTCAGGAGTGGCACGCCAGGCAGATGCCGGTGGAAGCAAAGGCACAGAGGCAAAAAGGCTGCTGCAAGTGGCTGAGACAGAAGAACATGGTTGACTGGCCAGGAGGCTGGAAGAGAGAACCAAGACTTTCTCAGCTGTACAGTTACTATGACTGGGGTGAACTGGCCTCAGACACTTCAACTCTGTCTAACTTCTCAGAAGGAAAACAGTGGCCCCTCCGGCAAATTTCACATACCAAACTGAACGGCTAAGATGCATTCTTCCTGTGCTTGGCAGAAGGCTTGTCTAATACATTCGTCATCTTCCTCTAGCCTAGGTATATGGAGGGGAGCTCCCAACACAAACCAAACACAACGCCAACTCAGCCATAAAAAGAAAATAAACATAACCATAAAAAGAAATAAATATATGTATCTCTGACTTGGTAGGAGTCTAGTTCTTCTAACATAACTTTTTCCATGTTCTAAAATCCATGCTGTTTTTTAAAAGCACATCCAGGGCCATTCTGCTTCTAGGGAATTTAGGGTTTTAGCCAATTTGCTTAGAAAATGGTTGTGCAAATTTACACTACCCCATGAGCCTGTGTTTTATAAAAAGAGGTGAGGGGGATCTCCAACTATAGCAGGGAAGAATTTTAATAAAAAGCAGAACTCAAGAGCACAGGCAATAGATGGCTGCTCCTGCAGGTCAATTCATGCTGGGCACCACTCACCAAGCTTTCCAAGGGATGCAATAACTGAATTCCAGTGGCCCCAAATTCACTCATTCCAATGGATATATCCTGAGGGTCTATTATAAACAAAGCACTGAGAATATAAAGATGTGCAAGTCACAGCCTGTATCCCGCAAGGGCTCAGAGTTTAGGAGGAAGAAGAACAACAACGAAGGATGATGGTGAAAGTGGCTGTAAGACACTTATGGGCTAAAGAAAGCAAAGATCCCTCCAGGTAAAGGAGGGAGGAACTCCAAGACAACTTCCTAAAGGAGGTGCTTTAAGAAAATATAGGGAGGCTTGGGCAGGCAAAACAAATGGAAAAGGTCATCCCCATTTCTGAGCACTTGCTATGTGTCACTCATATCTCACAACCAACCAGTGTTATGATAATATCTCCACGTACCGAGCAGGGGAGTCCAGCTAGGGGAGGTGGATTGACTCATCCTATGTTACATGTATTGTCAGTGGCAGAGCCAAAAACCAAAGCCCCCATCCTCTGCTAAGGGAAGCTTTTTTGGGAGAGAGAATGTTATGAGTAGGGCAGCACATTTAGGAAGTGACAAAGATTCCATCTGTGGGATGCTATGCTCCACTGATACTGAGACCACACTGTGGGAGGTCTCAAGCACCAGGCTAAGGGGAATGCGCTCATTGGTTGGGTGATGAAGCAGGTAGGGAGGAGGCTTTGAGAATGGGAGCCCCAGGATAAGATGTAGTGGCTCAGAACAAGTAACCTGGAGCCGGCAGGCCTGGGCTTGAATCCCAGCTGTGGCTCCTAAGAACTGTGCAGTTTTGGACAAGGTACTTAACTTCTCTGTGCCTCCAGTTCCTCATTAAATGAGGCTGATATTACTACCTCCTTCACAGAATTATTGTGAAAATTAAATGAATCACAAAGCAATAAGAACAGTGCCAGTTCACAAGAATGGCTATGTAAGTGCATTATCGGATAATGATGGTGATGATGATGCAGCAAATTAATTAACCTGCTGAGACACAATGGCATTGGAAGATTACCTGAGAGGCTGCCAGAGTAATCCGGGCGAGAGAAGGACGGAAGTAGCTTCCAGGGAATGGGAAGGAAGTAACTGATTTGGGAGAACATGGAAGGGAAAGGGAAATGTTTCACGGAAGCCTGCAGCCTGAAGAAAGGCAGTGCTGCTGGAGGAGCCGCTCAGCCACAAAAGCACTCAGTGAAGACAGAAATGCACACCCAGGTGCATTTCTCTGAGCCTCAATTCTTCTATCTCTAAAATGGGGCTAACGATTCTTATCCTTCTACTCTCGGCATTGTCCTGAGGCTCAAATAAGACCATGAACTTGGCTACGGTACATTTAAGACATAAAGCATTCTACAGATGGAAGTCATGAAGCTATAAAGAGGGAGTGGTGTCGAGGGACTGGTCTGGACAGTGAGCCAGAGAGACAAACTCCACTTAACGTTGTCCACGATGTTCTCAGATAGTAACACGCAGGGTCAATTTCCAACATTCTTACCCTGCACCGCTGTGGCCTGATACCAGCCTAGGACCACTGACACCTGAGCCTGCCATGGCACCAAGGGTTGAATGCAGAGAGGATCTGGTTCAAGGGGCGGCCCCTGAGTGCTGAGAGGGAAACTGACCATTTCTGGGCACACCATGGATAAAGGGAGTACACAGAAAAGTAACATCAGTTGGCTCTATCTCCTTCAGCTCTCCATTTACACAGTCTGTGAGCAGATCAAAGGGCCCTGGAGCCAGCCAGAGAGGGCTGGGGATGAGACAAGCAGCCTGCGAGTGCTGTGGCAGGCAGCTCTGCATCAGTTTGCCTTCGGCTATAACCAAATGACATTTCCTGCATAATCCTGCCACTCTTTGGATAGAATTTCTTATAGAAAGTCATCTTTTTTATGCCCAGTGTAGTCCAGGAGATCATAATGACCAGCAGCTTCTATTCCCTATATAATTTTTATTTATTTTAGCTTCAAAAGGAACTCAGGACTCCCAGCTCTAAGTCTCTTAAAGTCTCTTATCTGGTGAGCCCCACACCTCCCGTACATCACTCACCATTTTAGACTGGAATGGTCCCCTTAACACAACTCCCTTTTCCCACTAGCCTGCAGTTTTTCTTCTCTGAATCCCCACCACCCAACACAGACACTCGCAAACAATGAACTGAAATTTCATAGCATCTTTTGGAAACTAAAGACAGTGAAAACCCACCGGCATGACCCTTCCGATTACTCAACTTTCCCCTTCACTCAGGTAAGACTTCAAGATAACAGCATCTCCTTTAATTAAGCCTACCCTGCTTGGTTTTCCAAAACTCCAATTTCCAAGATCAAAAGAAAGGCAAAATTTAGGCTTGACGTCTAAGTTTTTGTTTTGTTGTTTGCTACAGGTTCTGGAAAAGTAAAAGCCCTAATCACCCCCAACATATAGTGACTAAAATTTAAGACACTCCAGAATAGTGCCTTTTCCCTTCAACCAACTTTTTTGGCTGACTTTCAATAGTTTTAAAGCTGATAACCAGAGGAAGCCTTTATTTAAAGAAAGAAAAAAAAAATCTAAGTAAACAGTTCCCAGTGTTCTCTAAGAAATTAGACTCTAAGAACACAATCTGTCCACACAAGGATAAATGCAGTTTTATTAAAGAAAACACAACGGTCTTACAAACACTCTCCAAATATTGTACACTGTACACATGAAGAATCAAACACAAAATTCAAAGGGGTCCCAGAGGGGGTCTGCTATGGCTTTGCTCAAAATCTAAACTCTAAAGCATGACTGTGCTAGAGCAGAGGAGACTCTGTGCTTTGTCTTTCCCAAAATAATCTCTCTCACCGACCATCACAGCGAGCTAAGGGGAGGACCACAAAATCTGCAGTGGAGCGACTGTGATCGTTCTCAAAACAATTTTTATTGAAGAAGCAGTCGACTGAACTACTTATAATCTACAAAATCAAGTCACTTGGCACCAGATGCATTAAAGGCCTCAAATATTAGGGGAGTTTCATTTTACACCAAATATAAAACTGAAATAAATTAGGAAGCAAAAGCAACAGTATTATAAATAACTGACCAACTCCATTCAAATATCCCACACTTCTCATACCACGGTGAGGGAAAATAAATGAGAGTTAAGAAGCATAATTTCTAGAAATCCTCCTATCATAGAAAAAAAAGTTTCTAAGATCAATGTGGCTTTTAAAAGGGTAGCAGAAACTAAAATATACGCAAAACTCGTTTCCACTGCACCCCACAGGTATAACATCATTTTTTAATTTATAATTTTAGAATGTACTGTATGTTTATGATTTGGTTTCTCTTATTATTTAAACCTTGAGTACCTGGTGAAGAGTTATAAAAATGAATGAAGAGTCTATTCCTGTCCATAAAGTGCACACAGGTTGGGTATTTGTACCTAAAACAAAAGGGTTTAAATGGATGATGCTAATTTATCTAAGGGATCTCTAGTTATGGAAGAAAAAGTCCAAAGTTGTTAAGAGTTATAAAAATGAATGAAGATTCCATTCCTGTCCATAAGTAGCACACAGGTTGGGTATTTGTGCCTAAAACAAAAGGGCTTAAATGGGTGATGCTAATTTATCTAAGGGATCTCTAATTATAGAAAAAAAGGTACAAAGTTCTTTGCAGAAATATTTTATTTTTCCTAATTAAAAGAAAAATTAATACCAGAATGACCTAAAAGGGAGATGCTGTTGAATCAAAGTTGTGGGATTTGATTCACAGCATTATTTCCCAAATAATGTGTGGGTTGACAACGCCTGTGCTGGGTCATCAGTCTCCACTTTCACAATGAATTCACACCAACTGTCAAGTCTCATAGACCAAAACATTCCCAGGTCCATCCTCAATTCAATGGCAGAGAAGGAACACTTCCCCCAAAAGACTGCACAATAATCTCAAAAGGTGCACTGAATTCAAACTGGGATCCAAATCCAAACAATTCGACATGTCATCGATCTTCAACTGCAATGCTAGAGTCTCTGGTTACCGAAATTTCATTCATTCAACAAATATGTATTGGGCATCTATGTACCAGAGGTTTTCTAGACACTGAGCAATTACACTGGTAAATAAAGAGACATGGAAACTTCCCTTGTGAGGCTTATAATCTAGTGAGTAAATCAGATACACTAGTTTTATTGAGAGAAATAAACAGGATGCAGTGATACAGAATAAGTGGAAAGTCTCTATGAATAACCCCACAGAAGATATAAGTTTCAAAATTCCATTGCAAAGGCTGGCATGACTCTAACTGAAAAATGCTCTGAAGTACTATTGGTGTATATAATTTAGAAAAGGTAAAACTATTTAAAAAACAGAATGAGGTAAACTATTCTACAAATGTAATACAACTCCAGTAAAAACAGCTTCTGGAATTTTTTTAACCAGACAAGCGGTTTCTACAATTCATTAAATAAACCGATGAGAAAAGCTAGGGAAAAAAAAATCTTTAAAAGAAGAGTAATGAGAAATAGGTAGGTATACACATTATAGAGCTACAGTAATTAATTCAACATGTGGATAATAAAACATGTATGAATTTAGTGTGTGGATCCATGAAGAAACCAATGAAAAAAAATAAATGGTGAAAGATACAGTGATGAGACAAGTGACCAGCCACTGGGTCTAGATTCCTACCTCGCTCCTTATACCAGTCCAAACAAATTGGAGACGTATCCAATTATATAAAATATACCATGATTTCATTTTTTTAAATTGGAGGACTTTTCTCCAGTAATTTCTGAATAGGCAAGTCTTTAGTATGCAAATAAAAAACATAGAAACTATAAAGGAAGTACTGATAAATCCAACTTACAACTAATTTCTGCATGAAAAAGTTATATAAGGTAAGTCAAAAGGCAAATAACAAACCTGGAAAGAGTATGTGAAATTACCCCAGCTACACTCCCTGAAGTTTCCCTGAAGCATCTTATAGCAATGCTTCTCAAAACTTAATGCGCATGCCCTAATTACCTGGAATTTTATTAAAATGCAGATTCTAATTCAGCAGGTCTGGGATGGGATCTCATATTATGCATTTCTAATAAGCTCCCAGGACATGCTGAGACCTAAATTCTCAAACTTTTCTAGTTAAAGAGACACGGGGCTAGAATCAAATGGGACTCCTAAGGATCAGCTGGTAAGGTTTCAGAGCACTCAATCACCCAAGCTTCACCATGAGTGATTAAGATTTAGAAGATCCAGGATGAACAGCAGGAATCAATATTTAAAAAAAAAAAAACCCTCTTTAAGTGACAAAAATATTCACTGGTCTGAAAACCACATCTGAGTCCCTTCCTGCTCTGCCTGTGCTCTGAATACTGCAGAGAGACCCATCTGCTCTGGTAGTTTAAACAATTCCTTTACCATCTCCAGACCCCACCTGCCCTCCATCCTCCACCCCCACTTCACCTTTCCCCTAGCCTTGTCCTAACACATAATCCTCCCACCAAAAAAGAGAGAGCGCAGCAAGGAAGGAGCAGGCATGGCAGGAAGCATTTCAGCCATGGCTTCACGGCAAGGCTCCTCACCTCCCGGTCCCCGCTTCCTCACTTGCACAAACCAAGTTGTGAGAGATCAAAGAGTTACCCGACTGAAAAAGCTCTGTCAACTCTAAAGCATCATATGAACATGTTATTTTTTATTAGATCTGTGATGACCAGAAGAAACACACTTATAAAAGTCTAAACCCCTCTGGTCCCTGTTCTGAGGGCCCTTTTTTTTTTTTTTTTGAGACGGAGTTTCGCTCTGTTGCCCAGGCTGGAGTGCAGTGGCGTGATCTTGGCTCACTGCAACCTTTGACTCCTGGGTTCAAGCGATTCTCCCACCTCAGTCTCCCAGCTAGCTGGGATTATAGGTGCCTGCCACCATGCCTGGCTAATTTTTGTATTTTTAGTAGAGACGGAGTTTCATCATGTTGATCAGGCTGGTCTCAAACTCCAGAGCTCTAGTGATCCGCCCGCCTCGGCCTCCCAAGTGCTGGGATTACAGGCGTGAGCCACCACGCCCAGCCCTCTATTCTGAGAACTTTCTACATACCCCCCTTCTTTCACTGTACCCCTCTCAATTTAAAGCACAGAGTTTCCATATTTCCACTTCCTAAATATACAAACCAAACTTCACCAACAAAACAAGTAAAACATGTTATATTGAGCCTCAAGTAAAAATGGCTTCAAATTTGTAGAAGATGCCAACAAACTAATATTGCATGTATGTACATCTGCTAATGTACTTGTAGGGGTTTTCCTCCCCAAAAAAATCTATCCTCTAAAATAATTTTTACTCTGTTATCTAAAATTCTCAAGTCTCATCTAAATTTCCTCCCTGCTTATTGACACTGCCACCGCACCCCCTTCTGGGCAGGCTTTTATTCTGACACCACCCCTTTGGGTCCCCAACCATACTGGTCTCCTTGAGAAAGGCATTTGCTATATAATCCATTTGCTAATAAAATCCTCTGATTTTCGAGATTCCCTAACAGAGGAAGTACTCACCTGTGCACTTTTTATTTTTCAGATTTATCACAGGGAAGCACTTGCCAAAGGCCACTGACAGCATGCCTTCCACATTGCTCAGGGATGGGCGGGCAGGGAGGGGTGGTACCACCAGGCAGGACACTCAGGTCTAATGACACACCTGGCTTGCTTTCCCCGTGCTCAGCCAACCAGAACTCTTCAGTGCCCCCAGGCACGACTGGGAAAATTCCTCACCTGCCATGCTTGAACCTAGCACCACACAGCCTAAATCCACAGGGCACACCAGGCAGCAGAAAGGACTAAGTCAAGCCTTGAAATGTTCCAGTCTGAGACAGGGTGGAAGTGGGTAGCCCTTCTTGTTCCCCAGTTAGCTAGACAGTCCAGGAACCGGAGTCAGTTCCCTCAAACCCAATACACAGGAGAGCACAGGGTCCAGGACAGCTCTATCTGCTGAGGGGAGCAGCCCTGCATGGCTGACCAAGCAGAAGGCACATGTAACCAAATGGAGCTCCCTTTGCTGAACGGGGCCTCCCTAGGACAGCACGCAGGGTGTATTTCCCAACAAACTAGTCGGCCAAACACCATTTGGTTTCAATTAACAGAAACCCACTCCCACTAACCTAAGGTAGGAAAAAACGGTAAGGGAATACGAGTTCATTATAAGGCCAAGGCGTCCATCTGAAGACCCCTGAATCAGAAACTGCAGCCAACCCTCACAAGAGATGGAAACCAGGAAATAGAAAACCATCAGGAAATGAGACTATTCCCTTGGTCTCTTGTCTCGTCCTCAGCACAACTGTGTTTCCTTGTCTCTCTGCAAAGTGGCTTTATTCCACACTTCTCTATACCCATGGGTCAAACATCTACTCCCCAGTTAGGGTCTCCCTGAACTACAGTGTGAGCATCAAAGACAAACTGGGATTGCTATCTCAATCCCAAAAGAGGCAGGAGACAGAGTTTAACTCAACTTGGCTCAGATAGCCCCACTTTGATCCAAGAAAAGGTGGGTGAGCTGGTCCTACTATAGAAAGTATCTACCTGTCCAACACAATTACGAAACAAAAACAAAACAAAAAAACACACACAATGTACATGACAGCCACTGAATGAACTCCGACCTTTGTTAAATCCACAAAGTTTTCCTAAAGTATCATCTTGTCTTCTTAACCACTCTAAGGAGGCACAGCTGTACAGTCAGAGCCTCAAATAACAAGCAACTGTCTTCTTTGTAGCTTGCTTGCTTGTTGGTTGCCTGGGTTGGAGGAAAAAACCACTTTGTTGCTATCAAATAGGAATGTATTTCTGGTTCCTCCTTTTTTCTTCAGAGAAGAGTTCTTAGCAGGAATCTCACCTGAAAGGGGGCAGAACCTGGCTAAAATATGGCAAGGTCTTGGACGGCATGAATGCAAGGGTTGGGGAGACACAGGCACAGTAGAAACTCACACAACACACAAACAGAACTCAAGCCTTCTGGGGCAGGCTCAGAAAATAAAATAATCTGCCATCTATAGGAAATATCTGTTCAGTGTAAAGGTTAAGTGAGGCCCCTTCCTTACAAAAGCCACTGGGTTTTTCATAAAGTAACCCCAAAGAGTCCATCAGTCTGGGTCCATTTCACTTAAGGCAACAAACATTCCTCACAGATCATGGGCTGTGCTCTGTGTGGTTGCTAATAGGATAATCTGTTACAGGAGGCTTACAAATCCATTTACATTGATTTTAATTAATTAATCAATCCCTGGCCCCGAACAACTTGGTCTAGAGACGATAAGCAATTCAAGATTCAGTCTCTAATCCCAGCCTGAAATCTACATGAAAAAGAAGTTAACTGTCAGATCAATGAAGGACAAATAAAAATAACTGGATTTGTACCTCTCTTAACATAAGGAAAAATCTCCTCCAAGTTTAGACAGTGACTATTTACATGTTAATGAGAGTAATATATTTTCACAGTGATTTCCAAAGAAACTCACCTAAGACTAAGGAGTTTTTGTACCAGCCTGAAATCTGGAGAACCACAGCCAGAAATTATGACTCTCAGTCAAGCCTCTAAAATCAAAATGAGCCCGACTTTCTCAACAGCTTATCAGAGCCTTTTAGTGAGGCCTGAAGTTGAACAGAAAATTACCCAAACACAAAATACAAACGACAAGTAAGAACGAAGTGGCCCTCGCCAGCCTGGCTGTGCGCTGAATTAGCCACACTTGATTAAAAAGCCAGGCAAACTTTTGCATTTGCTTTTATTTTATTCTTTACAAAGGCTGAAATAGAATTTGACCTTTCTGAGCTATTGCCAGCTATGAATTGGAAACAAGCTCAATTTAAAAGGTAGCATCAATATCTAACTGCTCATCATCTCAAATTTTTTTCCATCTTCCTCAGTGTCTTTTCACAGGGTTTGTCTACCCATGCTATTTTTAGACTTCTATCAGAACTTCCAATGACTCCATATAAACCTACAGTAGGGGGGAGAAGGGTCTCATTTCAGTCCCATTTTCTCAAATCCCACGCTAGCTAACACCAATTAGCGTAGAAAAAGAAGGTAAGAGTTGGTAAATGAAAATGAGTCACACTCAATTTTAATTTTTCTCAAGATTGAAAAAGCTCATAAATTCACAAGTAAAGCACAAAGCAACAGTGAGTCCCAACTTCACACAGAAACACCAACCCAACTCTGCTCTGACTTGGGTACGTACACAAAGTGGGCACTGCTCATAAAGGAGAAAAATAAATACGAGTCACAGCAGACCCAACATTGGGAGACAACTTCGTGTTTCTCCCTTACTCTTTAAAATATTTAATAAAACAGTTATAAAACTGATTCTGAAGTCAGGAAGACTGGCGTGAAACACTGCAAAAGGAAAAAAAAAAAAAGAGGACCCTGTATATAAGGAAGTAAACTGCAAGTAAAAGCAAGAGACAGGCCAGAGCTTGGCAGGCTGGCGAGTGTGTTAGTTTGTTCTCTCGTCTCTCTCCCCTCTCTCTCTTTTTTCTCTCCTTTCTCTCAAGTGAAGAACAAACAAAGAGTCGATACTTCAACTATACATATGGAATCCAGAGCTTTCTGCCTAGTGTCGGCTTGCATGTCCCCTAGTTTTAGGATTCACTGGAACACTAAAGCCCCTTGAAACATTTGCCATGTGTTTGCTGGGGCACTTCCCCGGACTCAGCCTGCCGCCTTTCCTGGCTGAGTTGTGCCGGGCCGCACAGCAGAGCAGGGTGTGCCAACGCAGCCTGACATTCAGATCAAGACCACAAATTATAAACAGTTTCAGTAAATTGACTCAAGTGCCTTTGTTCCTCAGACATACATCTTCCTACCGCTTACAAAGGCAGGCAGCAGAACCTAACCACCAACGCGGCTATAGCCAGGACTGGGAAAGGAAGTTATTGAAGCCTGGATTTCCTGCCTTTGCTTGTAGCCAAGAACTATGAGGCTTGTAGTGGTTTCAGGAACTGACTCATCTCATGATTCATGGATAAGATACTGCTTTTAATATGTTTCTGACCCTAAGATTCAGGAAAATCAAAACCAGTCTGAACCTATGCTTCACTCTTATTTGCAAATGAATATTCACAGCAAAATAAACAGGAGGACAACGGTTACCGAAACAATGAAAACATCATGCCAGTGGCAGGAAAAGTGGAATGCAGGCATCACATGGGAAGCCGTCATCAAAGCTTAATCCATGGGCTGCGACTTAACAGCGTTTCAACTTCCCAAAAGTGGATAACAGGTGGGATAAGGTTTATTTTTAGATGTCATTCCCCTAGATGTAAAAATAGATTTAGCACAGCAATATTTTAATTCAGGCCCATCTGGGGTTGTGACTCTAAATATCCAGGATGTACAGAAGCATGTAGCTTAAGATTTAACTGTTCCAGTTGCAAACCAGAGTTCAGAGTGAGCAGACCAATGATTAATGGGTAATAAAGGACTCGCATTGGAACTCATTCTCTTAAATCATCCTCTGCTAGAAGGCTGAAATTCTGTATTTCCACCCATGTGCTGACTGGCCTTCTCTGTCCTTTACTGTGCGCATGCACACACGCACACACACATGTGCACACAGCCCAGGACTTAAAAGCGAAGTTCTTTAAAAGTACTAAGCACCAGGGGCTCGCACCTCTGGCTGCTTTCCATGATGTTCCCTGTGGATTTATTCATCACAAAGAGGTCCCCACTAGAAAAAACTTTTAAAGCCTCCCTCATTCATGGATTGTTGGGTTCTCCCCACTATCCCCACACAAGACATTAAGCACAGGACCAGTAGGGGTGGTTTTCAAAAGCCTTTATGGGTTTCAACACAGCCCAGTTGCACAGAAGGAAAAGGGGGAAAAGAACACAAAAAACACAGGCTGTTCTGTGGGGTGGGGGTGGAGGAAGCAGTAAGAACAGTTGACCAGGCAAGGCCAAAGTGCAGGGGCCGGCTGGCAGGCGCTGCATGGCTGGGCTCCTCCAGCAGATTTACTGACATGACGTCAGTGGCTCCAGTCCAGCTTTTTCTTTGGTAGCTTTTACCACTTGCCTCCTGAAGCCTCCACTATGTTAGGGAGCCACAGGACCATAATGAAAATTCCCTTTGTGAAACTGAGTTTACCGCGGGGCACAGAAGCCTGCCTTGTGAATTACGGGGCTCTTCCCCCTACTCTCAGTGCCCACGGAGGAAAGCGGGGGCGGGGGGGAAATAAACCCCTACAATACTGTACTTTCCTTTAATACAGAGGAACCATTACATTAAGCTTGCGGCTTTAAAAAGAAAAAAAAGCCGGGGTGGTGGGTGAGGGGCATTAAATGTGTATCCAAAATTTCCCAGGCCAGGATGCTGGTTAACTTCTCAGTGGTGTGGAGAATGATGATAATTTCAGGACTATTCACTTGTGCCGTCATGAGACTGTGTTGGCTGCACTGTGAACGCATACAGCTTTGTTTCACCAACAAAACAAAAAAGTATTACTGAAGCTAAAACTGTAGGTCTGAATGGAAACTCTGAAGAAAGCATTAGAGCGTGTCTTTAAAATGAGCCCTGCTTTGCTGGGGGGACTGGGGGGTGGTTGGCCTAAGTGCATAGTCTATGATGCACCAACATGGGCATAAAACAATTTCCAAGAAGCAAAGACAGAAATTATAATACTAAAAATAAGTTTAATAGCAGACTTGTTAAATAAAAAACACTCATCTTAGACTTGCAGGCCTACTACTATAGGCCCGCAGCACTAAAACAATAGCTATGTTACAACTAGGGATCCAATGCATAAATCTATCTAAAACTACAAATCTTTAACTTATTTAAGCTTATAAAAATAATAGACTAGTGATAAATTCTTTAAATGACTAGGACATTAAATACATTCTATTTTAAACACTTTGGAGAAGAAGTACAAAGCTTAATTCAATCAATATTTATTGAAACAGATGAGTACAAACGTACCCAACAATACCATCGAAATACAGCTTGCAGCCTGAATGGCTCACGGTGGTAATAAGATAAGGAATCTCTCATGTCCTGGTTATGTATACAAGGAATAGAACAAACTATCAGGCAGACATGATGAAGGCAATGACTAAAGACTTCTGTGAAGCCTACATTAACATGAGCTTTGGCCTTCAGGAGGCAAGTCAAACCACAAACCATCCATGGTAATTCTTCAGTTTGGTCTTTTTCTTAAGGGAGGAAAGGACAAGATGACAAGCACAAGCATGAAAGTGGCAAATGAGAGCCAAAGAGGCCAGGCATGAGCAAGTGTGCAAGGAAAGCTTTTACCACGATTAGAGTTGACATGGCAGGCAGGATCCATTTCCAAAGGTGAGCAGATTATTCAACTGAAGGAGTGGGAGGAGAAAAAAAGCAGAGAACCTAGCACACACATCATAGCCTAGAAACTCCATTTCTCACTAAAAGGAACCCAAACTCTGCAGAAATGGTTCATTCTATCTCCCAGAATACACAAGAGGTTGGACAGCAAGGAAACTATAAAAGACTATTAATAGGGTCACATCAAAAGGCCACAGGAGCCAACTAAAGAAATTCCCACTGGCCAAAGATGAAACAATTTGAGCATCAGTAAGAGGAGGAACTGCAATGGACTGAAACGCATTCAATAATTTAAAATCAGTGATTGCCTAATGATATGCAAAACAAAAAAAAACTATCTTTCCTTTACAAACTATATGCTAGGTTAACCATATAGTTGCTAAGAGAAACCTTCTCCATAAAAAGAGGAATGGGTTGGGTGAGATGGCTCACGCCTGTAATCTCAGCAATTTGGGAAGCCGAGGTGAGCAGATCGCTTGAGCCCAGGAGTTTCAGACCAGCCTGAGTGATGAAACCCTGTCTCTACAAAAAACTAAAAAACTAGCCAGGCATGGTGGCGCACTGACAGTCCCAGCTATTTAGGAGGCTGAGGTCAGAGGATCACCTGAGCCCGGGAAGTCAAGGCTACGGCAAGCCGGGATCGCATCACTGCACTCTAGCTTGGGTGACACAGTGAGTGAGACCTGTCTCCAAAAACAGAACTAGAGTATCAGAGAACCACCAGTTTGCAAAAACTACATGAAATAATAGATACAGGCAGAGATCATCAATCAATGGCACTAACATCACAGAAAAAGTGACACTGTACATTGTGTGCCTCCTGGTAGAATACTAGCTATGAAATATTTGCATCAAAAAAGTTTTTAAAAACCCTGAATTAGATCAAATGTCAACATCTAAATTTCCCATTTATAGGAAATACAGAGGATAAGAGAATAAAATACACAGCACCATGGAGATACAACTGCAAAATCCAGAACGAGGCAGTCTAGAAGAGAAACACAGGGGCTTCTGTAACAAATCAATTACAAGAAAGGTGGGGATGTGATTTAAAGAGTTTTAAGAAACACAGCAACCAAATATAACCTGTTGATCTGGTTTGGGACCCTCATCTAGACCAGCCAACTATGAAAAAACATTTATGAGACAATCAAGGAAATCCAAACAGTGACTAGATATTTGACATTAAGGGCTTATTATTTTTTTTTTTTTTTTTTTTTTGAGACGGAGTCTCACTCTGTCGCCCAGGTTGGAGTGCAGTGGCGCAATCTCAGCTCACTACAAGCTCCGCCTCCTGGGTTCACGCCATTCTCCTGCCTTCAGCTTCGGGAGTAGCTGGCACTACAGGCGGCCGCCACCACGCCTGGCTAATTTTTTGTATTTTTTAGTAGAGACGGGGTTTCACTATGTTAGCCAGGATGGTCTCGATCTCCTGACCTCATGATCCGCCCACCTCGGCCTCCCAAAGTGCTGGGATTACAGGAGTGAGCCACCGTGCCCGGCCAACATTAAGGAGTTATTACAGTGCTGGTGTGATCACGGTATCAATAGTTGGTTGTTTTTTTTTAAAAAGAGTCATATTTTTAAAATATGTACTAATTTACAGATGAAACGGTATGACAACTAGGATTGCTTCCAAATAATCTGGTGGGAGAGGAGCCAGGAGTTTACAAGAATAGCCATGAGGTGATGATTGCTGCTGGGTGATAATGGGTGCACAGGGGTTCAATTGCCCTCTACTGTACTAAACTTTCCCAAAGCAAAGACACTGAAAATCTAAAATAAAAATAAGATTCTGCTCCTGACCCCCTCCTTCAAAAAGAGAGACAGATGCTACAGAAGAGGTACTTGGCACTCTACTTCACAGCTGCTGGATGATGGTAGTCACAATCATAATTAGCAGCAGCAGCTAACATTTATGAGACACTTCTCCGCGAGTCAGCACTGTGCTCACCCTCACTGAACCTGCACTATAACCCATAAGGAAGGCACTTCTATGTCCATTTCAGGGGTTAGGAAACTGTGCTTCAGAAGGATAAAGAGGTTGCCCAAGGTCAAACAGATAAGTGAAGGAAACCTGTGTCATTCCACAAGTTCATAAGCATAATGCGGATGAGAATGAGTTATGTTATTCCAAAATAGTAACAACTATCAAGAGTGCTGGGAACTCTATAAGCCAACAGATTCAATCCAGTGTTAAAGAGAGCAGAAGTGGTGCTTTTCTGATGACCATTTTTGGTGAAATGTAGTGAACTGCAGGGTAGAGTCTCTGAGATCTTAAAGTGATAAGAGCAGAGGAGAAAGGGTGAAAAGTGGAGGCAGGAAGGGTGGATGTGTTTTCCAGGGAGGAGGGAGAGACAACAGAAAATATGAAAACAAAAGGGAAATAGCCTGTCAAACTAAAAATTTAAAAACAAAACAAACAAATAAACAACAACAAAAAAAAAAACAGAAAAACAACAAAGCAGGAAATCCAGCAAGAGGGGAAGCTGGGGCAAAGCTTAAAACTAAACCCAAAGGAGGAAGACGAAAAGGCAAATAAATGACCCCCAGTCAGACCAGCCTATGTTATTCGGGAGGAAAACCTCAGGACCCTGAACTGAGAAACTGGAGAGTGGAGGAAGCAAGAGACTTCTCAATGGGTTGGGGGAACCAACAGAGAGGCTGACAGTGGGTCATTCGCTATATTTCATTTAAACTCACATGTGGAGAAGTACTATTATTTTCTCCATTTTGCAGAGGAGGAAACAAGAAGCCGAGATAGAGTTAATCACTTACTCAAAATCACACAGCCAATAGGCAGAACTGGGGCTGCAACCAAGATCTGACCTCCAAGCCATGCTTTCCGGCTACCTTACTGAATACACCAAGCACTAGTAAGAACTGCACAGTTAGGACAACACCAAAACAGCCAACAGAACCACCTAGGAAGAATTTAAGAAATGCATGAAGACTAAGAAGGTACAAGCAAGTTGGGAAGCGGGGAAAGTCATGAGCACAGAGTCCTAAAAACTGGCAATCAGTGATCACACACCTTTTAGCTGAGAGACACCAGAAACAGGTAGACAGGAGGAAAAGATTGTATCAACCAGCCCCACTGCCTCCCACCAAAAACCAACCAAGGTGTCAAAGAGGGGTATCAACCCTGTAAACAACCCCATTTCAAAGACCCAGTGTCTTTTTCAGAGTCCTGATTATGAAGGGCTCTGGGCAAGCACAGTTAACTCTCTTCTGCCAGCTGCCCCCATCACTGCCCATCACCTATCACAGGCTAAGCTGGTCACCTGGGTGGGAAGAGAGAAATTCACCCCATCTCAGCAGGTTCCCAAGCACTCCCATTCTCAAAAAGTGAAGTCAAGGTCATCTGCCTAAACCCTATCCCCAGCATGAGGCCATTTCCATATCCAGGCCTACAGGGTGATGGAGGGGGCTAACTTATTCTGCCTGCCTGCCAACACAGCACATTCCAAAGCAAAACCAGATAAACTGGCAGGTCCAGTTCCAAACTTCCAAACTACAGCAGTCCCCCTACCCACTACACCCACCTAGAGAATAGTTTGGATTAGCCTGGCCCGGAGGAGTCCTGCCCCCTCTCTCTCAACGGTGAGTATAACCAGTCACGGGGGTGAGGGGTACTGGTCCCCACAGTCCTGGAGGACTGAAACCACAGGGGAGAGGTGAATGGGGCAGGATAAGTAATCTCTGAAAGGCTCAACTGAGACACACCCAACTTTTCAAGACCTTAGCCATATGTTTGTAAGAGGGAGTAAAATGGGCCACCAAGAAAACACAAGTATTGTGTCCTCATTTTTCTGGGCAAATACACTAAATGAGAAGCCTACCTTTGTTTCAATGTCACAATCTATCTTAACTCCCTTCAAATGCCACAAGAAAACCGGATAGGTGACTTGATGTGCAGTCCTTTGTTAGCCTGACAGCTGTGGAGTCACACAGATAAAGAACTGGTTTTAAAGTGCAGCTGTGTGATGTTGGGTAGGTCACTAAACTTCTCTGAGCTTCACCTTCTTCAACTACAATTGCAACTCAACTCTTATATGGGCTTGAGACAGAACCTGGCCTGTCAGCCTTCCCTTCCTATCCAAGAAGCCCAGGAATGAGCACAACTAAAAGTGAACTCAGCAGTACTGCTCCTCCTCCACAAAACCTGTCTTTGAGGGTTATGGATGGTATGATAAGATAAGTTTTCCAGGACCTTTCTGCCTAAGGGCTCACACATTTTCTCTCTTTAATCAAAAGCACAGCACAAAAAACAGCTAGAGGGGCAAGAGGCAGTACAGCATCATCTTCCCAGAAAGATAAACCAAAGATTTTCAAATGATTTACCTAAGGTCACAGGAAGAGCCATAGCAGAGGATTCCCAACCAGGACTTCCTTCCACACGAGCTAGAAGTGGAGAGACCAAGACCCAGCACTTGGAGGACCCTCAAATGCCTTCTCCCAGTGAACCACCCCAACAAGGTAACAGTTCTCCACCAGAGTTCTCAACAACAAAGTCTAGACGCCATTGTTTTGGTCAGAGCTGAAACACTGGACTGAACACCTCCACTCCTGCCCGAAGTCACTGCCTAAGGCACATCACAAAATAACTAAACAGTGGTGTCAAAAGAACCACCAGGAACTGAGCAGTGTCATTCCAATTACTTTTGGTTTTAGGCAAAGTTCTAAAAGTACTAAAATTTCTTTTAAAATTTCTAAAATTCCACTCAATGTTCTCTGGCTTATCTATTTAGGTGCATCATAGGACATCATTACACAGTCTCCCTCAGAACAAAGGTAAGTGAGTTTGAAACCTAAGAATGTCAAGAGTGCCAAGACCACAGGTTCTAAAATATAATCTGAAATCCCCCAATTTCATACAGTACAAACCAACCTTTCAGAATACCACTAAAAAAAAAACTTCTTTCTAAATTAAACTTTTTTGGTCTAAAAGGAAATGAACCAATGCTGAATCATTCCTATGAATGATGAGAATTATTTTTAAAAAAATACTTATGAGTGCATCCACAGAAAAGAACAAGGTTTGAAACAATTTGGTTGAAATAGCACAGGTTTGAAGGGAAAGTTGTTTCCTGAAATTCCCCTCTATTGTAGCTGTGGCCTCAGAAATGGCCTGGGACAATCCTTCAAAAGTAATACTGTCATGAGCTCAATACCAAGACACCACAAAGCCCTCCTGCCTGGGATTTTCTCTCCATTCTAGAAAAGTCTAGTCTGCCAGTTTCCCTGACAATTTCCTATTAGTACCATAGGCATATAATTTATCATCCAAACTGGGACATTTTGATAGTAAAGGAGGGTTCTTTAAGGATTATGCCAAGACAAGCAACATAAACCAGGATTATACCAGGCAAACAGGTACTCAGCCATGGGGAACCATAAAGGGCAGCCCTGTCGAAAATACAAATAGGCAAAACTGCCACAAACAGTAACCAGGAGGAAGGCAGCCAGGATCTGGTGGATGGACACAGGAACAAGGAAGACCAGGTTAAAATTAAGAAAAAAGCTAGGTAGAGCAGAGCCTGAAACTTGAGGTACACATTAACCTGATTCTAGGTCCATTTTCTCCCATTCTTAAGTCAATCTGCAAATCAGATTCAATGACTGATTTGTGGCCTCCCATGCCTTCCAGGTGTCTCCTCTTCATGATCTCCCACTTTATCCTTTATGACTTAGTTACTGGATTGTTTAAAAGTACAATCCATAAGGATGGGTTACCATGGTAAACATTTATCATTAGGGAGCACATCATTCCACATTATTGAAACTGATTATTTCTAAAGTAAAAAAGTTTCATTTTAAATACTACTACTGTTTATCTTTGAAACGAACTATATGTTTTTTCCTGGCTCCTCTCTAAAACCAACTGGTAGAAACTCTTCTTATTAGGTCTGATTATCAGTTTTTAATCACTCGATCACCGAAAAACATGACAGCCAGAGTGCTGGGGATACCATGGTGAGCATGACAAGATGCTGTTCTGTGTGGTGACTAGATCCAGGGTTTTATTTCTTTATGAGATATGATTCACATACCATAAAGTTCACCCTTTTGAAGTATGTAATTCAGTAATTTTAGTAGACTCCCAGGGTTGTGAATAAGTGCTTTTAAATATATTTTCTCCCCTCATCCACTGTCAGCCTGCCTGAATCTAAGTCTCTCTCCTCAACCAGACTACTCTCCTCCCTCAATAAGTCTTCATTTTAATTTTTTTAAAGAACTGGGAAACCAGATTAATTAGCACACATGTCTATACACTGCTTAAGAGACAAAAGGAAAAGATGTCAATAAAATGCAGGTGGTCCCTGGCCCAGGCTCACACAAAGCAATCTTAACTGCTCAGACCAGTCACCAGGAGTGGCCCAGATCTAAAAACACAGGGACATTGACACACCCAGAAGTGTAGCTGGGAATGTGAGCAGAGCAGGACCAGCTTAAGCCAGCTGACTTCGAAAACACAAGGTTCTATCACCAGCTTCCAGAAGGAACTCAGCTCATCTACCCAGGAAGTACCTGGAGTTAGGCACTGGAATTCACAACCATCCTCTTAAACATGCAAATACACTGGCTAAAGAGATGGGCAACCATTCATTCACATGAGTGTGAATTATTATTTGAGTGACATTTAAGGCCCAGAGGAAGCGAGTCTTAGGAGAGGGGCAAAGATTTATCTCTGGAGCTTGCAGTACTGAGAGAAACAAATGGCCTAGGTTTTAACAGCAGCCACACCTACAGCTCTAGCCTACCGAGCCAGCACTTACCTAATCTAAACTTTACTCCAACTCTTCCAAGTAGATAACATCATCCCCATTTTCCAGATGGGGAAACTGCGGGCACAGAGAAGCTAAGCAGCTAGCCCAAAGCAGGTATTAAGAGGTGCAATGAGGGCAGCAAAAGTACCTTTCTTCTCCGCACCTGAAGCTGAATGCCCTCTGCACCCCAGGGGGGATTATGCAATGGTTTTACAAGAAGGCCGAAGACCCTAAGCATTGTTTTGCTATGAAAAGATGAGTTCCATTCAACCACTTACAAAAGAACTTTTACAACCCAACCCCAATGTTAGGAGTGTGGCTTTCAAGCAAGAAGCTAAGGAAAAGGTTTTCTTTTAGACAGATGAAGTTGCACCATGCTATCCAGTTTTTGAAGCATTTCCATTTAATTCATACTGGGTAAGGAATGACCTCAAATATTACGTATTTACTGATGGATTTCCTCCACTTTATGAATAAGGGACGTGTGGTTCAAAGCGATTAATGGTCAAGGGCTTTATGGGCTTGCCTCAGCCTCTCCTAGATTTCTATCTGTTTGCCTGAGACCAGGAATCCGGCTCAGATTCTAAGTAAATGCCTCAGCCTTGGGTGTTCCTCAAGGGTCACTGTCCAGGGTGACTTGGCAGAAAATCCTTAAAGATCTATTATGCAACATGACATTTGAAGTTGCTATTTACTGAGCATTCACCACACCATGTGTCTGGTATATAGTGGGCACAACTGAAATTTATAGATGGGGACACCGAGGCTTGCAGAGAACAAGTAATTTGTGCAAGGCCACACTAGCAAGTAGCTGAGCCAACGTGTGTCCAATTCCAAATCTGTGATTTTGAACCCACATTATCCTTTTTCCAAACCAAAATCAGGAAACAGCCCACTGTTCATGTCAATCAGTTCCCCCCTCCTACTCCTTTCAATTAATTCCTCACAGCCAAGTTTCAAATCTGTAGTAGCCCATTACTGGCAACAAACCGTATCGATATGCGAGGGTTAAGTTCATTACTCAGGAGAATATTTCACAAGGTTTGTTTATTTTCTAACAACCTACTCCCAACTCACCCCCCAAAATGGCATCTGGAAAAAATCCCCCTGTTCCTTCAAAGCCCAACTCCAACATCACTTCCTCCGCAAAGCCCTCCTCAGTTCCTACCACAGGGCAACACAGCTCTTCGGATGTATCATGAGGGCTTACCCCAGTGAGTGTGTTTCCCCTTTATTCTGATGTTACATAAGGAAATCCATGCTCCTAAAAAATATAAACGTGTAAAAAACCCCACTCCCTCAAAGCAACCCTCAAGGCAACACCCATCCACAATGTATAACCTCCCAGATCCTTAGGACTAGAGATGCAAACGTGTTGTTTCAACATTTCACTAACCCTAAGACATGACTGCCGATAAGATGCAGCAGGATTTTATTTCAGACGTACTACTGTGAAACAAATGATGTCACAATGCTTATCACTTAGAAATATTATTTTATACATATTGAAACTTTTTACTCTCTATCAATCTTATGCCTACATAAAAAGGAAAATACAAGCTAAATAAATCGGGTAACATAAGCTAAAGTAACTTCTCAGAGTGATCAGTGTCCATACACTACCACCCTCTGTAACAACAAGAGTATTCTTAGGAATGCTCACTACTGACTCTGGGATTTTTTTCCTCTCCGCTGCATTCACTCCACAGGCTTTGGTGAGCGCATGCAACATCAAGGGTCATTACCACCACCTGGCCAGCCATGATTGTCAAACACATCCCAATTTCAAAAATGTTCAAGCATGTTAAAAATGTGTTACCTTGGAACTCACGAAATACCATACACACAACTTTCCCACTGGATTGCCATGACCTCTGTACATGCCTGTTTTCCTTGCTAATCTGTAAACTCTGCCGGGCAGGGGAGTTTTACTGATCGCTGTTCATTAGCCACCTTTTCCTAATTACTAAATCCCTGGCACACAGTAGCACCCATAAATGTTTAAACGCTCAGTGGCAAGCAGTAGCTCCGTGAAAACCAGGAGCATCTGGATTTCAAAGTGCCCAAGGTGAAGGGAAGAGACAAGGAAGGAAAAAATGAACAACAGGGTGGTTTATCCACAGTTCATCTCCAGAAAGCCGTCAGGATTACCCTTCCTACCCCTCATTTCCCAACACCAGGCATACCACCCAACGACCTCTAGGAGCATCCCTGCTACTCAGAAAGCAAAACCTCTATAAGCAGCCAGACAGAACTCCATTCTCAAGCCCCTCACCAGTAACCGTGACACACACCTCTACAATCACATCTGGAAACAACTGCTACACTCCCACGAGGTAAATGAATGCCGAGCAGAGAAGGTGGTTCTGGTTCATTTTATTGCTTCCCCTGGATCGAAAGGTGAGACCTTAGTTTTGTGCAGGCTTATCTTTAAAACCAATGAAGAACATCTTAGTGAATTCCATAAAGATTCAGCCTATGTTCCTAGGTACACTGCCTCACAAATATTGAGGGAAGAAAATCACATTCAGAATTTGAAGTGGCCAAATTTAACCTGATTCTATCTGCAGACAAAAATTAGAATATCTAGATCAATGGTTCCCAGCCAGGAGCGGATGTTATGATGGGGCCTTTCAGAAATACAGACACACTGCACCTACCACAACGCACCTAAGCCTACACAGGTGGTGCCCAGGCTGTAAAAGCTCCATGGAGGCTGCAGTGCACATGCTAAGGTGGGAACCACTGATGTGGCAGGAGCTTCCTGGAGCAGGAACAGAAAGAGGCTGACCTGGGTTTCAGTCAGAACCATCCTGAGTTAGCCATGTAAATGGATCTATGTGCCCTGAATGACAAACCCAAAAGGCAAAATGTGAGAAAAGGTGCAGGGCCTGGAAAGGTGAGTGAGAACACGCAGGCAGCGGGAGACAGGAGCGGGGCAGACAGCCTCGCCCTAGCTTCCCCCATGCCTGCCACATATCAGAGACACAAGTATTTGGTGAATGAGGGTCACATGGGTGATGAGCACATGGTCATGCACACCATCAGACTTCCACTGAGCCACCTACTAAGTGCAGATTCCCTAAGCTGGCTCCAGCTGAGGCAAGAGTTCCCCTACCAATCCATCAGTAGGGGAGATTTTAGTTTTGCTTCAGCTTCACTGGACACTTGAGTGGTGTTCTGGAAGCATTTTCCACTTTCACAAGTTCTAAGCATGAAGGAAGCTGCTTCTTGCCTCCAAATTACAAATGGCACATTCCCTGATTTCAAATTATATAAATGGTAATAATTTTTGCATTTTACGGCTAAGGTAAAATTTAAAGATGAAAGGAAATGAGGGAGGTATTCTGAATGCATAACAAAACTAGAAACCTTTCATCAAAATTTAAAAACAGTATCAAACTTACTCCTTCAATATTTAAAGCAAAAGCAACTTTGAATTAAGAGAATTTCTCGGCTCAGACAATATGAAATGCTATTAAGTATCTGTTTTCTGTTTTTCTCTCAATGACAATACATGACAAGGTCTTCTAAGTGCCCAGGATTTCAAGATGGGGCTGATGGTTCCTTCAGCTAATGGAGCTCTAACTCTAACCAGCATTGTCTCTCAAAGGCTTTGAGATGAAAAGGCAGCCAGGGAGAAAGGATTGAAAGAGATTCCACCAAAGGAAGCATCGGCTCACAATGGTTTCAGAATCAGTTAGCCCCCAAGACACCCCCAGCCACAGTAATGGGTGATCTGAAAATGAAGCATATCAAAATGCTATTGATAAGCTAAATTACCAGACAGCTTATCTGAGGCCCACATCCGCCATATGGTGCCCCAAGTTCTGCCGCCTGTTGCTGCCATAACAATAGGCACGCCTACCCAGAAAGCACCATCAGACAGAAACCCAGCAGCGGCGGCATGTGGGGCAGCTACTGTGTTTACATTTTATTTTGTGCCATTAGCTTTGTTCCTCCCCCTATCCCAGTAGGGATTTGAAACACACACACACTTAATGTCACAAATCCCTGTTACCTGCAGAATGCATGCATGCAGTCTGCATGTGAGCACGTGTACGGGGATAGATCAGGTGAACAGAGAGAAAACCAGATGTCAACTTCAGAAATGGAGCTGCCCAGTGGGGGAGGGCGAGCCAGGCAGGCTCCCAGCTAGAGCTGCAAGCAGACAATGCGCTTTTCTCAACAGGCTCGGGCGGGCGGGCCTCGGGGAGTGGCTATTTAAAACACTTGGCTCCTTTTATTTCACCACCACGGAAGTGAATTCGGTTCTTAAGTGCCAGAGCAAATGAAGTCATTTGGTTTCCGCGGGCTCTCCGCATCTCAGCAGAAGGAGTCAGGCTGGACGAAAGTCGGAAGGCCCATCTAAGTTGTTCTTTCTTACAATTAAAATTGATTCCTGGAGGATTAGGCGCTTGGGCTTCATTTAGTTTTTTTCTTTGAAAAGCTATTAAAGTCAAAGAAAAATTAAGGGATACAGACACTGGGATGAAAGCCGTCAAAGACGACTCCCTTCACAAAATGCCATCAAGTCACAGAGTAAAGAAGGAACAGATAAAGCAATTACCTTCTAAAGGCTTGGTTGGTATAAAAGATTAACAATGATTTCTGTCAAATACATTCATAACAATTGCGTATTTCTCTCTTAGAAGACTCCCATTTTTGCAGATGGTAATAAAATATTCATTTATTTAGTTTACTATCTATTAGAAAAACACTGGTTTTCAAAGAGAACTCAGCAGTGTGTAGCATCAGGTTATACAAAAATGCTTGGATACAGAGCAAAGCAAAAAAACAGTCTCTTTCTTAATATTCGGATCTATTGAATTATTACAGAAAGGCACTCATTTCATTCCCCTAGATTTACTCACACCTAAGCAGACAACATTCTTGGATGAACTTTTCAAATTTTCTTAAACATTCCAAGTTTAAAAAAAAAAATCCCCTTTCAAGTTAAATTGAGATTGCACTTGAACACCATCCAAGAGCAGAGCTGAACTGAATTATGATAATTAGAAAGCTGTGCCTATTAAAAAAAAAAGCAGCACAGTTGATGCATTTTTTTAAAAAAGTTCATGCCAGAGAATATAAGTTCAATATGTTCTCACATAATTAACATTTCCCACCATTAGCAGCAGTTTTTCAGTTTATGTATCAGTAAGAACAACAGTGTTGTATATTCCCAGTCAAGAGTGTTTCAGTCACTTTACACATACATCTAAACCTGTCAGATGCCTAAAAGCAACCAGAATTTCCCATTAGAGATGACGGATGCTTAACTTGTTCATCAATAAGCCAGCTTTTTCTTTTAAGCCCATTTTCCAGGGTCCCATGCCTGCAAATTAAAACTGCTAATGAAATCCTAGGACAGAGCCTTCAAAACAAATGTGAATCACGAAAAAGGATAGAAAGCATTGCATTAGGATAGTAAAGACCAGTTTTAAACAAGGCGGGGTGGGTGTAGTGCATGTAACACACCCTTCCCTTGGCCTGCCACAAAGGTAGAAAAAAGATAGGTTTTTACGAGGACCTTCCCCCTACTCCCCACCACCACCACCACTACTACCATTATCCAATCAAGAAGAGGAAACGAGTGAGTTTCACAGTTAGCCAAGACTCCCGGACTATTGGAAACTATTTTTTTGAGAATCCTCTCAACTATGCAAAAAATCAGTGGACCAAAGGAGAATTTAAAAGCTAAGAGTAACCTACCCTTGTAAGAAACATCATCCTGAAAACCCACCCACCAGGGCATCCCATTTTTACTTTGACTAAAATAAAACACATATTTCAAAGCTACCCTATTCTGTACCACTACAAAACTGGAATGTATTTGAAAAAATGGTCAAATTTCAATTCCAAATTCAAATATGGACCACGAAGCTCATAATGAGAATCTTACAGATTGAGGACACTCAAGAGTTCACAGCTTTGAAACAAAAAATAAAAACCCACAGAAAAACACTCCAAGTATTTAGATCCAAATATACTAGCACTCCACAAACTATCCCAAGAAGAGGGAAGCCCCAGAACTTCCCTGATTTCAGAGGTACAAAGTAATTGCAATACAACAAGGTCTAAATAAGGTGTCTGTCAAAAAGCTCAACCATGAATATGAAGTGCGTAGGATGGACCTGAATTACCTGATTTTATCACTTTTATGAATATGAAAGAATAAAATGTATCACTGATGTGGTTCAAACACAACTCTAGATGCAACTTAAATACCACAAGGTAATCTATGCCTTATTATAAAATAAGAAAAAGCACCATGCAGCTATAAAAGATTGTGCCAGCCATCAATCTGTCCCCAAGCAGCCCAGCAGCAGCACAGCCTAGGTTTGTCAAAGGGGAATAAGCTTACAATATATTTTTCTGGCTGAGTCCAAAAGTTGGACATTAGCAGTTTGCAGTTCCAGTCACTAAACTCCAAAGGGGCAGCTGTAACGCTCGCATTTAACAAGGTTGGCTTGCATTTTCTTGCAGTTCTACAGAGAAATCTGGACACTTCTTTTGGCCACATTCTTCAGTCTTTGGAGAAAACAGACCCTAAAGTTTTACCACTAAACAGATTCGACCTCTAAACACAGCTTTCATATTTATTTATTTTCCCTTTCACAATCTCTCTACTGGGTACAAGTGCCTAAAATGGAGCTTAAAAGTGTTATCCACCTACTGTCTGTATGTGAATATGGTCATTTTTAAGTCCACCAGATCATACATACAGTTATTTGCACCAACCTTGAGTGATAAGACACAATTTTCATTTGCAGGCAGCATAATTATGCTCACAATTAACACATAACACATGAGATTAGAGAGAAAAGTAATCCCACAAATGCCCAGGCTCTTGTATGACCACCACGTATGAGAGATCAATCCATTTCTGAAGCAACCAACCTTAAAATATTGTTAATGTCACAGCTCATTTCTTCAAAAGTCTATTTAATATTTGGGATCTACATGCTTTAAACTGTTCGTATTATATACTTTTCTGCTGAAAATGTAAGGACAAATATGATCTAAACACCGATGATAAAAGTATATTCTTCCCAAACGTTCCCGTTAAGAAATGCCCTCATAATTGTTGCTCTGTATTCTAAGAACCAACAAAACACAAAATTGTTTATAAACTGCTGAAGCTCAAGCAGGGAAAAAAACTCGAACATTTTTTTCCTTATGACTTATTTGTTCCTTTTTCTAAATAAAAGGGGACTCCAGTCTCCCAAGTGAGTATACTAATATATAATTCCTGCTGTATAAAGTAAGTGGGGGGAGAGAGGAAATGGGAAAGGGAGGAGGAAGCCGACTCCCCCCAGGCTGCCCTCCCAAACCCGCCCTTATGTGTAATTAGTTTGCTGCTGGGGCCTGGGCACACATTGTACCACAAGGCAAGGAAAAGCCTCTCAGTGAGAAATTCCTATCAGTCTGGCTCAAACTAAATTGGGATGTCCTCCCCCTTTAAATTAAATTTAATTAAGTATATGTCATGGTGAGTCCTGGTTTTTGTTTTGGGAAAAGAAAAGAAAAAAAACCCTCCAACCCTCCAATAATCTCTCTCAGGCATGTTCCCCGCAGTTCATTACTTTATAAAGGATCACACAGAGGAGGAATTTACAGATTCTTCCCTATAATTTTCTTTACCCATATTGTCAAAGCAAAGTGTCATACTGGTTTTGTTTCAAGCTCGTTTTTAAAAAAAAAAGTTCTAATATTCCCCTAAAACTGCAGATCAAATAATATTTACCATTAAAGTAAAAATAAAATAGTCTACCTTGGCATTTTGATACCATCAGCAAGAACCCGTAATGGATATAGCTTATCATCAGTTCATTTTTTATACCAACAATAAATAAAAGAATTGTTAACTGTTTAAAACCTGAAACCTGAGAGTTCAACATAGAGTTGCACAAAGAAACACTAAAGAAAAATATCTGTGACCATTTATGGAAACAGTGAGATTAGAAAAATAAGCCTTTCCCCAAAAATTCAACAATTCAAAACCTCACTACTGACAAAAGGTTCAACGAATCCATTTGTCTTTCCTGAGTCACTTTGTAATTAGTTCTACTATTTCCTTCTAAAGAGGAAAAGATTCCTAAGGAAGTTGGATTTAAGTCTAGTCCTTGTAAGCATTCAGATATGCTTGGACCCGAAGACCCTGCTGTTTACAGAAGCGGGGCACAAACCCAACAGTGAAAGGGTGAAGCACCGGGCGTAGCCTGAAGACTGTTCCCCAATCTGTGCCTCAGAGAAGCCCCTATCCGTAGAAGACCAGCAAGATTCACTGCAGCCTGCAGAGAAAGGAGCCCACTCCCGGCTGTGACTACACAGTGGATCACATCTCCCTGAAGGGAGGGATATGTCTACTCAGGTAACCATTGCAGGCAACCAGCGCACCCCAAGCCATCAGACCACCTGAACTTCCAAAAACAACCAAGGTGGAAAGCGGGGAGAAAGAAATCTGTGGTTGTTGTGAACTGATAAGGTTCTGCTCCTTTGCAATACGTGTAGTGTTTTTAGTATTTCTTTTTACTATTTTGAAATGTGGCAGGCTTAACAGACCTTTCTATCCCAAGACCTGGGCTCCTTCCAACGCACTGTTTTTAAACATGGCCTTTTTACATTCCCTGCTCCTGGAACATCATCTGTCTCTAAGTTTCCAGGGCTCACTGAGGTCAATTTTCATTTCTGCAAATCACAGGAAGCCACTTGCTTCTAAGAAGTTAACAAGCCTCCTGAGAAACGCTGGTGGCTGGTATTTCATTGTTTCATAAATATTTTTATATAGTGACACTATCCAACTTTAAATAAATCTTTTAAAAAAGGCAATTTAAAAGCAAAGAAAATTCTGATCTGGATTTCATTTATTTTCATGAGAGGGGAGGTGTGAGTCCTCATTGTTTTCGACTCATTAAAAATATTGCTTTGATTTTTTAAAAATACAAAAGTTATTTTTTTAAAAAGAAGAAAAGTCACAGAAGTTAAACTTTCTTTAAAGCGGGACTCTGGACTTTTGAAAACAAGTGTTGCTGTTACGAACAAAGACTAGAAGTGTACCCAGATTTTCTCCCCCCCGGGGATCATTTCTCTTCCAATCAACAAACAAATCCCCCAGTATTTCCTACCGAAAGGGAAGGGAAGTTTTCCAGGGAGAGTCTCCTCCTGGGTTTGGTGGTAACTGCGACTCAGTCTTTTTTGGACACAATGTTTCTGCTGACTCCTGAAAATTTTCCACTTGAATGTGCAATGAAGCGGCGGCGGCAGCGGCAGCAACAGTCCTGGAGAAGCGGCAAAGACGACCGTGCCCTTTTTCATCTTTGAGAAGAAGGAGCGAACCCCCCGCCAGCGGCACAAGTCTGCGCAGACCCGGGCCGGCCTCGGGGGTACCCGGCGCCGGGGGGCGGCGGCGAAAGCAGGGGGGTGCAGGCCGGCTCCGGGCTCCGAGGCGGCGGCTCTGCCCGCCCGCGCTCGCTCCGAACTTCTGGCTCCCCAGCGCACCCCGTCCAAGGCGCCCGAGGGTGTGTGCGTGTGTGCGCGTGCAGGCGGCGGGAGAGGGGGCGCGCGGGGGGCGCGGCGCGGCCGGCCGGGGGCCGCCTGTTGCCGCGCGGGCTCCCAGCGCGCGGCCCAACTTGGCGTCCTGGCAAGTCGCGCGGCGGCGCCCGGCCGCTCACCTCGGAGGGGGCGCGGGGAGGCGGGTGTGGGGGCCCGGCCGCGGCCCTCCGCGTGCCCGCCCGCCGTCGCACACAAAGCAGAGCCCGCAAAGAAAGAGCGGCCCGCGAGGGACGCGCCGCCGGCCCCCCGCTGCCCCGTGCGCCCCCCGCACCCCAGCATCCGCCCCGCGCGCCAACTTACCTCGGCCCAGGGAGCCACCGCAGCGCCCGGCGAGTCCGAGGCAAACTTCGGCGCCGCTTCCCCCGCCCTCTGCTCGGTGCCCGGCTCCCTCCCCGGCTCCCGGTCCCTGGGCCCGGCCACCCCACCCCTGCCTAGCACCGCTCCTGCCCCGGGGCCGGCTGGCGCGCTGGGCTGCTGCCCGCGCTCCGGGCAAAGGTGGAGGGGTGGGGGGGCGTCACTGCATGGCCTGTGCCTGGACGCGGCCGCCCCGGGCCCGGGCCCCGCCGCGCGGAATGGCCCGCAGGGTGGAAGCGAGTCTGCAAAGTGCTTGGTGGGCGCCCGCGGCGGGCGGCGGGGCCGCGGCGGCGGCAGCAGAGGCTCGGCTCGGCTCAGGCGGCGCGGCGCGGCGCGAGCGATGCTAAGAATGTTCGGAATGAGGACAGGAATGAAATGAACGCCAGGACCGAACTCGCTCCGGAGGGGTGGGGCCTCGGTGACGTCATGCGGCCTGCCGCCCGGGGCTGGAGGCGGGGCCTGCCGCCGCCGGTGACGTCATGGGGAATCGGGGCGGACCGGCGCGGCTGCTTCGCCGTTGGGGCGCGGGCTTTCGGCAGCTGGGCGGAGTCTCGCGCCCACGGGGGAGCGTGGCTCGCGCGGGAGCCGCCCTCCGTCTCCCGGCGCGGGCTCCGGGCTTTGTCCCGAGCCGGGGCGGGGCGGGGCGGGGCGGACGGGAGCTGCGCGGCTTGGAAGTCCCTGCGCTCGCGCGAAGAACTCTGGAAGCCTGGGTTTCTTCCAGGGGGCAGGCGCCGAGGCGGGAGTTGCGCGCGACGCGCCTACCGTGCCTCAGTTTCCCTAGTCCGGGACGCGGAAGCGCGGGTGACTGCGTTGAGTGCTCCCGGACTCGCGGAAGTCTGCAAGTGTAGGGTAGAGAAGTTGCCTTTCTGGTGATGCAGATTGTTGCTCTCGAGCGCGGTGGACGCCGTCTCCGGGCCAGATTCCCAGCCTGCCATTTCTTCTCTTCCCTTTCACTTTTATAAAAGTTCACAGCTCTCACTCAAGTCGAAATCTGTCTTACGGTTGGGAAAGGAAAACCTTTAGCTTAGCAAAGAAGGATAATTACAGAGTTCGTAATAAACCTGCCCTGCTAGCAAGGTCTTCTCCAAGTCAGTTAAAAAACTAAGTTCACTCATCTCTGCCGGTTGTACTTTTCAAAAGTAACTTCCTAAACTTTGAAATGCTGCATCCGGCGACTTTAAGTTAGCCCTTTCATTATTGAGAAACTTCATTTCATTATTAAAGGAATCATTTTAACCCTGCCATTGGAGGTAGTGACGCAAAAGTGACATAGACGCAGTCGGTAAATCAGAAAACGGGTAAAATCGACCCACTGGGGACAGAACCGTCTAAAGTTTCGGGTGATTGTTATAATTATTTAACAAACTGCAAAGCAGTTCCCGCACAGTGGACCTCATTCGTTCTAGGCACTTGGCTCTCTTTTCCAGCTGAGGCCTCAGGATTAAATAACAACATATTTTGTGCCCGAGGAATCCCTATATCCCTATATATGGGTAACTGAGGAGACTAGACTGTGACTGAGTGCAACACATTTCTACAAAACATAACTTTTACTAATACATTGTTTTCCTTTTTTTTAATTTTTTTTTTATTTTATTTTTGGAGACAGGATCTTGCTCTGTCACCTAGGCTAGAATGCAATGGTGCGATCTGGGCTCGCTGCAGCCTCGACTCCCTGGAATCAAGCCATCCTCCCTTTTCAGCCTCCCGAATAGCTGGAACTACAGGCACGCACCACCACGCCTAGCTAATTTCTAAAATTTTTTTGTAGAGATGCAGTTTCACCATGCTGCCCAGGCTGGTCTCAGACGCCCGGGCTCAAGCTGTCCTCCTGCCTCGGCTTCCTGAAGTGCTGGAATTACAAAAGTGAGCCACTGCACCCAGTCTTATTAATACATTTTTAATTTCAACTCTTGAAGTAATCGGAGTAACAGGCAGTTGTAAAAAATAATAATAAATCGTTTGTTCACTTTGCCCAGTTCTCCCCACTGGTAATGTCTTCCAAAACTCTAATACAGTATCACAATTGGGATATTGACATTGATACGATCCACCCATCTTATTCAGATTTCCTCAGTCTTACTTGTACGTATTCGTACGTGCCTGTGTTTAGGTCTATGCAATTTCCTGACTTGTGTAGGTACCACCACAGTCAAGTACAAGTGCATTTTATTTCTAATTCATAGGCAATGATAAGGTAATACAGTGAGGTTCACAATAATGAACCCAACCACCTTGGCACTGGTTTTTGGAAATGTGTTAGAAAACACATAATTAATTTGGCATTAAAACTGTACTAGGCATATCTCTCTCCAAATGTCATCTTCTAAAAGCACCAGATAAATTTCGATGGCAGTGCCAACCAGTTAGTAGGGTTTCTAAACCACTATTTGTTGGCCCAGTATACCTGGGCACCTTTCAGACTAGTTCCTGTCTTATAGCCACTTTGCAATACAATATCTCCCTCATTCCAGACTGAATTAAGGAAAAATTCCTTGGCCTGGAATCCAAAGTTCTTTATGACATGAGTGACTTTTTGACCAGTATTTTCTCCAACTTCTCCCGTGTGTAAATTTTTTGAGACTCACCTTAAAAACCTCTTCCTCCGGGAAGACTGCTAAACTAAATATTTCCTCTCTAGGACCCTTGAAGCTCCTTGCTCCAGATATGCTTCTTGTATTCTGTTAGTTACCAGCATATGTGTGTTATTGGTGTTATATTGGTGTTATATGGTGATGCCTACCTATCTGAGCCCCTGGAAAGTGGTCTGGGTCTCATGCAGCTAAGTATGCCCTGCCCAGGACATACAAATGGGAAGTGACTCTCATTGTCATCTCTCCACTCTTCCAAATGCTTTCACTCTCCTCAGCCACCTTGATCAATGCATAGGACCAGTGCATGGATTTAGGGCCCCAGCACCTAAGGGCAGGAACATTAAGTGCAACCCGCTAAAATGGCAGCAGATACCATATACTGCGTCCATGCTTAGCACTTGGCATTTTACATTTGCCATCTCAATTAGTTCTCACAGAACCTGTGTAAAGTAGTAATTAGTACCCCCAGTTTACACAAGGGAAAAACTGAGATGTTAGGGAGGCTATATAACTTGTCCATGGTCACATAGTCAGAACCTGAATTCCTTCCGACTCATGTTTATAACCTGTATTCATAACCCCTGACCTCTACTGTCACCAAAGCTGAAATGAATATAAATCAAAGCAGTGGAATGCCAGGCACTGATCTAAGTACTTTCCAGATATTACCTCATTTGATCCCCACAGCCACCCTATGAGGTGGTTACTATTATTAGTCTTATTTTATAGATGAACGAGCCGAGGACCGGAGAGATGAAATAACTCGATCAGGGTCATATATTTAGTAAGTGCAAAGCAAAAATTCAAACCCGGGCAGTCCAGCTCCAGATTTCATGCCCTTAGCCTCCCACTGTATTGTATTAGCTGCTCCCACTTAGCTATTGTATTAGCTGCCCACTGCAATGAAGGCAGAAGATCAACGTCCACAGGGGTGACTTACCTGGAGATGTAACAATCATGTATATCACTAATGATACAAAAGGGTTCATTTCCCCCCACCAGTTCTTACCAAGAAAGAAGCTGAAACAGTGGTCTACTGAGTGGTAACAAATCATGCTGAGACAAACTCTTGAGTCAGCCTGAAGCTAGGAAGGAGAGCCAGAGCCAATGGGTTAGAATTGACCCTAAAGTTGTACCTGGCTCCAGAAGATATTGCTTTGGAAGACAAGGAGAGATGTATTAATAAGGATGATACTAGTTACCTCTTTTCTTTTTTTTTTTTTTTTTTGAGACAGTCTCTCTCTGTCACCCAGGCTGGAGTGCAGTGGCGCCATCTAGGCTCACTGCAAGCTCCGCCTCCCAGGTTTACTTATGCCATTCTCCTGCCTCAGCCTCCCGAGCAGCCTGGACTACAGGCGCCTGCCACCATGCCCGGCTAATTTTTTATATTTTTAGTAAAGATGGAGTTTCACCGTGTTAGCCAGGATGGTCTCGATTTCCTGACCTCGTGGTCCACCCGCCTCGGCCTCCCAAAGTGCTGGGATTACAGGCGCAGGCCACTGCACCCGGCAGAAGTCCCACTCTTAATAATACACCAAAGAGAGACTCAGATGCATATGCACCAGGACACATGTGCAAGAATATTCACTGGACATTTTTGTAATAACCCCAAACAAGAAACAACTGCAATGTCCACTAGTGCCAGAAAGGATAAATGAATTGTGATGTAATCATACAATGGAATACTATACAGTGATGAAAATGAATGAACAACAGCTACATGCAATGACATGGGTGAATCCTTAAAATATACTGAGTAAAACGAATATGAAATAATCCATATAGTACAATTGTTTTTATATAAAGATTAAAAACAAGGAAAATTTAACAGCATTGTTAAAGATACATATTTAGAAAGAAGAAAAAAATTCAATAGAAGAACAAGAAGAATGGCCAACAAATCTGGGGTAGTGGTCATCACTACAGGGAGGGTGTTGTGATGAAGAAGGAAAACACAGGAAGGAGGCTTCTGAACTGCTGGCAATGTTTATTTTTGCCTGGTTGCATCATGAATGCTCACTGTGATTCATGAAGCTATGTATTTATTTTAAACACGCTTTTCTACTATTGTATTAATATTTCACAATTTTGGGAGGGGGAGACAAGGTCTCACTGTGTCAACCAGGATGAAGTGCAGTGGCGCCATCTTGGCTCACTGCAGCCTCCACCTCCCAGGCTCAAGTGAGCCTCCCACCTTACCCTCCTGATTAGCTGGGACTACAGGCATGCACCACCACGCCTGGCCAATTTCATGTGTGTGTGTGTGTGCTCCCCTACTGGTTTTGAACTTCTGGGCTCAAGTGATCCTTTTGCCTCAGCCTCCCATAGTACTGGGATTACAGGCATGAGCCCCCATGCCCAGCCACAATTTTTTTTCAAAGTTAAAAATACATGCTAAAGACAACTATCAATAATCACATACCTCCCATGCATCAAGGACTTCACTTGGTTGTGAGTCCTATCCCTTCTTACATTTTCATAGTCCTTTCTGTACACATTATTCCTCTCTCTTCCAGATCTTCAGCTTCTATACTTGATCCTTTTCATCAGCATTTAAATAAATCTCTTTCCCATCTTAAATACAACAAAAAATAACCTTCTGTTGTTCTGGCCTCATGCCCAGCTACTGTCCTCTCTCTTCCCTTTCATGGCAAAACGTCTGAGAGGAATTGTCTGGCCTCATTGCCTCCATTTATTTACCTCCTACTTATTTCTCAACCCTCTCCAATTGGGCTTCTGCACCCATCAGGAATTGCATTCAAACAGTGGTCGTTCTAGCCTTTCATGAGTGTAGTTAGTTCAGTAGGCCTTTCATCTACCATCTTACTTGTATTATTTGACATTATTAACCACCACCTCCCTGAGACACTCTGTTCATTTAATTCCTACTTCTCTGGCTGCTCTGTCTCATTTTGCTTAACTGACCTGGTCCCCTCTAGCGAGCCATGAATTTTGTAATTCTGGATCTTAGGCTTTCTTCTAGTTTCACTTTATATCCTGTCTCCAGCTGAGCTCGTTCACTCCATTGGTTTCAATTATTATTTTTTCGCTGTTGTCTTCCAAACATGCACATGTGATCCATCTGTCTCTCTCTCTCTCTCTCTCTCTCTCTCTCTCTCTCTCTCTCTGGAACTCCAGATGTGTATATCTGATCTCTTACATGATACCACCATCTGGGTATCTCAAAAGTATCTCAAGCAACCTGTCCAAAACCATAATCTTCCACTGTAAACTTGGTTCTCATCCAGTGTTTCCATCTCTGGGAAATCAGCAGAAACCTAGAATGTTAGGCTTGATACCTCCCTACCTGATAAATACCCTTCAAGAGTGTTCTATCATGTTTAGAAAATAAGTCCTTTCTAAGGCCCTTAATGATCTAACCCTCCCCTACCCCTGACACCTTTTCAAGCATCTTGCACCTCTCCCTCCCAACACTGTGTTCTTCCCAAACTAGATAACTCCTAATTTCTCAAATTTATCATTTGCTCACAGGGCCCTTGTTTGTGTTGGTATAGCTCCTTAGAATACTTCTCCCTCTTCTTGAGCTAATTAATTCCTCTCTTCCTGTTATAAGTTCAAATGTTATTTCATCAAGAAAGTCTTTACTGATCCCTCAGACTTTATCTCCTGGTTTTCTATTGTGTTAGTTGTCTAATGGTGGGTAACAAATCTCTTTAAAACTCAATGTCTTAAAACAGTAATAATCATTTATTATTTCTCACAGCTTCTGCATTTGGGAATGGCATGGCTAAGTGGTTCTGGCTTGTGGTCTCTCCTGAGATTGCAGAGGTCAGCGAGGAATGCATTATCTGAAGGTCTGATTAAGACTGGAGTTTCCACTTAAAGACTGCTCACTCATGTAGCTGGCACGTTGGTGTTGGCTGTTGTCAAGAAGCCTCAGTTCTGCTCTACATAGGACTCTCCTTATTTCCTAGGCTTCCTCACAACCTGTTGACTTGATCTCACAGTTAAGCATTGAAGGAGAGAAAGAGAGAGAGGAGCAAGTGAGTGCATGGAAGAAAGCTGTATCCTTCTGTATGAATTAGCCTCAGAAGCCACATAGCACCACTTCTGCCATATTCTATTTGTCAGAAGTGAGACACTAAGACTGGATCATATCTAATCAGAGAGGAATTAGATTCTACCTTATTCTAAAAAGAGGGAGAGGAACAGCATCAAAAAAAATGCAAGTATACTTTAAAAATCACCTCACCTTTACTCTCCTTTCCTGAACTTATCACAGTCTGTAATTTTACATAGCATGTAATTATATTGTAAAGATATAGTATATACTCATGTGATTATTTGATGAATGTTTGTCTTCCTGCTGTGGTTTGAATGTGATTTGTCCCTGCCAAAACTCATGCTGAAATCTAATTGCTAAGGTAACAATGTTAGGAGGTGAAACCTTTAAGAGGTGGAGCTTAATGGGAGGTGTTTAGGTAATGGGGACAGATCTCCCATAAATGGCTTGGTGCTGTTCTCGCAATAATGAGTTCTTGCTCTCATTAGACTTGATCCATTCCTGCAAGAGCAACTTGTTTATAAAGCAAGGACACCTTGAATGTTGGGCCCCTTCAAATTTGACTCCCCCTTTGAACTGCTACTATTATGACACAGCAGGAAAGCCCTCACCAGAATCCAGCACCCATGCTCTTGAACTTCCCAGCCCACAGAACCGTGAGACAAATGAACCTCTTTCCTTTATAAATTACCCAGCCACAGGTATTCTGTTACAGCAACACAAAATGAACGAAGACATTTCCCATGCTAGAACATATGCTTTTTTGAAACAAGACTCCTATCTGCTTTGCCCACAATTTCATCCCCAATATTTAACATAATACCTGGTATTAATACATTCATGTGTAATAAATATAAATAAGTTATTAACTATGTATAACACCCAGAACAGTCCTTTTAGGTAGATATTGTTCTTTCCATTTTACAAATGTTAAATGCAAAGCCAAAATGGTTAGATAACTTGTTTCTGAGCCAAAATTTGAATCCAAGTCTCTCTGATTCTAAGCCAGGATAATTTCTATGACTCCGGACTTCCTCTCTATGACCACAAAAGAGGAACTGGAGCTGCTTTGGCCTTGGTGAAATGGTCTCCTGTGTTTCCATATTTCCTCATCAAGCATCCTTGGGAGCTAATTCTGCTTTCCAGATGTGTGGATTTAAGGACAGGACTGTCCTTAAGATGAGAGAATACTCAGAATCTAGTCATGAAAAAAAAAATCTCCAAAACCGTCTCCTCGTGAACAGATTCACAAAGATGGCAAACAGAAGAGAGTGTGGAGTTTCTGAAACTACAGACTTACTCTTGTCAGGGTCCACCAGAGTAGTCACTGGGAAAGCTGGTGCCTCTCAACAGCAAAATTTTCTGTCTGGCCTCATGCATCCTTCTCTCCTGTAGAAGTTCTTATCTTGTTCCTCACTAAGGAGAAAGAGACCATTCAAGAGCTGTTCTATTATTGAATGTGGCCATTAGTCTCTTGTGGATATTTAAATTTAAAATAATTAAAATTAAATAAAGCTTAAAAATTCATGTCCTCAGTTACACTAGCCACACTTAAAGTGCTCAAAAGCCACATGTAGCTAGTACCTACCATATTGGAAAGTGCAAATACAGAACATTTCTATCATCACAGAAAATTCTACTGGATGGTGCTGCCAAAGAACCAAGGTAATCCTAGCCCCTGAAAATTTCAGTGTCATGAAGGAAGGCAAAACGAAGAGCTGGAGAGTCACCATCTTCTCTATGAATGGGAGGGACTTATCCACCCCACAAAAAAAACCCAGCTCACTTGTAAAAAATGGTCCCTTGGGAGTTCTGGATATGAATTCACTTCTGCAGGTATGTGCTCTCTCATCAAGATTTCTGCCTCTTTTCCATCTGTCCTCTGAGCAATCAATCACACTTCATTTATTTATTTATGAGACAGAGTCTCACACTGTTGCCCAGGCTGGAGTGCAATGGCATGATCTCTGCTCACTGTAATCTCTTGAACCGCCTCCTGGGTTCAAGTGATTCTCCTGCCTCAGTCTCCCAAGTAGCTAGGACTACAGGCACATGCCACCATGCCTGGCTAATTTTTATATTTTTAGTAGAGACAGGGTTTCACCATGTTGGCCAGGCTGGTCTGGAACTCCTAACCTCAAGTGATCCGTCAGCCTCAGCCTCCCAAAGTGCTGGGATTACAGGTGTGAGCCACCATGCCCGGCCAATCAACCTCACTTTAAATAACTACCATAATTCTCTAAACCAGACTATTCATCATCTCCTGTCCTGAACCCACTGAGCCATGCCTAGCCCAGGACCAGGAAAATGCATCATCTACCCTCCTCTCTGCTTCTAACCAGTCCATCCCTACCCTTAGGCCAGGCTCCATTCCTCTTGTCTCAGAGTATGTGATTTCCCTCCTTCTCAAAGGTAATTCTTCCCCCAACTTCTCCATCAACATATGTGTTCTGGATTCTATGCCCTCTTCACCTCATTGGAAAATGCTTCACTATTCTCTCTCTCCCTGTGTATCATCTTCCATCTTTCTCTCTCCATTAGGACTGTCTCTTCAGCCTTCAAGTATGTGTAACTTTGTTGCACAACATAAGTCTCCAATATTGTTAGTAACTTTAACTGACCCTTTGGGGTCACCATCCCATTTCTTCTTCTTTTCCCTATCAATTGGCTCTGGGGAGTTATCTATAAAAAGACTCTAAATCCTCATTTCCCATATAGAACCTGGCTCTCATCTGACTCAGTTTCATCCCATTTAATAAAATTTGTTCTGGATGTACACTCAGGGTTCTCCACGACACGTCCTGGGTCTGACGACTTCTTCTTCTTTTCCTTCCTTCCTTTCTTTCTTTCTTTTTCTTTCTTTCTTTCTTTCTTTCTTTCCTCTTCTCTCTTCTTCTTCTCCACCTCCTCCTTCTTTCTCCTCCTGCTCCTTCTTCCTCCTCTTCCTCCTCCTCCTTCTTCTCCTCCTCCTCCTTCTCCTCCTCCTCCTTCTTCTCCTCCTCCTTCTCTTTCTCCTTCTCCTTCTTTCTTCTCCTTTCTTCTTCTTTTTTTTTGGATACAGGATCTTTCTCTGTTGCCCAGAGTGGTGTGCATTCACATGATCGTTGCTCACTACAGCTTCAATCTCCTGGGCTCAAGCAATGCTGCTACCTCAGCCTGAGTAGCTAGGACTACAGGCATGCATCTCCACACCTGGCTATATTTTTTTATAGAGACTGGGTCTCACTATGTTGTCCAGGCTGGTCTTAAACTCCCTGGTCTCAAGTAATTCTCCTGTGTCACCCTCCAAAAGCACTGAGATTACAGATGTGAGCCATCATGCCCAACCTGGTCAAACTTCTTATCCATGTTTCTCTTTGTCACCTTCTAGCTACCTGATCTCTTCATGTTCTACCACACAAATCTAAAGCATTCTGTCCTGGCATCTTTATTAAAAGTATTTCTTTTGCCAGAAATCCTTGCTGCATGTACATTCCATCCATCATTGGAGGATGAGCTCAAGTCCCTACTTCTCAATGAAGTCTTTCTGATGATAAAGCCCGTCATGCTCTCTGCTTCCCCTGGCTACCATCACTGAGTACAGACTGCCTGCTGCTACTGTGTGTTGTTTATTTATATTCTCTCCCTAGTTGAATTTCAGAGTGCTTCCTGAAAGAAATTAGCATTCACATCTCTGCACTCCCAAGAGACTTGAGATGCAGAACTTTATGCAGAGTGGATATTCAAATATTGAATGATTGAATATCCCAACATCTGACATGGAGTTTGACATATCCCAACATCACTTCCATACCTCAGCATCACTGACATATCCCAACATCACTTCCAAAGGGGCCAGTGGTAAACTATGTAGCACTATTTTAAATAAACCCCTTAAAGAAATGCTATAAAATAGAGACTGTCACCACCATTAGCTATGTAAGTACCCTATGGATGAAGGTGGTGCATAAAAAACAGTACACCTCTGGCTGGGTGCGGTGATTCATGCCTGTAATCCCAGCCCTTTGGGAGGCTGAAGGAGGGCAGTTCACCTGAGGTCAGGAGTTCAAGACCAGCCTGACCAACATGGTGAAACCCCATCTCTACTAAAAATACAAAAATTAGCCAGACGTGGTGGCGCACGCCTGTAATCCCAGCTACTCAGGAGGTTGAGGCAGGAGAATTCCTTGAACCCATGAGGCAGAAGTTGCAATGAGCTGAGATTGCACCATTGCACTCCAGCCTGGACAACAAAGCAAGATTCCATCTCAGGATTGAAAAAAAAAAGTACACTTCTTTGGAAGATCCAGAGATGACCAGTGTGAATGGGTGCTCAGAACTGCAAAGAGCTGCACAGCTGGCAAGCATCATGGCTATTATTCATACATTTTGATGGGTCAGGGGAGAAAACCCATGCTTTTTTTTTCTCCTGATTTAGGAGGAAGAGAAGGGCAGGGAGCAAGAGTAAAGGCTTTGGAGCTCAGCAAGACTGGGTTGAATCTCAGCCTCATTGTTTACTTGATGTGTAAAAGCAGGTAAGTAATTTATTTTCATATTGTAGAAAAATATTGCTGGTCTGTTTATGGGCATTTAAAATAAAAATATGACTAATATAATAGTCTGTTTATATATTTTTTAAGTATGTGTCAATATACAGTACATAGATATATATGCACAGAAAAAGGACCAGAAAGCTATATGCCAACATATTGACAGGTAATTAGATAATAGGTGATTTTTAATTTTTTTTTTTTTTTGGTCCTTTTCTGTGTTTCTGAAGTTTGAAGCATCATGAGCCAAGTGTGCTGGCACATGCCTGTAATCCCAACATTTTGGGAGGCTGAGACAGGTGGATCACTTGAGGTCAGGAGTGGCAACAAGGCGAAAACCCATCTCTACTGAAAATACAAAAAATTATCTGGGCATGGTGGCATGTGCCTGTGATCCCAGCTACTTGGGAGGCTGAGGTGGGAGAATCACCTGAGCCCAGGAAGTTGAGGCTGCAGTGAGCCGTGATCACGCGGCTGCGCTCCAGTCTGGGTGACAGAGGAGACCTTGTCTGAAATAAATAAAGAAATAAATATAAAGCATGGTGACTTTTATAGAGAAGGTCAGCTAAGAAATGATCTGTATTAAATAACTGCACTATAAAACCCCTAAGTATCTATGTTTTAAGCAAGTTTTTTGTTTGTCTGATTGGTTGGTTGGTTGTTTGGTTTGGTTTGATTTGGGTTTTTTTGAGACAGAGTCTGACTTTGTCACCCAGGCAAGAGTGCAGTGGCGCTATCTCGGCTCACTGCAAACTCCACCTCCCAGGCTCAAGTGATTCTCCCACGTCAGCCTCTCCAGTAGCTGGGACTATAGGCGCATGCCACCATGCCTGGCTAATTTTTTTTGTATTTTGGCAGAGATGGGGTTTCACCATGTTGCCCAGGCTGGTTTAAACTCCTGAGCTCAGGCAATCCACTCACCTCAGCCTTCCAAAGTGCTGGAATTACAGATGTGAGCCACCGTTCCTGGCCTGTTTTAAGCAGTTTTAAGCAAAATCCAAAGCAGAATTCTGGCGGAAGCCAGGCATTATATCATGACACTCAAACAGCTCTGTGGAGAAGCCCACCTGGAGATAAACCAGAGCCTCCCGTCCTCCGTCAGCATTGACTTGCAAGCCATGTGACAGCTACCTTGGAAGTGGATCCAGCAACCTCAAGAGAGGTTGCCCCCGCCACCCTCCAGTTCATGTACTCCCAAATTCCTGACCCATAGAAACTGTGAAAGAGAATAAATATTGGTTTAATCCATGAAGTTTTGAGGCCATTTTACTTGGCAATTGCTAACAAATACAGGCTTATCTGCTTCTCACTGACTGCATTCAAGTTCCTCATCTTTGCCAGGCATGTTGCTGTAATGATGCTGTGTTCTTCTGATCGCTTTCTATCACGTCCTGCATGATTTCACCTTGTCACAGTATTGGTGATGTTAAATTTGATTACTTGATTAAAGGAATATGTGTCATGCTGTGGAGTCGGAAAGTTATTCTATTTCTATGTATGTAATTAATAAGCAATTTGTGGGGAAATACATTGACACTGTGTAACTGTTCTGTGTCTTATCAAATTTTCACTATATTCACTTTTTTTGAGACAGGGCCTCACTCTGTCACCCAGGCTGGAGTGAAGTGGTATGATCACGGCTCCCTGTAACCTTGAACTGCTTGGGCTCAAGCAGTCCTCCTGCCTCAGCCTCCCAAGTAGCTAGGACCACAGGTATGCAATGCCATGCCCAGGTAATTTTTAAATTTTTTGTAGAGGCAGAGTTTCACTATGTTGCCCTGGCTGGTCTTGAACTCCTGTACTCAAGGGATCCTCCTGCCTCAGCCTTCCAAAGTGCTGGAATTAAAGGCACGAGCCACCTTGTCAGACCTATTCATTGTTTTATATCTGTATAAATGTTTGGACTCATATTTTATTCAATGGGTTATAATCCATTAGTATCATTATTTATTTTTATAATCAAATCATGCCATATTTGGCCACTTTTTTCTCTATACATCCATATATATCAACAGCCATAAATTTATGTTGGTACCTACAATTCGGCCAAACCTTGGATTCATTCTAGTTGTGTCTAATTCCCTTCTCCAACAGAGAACAAACTGGGTCCCATTATTCTTTTTTTTTCTCATAAGTTATTGGGGTGCAGGTGGTATTTGGTTACATGAGTAAGTTCTTCAGTGGTGATTTGTGAGATTTTGGTGCACCCATCACCTGAGCAGTATACACTGCACCCTATTTGTAGTCTTTTATCCCAGCATCCTTCACCCCAGTTCCCCAAAGTCCATTGTATTATTCTCATGCCATTGTGTCCTCATAGCTTAGCTCCCACATATCGGTGAGAACACATGATGTTTGGTTTTCCATTCCTGAGTTACTTCACTTAGAATAATAGTCTCCAATCTCATCCAGGTTGCTGCAAATGCCATTAATTAATTCCTTTTTATGGCTGAGTAGTATTCCATCGTATAAATATACCACAGTTTCTTTATCTACTTGTTGATTGATGGGTATTTGGGTTGATTCCATGATTTTGCCATTAGCAAGATTAACCAAGAAAAGAGAGAAAATCCAAATAATCTCATTAAGAAACAAAACAGGAGATATTACAACCGACACCACTGAAATACAAAAGATCATTCAAGGTTACTATGAACACCTTTATTAATATAAACTAGAAAACCTAGAAGAAATGGATAAATTCCTGGAAAAATACAACCCTCCTAACTTAAATCAGGAAGAATTAGATACCCTGAATGGATCAATAACAAGCAGAGAGATTGAAATGGTAATTTAAAATTTACCAACAAAAAAAGACCAGGACCAGGTGGATTCACAGCAGAATTCTACTAGACATTCAAAGAAGAATTGGTACTAATCATTTTGACACTCTTCCACAAGATAGAACAAGAAGGAACTCTCCCTAATTCATTCTATGAAGCCAGCATCACCCTAGTACCAAAACCAGGAAAGAACATAACCAAAAAGAAAACTACAGACCAATATCCTTAATGAACATAGAGGCTAAAATCCTTAACAAAATACTAGCTAACCAAATCCAACAACATATCAAAAAGATAATCCACCATGATCAAGTGGGTTTCATACCAGGGATGAAGGGATGGTTTAACATATGCAAGTCAATAATGTGATATACCACATAAACAGAGTTAAAAGCAAAATCATATGATCATCTCAATAGATGCAGAAAAAGCATTAGACAAAATCCAGCATCCTTTATGATTAAAACTTCCATTATTCTTTTTTTGTTTTGTTTTGTTTTGTTTTGAGACAGAGTCTAGCTCTGCTGCCCAGGCTGGAGTGCAGTGGCATGATCTCAGCTCACAGCAACTTCTGCCTCCTGGGCTCAAGCCATCCTTCCATCTCAGCCTCCTAAGTAGCTAGGACTACAGGCATATGCTACCACAACCGGCTGATTTTTGTACTTTTTTTGTACAGATGAGGTTTCACCATGATGCCCAGGCTGGTCTTGAATTCTGAGCTCAATGATCTGCCCGCCTTAGCCTCTCAAAATGCTAGGACTACAGGCATGAGCCACTGTGCCTAGCCTCATTATTCTTAATATGTATTTTATAAATGTCTTTATCATAAGCAATTTCTCTTCATCACACCCTGCCCTGCTTCCCCTACAAGGATGCCATCATTACCCCTCTTCAGTTCTTATATCCACACTGGGGACATCCTTTTCCAGCAATATGGGGGGATACATATAGCAATGACCCTTTGTATCAGTTTCCATTGATGTGTGACCAACCACCCCAAAACTTAGTGGCTTAAAACAATAATGATTTATTATTTCTCACAATTCTGTGAGTTGGCTGGGAGGTTCTGCTTCTCTCACTTGAGTTTATTCATGGAGCTACATTCAGTTAATAGATTGCAGGGAGAATGGCCATTTTTAGATGCCATCACTCCCATGTCCGAGATCTCAGCTGGGATGGCTGGGATAGCTCAGCCTCGCTCCTCTAGACTGTGGTCTTTAATCTAGGACTTGTTCATATGATGTTGGAAGTTTTCAAGGAAAGCAAAAATGAAGCGGAAAGGCTTCTTAAGTCATACAGTGTCTCTTATACCACATTCTACTGGTCAAAACAAGTCAAAGATCAGCCCTGATTCAAAGGGTGGAGAAATTGTCAACACCTCTGGATGATAAGAGCTGTAACATCCAAGTCACATTATAAAGGAGCACTGACATAGGGAAACATAATTCACTGGGGACTATTAGTGTAATAATTTACCATACTTTCCCAACTGAGCCATAAAAAGGCAATTTTAAATATATTTTTTAAAAACACACATCATTTTAATTATTTCTCTGAACTAGAAAAACTATAAGGAATCTACAGAGCCATAAATGATGTTAAAGCAGGAACCCTGAGAGATGAGCAGCTCCTAGAAAACCCTGCCAAATACTAGAGAACTGGGGCTCCTGCCTTCATAGCCATGTGATGCACGGAGAATAGAAAGCAAAGCCGAAGGCCACTAAAAGCAAAAAATCAAACCTGAGACCCTTATGTAAAGCTGAGACCCCACTCTAAGGGCAAGGTGAATGAGAAAAACAAACTTTCTGCAAAAAAAAGGAGACAACATTAGCTGGGTGTGGTGGCGCGCACCTGTAATCCCAACTACTCAGAGGCTGAGGCAGGAGAATCGCCTGAACCTGGGAGGTAGAGGTTGCAGTGAGCCGAGATCGTGCCACTGCACTCCAGCCTGGGTGACAAAGTGGGACCCTGTCTCAACAAAAAGGAGACAACAAAAAACTTGTATACAGGTCTTGACCTTGGTGTTGGGTGTCAGGGAAAATAATCATCTGAAAATTTGTAACCGCAAACTGATCATCAAATGATTTTACAATGATTCTACAAAAAATGAAAAATGCAAGCTGATGATACTATTTAAAGTGGTTGCTTGTTAGGCTGCTAGTTGACTGAGAGACATAAATATAAATCCTCTCTGAAATAATGCATACTCAATCCAGGCCTCCAAGAACTCCCACAGATAAAGTTCCAACAAAAATGAGTAACTCACTGTAAAACAAAATCACAAAATGTACTAAGAAGCAAGGCATCATCCACAGGAACCAGCAGAGAAAACAGAACACAGAAATAGGAACTTTACAGCTACAGATAACTGGAATATAAGACATGGACACTGAAGTAATTAAATTTAATATGTGCTATGGACTGAATTGCATCTCCCCAAAACTCATATGTCAAAGCCCCCGTCCTTAACTTGACTGTTTTTGGAGTGAGGAAGTAATTGAGGTTAAATGAGGTTATAAGGATAGAGCCCTGGTCTGAAAGGATTAGTGTCCTTCTAAGAAGAGACACTAGAGAACTCACTCTGTCCCTCTGCCAAATGAAGACAGAGTGAGAAAGTTTCTCCTGCAAGCTGGGAAGAGAGGCCTCATCACAAACCCAGCAATGCTGGCACCCTGATCTTAGAATTCCAGCCTTCATGCTGTGAGAAAATAAACGTATGTTGTTTTAAGCCAGTCTATGGTGTTTGTTACGGCAGTCTGAACTGACTAATACAATATAGTTAAATAAATATAAGACCAGCTTAAAGTATTAGCATGGAATAACCAGGCAGAATTGAGAAAAGTTCACATAGAAATTCTCAAAAATAAAAATTTAATTATTGAAAATACAAATCCCATTTGAAGAAAGTCAGGTTATACCACTGAAGATAGAATTAGTGAACTGGATGATAGATTGAATGAATTTTTGAAGGAATGATGAACAAATATATTTGTAAATATGTCACAAACTCTAAACAAACATGGTATAAAATTTAAGAAATAATGTCCAGTTTGTGGAGGAATCCTGGCCTAGAATTAAAATACTAGATGACAACATCATACAAGGTAGGGGATGAGTCCGTGGAGCCTAAGGTCCTTTATTGCTGGTCTCCCAACAGCCAATTCATCCCTTCCAGTATCCACTCTGATTAGATAATGCGGTTATTTTGCACTAATTTAATCAGATCCATTCTAACCTTCTCCCTTTAACTTCTATATTCCAAACCCCCAACCCAGCACCGCCAGCATCACACTTTCCTCCATTGCCTAGTTGCTACTGGTGGATGTCTGTGAATGACCAACAAGGCCTGTTTGGCCAGTTTTTTCTTTAAGTATTAAAAGGCTTAATCAGGCCCCTGCAAGGATCAGGTTCTTAAAATCATCCTTATTCCAAACAGTTCTTTTTAATTTTAGAATGCTATTTTCCTTTTTGATTATAAAATGAAATGTGTTAATTATATTAAAATTTAGAAAAGTAAGAACAGGCCGGGCATGGTGGCTCATGCTTGTAATCCCAGCACTTTGGGAGGCCAAGGTGGGTGGATCACGAGGTCAGGAGATGGAGACCACGGTGAAACCCCGTCTCTACTAAAAATACAAAAAATTAGCCAGGCGTGGTGGCGGGTGCCTGTAGTCCCAGCTACTCGGAGAGGCTGAGGCAGGAGAATGGCGTGAACCTGGAAGGCGGAGCTTGCAGTGAGCCGAGATTGCACCACTGCACTGCAGCCTGGGCGACACAGCGAGACTCCGTCTCAAAAAAAAAAAAAAAAAGAAAAAATAAAGAAAAGAAAAGTAAGAGCATAAGGAAGAAAATTATTAACACACATTGTATCATGTCATAAAACTAACCACTCAATATTTTTTAAAATGTTAAACTGTCTTAAAATACAACCAGATTAATAAAACAGTTGTATTTCCACTACTCAGAACTGAAAATTGCTAACATTTTGTCATAGTTACTTCTAGACAGTTGCTTACATTTTCAGAGCTTAAGATATCTTTCTGTTTATATGAGAAATAATCATTATCACAAAATGTATTACAAAATATTTTAAGTTCATCATATTAATTACCACTATCACTTACAAATTATGATTCTCTCTGTCCCATAAAATATTATTATCGTATAATAATGTAATGGCAAATGAAAAGAGTTGTGCACATTTTAAAAATACACTTGAGAGTTTTATTATTATTTTATTATTTTTAAAATAAAATATTTTTGAGCATTTGTGATTATGTAAAAAAGTTTAAAGTTCAGGGCTGAGGAGAGATGACTGTTTCCTAGATCTAAGGGTGATACTGTTTTTTTGTTTATCTTCTAAATGAAGGAAACAAAAGATTACTGACCAATTCAGAACTCTCTTTGACCCCTCCTTACAATTTTATTCCCCCTTCTACTTCCTCAGAAGCAACCACAATCATGAATTTCCAGTGTATAGTTCTAGCTATTTTTTATACTTTTATTATATATATGATCTATTAATATATAATGGTCATATATGTATATATATCTGATCTATTTCACTATTGATGCACATTAGTGTGCCTTCCAATTTGAGAATACAGTGAATAAACCTGTTTTGAATATTCTTGGCCAGGTTTTTGATAAATATAAGCAATCATTTCTGTTTGGTATATACTCAGGGATTCAAGGTCATAAAACATAAATTTGTTCAGAGTTTATAGATACTTTCAAACAATTTTTATAGTAATTATACAAATTGAAACTTCCTCTATAATAATATATGAGCATTCCTATGAGCATTCCAGTTGCTCCACATTAGCATCAACACTTGATATTGTCAGTCCTCTCAGAGAGCAATATAGGTGCAGTCCTATCTGATTATGGTTTTACTTTGCATTTGCCAGATTTTCTATAATACTCTGCAAATTTTCATTCAGTTATTGGTGATCCTTTTTGTAATGTGTTTGTTTACATCTTTAGCCCATTTCTGTGAAGGTCATCTAACTTTTCTTTAGTGTTTTGCCAAAACATTTTATATTCTGTTTAGGATTCTGTTGATGGATATATACACCAAAAATATCTTTTCCCTGCCCGTGTCTTACATTTTCACTCTCTTAATTGAATATATTTAACGTTAATGAATTCCAGCTTATTAAATTTTCCTTGTGAGTGATTATAGTTAACATTATGTTTTTCACTTCAGTTTCTACTTGTTCATTTCTAGTGTATAGAAATAAAAATGATTTTTATGTATTGATTTTCTATCCTGAGGATTTGCTGAAATCATTGATTAATTTTAGGAGACTAGTTTTTTTGTTTTTGGTGGTGGTTTTTGTTTTTGTTTTTGTTTTTTGAGATGGGGTTTCGCTCTTGCTCAGGTGCCTAGGCTGGAGTGCAATGGTGCGATCTCAGCTCACTACAACCTCCACCTCCCAGATTCAAGCGATTCTCCTGCCTCAGCCTCCCTCCCAAGTAGCTGGGATTACAGGCATGTGCCACCATGCCTCGCTAATTTTGTATTTTTAGTAGAGACAGGGTTTCTCCATGTTGGTCAGGCTGGTCTTGAACTCCCAACCTCAGGTGATCCACCTGCCTCAGCCTCCCAAAGTGCTGGAATTACAGGCGTGAGCCACTGTGCCCAGTCTGTTTGTTTGTTTTTTTAAAGATTTCTTAGCCTGGGCAACAGGGTGAAACCCCATCTCTACAAAAAAATAGTAAGTACAAAAATTAGCCAGGTGTAATGGTGTGCGCCTGTAGTCCTAGCTACTTAGGGGGCTAAGGTAGAAGGCTTGCTTGAGCCCAGGAGATCAAGGCTACAGTGAGCCACGTTTGCACCACTGCACTCCAGCCTGGGTAACAAATTGAGACCCTGTCTCAAAATAAAAAGTAAAAGAGATTCCTTGAGATTTTTTAATGTAGATAGCTATGTCATTTGTAAATAGGGACAGTTTTTTTTTCTTCTCAATTTATATGCCTTTTATTTCATTTTCTTATTTTATCATGCTGGCTAGGCCTTCCAGTGCTATGTCAAACCAAAGTGATAAGAGCTAATATCCTTGTTTTGTTCTGGAATTTAGAGGGAACACATTCAGTCTTTAATCATTAAGTGTGATATTAGCATTATTTTTTTTTGCAGATGCTCTTCATCAAGGTAAGGGGCCCCTTTTTCTAGTTTGCTGAGTGTTTTTATCACAAACAGAAAATAAATTTTGTCAAGCGCATTTTTTTTTGCATCAGTTGATATGGTCATATAGCTTTTCTTCTTTGGCCTATTAATATGGTGAATCACATTGACTTTTGAATATTGACTCTTTATTTATGTCTTCCTAAATTTCTCTTAGAAATATTTGGTAGTTTTCAATTTAAAGATCTTAAACATTTTCCATTAGATTTATTCTCATGTATTTAATACTTTTTGTTTGTAAATGAAATTATTTCCTTAATTTTATAAGTATTATTAGTATGTAGAAATAAAATTGTTTATGTATTGACTTTGTATCCAACAAACTTGCTAAATTTACTTAAGTATTTCAATAGTCATTTATATTTCTTATGTACTTAATCATATTCCTGCAAATAAGGACAGTTTCAGTTCTTTAATCTTTTCTATTCTTTATTTTTATTTATTTTTCTTGCCATATTATATGAGCTAAGATCTCCAGCACAAAACTGAATAAAACCAGTGACAGTGAATATCCTATCTTATATGAAATCAGTGGGAATATTCAATACTTTGCCTTTGTGTAGGATTTCAGCTATAGAATATTGTAGGCTTTTATTTTGTTTTACATGTGCAAAATTCAGAACTAATTTTTTTAAAAACATCCTTTAGCCCAGGGGTCTCCACATACCTGTGGAGGTATGTGGCCTGTTAGGAATGAGTCGCACAGCAGGAGGTGAGCAGTGAGCCAGCGAGTGAAGCTTCGTCTGTATTTACAGTGGTTCCCCATTGCTTGCATGACTGCATGAGCTCCACCTCCTGTCAGATCAGTGGCGGCATTAGATTCTCATAGGAGTGCGAACCCTATTGTGAACTGTGCGTGTGAAGGATCTAGGTTGCACGCTTCTTCTGAGAATCCAATGCCTGATGATCTGTCACTATCTCCCATCACCCCAAGATGGGACCATCTAGTTGCAGGAAAACAAGCTCAGGGCTCCCACTGTTTCTACATTATGGTGTTTATAATTATTTTATTATATATTACATTGTAAAATAATAGAAATAAAGTGCACAATAAATGTAATGTGCTTGAATCATCTCAAAACCATCCCCCTACCTTGGTCTGTGGAAAAAATATTTTCCACAAAACAGGTCCCTGGTGCCAAAAAGGTTGGGGACCACTGCTTTAGTCCCACATAAGTTATTAAGACTTGGTACTGTGAACTTAGAGGCATGTTGTAAAGTATAATTAACAAAGAAAAAGCAACGTAACCTACTTTTGAATATGGAATTGAGAAGGTAGCAAATGTTTAAATAAAATTTTTGAGGAGTTTTAAATCCAGGTAAAATTTACATACGTAAAAATGAACAGATCTTATGAATGTTAGTATATCCTTGTAACCAGTAACTCAATCAACATACAAAACATTTCTACATTCTCCCAAATTTTATCTTGCTTCCTTCTAGTCACTACTCACACCACATACACAAACATTATGCTGATTTCTATTAATGTTTTTGTTTTGCTGTTCTAAAATTTCACATACATGGAATCATAAAGCATGAATTATTTTGTGTTTGGCTTCTTTGCTGAGCAAAATATTTTTAGCATGACATAAATTTTTATTCACTCTCCTGTTTGATGAACATTTAAGCTGTTTCTAGTTTGGGGCTATTATAAATAAAGCTGTTATAAATATTTCCATACAAGTCCTTTTGTGAACTTAAGTTTTAATTTCTCTTGGGTTAATCCCTAGGATAGGAACTGTTGGGTCATAGATTAAGTCTGTTTAACTTTATAAGAAACTTCAAAAGTTTATTATAATGATAGAGCTGTTTTCTATTACCACAAGCAATATATGAGTACCAAATGTTTTATATCCTCCACAGCATTTGTTGTTAGCCTTTTTAAATTTTAGCTTTTTTTTTTTTTTTTTTTGGTAACAACCTTTTCAGCAGATTAAGAAAGTTCTCTTCTATTTCTAATCTACTGTAAGACTTTATTGTTTATGAGAGCTAAATGTTATCAAATACTTTTTCTGCATCTCGTAAGACACTTGTAAGACTCTCATTTATTTTGTTCATGTGGTGAATTATACTGATTGATGTTTTAACAAATTTATTGAGGCGTGTTTTACATATCTTAAATTCACCAACTTCAAGTGTACAGTTTGATGAGTTTTTGTAAATTTATCCCGTTGTGCAATTACTATCACAAGCTATCACACCAAAATTTTCCTTATTATTCCCCTATGCAGTTCATTGCTCTTATTTTTCGAATCCCCAGGCAATCTCTGAAATGTTTTCTGTTTGTTCTGTTTGTATAATTTTGTCATTTCTAGAAATTCTATGTAAATAAAATCATAAAATATACATCCTTTCCCACATGTCAAGCAACTGAAGCCTCCTGCCAACAGCCATGTAAGTAAGCCATCTTGGGAGCAAAACTATCTGGTTCTCTTCAGACCTTCAGATGACTGCAGCCTCAGCTGACATCTTAACTGCAACCTCATGAGAGACCCTGAGAGCCAAATCTACCTTTCTGAGCAACTATCAAACTTCTGACCCACGGAAACTGTGAGATAATAAATATTTTTTGTTTAAACCATGAAAATTGAAGTGCCGGGCGCGGTGGCTCACGCCTGTAATCCCAGCACTTTGGGAGGGTGAGGCAGGCAGATCATGAGGTCAAGAGATCGAGACCATCCTGGCCAATATGGTGAAACCCCGTCTCTACTAAAACTATAGAAGTTAGCCGGTCATGGTGATGCATGCCTGTAGTCCCAGCTACTAGGGAGGCTGAGGCAAGAGAATCGCTTGAACCCAGGAGACCGAGGTTGCAGTGAGCTGAGACGGCACCACCACACTCTAGCCTGGGTGATAGAGTGAGCCTCCGTCTCAAAAAAAAAAAAAAAAATAGAAGAAGAAGTAAGTTATTATGCAGTAATAGATAATGAATATACTTGCATTAGTGGAAAAAGCCCATTGGTCATTATATATTACTCTTTTTACATAACCCTGGATTTTTAAATATAGAATTACTGTGTTTAGATTCATGAGAGATGGTAATCTATAATTTTCCTTTCTTAGAATGTCCTCTTTGGGTTTTGGTATCAAGATTAGGCTAACTCATAAAATGAATTGGGAAATGCTGTCAAATTTTTATGATCTCAAAGAGCTTCTGTAAAATTAATAATTTTTCAATTATATATTTAGAAGAGCTCAAGAGTGAGAACATTTAAGTTTGAGGGTTTCTCTGGAGAAAGTTTATAAATTACAAATGTAATTTATTTTGTAGATATGGAACTATTGAGAATTTGTATTTTTTATTTCAATATTTTTATTTGTGCAATAATTTATTTTATTTTATCCCAATTGTCAAAATATTACCCTAAATTATTTAATAATATCATTTTATCTTTTTATCTGTAGAATTCTTGAAATTCATAATTTGTGCTCTCTCCCTTATTTTCATCAATTTTTCTATGTATTTATTGATTTTAATAATATCTTCAAAGAACCACTCTAGGCTTTGTTTGTTAAGTTTCTATATTGTATATTCACTTTCTCTTTCATTGTTTTCAGATCTTATCTATCCTAGTTTATTTGGGTTGTTTCCTGTTTTTTTTTTAGCCTAAATTGGAGACTTTCATAATCTATTTTCAATCATTCTCCTTTTTCTCATACATACATTGAACGTTTTACATTTCTCTCTAGGCACTGCTGTAACTGCTTCTTACACATTTTTATATGTAGCAAATTTTTTGCTGTTTGTTCAGTTTAAAATATTTTCTGATATTCATTATGATTAATTCTATGACCCATGGGCTATTCAAAATTAAGTGACCAATCTCAAAATATCTAAGGATTCTAGGAATCTTTTAACATTTTATTTATAGTTGAAATCTACTATGTTCAACAAATATAGTCTATATTTTTGCTATTCAAAGTACTTGTTAAAATTTCCAGCTTAAAAGTTGTTGAATCTTCCAATTTCTTTTTATTACATGAAATCTCTTTAACTTTAGTAATATTTCTTTCATTAGTGTCTTATTTTGTTTTTATATATGTATGAACATATATATACACTTATGTATATATGCACATTTATGCACTTAATGACAGTATCAAAATATAAAAGCAAAAATTAATGGAAGTAAAAGGAGAACTGTGCAAATCCGCAATTACAGTTGAAAACTTTGGTATCAGCTCTTATAGGAAATGATAGAACAAGCAGATAAAAACTCACTAAGGATATAAAAGATTTGAAAAGTACAATTAATCAACTTGACTTTATAGACATTTATAGAACAGTACAGCCAACCACTGCATAATGCACATTATTTTCAAGTGTATAGGGAACATACACCAAAATACAATGTTTCTTCTTTTTCTCTCAATGTATCTTAACTTTATACTTAAAAGGATTTTTTTCCCCCTGCTTTTTTTTTTCTTTTCTTTCTTTCTTTTTTTTCTTTTTGAGACGGAGTCTCACTCTGTTGCCCAGGCTGGAGTGCAGTGGCATGATCTCGGCTCACTGCAACCTCCACCTCCTGGGTTCAAGCGATTCTCCCGGCTCAGCCTACTGAGTAGTTGGATTACAGGTGCCCACCACCATGCCCAGCTAATTTTTTTGTATTTTTAATGGAGACGGGTTTCACCATTTTGGCCAGGCTGGTCTCAAACTCCTGACCTCAGGCGATCCGCCCCCCTCGGCCTCCCAAAGTGCTGGGATTACAGGCATGGGCCACTGTGCCAGGTCCATATAAACAGCGTATAGTTGACCTTTAAAAAAGTATAAATATATATTTTTTGAGACAGGGTCTGGCTCTGTCATCCAGGCTAGAGTGCAGTGACCGGATCATGGTTCACTGAAGGCTTGGCTCTGACTATCCTCTCGCCTCAGCTTCCCAAATAGCTGGGACTACAGGCACATGCCACCACACCCAGCTAATTTTTTTTTCCATGTTTTAAGAGACAGGGTCTTGCTGTGCTGCCCAGGCTGGTCTTGAATTCCTGATCTCCAGTGATGTTCCCACCTCAGAGTATTTATCTTTTAATTGCAGTGATTCACCCATTTATATTTAATGTTTATACTTAATGATACAATTGAGTTTGGGTCTACTGTCCTTCTGTTCATTTTCTATTTGTTCATTCTATTCCTTTGTTTCTTCCTTGCTCCTCCCTTACTCTCTTTTGGATTAACAAAATATTTTTCTTATGACCTTTTTCTTCTGTTTTGGTCTTCGAGTAATGTATACTTTTATTAATCATTTAGTGGTTACCAAATAAATGACAACATATTCCTTGATTTATTAAAGCCTACCTTAAATGAATACTTTTGCCACTTTCTGAACTATGCCAAAAATTTACAAGTTGGTCGGACACAGTGGCTCGCGCCTGTAATCCCAGCACTTTGGGAAGCCGAGTCAGGCAGATCGCCTGAGGTCAGGAGTTTGAGACCAGCCTGGCCAATATGGTGAAACCCTGTCTCTACTAGAAATACAAAAATTAGCCAGGCATGGTGGTGGGCACCTGTAATCCCAGTTACTCAGGAGGCTGAGCCAGGAGAATTGCCTGAACCTGGGAGGCGGAGGTTGCAGTGAGCCAAGATCGTGCCACTGCACTCCAACCTGGGTGACAGAGTGAGACTCCATCTCAAAAAAAAAAAAATTTTACAAGTTTGGTTCCATTTATATCCATCATACACTTTATGTTATTGTCACATTTTATTACTACCTATGTATTAATCCCTACCTGGCATTGTTACTAGTGTTTTTAAACAGTAAAAATTTATTTATTTTATCTACATATTTATAGTTAAATGCTTCTGACTGGGATCATTTTCATTTAGTATGAAGAATTCCCTTAAGTATTTCTTACAGTACAAGGCTTCTGGTGACACATTTTCTTAGCTTTGTCTGAAAAGTTTTTACTTTAACTTTTTTTTCTTTTCTTTTTTTTTTTTTTTTTTTTTTTTTGAGACGGAGTCTCGCTCTGTGCCCCAGGCTGGAGTGCAGTGGCGCAATCTTGGCTCACTGCAAGCTCCGCCTCCCGGGTTCACGCCATTCTCCTGCCTCAGCCTCCCAAGTAGCTGGGACTACAGGCGCCCGCCACCATGCCCGGCTAATTTTTTGTATTTTTAGTAGAGACGGGGTTTCACTGTGTGAGCCAGGATGGTCTCGATCTCCTGACTTCATGATCCACCCACTTCGGCCTCCCAAAGTGCTGGGATTACAGGCCACTGCGCCCGGCCAAAAGGCATCCAAGTCTTATTTCTTTTGAAGGCAATGTGCTTTTTCCTATGTTTATTTTACTCTTTGCATTTGATTTTCAGCAGGTTGACTATAATAAACCTGTATATAGTTTTTTTTTATATTTATCCAACTTGGGGTTCAAAGAAGTCTTTAAATCTGTTTTAACATATTTCATCAGGTTTGGAAGTTGTGGGGCTAGTCTGTCTCCCAGGCTGGAGTGCAGTGGTGTGATCATGGTGCACTGCAGTCTTGACCTCCAAGGCTCAATTGATCCTTCCACCTCAGTCCCCCAAGTAGCTGGGACTACAGGCATGAGCCACCATGCCCAGTTACTGTGTGTGTGTGTGTGTGTGTGTGTGTGTGTGTGTGTGTGTGTGTTTTATGTAGAGATGGGGTTTTGTCATGTCGCCCAGGCTGGTCTCAAACATCTGAGCTCAAACAGTCCACCTACCCAGGCCTCCCAAAGTGCTGGAATTACAGGTCTGAGCCACTGCACCAGGCCCAATTTTTCTTTTTAAGACTTCATTCCTTTTACAATCTTAGCCTTGTCTTCTAGCTTGGAAGTATCTAATATGATCTTTAGGCAGCCCACTGTATCTTGTGTTTTTAATTTCAGGGACTGTTTTGTATTTTTAGAAATTCTATAAAGGTATTTTTTGAATTTGAATTAAAAAGTAGTATCTTGCTATTATTTGATTCCTTTTCACAACGTCTCTATTAATATAACTGAATCTTCCTATTCATGAACATGGAATCTCCCTCCATTTATTTAGTCCTTCTTTCATCGGAGTTTTGTAACTTTTCTCATATCATACCCAACATGTATATGAAAGAAATTGCAGTTTTTTTGGCCAGGTGCAGTGGCTCACCCCTATAATCCCAGCACTTTGGGAGGGTGAGGCGGGTGGATCACTTGAGGTCAGGAGTTCGAGACCAGCCTGGCCAACATGGAGAAACCCCATCTCTACAAAAATACAAAAAAATTAGCTGGGCCTGGTGGCACACGCCTATAATCCCAGCTACTTGGGAGGCTGAGACAGGAGAATCACTTGAACCCAGGAGGCAGAGGTCGCAATGAGCCAAGATTGTGCCATTGCACTCCAGCCTGGGTGACAGAACAAGACTTCATCTCAAAAAAAAAAAAAAAAAAAAAAAAGAAAAGAAAGAAAAAGAAATTGCAGTTTTTGCCATTAAAATAATTGCAAAAACCACAATTATCTTTGCACCATCCTAAATACATATTTTGTTAGATTTATGCCTAAGTACTTCATTGCTCTTGGTTCTAAGGTAAATGGCATTGTATTTTTACTTGCAAATCCCACCTGTTTATTGCTGGTATATATAAAAAGTGATTGGCGTTTGTATATTAATCTTGTATCCTATAACATTGCTGTGTTCACTTATTATTTCCAGTTATTAAATGAATTTTTTTGGATTTTCTACATAGATAATCATGTCCCCTGTTTTCTTTCTTTCTTCCCTATCTGTAACCCTTTTATTTATTTATTTATTTTTAAATCTTATTGTATTGGCTGAAACTTCCGGTGCAATATTCAAAATTAATGATGAGAGGAAACATTCTTTCCATGTTTCTGATCTTATTCAGAAAATTTTAAGTTACTTACCATTAAGTATGCTGTTAACTGCAGTAATTTTTTGTAAATATTCTTTAGCAAGGTGGGAAGTTCCCTTCTTAGTCCATTTAGTGTTGCTATAAAGGAATACCGGAGGCTGTGTATCTTATAAAGAAAAGAGGTTTATTTGCGTCACAGTTCTTCATGCTGTAAAATAAGCATAGCATCAGCATCTGCTTCTGGTGAAGGATTCAGGCTGCTTCAACTCATGGCAGGAGGTGAAGGCAAGCCAATGTGTTCAGTGATCATATGGTGAGAGAGGAAGCAAGAGAAAGGGAAAATGCTAGATTTTTGTTTGTTTGTTGGTTTGTTTTTTAATAATCAGCTCTTATGGCAACTAATAGTGCAAGAACTCACTCACTAACTCCACTCCTTCCCCAACAAAGGAGGGCATTAATCTATTCATTACGGGCCCACCCCCATGACCCATCCACCTCCTGTTAGGCTCTACCTGTCAACACCACCACACTGGGGGCCAAATTTGAACATAAGATTTGAAGGGAACAAACATCCAAACTGTAGCACCCTCTATTCCTAGTTAACTGAGAGTATTTATTATGAATGGGTGTTGGATTTTGTCAAGTGGTTTTTCTGCATCTCTTGATATAATCATATGATTTTTCTTCTTTAACCTAATGATATGATGGATTATATTAATTGATTTTTGAATACTGAATATGTTTTAAATACCTTTAATAAATCCCACTAGGTCTTGAGGCATAATTCTTTTTATAAATTTTTTGATGTAATTTGCTAATATTTTGTAGAAAATTTTTGCTTCTGTAGTCATGAGAAGCATTGATCTATGAGTTTTTTAATTTTAGTAATGTCTTCATCTGTTTTTGGAATTGAGTAATGCTGGCCTCATAGAATGAGCTAGGGAATATTCCCTCTGCTTCTATCTTCTGAATGAGATTGTAGAGAGTTGGAAGGATTTCTTCCTTAAATGTTTGGTAGAATTAACCAGTGAACCCATCTGGGCCTGGTCCTTTCTGTTTTGGAAAGCTATTGATTCAATTTCTTTAATAGATATAGGCCTATTGAGATTGTCAATTTACTCTTGTGTGAGTTTGGAAGATTGTATTTCAAGGAATTGGTCTATTTCATCTAGGTTATCAAATTTATTAGCATAGAGTTGTTTATAGTATTTTAAAAATTATTCTTTTAATGTTTATAGTGATGTTCCCTCTTCTGTTTCTGATATTAGCAATTTGTATTTTCTCTCTCTCTTTTTTTTTTTAAATTAGCTTGCATGGCTAGAGACATTGGTTTTGTTGATCTTTTCAAAGAAACAGCTTTTGATTTTATCAATCTTCTCTATTGATTTCCAATTTCAATTTCATTGATTTCTGATCAAATTTTTTTTTTTTTTTTTTTTTTTGAGATGGAGTTTCACTGTGTTGCCCAGGCTGGAGTGCAATGGCACAATCTCGGCTCACTGCAAACTCTGCCTCCCAGGTTCAAGTGATTCTCCTGCCTTAGCCTTCAGAGTAGCTGGGATTACAGGTGCCCGCCCCCTGCCCAACTAATTTTTGTATTTTTCTTAGAGATGGGGTTTCACCATGTTGCTCAGGCTGGTCTTGAACTTCTGACCTCAGGTGATCCACCTGCCTTGGCCTCCCAAAGTGCTAGGATTAAAGGTGTGAGCCACTGCGCCCGGCCAATATCTATCATTTAAAAAACGGTTTTCCATTGTTGCCCTTGTTCTATGTTCCTATTTTTGTCTTTTTTTCTTCCTCTTGTGGTTTTAAGAGAGCATTATCTATAATTTCATTTTCTCTCCTTTCTTAGAGTATCAATTTTACTTCTTCTTATTTTCTTGCCCCTCTGCTTCTTTTCTAGTGTTTGTAATTTATGTTCACAACTATTCCATGTTCGCTTTCAAACAACACTATACCACTTCATGGGTAATGTGAGTACCTTATAACAAAATCATCCCAATTCCTCCCTCCTGTACCTTGTATCACTGCTGTCATTCACTTATACATAAGCATATTAGTGAAAAAATATATATAATTAAATACATTGTTGGTATTATTATTTTAAATAAACTTGTCTGTTAGATCAATTAAGAATTAGAAAAATAATAGTTTTTATTTTATCTTCACGTATGCCTTCTCTTCTGTTCCTTGTTTATATAGATTCAAGCTTCTCACCTATATCATTTCCCTTCTCTCTAAAGAAACTCTTGTAATATTTTTTGAAACTCAGGTGTACTGGTAACGAATTCCTTCAAATTTTTTTTTTTTTTGGTCTGCAAGCCTGTATTTCTCCTTCATTTTTGAAAGATAATTTTTCAGGGTACAGCATTCTAGGTTGGTGGTTTTTTACTTTCAACGCTTGAAGTATTTCACTCTGTTCTCTTTTTGCTTGCATGCTTTCTGAGGATAAGTTGGATGTAATTCTTATCTTTGCTTCTATGTAGATAAGGTGTTCATTTTCTCTACTTTTTTTTTTTTTGGAAACCGAGTTTCTCCGTTGCCCAGGCTAAAGTGCAGTGGCATGATCTCGGCTCGTTGAAACCTCTGTCTCCCAGGTTCAAGCGATTCTCCTGTCTCAGCCTCCCAAGTAGCTGGGATTACAGGTGCATGCCACCATGGCTAGCTAATTATTTTTGTATTTTTTGTAGAGATGGGGTTTCTCCATGTTGGCCAGGCTGGTCTTGAACTCCTGGCCTCAAGTGATCCACCGGCCTCAGCCTCCCAAAGTGCTGGGAGCACAGGAATGAGCCACCACACCCGGCCATTTTCTCTACTTGTTTCAGGGTCTTTTTCTTTATCTTTGATTTTCTGTAGTTTAAATATGATATACCTAGGTGTAGGTTTTTGGCATTTATGATGCTTGATGTTCTCTGAGTTTCCTGTATCTGTGGTTTGGTGTCTGACATTAATTTGCAGAAATTCTTAGTCATTATTTTTTCAAATATTTAAAATAATTATCCTTTTAAAAATAATTTTTTGTTCCTTTTTTCTTCTCCTTCTAGTGTTCTCATTATGTATATTTACACCTTTTGTAATTGTCTCACAGTTTTTAGATATTCTGTTCTGTTTTTTTCTAGTCTTTTTTTCCTATTTGATTTTCGACTTTGGAGGTTTCAACTGAGATATCCTTAAGCGCAGTGACTCTTTCCTCAGCTGTGTCCAGTCTACTAATAACCCCACCAAAGCAGTCTTCATTTCTCTTGTTGTTTTTGATCTCTAGCATTTTTTTCTTTGAATTTCCACCTCTCTACTTATATTGACCATCTGTTACTGTGTTCTGCCAACTTTATCCATTAGAGCCCTTAGCATATTAATGATATTTGTTTTAAATTCCTGGTCTGATAATTCCAATATTCTTGCCGTATTTGAGTCTGGCTCTGATGCTTGCTTTGTTTCTTCGAACTGTGTTCTTTGTTTTAGAGTATGCCTCATAATTTCTTCATGATGGCTGGAGATGATGTTCTAGGTAAAAGGAACCGCCCTAAACAGGCCTTCAGTAATGTGGTGGTAAGGTATTGTGGGGTGGAGAAGTGTTCTACAGGCCCATAGGTAGTTTTCAGTGTTTTAGTGATCCTGTGCCTCTGGACTGTGAACTTCACATGTGCTTCTCGGCACCTCCCAGCCCAGGCGGAGCAGAATAACAAGAGTGGGCTGGAGTTAAGCATTTCCCTTCTCTCACATGGAAATCTAGAAGGGGCTAGAGTTAGGTATTTTTCTTCCTTCACGTGGAAGGCTACAACCAGCTGTAATAGATTTGGGTATTTCCCTTCCTCCATGTTAGGTGCTGATAAAACTCCAGCTGGTTTGGCTCCAGTTAATTACTTTCTCCTGAGGGCAGACCTTGTTAAGAAGAATAAAATGCACTGGTGTACTTCAAAATGGTTCCCTTTTCTCCTCTCTTCTGCTAGCAGCACGAGGAGATTTTTCCCCAAAATCACTGTGAGACCCTGTGGATTCTAGCAGTTAAAACCCACTAAAGTGTAGGGTCCCTGATGACTGGGACCCCATGGAGTTTTTATCTCCAGCAATTTATCAGCTACAGTTCAGATTTCTGTACCCCAGCATTGGTTCTGAGGAAGTTTCCGCATGTGGTTTCTGCTGTGGTAAGTTGTGATTCTCTGTACTCACCGGTCAGTCTTTCCAATTTTTGGGGGGCAGAGGTTTGCACCTTAATCTCACTTCTTTCTCTGATCTAAGAAGAGTAGGTTTTTCTGTGTGCTTAGCTTTTTAATTGTTACAATGAAATGGTGACTTCCAAGCTTCTTACGTGCTAGACTGGAAACTGGAAGTCACCAGTGAAATTTTTACCTTTTACTGTTGGATGTATGTGTGGTGTGCAGTCAGCTATCATAGGGCAGGAAGTTTACATTTTTGTTCCAGATTCAGCCGGGGACTAGTAACTTGGAAGTTTCCTCTCTGACTGCTCCTGAGAGGAAGCGGCCTTGTGTGTGCACACAGTCTTCTAGACTGCCAGGGCTGAGTGTGATTTTATTTTTAAGCTTGGCTTCATAGGAGTTGCCTCTTGGGGCAGAGTGGCTTATTGTTCACTTAGTGTTTTGTCAGATGTTCTGTTTAAGTTCCTTGTTCCAGTAAAGCTTCACCTTGTGTTGATGAGTCTGTGAGGCTTGGGGAATGCTTTCAAGTCCGCCCCCACGTCTGCTCCAATTGCTCCTGTGTGGGGGCAGCCTCGTGCTTGCACACAACCCTTTTGACCCCTAGAGTTGACTGTGATCCTACCAGGCCTCTTTTTAGCTGTCTTTCCCTGGTTCTATTAAACTTCTGTTCTGCTGTTTTGCTTGTATAACGGAGCTACCAGCCTCCTCTTAATTATTCTCCACCTGATCTTTATGGTTTTCCACAGCGTTGTTGTTTTTTGTTTTTCTTTTTTACACAGGGGCTTGCTCTGTTGCCCTGGCTGGAGTGCAGTGTGCAGTAGCATGATCACTGCTCACTGCAGCCACGACCTCCCCACACTCAGGTGATCTTCCCACCTCAGCCTCCTGAGTAGCTGGGATTACAGGCATGCACCACCACACAGGCTAATTTTTGTATTTATTTATTTATTTATTTTTAGAGCTGGGTTTTCCCCATGTTGTCCATGATGCACAGCATTCTTAGGCCTGGAATTCTCCACTCTGTGTTCCAAACAGCTGGTCCCCTCAGGCAGAGCCGCAGAGCTCTTCATCTCATGGCCTGCCTCTCCTCTGGGCAGAGACCCTGTGCTATGCACTGGAGTTGGGGGTGGAGACCTACTTATCGATGTGACACCCTTGCTCTATGAATAGGGTTGGGGTGGGTGGATGGTAATCCCTTGTCTACTTGGCTTGACCTTCCTGGCATGGAAACTCTCCTAAGAGCACATGGAATGTGGGCAGAGAGCTATTGGACTGCCAGTGTTTGCAGCTTGCCATGCCTGAGGTAGTTTCTATCCTATGACTGAGGGCTGGGTGGAGAAAGAGTACCCTGGTCATCTCGGATGTGTCTGCCTAGAATACAGCTTCCATGATCCAGAGATGGTGGTGGTATCAGGGATATGGTGGTGGGGGGGGGATGTGGTGTGGGGGGGATGTGGAGGTGGTGGGGGGGATGTGGTGGTGGTGGTGGGGGATGTGGTGGTGGTGCTGGGGGGGATGTGGTGGTGGGGATGATGTGGAGGTGGTGGGGGGGATGTGGTGGTGCTGGGGGGGATGTGGAGGTGGTGGGGGGGATGTGGAGGTGGTGGGGGGGATGTGGAGGTGGTGGGGGTGATGTGGAGGTGGTGGGGGGGATGTGGAGGTGGTGGGGGGGATGTGGTGGTGGGGGGGATGTGGTGGGGGGGATGTGGTGGGGGGGATGTGGTGGGGGGGGATGTGGTGGTGGGGGGGATGTGGTGATGGGGGGGATGTGGTGGGTATGTGGTGGTGGTGGGGATGTTGTGGTGGGGGATATGGGGGGAATGTGGGAGTATGGTGGGGGGAGGTGGTGGGGGGGGTTATGTGGTGATGGGGGGATGGTGGTGGCTATTCTGGAAGTCTTACCCATAAAATAATCTTTAAAAAATGGAAATTTGCTCTGCAGCTATTCCTCCTCTCTAACTTAAAGCAATTTAATGATTCCCCATTGATTTTTAAAATGAAATCTAAAATTCCTATGCTGGCCAACCTATGTAATCTAAGCCTACATCTCCAGCCTCATTTTGAGCCAATTTCATTCTTAGTGTTCTCCCACTGGGAACAACAGTTCTCTCACAGTTCCTCAAACGTGGCAAACTCTGTTTTGCCTCAGGACCTACTCACTTCCTTTTCTTTACATGGCTCATTGCTACTCATTGTCCAGAATTCAGCTTTAGCATCAGTCTTCAGCAAAGCCCACTTTTTGCCTCTTGACTTGTATAGATCCAATGCTCCATTGAAACTGAGATCTTCCCTTTCCACACCTGTAATAATTTAATTATTTCAAGTTGTTTATTATTATTATTATTTTGGAGACAGGATCTTGCTCTGAGACCTGGGCAAGAGAGTGAGCAAGATGACAGCTCACTGCAGCCTTGACCTCTCAAGCTCAAGCGATCCTTCTACCTCAGCCTCCCTAGTAGCTGAAACCACAGGTGCAAGCCATGGTGCCCAACTAATTTTTAAATCATTTGTACACACTCCCTATGTTGATTAGGCTGGTCTTGAATTCCTGGGCTCAAGTGATCCTTCTGCCTCGGCCTCTCAAAGTGTTGGGATTACAGGCATGAGCCACTGTGCCCTGCCTTGTTTCTTATTTAATAACATCTACTTCCCTATTTGATTGTAAGCTCCCTGAGGGATAGTTTTCTATTGTGCATTTCCAAGGAGCTCAACAAAGACCTGACTGATAGCCTGATGGATCCACCATAGAGCCTTTACACAGGGTGAACAATGCCGGATTATCCTGCGGTATGAAGTGGGGAAGAACACAATGGTTGTTAGTAGTTATTTTTTATTTTTCTTCTCTTGAGAATTTATGCAATTATTCTAAAAAATTACGTTTTGGTCAAGGTGTATAGATTCTTTTGGATCTACATTTGGAGGTATATATAGTTTGGCTGCCCAGATCAGGCATCCTTAACTCACAGAGGCAGTGGTAGGTGTTGCTTCTGGTACCTCTGATGCCAATGGGGAAGGTCACTCTTCCCTCCCTTACCTAGATCTTTCTCTGAAATCAAATGAGACATCCTAGATGACAGGAACTTGTGAAGGCCAACACAGAATATGCTGACTCAGATCTCCTCCCTATCACCTCCTTTCTTTTGTCTCATGTAGAATTATGAAAATAATATCTGTCTTGTTTATTGGCACAAGTAGATACTTAATAAATTCCTCTTTTCTTTTCCAGTACACAGTTAATTGTTTTAGTTCAGTTACATACCTGTGAGCTTCTAAAGTTCCTTCCATTGTTTTCTAGCTCTTGTCTAGTTATCTCTGGAAAACTCCTCAATAACAATATCACAGCCCCCCAAATGGCCATACTCGTGCCTTCGGTGTGTAAATATTGCTGGTGTTAGACCTGTATTGAGGAAGAGAGAACAGGGCATTCAGAAGAGAAATCACATGTAATTTAATTGCATTACTCTCTGAGTACCTTGAGATGTCCACAAGTCCCTTTTAGAAGCCCTGCAGATATAGTCAACTAGTTTTTCCTTCTTTTCTAAATAAACCCAATATGTGGTTTTTGAATGAATGAATAAATGAACAATATCTGCTTATCCTCAAGGACCAGCAAAATAAGTAAAAATTTCCTTATTAACTTGTGTTGCTTTCCTGTTTTGTTTAATCGTCGCAACTGTGGCCACAGAATACCTCACAATATTCAGTGGCAAATGTACAGCATGTTAGCTTCAGTATGGATTTCTCTCTTTGCTGGATTTTCAGGGTATAGGGAGGATTCACCTCTATATGTACCATTGTTTCTGACTATGGGAAACAAGGTCTGTGTTCCAAGCAGATTGGATCATATAAAGTGGGATGTAACTACTCTGAATTTCAAAACTACCTACACAACACTCAGACATCAGAGAAGGGTAATTCTGGGGGGCTTTCTGACTTTTACTTGACCTTCCTGTTCTATTTACATTTTAAATTGTCCATTTAATGAAATGTAAAAACCAACTCCACTATTGTGAGTCTAGTTTTCTGTCACCCATGGTTCACATCGAACCTCAGTTATTTGAATCACATTGTCACAGTAATTAGCCCAGAGCATGAAATTACTAAATGAATGAGTGAATGAATGCCACACACAGTACAGTTGAAGGGGTTGGAAATTTCGTACTGGAGAATATTCAGATAAAACTTGATGGTTTCTTCAAATATTTGAAAGACAGTTTTTTGAAAGATTCAAAAGGTTCATGAGGCAGGACTAGGCAGAAGCAAGACCAATGCACAAAACTTTGTTCAGTCCGACAAACATAGCATGCCTACTGGGCACCATGTTTGCCCTGTGGGATATGGAATCGTTAAACAGTATAATCCTGCTCTGAGGCTTTGGGGTGGGTAGGGGCCTGTGGTAGGAATGGATTTCTATAGAGGGAACAATCTTACTGGAAATCAGGGGCTGGGAATTTGGGAATTAGTTTAATTGTAACTTAAGTTGTATGTTGATGTGGAGAGACTGCAGGGGGTAACTAATGGCATTTAATGGGGGTGTGGGGGGAATCGTTTCAGTGGAACCACCTCTTGGCACCATCACTTGTGTGGCTTAATATCTAATGGTCTCTGAACTCACCCCCTCAAGGCCCTCACTTTTTTTTTTTTTTTTTTAAGACAGAGTCTCACTCTGTCACCCAGGCTGGAGTACAGTGGCACGATCTCAGATCCTCAGCTCACTGCAACATCCGCCCCCTGGGTTCAGGTGATTCTCCTGCCTCAGCCTCCTGAGTAGCTGAGATTACAGGCACCTGTCACTGCCCCCGACTAATTTTTTGTATTTTTAGTAGAGACGGGGTTTCATCATCTTGGCCAGGCTGGTCTTGAACTCTTGACCTCGTGATCCACCCACCTCGGCTTCCCAGAGTTCTGGGATTGCAGGCGTGAGCCACCGTGCCCGGCCAAGGCCTTCACTTCTTAAGGCAACATGGATGACTTTGCTTATTAGGTGAAAGTCAGGAAGTTTCAGGAAAGAAAGATTAATATTTTGGGGTATTTTCCTTATATCTTATTTGTAAGTGATCTTCCCCCACATAAAAGCAGCCTGTTAAATAATTCCTTACCTTTATGAGAATTTTCTAAAATAGTACAATCAGAGATACCCCTATTTTGTTAGACATTTTGATTGGGTTGGTTTAGACAATGTGGTCACTCTATGTGTGGATTTGGAGGGGGCTGCCTCATAGCCATTGTCTTGAGAAAAAGCCTTTGCTAAGGGGCTGTGGTGTGCCTTGGCCCCAAGTGTTCGAATTAACTAGCGGTGTAGGAAGCAGGCTCTTTTCCTTCTTCTTTTAATTCCCCAAGGTCCCAGGGAAGGCCTGTGATCCACAGCTCTGAGTAGGAAAGGCAGGCAGGGAGGCTGGAGGCTGTCACAGGGCTGGAAGCAGGGTGGGCAAGACCAGGTCCATGGGGAGCCTGTGAGAATGTCCAGGGCAGGACTGGGAGGGAATGTCAGAGAAGAGGGCAGGATCCTGACTGCTGAGCAGCACGAGACTGGGACTGGGCAGAAAGGAGGCCTGAAGCTTAAATAATATCACATGAACTCTCTCGGTTTGAGGTTTTATCAAAGAGGCTTTTGAGGCCTGGAGAATTCCAAACCTCCTGGAAGGGGAAGTTCGCAGGCCTGGGGTCCTGAGATCTTACTTTAGGAGCCTTTCACCCCTCCCAGTCAAGGCCCTGGGCTCTTGCCCATTCATAGGCCCATCCTGATTGTACCTCACAGTCTGCCTGGGGAATGTGAGCCAAGGAAATGCATGTGTAATGAGATTCGCACCCACATTTTCCACACCCTGTCTGGGGACACCAGCTCTGACAAGCATGCGTGTGCTTTTGGGATTATGACCAGAATATGCATAATCAGAGATATCCCAGAAATTTGGCATCCATGTGGCCAAAACTTTGAGCATTGGATCCCAGCTTCTGTGGTTCTCACAAGCTTAGCAGCTGCCTTTTCTTAAGTTATTGTCTAAGCTAGGTTCATTTCAGGAAACAGGCAGGTGACAGTGGGAATCTGTGATGATGCTGGAGGCCCTAAGGAGTCTCTACTGAATAATCATGTCTTGGTGCAATTCCAACTTCAGGTAGGAAAGTTGGGATTGAGAAGAATCTCTCAATTCTTGATGAGAATGCTCCTCCAAAGCAATGTTGCTAGTATAAGGCCATTTTTGTCTTTTAGCAACTTTTTTTTTTTTTTTTTTTTGGCAACAGGGTCTTGCTTGGTTGGTCAGGCTGGAGTACCGTGGCACTGTCATGGCTCACTGAAGCCTCAACCTCCTGGGCTCAAGTGATGCTCCCTCCTCAGCCTCCCTAGTAGCTGGCACTACAAGTACACGCCACCGTGACTGGCTAATTTGTTTTAGTTTGTAAAGATGGGATCTTGCTTTGTTGCCCAGCCTGGTCTTGAATTCCTGGCCTCAAAGTATTCTTCCCATCTTGGCCTCCCAAAGTGCTGGGATTGCAGGTGTAAGCTACCACACTCAGCACAACATTTTTTTTTTAATGATAATACTCACTTTGGTGAAGGGTTGGGGTGAGATAGATACTACAAGTAGGAATATATGTTAATGAAAGTTTTTTTGTAAAAGACATTTGTGGCTGCGCATGGTGGCTCACACTTGTAATCCCAGCACTTTGGGAGGCTAAGGTGGGCAGATTACCTGAGCTCAGGAGTTTGATACCATTCTGGCCAACATGGTGAAACCCTGTCTGTAGTAAAAATACAAAAAATTAGCCGGGCATTAGTGGCGGGCGCCTGTAGTCCCAGCCACTTGGGAGGCAGAGGCAGGAGAATCGCTTGAACCCGGGAGGCGGAGGCTGCAGTGAGCCAAGATGACGCCACTGCACTCCCGTCTGGGCAACAAGAGTGAAACTCTATCTCAAAACAAAACAAAAAACAAACAAAAGACATTTACTAGTCTTGAGACTAGTCTTTGTCTTTGTACTTGAGTCTCAAGTACAAAGAGCCTTGAGAAATTAGACAGATTTCAAGACAGCTCTGATTACACATATTCTGTTTTATAATGCACTTTTGCCCAATAATTCTGTTTATAGTAATCCCCTTTCAGGAAATAATCAGATATATAGAGAAAGAATTGTGACGTTTATGCCAGTATTGCTCATATCAAAATGTGGAAATTTACTTCAGTGTCTGATAATAAGAGAATAGTTAAATTAGTCACATTAAACTTATTTGGTGAAATATTAGGCCTCCGTGAAAAAAATGACACTTAGAGAAAATATATACACAGTTTACAGAAAATACTAATTTCCTTTTTTTTTTTTTTTTTTTTTGAGATGGAGTCTTGTTCTTTCACCCAGGCTGGAGTGCAGTGGCATGATCTCGGCTCACTGCAACCTCTGCCTCCAGGGTTCAAGTGATTCTCCTGGCTCAGCCTCCTGAGTAGCTGGGATTATAGGCGCATGCCACTATGCCTGGCTAAATTTTGTATTTTTAGTAGAGACGGGGTTTCACCATGTTGGTCAGGCTGGTCTTGAACTCCTGATCTCATGATCTGCTTGCCTCAGCCTCCCGAAGTGCTGAGATTACAGGTGTTAGCCACCGCGCCCAGCTAATTTTCTTAAATATGTGAAAAAGTGCTCCACCTCACTCCAAATAAGAGAGATGAAAAATTAAAGCAACATGAGATACAATTATCACTAGTGAAAGAGTAAAATGGTTGATAATTTGTGTTATTGAGGGAGAGAGAGAACTGGAACTCTCATATACTGTATTAGTTACCTATTGTAATATAACAAACTCTTAAACTTAGTGGCTTACGACAATAATAAACATTTGTCATGTCTCCTAGTTTCTGTGTGTAAGTTATTTTGGAGCATCTTAGTGGGGTCTTTCTAGCTTGGGGTATTTCATGAGATTGCCCTCAGCTGAAAGCTCGACTGGATATGCACAGTTCCCTTCCAAAATACCTCACTCACATGGCTGGCAAGGCGATTCTAGTTGTTGGTGGCAGGTCTCAGTTTCTCCCCACAGGGACATCTCCTCAGGGCTTTCTCATGACATGTGTTGTCATGACATGGTGGCTCTCTCCTGAGTAAGGGAACAGATTTTGGCTGCAAGACCTTTTATAATTTAGCCCCACAAGTCACACACTATCATCTCCACAACACTCTATGCATCACATAGACAAGCTCTGATTTAATGTGGGAGGAGAGCACTTGGGGATATGAACCAGATGAAGATTATCTGGGCTATCTTGGAGTCCCACATACTCTGGAAGTGGGAAGATATTTGGCAATATCTATTGAAATTTAAAATGTGCAAACCCTTTGACCCAGGAATTTAACTTTTAGGAATTTATACTGCAAGATTTGCATTTGTGTCTAATGATATATATAAATATATACAAGGAAAGTTATTACAATATTGCTTTAATGCAAAAGCTGGAAATGCCCTAAATGCCTACCAACAGGGCATTGGGTGAATAGTATGGGACAGCTTTCAATGTAACATACTATACAGCTGTTCAAAACAATGAGATTGTTCATTCCACTCATGTAGTTCTGTGGAACTATATCCTAAATATATTAAATGGAATGTGGGTGGGTGTGTATAAATTGATAAACTCTATTAGGAAGGACATATAAAACCCTGTTAACACTGGTGGCCCATTTGGGGAGCAGGAATAAAGGGAAAAATTATTCACTTTATGTTCTTTCATATTTTTCAAATTTTGTACCATATAGACATATTACCTATTCATTAATTAATAAAAAATTAAATGATTTTAAAAGTAAAGAAGTAGAAATACATTTTAAAATGATTGGAAATGCTCATACTATACAAATAATTTAAAAATACCATAGCAAACCATATTTGTGATATAATTTAATTTGTTTTAAAAACATTGTACATAGGCCGGGCACAGTCGCTCACATCTGTAATCTCAGCACTTTGGGAGGCCAAGGTGGGAGGATTGCTTGAGCTCAGGAGAGCGAGACTAGCCCAGGCAACAAGGCAAACCCCATCTCCACCAAAAAATACAAAAGTTAGCCCAGCACGATGGCATGTGCCTATAGTCCCAGCTACTTGGAAGGCTGAGATAGGAGGATTGCTTGAGCCCCGGAGGTAGAGGTTGCAGTGAGCCAAGATCACACCGCTGCACTCCAACCTGGGCAATAGAGCCAGACCCTGTCTCAAAACAAAACAAAAATGTACATAGGAAAAGACTGAAAAGATCATACCAAAAGTGACAATCAATGATAGATAAAGTGTTTCCCTTAACTTTATCTTCTAGATTTTCTACAATGACTATTTTATTTCTGTAATCAGAACAAAAAACAGACAACTTATTTCTGGTTAATGAGATGAAGGGAAACTTATTTTCTTCTTCATTCTTTTTAGTATTTTTCCATAATGATTTTGTATTACTTGTAAATGCAAAAGAAAAAAGATTTAAAACCTGCGATCCAGGGTTCTGGATCAGAGTTTCCAAAATTATGCTTGGGGATCTGAGCAGTGCCCTGAAGAGTGAGAAGCACCTTTTCCTGGACTTGCTCTGGCCAGACTGGGCTCGACCCCACAGTGTTCATCTGCTAGCCCTGGAGAGCAGGGAAGAGAGCTGCTTTTCTTTCCCAGGGCTGGTTAGCACTGTTCACAATCAAAGACTTCAGATTGTTGAACAGCCACATTTGCTGCTGCAGAGGCACCCTAGGATGGAGCAGAAGTAGAGTGCGAAGTTGGGAGCAGCCAGAAAGACAGAGGCCAACGGAGAAATCCAAGCACAGAGCGGGTTCAGGCTGCAGCCATTTGGGAGACAGTGTTCTAGATTGCTTGGAACACTTCCTGACTCTAAGCTCTTTTACTCTCCAAGGCCACCACGTGAGTATCTCCCATGCAGGAAGTCTTTGCCTCTTTTTCTCCCCAGGACTTTGCTTGACCGTGAGTGCCTACATCTGTGAAATTCCTGCCAGAGGACCCTGGCCCCTTGGTTCCACACACACACACAAAAAGCACTCATATAAATATAGTCTGTTAAATTCAATAGTGGAAAAACAAAGGGCAGAGGAAAGACAATTCCTGGATGCTGAGCTGAGATGGCTGCCGTATACTGCCGAGACAGCTACCATGGACTGTTGTCTAGGTTGTATACTGCTACATCTAGTAGGACATCCTTCATGAAATAAACATTAATTTGTATATTTATTATAACATTTCCAGATGATGGTTATAAATTGTTTTAACAAAATTAGTATATTATGATTTTCAGAAAGGTGTTTTGAGAAGGGACACCTTTTTCTAGTTGGTTAATATGGGTCAGCAGCATCTGTGAATTTTAATTCAGTACTTAATTTAGTACTGAATTTTAATCTTAGTTCAGATTTAATTTTAATACCTTGCCCTTGTCTACAAACCTAGCCTAGTCTGCCATGAGACTCCTGGAGGTGGGCAGAAATACTGGACAGTACTGAAAAGACAGTTTCAGGTAAGGACAAAAAGTAGAATGGGAAGTTGGGAGCAGCCAGGAAGATGGAGGCCAAGGGGGAAGTTCAAGCACAGAGCAGGTTCCAGACTGCAGACATTTGGGAAACTGTTCTGGCTGCTGGAAATGAGGCAGATACTGGAAAGCAGGCAGAACCATAGACCTTCCTTGCATCTCAGATGTGCATAAGAGATGCTGTCAGTTCTCACTTCACACTTGGATTTTTGGCTTCTCCAGTTATGAAAAACTGTGTGCTGCTGTGTGCGGATTTTGAAGCAATTATTGAGATCTAAGGGCTCTATTAAGGGCAGAAATTGCTGCCTCACTAGGCAGGCTTCAGTGACTTTGTCGCTATGGTGTTTAATCCTGACTCATGGGCCCACATGCTCTTTCTCAGGTTGTGGAGTGTAGATTCTGTGATTTATCGCATCTGGCTGCTCACATCCTTTGCACTGTGTGTGTGTATGTGTATAAGTGTGCATGCAAGCTCACTTTTGTATAATTGCACGCTGGCTTCCCTCCAAAATTCTTGCTGTTACAAATTACTTTTGGCTATGTTCAGGTTCAAGGTAGGAAAATCCAAGAGACAAATATAGTTGAAATGTGTCAACAGCCTTAGGCTGCCATGTTTGGGGAAGTATTTTAGTAATGAGAGTCCTCAAGTCTGAGAATGGCCCCATGGTCTACCACAAAGGGCCTCTTTCTCTCTCTTCCCTCTTTGCTCTCTATCGCCTCAACTAAACTATTTGGGCAGAAAGAGCAGGGAGTCACTGAAATGCCTGGAGCCCCTGGATGTTCCTTTATGGAGATACCTGAGACTCCCTTTTCTCATAAGGCCCTTCTAGAAGTCACTCCTAATGTTCTGTCTGAGCAACCCAGATCCCCTTGTTGAATTCTAGACCTGTATATTTGGCTGGACATGGAATATCTAGGAGGAAAAGATGTATCAAACTCAATATATGCCCAAAGTCAACACATCAATAACCTTCCCTGTTTGCCACTACTGTCTCCTCCTCCCATGATTCCCTATCTTGGCGTGTTGCCTCTGAGAGTGTGTTAGCAGAACTCCAGCCACGGGGAGTGTCATTAACCAAGGACTCATCTTCTGTGCCCCAAAATCTATCACTGTGTTTGCCCTGCGACCATGCTTTCCACAGGCTGTTCCCAGCAATAATTAAGCCTAGTAAAGACACCAAGGCAGATCTGTTGCTGAGAGACATGGGACAACTTTGACAACTGACTTTGGCTCAAGGACTTCCTGATGGCCTTGCAGAATCTTCCCTAGGCTGCATGGCAGTCTAGGATGTTTTTATTCAACCTTTCTTCTGTCACCCCAATACTTGGGATCTCCTAGACTTGTAGTCTGATGCCTCTTCCAGATTTTTGCAACTCTTTCCCCATTTTCTTAAAATCTTTGCACATTTAGTTACATCTTGGCATATTTCTCAAGGACCCGGAATAGCAAACGTAGCATTGCGAATGGGATAGTAGTGCTACTGGTCCTGTTCCATCTTGAAAAGACCAGCAGTTTGTCCTCACAAGGAGAGAGACCTCTTCTGAGCACAAGTTTGCCTTTCCTGTGTTTAGATGGCATGGTATGGGATATCATCAGGGGCTCACTCTTGCCAGGGGACACAACGAGAGTCCTACTGAACTACAGGACATTATCATTAAGACCCTCTTTCATCAAAAGATACCATTAAGAGATTGAAAAATCAAGTTTACACAATGGGAAAAAAAGATTTCTGATATACGCACCTAATATGACTTGTGTACAGAATATAGGAATTCTTCCAATGCAGATAACTTAATAGAAAAATGGACAAAGGACGTAAACAGGCACTTCAAAAAAAGAATACCCACATGGCCAATACACATTTTTAAAAGTGTTAAATTCTGCTAGTTACTTGGGAAATGTAAATTAAGACCTCAATGTGATGCCATGAGAAATGGCTAAAGTGAAAATGCAAGACAATACCAAATGTTGACAAGTAATTGGAATTGAGCAACCAGAATTCTCACACTGACACTGGAAGTGTGTATGGGAATAACTATTTCGGAAAACTGACGGTATCACTAACCTGTACATGTACATTTCCTATAGTCAGCAATTCCACATGTACATATGTTCAACAAAAAACAGGACACGAATATAGCTAGCAGCCCTATTCATAATGTCAAAAACAAATAATGACACAAATGTACATTTATAGGAGAATGGATAAATAACTCTTCATACACTAGAAGATAGCAATGAGGATGAATGAACTACGATTACATGCAATAACATTGATAACTCTCACAGACAATGGCGAATGAAGAAAGATAGGCACAGAGCATATGAGGTGATTCATTTGTGAAATGCTTAAAAATAAACAAAACTCGTCTAGGCTGTTAGAAACTGGGATGGTGGTTATCTTTAGGCTGTGAGTAGTGACTGGAACTGGGCAAAAGGGTGGCTTGTGGAATGCTGGTATGGGTTCTGTTTCAACATCTGGGTACTAATCACTCATGTGTGTTCACTTTATCAAAATCCATGAAGCTGTTCTAGAATTATTGACTTTATGTATGTTTTTCATTAATAAAATTTACCAAGAAGTTTACTTTTTCTCAATATTTTCATTATAAAAAATTTAGAAAATATAGAACAGAAAAATTGCAATAAGGCTAACCTACTTTTAATATTTTAATGATTATCCTTTTGATTTTTTCTGTATGCACTCAAATGTTGTCCTCTGCAACACTCTCCTTCAAATAAAATCAGGACCATGTTCTAGATGCCATTTTGTAAGTATCTTTTAACACTTTGACTGTATATTCAACCATACACATTGTAAACACCTTTCCCTGTCATGAACATTTGTTTATCACATTTAAAAGGGCTGCAAGTCATCCACTGAATTGGGAGTTCCACTATCTGTAGAAGAACTCATTTTTCATGTCCAGTTTGTTTCCAGTTTTTCAATATTGTAAACAATGTGATAATCAGTCTTGTAGCTAAATCTTTGCCCTACATCTTTGGTTATTTCTTCTAAGTCTTAGAAATTGTGTTTGGGTATAAAGAATGTGTATACTCTTGAAGTTTATACATCCCATAGTTAATTTTTTAACAAGTAACAATTTCAAAGAGGGCATGGCATGATTTGAACTGGGTTCGTATCTGGTTGTTTGTGGCATTCTAAGAGCAACAACAATGATGACAATGCTAATAGTTACTATGGTGCCTATTATTTATTTCCCACTAACAACCTGGTTAGGTGATTTTTAGTAGATACATTTAGTAGATACAAATGAGAAAAGAGGTTCAGATACGTGAAGAATCTCGTTTAAGTTCTTTCAGAATAAAGCTGGATACAAAGCCAGGCCTGCCCGAAACCAAAGCCCATAGCTACCATGATGTCTCCCCAGAGAATGGGAAATCCTATTGTCAAGTTGTACCAGGAAGCCCAACTGAATTAGTGATTCCTATAAGTTATATCAAAAGTTCATAATTATAGTGAGAGTTGATGCTCAATTAATACTAATAGAGATCCAAAAAGAAGGATTGAGACAGGAGAAGAGAATTTGTCTGGAAGGGTGGGTGCTTACGGAGTCTGCTGGAAGTTAGCAGAAGATAAGAAATTGAAATCCTGTGTTAACCCACTTGCTGATGGCATGTCACAAACTGTATGAGCCTTTTTAGCCATCAGGGTACCAGGTTGTTTGGCCTCATTCCCAAGATCGATAAGCACATTCCATTGAGACCAGATGTAGCTGGGAAAGGCAAAAGCCAAATAGTTTCCAAGAAGACCCAGAGAGGGTAAAGAGGTTTTTGCAAGCTTTTAGGATGTGTCTTGGAGTTTTTGTGAAAAGCCAATGAAGTGAGATTGGGGGGATATTTCAGTGAAACTCCGGATCAAGCTGCATCCGTTTTTTCCATGAGGGTATGAGTGCCAGTTACTCAGAAGTGGCAAGAACACTGTGTGTGTGTGTGTGTGTGTGTGTGTGTGCGCGCGCGCGCGCGCGCACGTGTGAGCATGGGTAGCATCAATGAAGAAAAGGCTGGGATTGGCAAGTGTTCAGGGAAACTGGATAGGTATGTTTATCGATAATTTGCCTCAGTCCCTCTCCTTGCTGACTTACATTTCAGTTGATAGGGTGAGTAGCTCAGACAAGTATAGAGAAGAAAGAGGCAACATGGAGAAGTGGAAGAGAAGGCTTTGGTAGGCCATGGATCTAGCCTTTAATTTCAATTTAGCCACTGGTTAGTTCCTCATAAGACTAATACTAGCTAACATTTATTGAGCCTCATATGTATTTTATAATCTGTGCTAAGTGTATGTTCTCTATCTCATTTAATCTTCAAAACCACTCCATAATTCCATTTAGTCTCCTATTGTCCCATCTCATTGATGAAGAACTGATGTTCAGAAGCGTAGGGCACTTATTGGAGATCCCACAGGATTTGTTGAGAGTCAGATTTGAACTCGGGCCCTTCAAAGTCCAATGTCCCTACCTTCAAAGGCATGACTTGGAGGGTATTTTTAAAACTGAGGTTTCTGTTTCCTTTCCTTTAAAATAGAAATAAACGGCCGGGCGCGGTGGCTCACGCCTGTAATCCCAGGACTTTGGGAGGCCGAGGTGGGTGGATCACGAGGTCAGGAGATCGAGACCATCCTGGCTAACACAGTGAAACCCCGTCTCTACTAAAAATACAAAAAATTAGCTGGGCGTGGTGGCGGGCGCCTGTAGTCCCAGCTGCTCAGGAGGCTGAGGCAAGAGAATGGCATGAACCCGGGAGGCGGAGGTTGCAGTGAGCTGAGATCGTGCCACTGCACTCCAGCCTGGGCGACAGAGCAAGACTCCATCTCAAAAAAAATAAATAAAAATAAAATTAAAAAATAAAACATAAATAAAAAAAATAGAAATAAAGCCAGCCATGGTGGCTCATGCCTGTAATTCCAGCACTTTGGGAGGCTGAGGTGGGCAGATCACTTGAGGCCAGGAGTTCGAGACCAGCCTGGCCAACATGGTGAAACACCGTCTCTACTAAAAATACAAAAAAATTAGCTAGGCATGGTGGCATGTGCCTGTAGTCCCAGCTACTCAGGAGGCTGAGGCAGGAGAATTGCTTGCAGCTAGGAGGCAGGAGGCAGATGTTGCAGTGAGCTGAGATCCCACCACTGTACTCCAGCCTGGGCAACAGAGCGAGACTCCCCCGCCCCCCCCCCCCCCCCCCGCCAAAAAAAAAACCTAGTCTATGGCATTGTCTGGAGGCCTAAATTAATATGGTATTTTAGACCACAGTCTGACAGGTAGCAGGTCCTGAATGAATGTTACCTTGTCTCCCTCCCCAGGACTTTCAGAGAGAGAGAGAGCACGTAAAAAAAACCACACCACACTAAAGAACCAGAAAAACATCTGGTGGCCTGAGTAAGGCTGGATTAGATAGGGCAATACTATAAACAAGAAGTAGGTTCAGATTCAACTAGGAATACTAACAGTATGGAGGATATGGGGCTCAGAACTTCACGTATACTGATTTCATCACAAGTTTGTGGGAATGATGGTGTATTAGTACGTTCTCGCACTGCTGTAAAGAAATACCTGAGACTGGGTAATTTATAAAGAAAAGAGGTTTAATTGGCTTATGGTTCCATGGGGCGTACAGGAAGCATGGCAGCATCTGCTTCTGGGGAGGCCTCAGGGAGCTTTCATGGCTGAAGGCAAAGTGAGAGCAGGCGTCTTGCATGACAGAAGCAGGACCAAGGAAGAGAGTGGGGAGGTGCCACACACTTTTAAAAAATCGTATATTGTAGGAACCCACTCACTATACAGCACCAAGGGAGGATAATGCTAAACCATTTATGAGACCCCCTCAAGACGCAGTCACCTCCCACCAGGCCCCACCTCCAACACTGGAGATTACAATTTGACATGAGATTTGGGTGGTGACAGAGATCCAAACCATTTCAGATGGTATATGTCTAATTGACAAATGAAGAAATGATGCCCTAAAGGACTATCCCTAATAACTTAGGGATATGTTGCTGGGATTCCGTCTGATGGGTGGGAATGTCTTCCATGTTTTTATTGTTTTTCAAATTGAAATTCACAAACCACAAAATTCACTTTTAAAGTATACAATTTAGTGGTTTTTAGTATATTTATAAAGAAGTGTAACCATTACCACTGTATGACTATCTAATTCCATAGTGTTTTCATCACCCCAGAGAGAATCTTCATACTCATGAACAGTCATTCCCCATTCCCCCACCCCTCAGCCCCTGGCAACCACTAATCTGCTTTATGTTTCTATGAGTTTGCCTTGTCTGGACATTTCATATAAATAGAATCATAAAATATGTGACCTTTTGTGTCTAGCTTCTTTCACTTAGCATAATGTTTCAAAGTTGACCCATTGTAGCATGAATCAGACTTTTATTCCATTTTATGGATCAGTAACGTTCCATTATATGAATATCACATTTTGTTTCTCCATTTATCACCCGATAGAAGTTTTGGTTGTTCTCACGTTTTGGCTATGATGAGTAAAGCTGCTATGAACATTTGTGTATATACTTCATGTGGACTTATGCTTTTAATGTTTGTATATACATTAAGTGAAAGAAGTTAGATATATATACTTGGTAGAATTGCTGAGTCATATGGTAATTATGTGGTTAACTTTTTGAGGAACTGCCAAAATGTTTTCCAAAGTGACTACAACATTTTTTGACGTCAGAAGCAAATATATGGGGGTCCCAATTTCCCTACATCCTTGTCAGCACTTGTTATTTGTTTTTTTCATCATAGCCATCCTAGTGGATGTGAAGTGGTAGCTTATTGAGATTTTTATTTGCCATAATTTGACAAATTATGTTGAATGTGTATTTAGAGAAATATCTTCTGTTCATTTTTAAATTGGATTACTTGTCTTTTTGTTATTGAGATGTAAGAATTCTTTGTATAGTCTAGATACTAAATGCTTATTAGATATATGACTTGTGATATTTTCTCCCATTCTTTGGGTTGTCTTCTCATTTTCTTGATAGTATCTTCTGATACACAAAAATTTTAAATTTTGATAAAGTCCAATTTATCTACTTTTGTTACTTAAGATTTTGGTGTCATTATCTAATAATCTTTTTCCAAATCCAAGATTATGAAGATTTAACCCATGTTTTCTTCAAGCGTTTTATAGTCTTAGCATTTTACATTTAGTCTTTCATCTATTTTGAGTTAATTTTTATATATGGTTTGAGGAAAGGAGCCAACTTAATTCGTTCGCATTTCGATGCCTAGTTGTCCCAGCATCATAAATTGAAGAGACTGTTCATTCTACATCAAACGGTCTTAGCACCCTTGTCAGTAATTAATTGGCCACATATATGGATTTATCTGGATTCTCAATTCTATTTCATTAATCTATTTGTCTATTCTTATGTTAGTACCACACCATTTTGATTATTGTAGCTTTGTGGTAAGTTTTGAAATCAGGAAGTGTGAGTCCTCCTTTGTTCTACTTTTTCAATATCTGTTTGGCTATTTTCAAGATTATTTATATTTTCATAAGAATTTTAGGGTGTTTGCTAATTAAAATACTGCTGGGATTTTGATAAAGCTTGTGTTGAATCTATAAATCATTTTGAGTAGTGTTAGCATGTTAACAATATTATATCTTTTTATCCATGAACATGAGATTTCTTTCATTTATTTCCTTCTTTTATTTTCCTTAACAATGTTTTGTACTTTTCAGTGTACAAGACTTCTTTTTTAAAATTTATTCCTAAGTATGCTATCTATGAATAGAAGTAGTTCTACTTCTTTCTTTTAAATCTGATGATTTTTTATTTCTTTTTCTTGCCTAGTGCCTTGACTAGATTCTCCACTACAATGCTGATTAGATAGAAGGGATGAGATAGACATTCTGGTCTTTTTCCTGACCTTAGGGGCAAAGCTATCAGCTTTCACCATTAAGTATGATGATAGTTGTGGGTTTTTCTTAAATGCTCTTTATCAGATCAAAGAAATTCCCTTCTATTCCTGCCTTCTTCAGTGTTCTTATGAAAGGTTGTTAGATTTTGTCAACGCTTTCTCTGCATCTATTGGCAAAGTAATGTGGATTTGTCCTTTAATCTATTAATGTGATTTAGTACATTGATTTTTTTTCATGAGCTGAACCAACCTTGCATTCCTGGGATTAATCACACTTTGTCATGGTGTATGATCCTTTTTATATGCTGCTGGATTTGGTTTGCTAGTATCTTGTTGAAGATATTTGTATATATATTCATAAGGGATATAGCTTTCTGTAGTTTTCTTGTGAGTTGTCTGGCTTTGGTATCAGGGTAATTCTGGCTCCAAATAATGAGTTAGGAAGTGTTTCCTTCTGTTACTGATGAATTGCCTATGAATACCTTCAAATGTGTCAAGTTCTGCTGCATGCATTTCTGGGCTCTGTTGTTAAGTACATATATGCTTATAATTGTTTTGATGGAGTGACCCTTTTATCATTATAAAATGTCCTTTTTTTCTCCAGTAACAATTTTTAACTTAGTCTCTTTTGTCTATACTGCAACCACTCCAGCTCTTTTGTTTACTGTTTTCATGGTACACATATTTCCATCCTTTAAACCTATTTGTGACTTTGATTCTAAAATGTACCTTTTGTAGACAACATACATTTGAATCATGCACCCTCCCATCATAATTCTAGTCTTTGTCTTTTAATTAGAGTGTTTAATCAGTTTGTATTTAATATAATAACTGGTAAGATTTACATCTGCCATTTGTTACTTGTTTTCTATATGTATTATGTCTTCTTTGTTTCTTCATTCATTCCCCCATTACTGCCTTCTTTTGTGTAAAATGGATATTACTTAGTGGGCCATTTTAGTTGACCATTTTACTTTTTTTTTTTTAGTGGTTACCCTGGGTGTTACAATTAACATCTTTTTTTTTTTTTTTTTTTTTTTGAGACGGAGTCTCACTCTGTCCCCCAGGTTGGAGTGCAATGGCACAATCTCAACTCACTGCAAGCTCCACCTCCTGGGCTCATGCTGTTCTCCTGCCTCAGCCTCCTGAGTAGCTGGGACTACAGGCACACACCACCATGCCCGGCTAATTTTTTTGTATTTTTAGTAGAGTTGGGGTTTCACCATGTTAGCCAGGATGGTCTCGATCTCCTGACCTCATGATCTGCCTGCCTCGGCCTCCCAAAGTGCTGGGATTACAGGCATGAGCCACAGAGCCCAGCCACAATTAACATCTTATAACAATCTAATTTGCATTAATACAAAGTTGATTACAACAATATATAAAACTTTCCTCTTATATAGCTCTAGTATCTACCCTCTTATTTGTGCTGTTATTTTCATATAAATTACCTCATTATACATTGCATGGTCTGATACATGACTGGTATACAGATTCATAATTATTGCTTTATGTAGTTGTCTCTTAAATAATATAGTAGAAAACAGTTATAAATAAAAGATATATTTACATTGTCTTTTATATTTAGTTTTTACCAGAGACTTATATTTCTTTATGTGGACTCAAGTTATTGTCTAGGGTCCTTTCATTTAGGCAGGAAGAACTCCATTCTCTGTTTTTGTTTATATTGGAATGACCTAATTTCTCTTTCATTTTTAAAGGACAGTTTTGCTAGATACAGAGCTTTTGAGTCTTTCAGGTCTTTGAATATGCCATCCACTGCCTCCCAGATTCCATAGTTCCTGATGAGAAATAAGTTAATCTTAATGAAGACCACTTGTGCTGTATTGCTTCTCTCTCGCTGTTTTTAAGATTCTCTGTTTGTCTTTCGACAGTTTGATTATGATGTTTCTACGTATGAAACTCTTTGAGTTTACCCTATTGGAATTTGTTGAGCTTCTTGGAGGTGTAGATTCACGTTTTTTAAAATCAAATTTGGGAAGTTTTTGCCCATAGTTTCTTCAAATATTATTTTTCCCCTTTCTTTCCTCTCTTTCTGGGACTCTCATGAATATATTGATACACTTGATTGTGTCCCATAGGTCTCTGAGGCTCTTTTTCTTCTTTTTTTTTGTTCCTCGGTCTGAATAGATAGTCAAGTGCATAAAAATGACAGAATGGGAGTGAAACAACCTAGAGGTTTGTTAAAATTGTTTGTGAAATTGTTGTTTCATTGTTTGTGAAAATTCTTCCTCTAGTGAATGTGTCCACAGACAGGCAAGGCCCTCATAATGCCTGCTTTGAACATGGTGGGTTCAAAGCAAACAGATGCAGAAACAGTTCACTCTTTCTTCACTTTCCCTGAGACATCTCCTTAAATTCCTTTTCTCCCTAGGACCTAAGGGACTCAGCATCTCTATTTTCAGCTTGATCCTTTCTCTTGAACCATAGGCTTTTGTGTCCAACAGCTGAAATTCAGATCCAGATCACTCTGACTGCAAGGTCTGTGAAGTTGGTCTGATTCCTATGTTCCTTTTCTATTACTTTCCTAAACCCTCAACACGGCCTCTTTCACAATGACTTAACTCCTTGATGGACAGGTTTGTGGTAGGGTAAGGTGGGGAATGGGGCAGATAAGGAGAGCTGCCTGTCTGGAACTGGATCTGGATGAGAAACCAAAGTCAGCTTCATGTCATTAACAATTTGGTTTATGACTATCCTGGCTATGCCACTTCAAGCCTTTTGAAAGGTCTCCTTTGCCTTATGTACTCCTGATTACCAAACCCAATCCTAGAACAATGAAGAATGGGCATGAAATATTTACTCTGCTGAAGGGATAATTTGAGACCAACATAACAGGATAATATGGGGGAGGAAAGTCTCTCCTTTCCTGCTGCCTACTCAGGCAACTCTGCAAACGGAGTATGGGGAAATAGGAGGAGTCTTCTAAAAATCCTAGGATTCACCCAGTTTTTTTTTTTTTTTTTTTGAGACGGAGTCTCGCTCTGTCGCCCAGGCTGGAGTGCAGTGGCGCGATCTCGGCTCACTGCAAGCTCCGCCTCCCGGGTTCACGCCATTCTCCTGCCTCAGCCTCCCGAGTAGCTGGGACTACAGGCGCCCGCTACCACGCCCGGCTAATTTTTTGTATTTTTAGTAGGGACGGGGTTTCACCGTGTTAGCCAGGATGGTCTCGATCTCCTGACCTCGGATTCACCCAGTTTTGTAGCCAGCAGACTGGGAGTCATCTTCAGCCTCTTCTTTCCTCTTTTCTTCCTTCTCCTTTCCTTCTTCCTCTTTCATTTCCTTTCTTCTTTCTTCCCTCTCTCCTTCTCCATCCCTTTATACATGCAATAAGCCTAATACCTCTCTATTCTTTCACCTCCATGCCTTAGTCAAAATCTCATTGCCTTTTCCACCTGGAGAAAACTGAAACTTGTTCTGAATTGGTCTTTAACTCCCATCTTCAATTCCCATCCACCTTCCACACCAAATCAGAGATAGATTTTTAAAACCCAGATCTAAGGGGACTGGATACCCTTATAATGTAGAAGAGGCACAATGAGTACACAGCCAATCCCACACAGTCAATGCATGTTCATTCTGGTTTAAACAGAAAAACCCATCTTGTAGCAACTACTTATAAGGAAATCCCAACATAACCCCCTTTTGTTTGTAGACTAGCTTCTGAACTTCCAGTTGAAACTGCGTATCACTCCTTGTTTGAGCTTCATAGATTTTTCTGGGTAAGGATCACACAACTTGTCCTCCCATTTCTTCCAGGGTTTACGCATATATTTCTTGTTTATGACTGTTTCCAGACAGATTTTGTCTCAGTTTCAGCAATGCATATCAAAATGGTTCAAGAACCTCACCTTCTACTTAACCCTTGTCTTACAGATGCTGTTTGTCAAGAGACTTTTCTCTGGGATCTAATCCTAAAATGCATGGGCTGGGCATAGTGACTCATGCCTGTCATCCAAGCACTTTGGGAGGCTGAGGTGGGTGGATCACCTGAGCCTAGGAGTTCGAGACCAGCCTGGCCAACATGTTGAAATCCCATCTCTACTAAAAATACAAAAATTAGCCAGGCATGGTGGTGCATGCCTGTAGTCCCAGCTACTTGGGAGGGTGAGGCAGGGGAACCGCTGGAACCCCGGAGGCAGAGGTTGCAGTGAGCAGAGATTGCGCCACTGCACTTCAGCCTGGACGGCAGTGAGAGTCCGTCTCATAAATGAATGAATTTAATTAATGAACGCATGTGGAGAGTCCAGGGATTTTAATGTGTTTTGAGTGAGAGAGATGTAAGGTGTGTGCTAGATCATGCTGAGACATCTTCTTAGACCAGAGAGAGTTGAGTTGGGCCTTTAAGTATAGGCAAGACTAGGAATGGTGCAAAAGAGAGGAAATGTTTTTCCAGATTCAGAAAGCAAGGTGAGAGGTTCCCAGCCCTAAGTGGACATAAATGCTGCACATGTGTAGCAATAAAGAGGTAATCTGATTAGAGCTGCATTTGGGAAATGTGGAAAGGTAGGAAATCATAGCAGAGCAGTTTTAGTACTGGGAATACTTTTTGAATTCATCTAATTAATCATTCCCCAAACTACATTTCTTAGGACACTCATATCTCTCTAAGTATTAATAAATATTTCCCAATCAAAAAATTTAAGAGGTCCTATGGTCAAATCCATCTGGTGAATACTGTGTTAAAGTCCTCAGGGAAGGATGTCGCAAATGTGCATTATGAGTCTCCAAAGCAAGATGTATTATTCAGAATTTGCCTACCTTATTTGTCCATGGAGTCCTGTTTTCAAGAAGGTTCAAGCAAATATATTAAAAGGAGAATGTCCTGTGAAATACAGGCAGTAAAATGTTGATCAATCCAATCTTCTTATTTTTTTAAATGTTGCCCTGAGGGAAGAAGTGCTTGCTTAAGGTCATTCCTTAAGCTGGAGACTGTGCTTGGGCTAGAACCAGGCCTCCTGATTCCAGACATAGACCAATTACAGTGGTCTTGGTTGCCATGGATATAAGAAAAAACACTAGATGCTGTAACAATGCCCAAATTTCAGTGCCTTGGCTCAACAGAATTTTATTTTTCATCCATGTGGCAGTGTAGTGTGGGAGTTCCTGGCCAGTGGGCAGCTTGCTTCCTGTGGTTAATCAGAAACCCAGACCCCTACAATTGTGTGGATCTGCAATCAACTGGGGCCACAGAGTTGATAGAAGAAGGAAACATAGAGAAGCCCCACTTGCTTTTTAAGGGCTCTGGCCCTGGAATTAGATCTTACCCCAGTCACTTCTCAGCTGTGCTTCTCCGTCACTGAACTGCTTTTACCTTCGGTTTCTTTATCTGTAAAGTGGGGGCAATTATAGAACTACCTCATGGGATTGTTATGCACAGTAACTGAGTTAATATTTGTCAAATACTTATCTATACCTGGTACATAGTATGGGCTTTATAAGTACTTTCTAGATAAAATAATAAAAACATTAAAAAAGACTTCTGCTCACTTCATTAGCTATACCTGGCTGCAAGGGGAGCTGTTTTCCAGTGCCAACTCCACATTGTGGAACTGGGAAGTTCTGAATTTTTGGCAAATAGCTGACTATGTTTGCCAAACATTAGAATTTGTGTCTGAACAGGTGGGTGATGGAAATTTTTGAAGGTTTTGAGAAGAGAAATAAAATATGAATAAGCCACTGCAGATATTCCTCTCCTATCTCAAATCTTTTCTGTAAAATTTGAGTTATTGAAGATAAAATTATATTAGACTGTAAACATGTATGACAGAGAATACGTGAATTTTTTTTTTCTTTGCTCACTACAACCTCTGCCTCCTAGGTTCAAGCGATTCTCCCACCTCAGCCTCCCAGGTAGTTGGGATTACAGGCACCTGGCACCACGCCCAGCTAATTTTTGTATTTTTAGTAGAGATGGGGTTCCACCATGTTGGCCAGGATGGTCTCCAACTCCTGATCTCAAGTGATCCGCCTGCCTCGGCCTCCCAAAATGCTGAGATTACAGGCAGGAGCTACTGCGCCCGGCCTGGAGTATGTGAATTTTTATTTGTCATAAGGATTTTAAAATAAAACAGGACAATGTCTCGTCACATACATTATATCTGCTTCTAAGCAAAATGAATAAATGGCTACTGCCAAAATCATTGAGGAGAAGAAATTTAAATTTTCCAGAGAGAAAAACCATAATAATAGGAAATTAATTGTATAGGGTCTTTATTGCTAATTTAATGTTTTTAAAAACTAATGCTATCTGATGTGCTAAAGTAATTTATTTTCTTTGAAAATTAAAAAATATTTATAAGAGATGTTAATGGTCCTCAGCTTTCCCATAAGGGGATATGTTTCTCATCTTGAAATTCTCCTATTATAGAAGCAGGAGCTATTTGGATTGTTCACACATACTCCACTTCTCTGCGGGCACATAGTAGGATAGCACCTTCCTGCCCATTTTTGAAGATAGGCATGGGTCATGTGACTTGTCTTGGCCAAAGAAATGTGAATGGCCATCATGGATATCACTTTCAGGCAGAAGATTTAAGTATCACGGTGTGATTTGTCACGTTTCTTCCTTCAGCTGTGGGGCTTATGACCCATCACAGCCTTCTTCCATGCAGGTCTGAGTGTGTAAAAAGAATGCAGTCCCACTGCCAATCAGAATTGAATATGCAGCGTAAGAAAGAAAGAAACTTTTGTTAAGCCAATAAGACCTATATTTTTTTGCCTCACCATAATGTAACCAATACCAGCTGACCAAAATAATTTCAGGTTGGGAAAGCATAACTTTTAACTTTTTAGTTTTTTAAGCTAATTGGATTATGGCGTATAGCATAGATGGATGGAGGCACAGCCTGGAGATTGGAACATAAGTTAAGTGACAAGGGCCTGAACAAGGCTTAGTCCAGTGGAGATAAAGGGCAATAAAAAAGGCAAAACACTACACAGCCCTTGTTCTTAAACATCATGCTCTCCTCTGAGCCTCAGTCTGCCTCAGATACAGGGATGACTAAAGCTGCAGTTGACAATCACAATATCTTCCCAGGAAATGACTTAACTTTACCTTTCGAAGTATTTTTGAAACTCTAAGGCTAATTATGTTTAACATATTAGTACTGTTTGGTTATTGGTTTATTGGATATTGTCTCTAATTGGCAGTATTTCTTCCTATCTTGCAGACTCAAATCTCCTTAACATGGTAATTATTCCTGGACAATACTGTATTCAATTTGTTCTGAAAGTAATCATGCTATAATATTAGGCATTGCTTTTTGCAATCAATGGAGATCTTTTTTTCATTATAACAGAAAGAAATGCTAATTTAAGGAGTCACAATAGAAAGATAAGGTCCAATAGAGTCATTATTGGTATAGGCAGCTGATTTCAGATCACTAACCGGTACTGTTTGCTGAGTTACAATAGAGCGAGGTTCTGGCGCCATTTGCGTAGATAAAGGTACTGATGTAAAATACACACCTAACCGGAAGGAATTACCGAGTGAGCCAGGCGTTTCCTAGATATTAGCTGAAGTATAGAATTAGTCCCCCTGTCTTGGTCTGTAGATCATAGATGGGACAAAAACCTTTATAGAAAACTAACTCATCTAACATCTACTAAATTTAGTATGTTCTCACTTATTTCCCTGAATCACTAATGGACATGTATGGGAAGGTTTTTGTTCTTTTGATATTTGTTATTTAAAAAATTACAAACAGAACTGAGTTACCAAAGTCATTTTAACAAATATGTCCTGAGCACCTACTGCTCTCTCCACTTTACTAAAGCCCTCACTACAACGGATGTGGCTACTCTGGAAAGTCAGGGGTAGAAAGTGGGAAATATGATTTGAGCGATATCCCTATCTAGTCCCCCGTGTACATTAACATTATTAAAATGCTATTTAAGAATTCAATTGCCATATGGCTTCATTTATATTTTTAACTTTTTATTGATATCCGGGTCTTTAATTTTTCTTTTTTATCTTTTTTATTCAATCGTATTTGGGGAACAGGTAGTTTTTGGTTTCATGGATAAGTTCTTTAGTGGTAATTTCTGAGAGCTTGGTGCACCCATCACCCGAGCAGTATACACTCTACCCATTGTGTAGACTTTTATCCCTTACCCCCACCCCACCCTTTTCCCCAAGTCCCCACAATCCATTGTATCATTCTTATGCCTTTGCATACTCATAGCTTAGCTCCCACTCGTATTAATAAGTGAGGACATACGATGTTTGGTTTTCCATTCCTGAGTTACTTCACTTAGAATAATGGTCTCCAACTCCATTCAGGTTGCTGCGAATGCCATTATTTCATTCCTTTGTATGGCTGAGTAGTATTCCATGGTGTGTATATACATACCACATTTTCTTTATCCACTCATTGGTTGATGGGCATTTAGGCTGGTTTCATATTTTTGCAACTGTGAATTGTGCTGCTATAAACATGCGTGCATAAGTATCTTTTTCATGTAATGACTTCTTTTCCTTATGGGTAAATACCCAGGAGTGGGATTACTGGATCAAAGGGTAGTTCTACTTTCAGTTCTTTAAGGAATCTCCACACTGTTTTCCATAGTGTGTTGTACTAGTTTACATTCCTACCAACAGTGTAAGTGTTCCCTTTTCACTACATCCACACCAACATCTGTTATTTTTTGATTTTTTGGTTATGGCCATTCTTGCAGGAGTAAGGTGGTATCACATTGTGGTTTTGATTTGCATTTCCTTGATCATTAGTGATGTTGAGCATTTTTTCATATATTTGTTGGCCATTTGTATATCTTCTTTTAAGAATTGTCTATTCATGTCCTTAGCCCACTTTTTGATGGGATTGTTTGTTTTTTTCTTGATGATTTGTTTTAGTTCCTTGTAGATTCTGGATGTTAGTACTTTGTTGGATGTATAGATTGCAAAGATTTTCTCCCACTCTGTGGGCTGTTGACTCTGCTGATTATTTCTTTTGCTGTGCAGAAGCTTTTTCGCTTAGGTCCCATCTATTTATCTTTGTTTTTGTTGCATTGCTTTTGGGTTATTGGTCATGAAGCCATTGCCTAGCCAATCTCTAGAAGTGTTTTTCCAATGCTATCTTGTAGAATTTTTATGGTTTCCAGTCTAAGATTTAAGTATTTGATCCATCTTGAGTTGATTTTGTATAAGGTGACAGATGAAGATCCAGTTTCATTCTTCTACATGTAGCTTGCCAATTATCCCAGCACTATTTGTTGAATAGAGTATCCTTTCCCACTTTGTTTTTGTTTGCGTTGTTGAAGATCAGTTGACTGTAAGTTTTTGGCTTTACTTCTGTGTTCTCTATTCTGTTCCATTGGCCTACATGCCTGTGTTTATACCAGTACCATGCTATTTTGGTGACTATGGCCTTATAGTATAGTTTGAAGTCAGGTAATGTGATGCCTCCAGATTTGTTCTTTCTGCTTAGTCTCAATTTGACTACGTGAACCTTTTTTTTTATTATTTTTTGTTCCATATGAATTTCAGGATTGTTTTTTCTAGTTCTGTGAAGAATGATGGTGGTATTTTCATAGGAATTGCATTGAATTTGTAGACTGCTTTTGCCAGTATGGTCACTTTCACAATATTGATTCTACCCATCCATGAGCATGGGATGTGTTTCCATTTGTTTGTGTTGTCTATGATTTCTTTCAGCAGTGTTTTGTAGTTTTCCTTGTCGAGATATTTCACCTCCTTGGTTATGTATATTTCTCAGTATTTTGTTTTTACTTTTTGCAGCTATTGTAAAAGGGGTTGGGTTCTTGATTTGATTCTCAGCTTGATGGTTGTTGTACAGCAGTGCTTCTGACTTTCATACATTGATTTTGTATCCTGAAACTTTACTGAATTCATTTATCAGATCTAGGAGCTTTTTGAATAAGCCTTTAGGGTTTTCTAGGTATAGGATCACATCATCAGTGAATAGCAACAGTTTAACTTCCTTTTTGCTGATTTGGGTGCGTTTTATTTGTTTCTCTTGTCTGATTGCTCTGGCTAGGACTTCCAGTACTATGTTGAATAAAAGTGATGAAAGTGGGCATCCTTCTCCTGTTTCATTTCTCAGGGGAAATGCTTTCAACTTTTCCCTGTTCGGTATAACATTGGGTGTGGGTTTATCATAGATGGCTTTTAGTACCTTGAGGTATGTCTCTTCTGTGCCGATTTTGCTGAAGGTTTTAATGATAAAGGGATGATGGATTTTGTAAAATGCTTTTTCTGTGTCTATTGAGATAATCATATGATTTTTGTTTCTAATTCTGTTTATGTGATGTATCACATTTATTGACTTGTATATGTTAAACCATCCTGCATATGGTATGAAACCCATATCTTTTTGATATGCTGTTGGATTCAGTTAGCTAGTATTTTGTTGAGGACTTTTGCATGTATGTTCATCAGGGATATTGATTTGTAGTGTTTTGTTGGTGTTTTTATGTCCTTCCCTGGTTTGGGTGTTAGAGTGATACTGGCTTCATAGAATGATTTAGGGAACATTCCCTCTTTCTCTAATTTTTTAATAGTTTCAGTAAGATTGGTACTAATTATTTGAATGTCTGATAGAATTCAGCTGTGAATCCATCTGGTCCTGGATTATTTTTGCTGTTGGCAATTTTTAAATTACCGTTTAATCTCTTTCCTTGTTATTGGTCTGTTCAGAGTTTCTGTTTCTTCCTGATTTAATCTAGGAGGGTTGGATATTTCCAGACATTTATCCATCTCCTCTAGCTTTTCTAGTTTGTGTTCATAGTAGCCTTGGATGGTCTTTTGTATTTCTGTGGTATTGGTTGTAATATCTGCCATTTTTTTCTAATTGAGCTTATTTGCATCTTCTCTCTTCTTTTCTTGGTTAATCTTGCTAATGGTCTATCAATTTTGTTTATCTTTTCAAAGAATGAGCTTTTTAATTTACCTTTTGCATTTTTTTGTTTCAATTTCATTTAGTTCTGCTCTGATCTTTGTTATTTCATTTCTTCTGCTGGGTTTGGGTTTCGTTTGTTCTTATTTCTCTAGTTCCTTGAGGTGTGACCTTAGATTGTCTATTTGTGCTTTTTCGGACTTTTTGATGTAGGCATTTAAATGCTATGAACTTTTGTCTTAGCACCACTTTTGCTGTATCCCAGAGATTTCGATACATTGTGTCACTATTATCATTCAGTTCAAAGAATTTTTTAATGTGCATCTTGATTTCATTGTTGACCCAAAGATCATTCGGGGCAGATTATTTAATTTCCATGTATTTGTATCATTTTGAGGGTTCCTTTTAGAGTTAATTTCCAGTTTTATTCCGCTGTGGTCCAAGAGCATATTTGATATAATTCTGATTTTCTTAAATTTATTGAGACTTGTTTTGTGGCCTATCATATGGTCTGTCTTGGAGAATGTTCCACGTGCTGAAGAAAAAAGTATATTCTGCGGTTGTTGCATAGAATGTTATGTAAATATCTGTTCATTCCATTTGTTTTAGGGTATAGTTTTAAGTCCATTATTTCTTTGTGGACTTTCTGTTTTGATGATCTGTCCAGTGCTGTAAGTGGAGTACTGAAGTCCCCCACTATTACTGTGTTGCCATCTATCTCATTTCTTAGGTCTAGTAGTAATTGCTTAATAAATTTGGAAGCTCGAGTGTTAGGCACATATCTATGTAGAATTATGATATTTTCCTGTTGGACTAATCATTTTATAATTATGTAATGTTCCTCTTTGTCTTGCTTTAAAATCTGTTTTTTGTCTGATATAAGAATAGCTACTCCTGTTCCCTTTTGGTTTCCATTTGCATGGAATATCTTTTTCCACTTTTTAACTTATATTTATGTGAGTCCTTATGTGTTAGATGAGTCTCTTGAAGACAGCAGCTACTTGGTTGATGGATTTTTATCCATTCTGCCATTCTGTATCTTTTAAGTGGAGTATTTAGGCCATTTACATTCAATGTTAATATTGCAATGTGAGGTACTGTTCAATTCATCAAGCTAGTTATTGCCTGAATACCTCTTTTTTCATTGTGTTATTGTTTTATAGGCCCTGTGAGATTTATGCTTTAAAGCGGTTCTATTTTGCTGTATCTTGAGGTTTTGTTTCAAGATTTAGAACTCCTTCTAGCATTTCTTATAGTGCTTGCTTGGTAGTGGTGACTCTCTCAGCATTTGTTTATTTGAAAAAGACTTTATTTCTCCTTCAATTATGAAGCTTAGCTTTGCTGGGTACAAAATTCTTGGATGATGATTTTGTTTGAGGAGGCTAAAGATAGGACCCCAATACCTTCTGGCATTTAGGGTTTCTGCTGAGAAATCTGTTAATCTGATAGGTTTTCCTTTATAGGTTACGTGATGCTTTTGCATCACAGCTCTTAAGATTCTTTCCTTCACCTGGATTTTAGATAACCTGATGACTATGTGCCTAGGTGATAACCTTTTTGTGATGAATTTCCAAGGTGTTCTTTGGGCTTCTTGTATTTGGATGTCTAGATCTCTAGCAAGGCCAGGGAAGTTTTCCTTGATTATTTTCTCAAATAAGTTTTCCAAACTTTTAGATTCCTCTTCTTTCTCAGGAACACTACTTATTCTTAGGTTTGGTCATTTAACATAATCTCAAATTTCTTGGAAGCTTTGTTCACTTTTGAAAAATTCCTTTTTTCTCTGTCTTTGTCAGATTGGGTTAATTCAAAAGTCTTGTCTTAGAGCTCTGAAGTTCTTTCTTCTACTTGCTCTATTGTTGAAACTTTCTAGTGTATTTTATATTTCTCTGAGTTTGTCTTTCATTTCCAGAAGTTGTGATTGTTTTTTTCCTTATGGTATCTATTTCTCTGGAAAATTTTTCATCCATATTCTTGGTTTTTTAAAAAAAATTTCTTTACATTGGTTTTCACCTTTCTCTGATACCTCCTTGAGTAGCTTAATAATCAACCTTCTGAATTTTTTTATCTGACAATTCAGGGATTTCTTCTTGGTTTAGATCCATTGCTGGGGAGGTAATCTTTTGGGGGTATGATAGAACCTTATTTTGTCATATCACCAGAATTTCCTGGTTACTTCTCATTTGGGTAGACTATTTCAGTGGAAAGATCTGGAACTCAAAGGCTGCTGTTTAGATTCTTTTGTCCCATGGGGTGATCACTTGATGTGGTGCTCTCCCCCTCCTCTAGGGATGGAGCTTCCCAAGAGCCAGACTGTAGTGATTGTTATTGCTCTTCTGGGTCTAACTACCCAGTGGGGCTACCAGGCTCTGGGCTGATGTTGGGGAGTGTCTGCAAAGAATCCTGTGATGTGATCTGTCTTTAGGTCTCATGGCCATGGATACAAGCACCTGCTCTGGTGGAGGTGGCAGGGGAGAGAGGTAGACTCTGAGAGTCCTTGATTGTAGTTTTGTTGAGTGTGCTGGTTTTCTTGAATGCTGGTTATGCTAGTAGCGAAGTTGTCTGTAGATATGCTCAGGACCTCTGGTTAGCCAGGATGTTACAGGTGGTGGAATTAGCTGTTGTTTTCTCTTTTCTTGGAGCAGGATTATTCTGTCTTGAGTTGCTGTAATGGCTTGAGTTGGCTGACCTCCAGCCAGGAGGTGGTACTTTCAAGAGAGCACCAGCTGTGGTAGTAGAAGGGGGATATAAACATGCCCTAAGTTGGCCAGCACAATTATTTGGGTTTCTCAGGTGATGGGCAGGGCTATAAAGCTCCCAAAACTTTATGTCTTTTGTGTTCAGCTACCGGGGTGGGTTGAGGGATACCATCAGGTGGGGGCAGGGTTAGGCAGGTCTGAGCTCAGACTCTCCTTGGGCAGGGCTTGCTGCGGCCACTTTGGGGGATGGGGTTCCAAGGGAGACTTTGGCTTCCTCTGCTGCATCATACAGGTTGCCAGGGAAGTGGGGGAACCTGGCAGTGGCAAGCATAACCCAGCTTCCATGCAGCCAGCAAGGCCAGTCTCACTCCTGTCGTGCTCTGCTAACAGCACCAAGTTTCTATCCAGGCATCCCATGCATGGAGTTCAGATGTTGTCCCAGGTTACAATCTTCCCCACTGAGAAAGCAAGCTTTCAGACCTCACAGCTCCCACCTGCTCACACCATTGACTGCAACTCCTGCAGCAATTCCTGTTTGCCCCCCCACTGCCCCCGATTCTGCTCAAGAAAATTTGTGCTTCGTTGAAATTTTTACAAAGTTTAGTGGGAAGCTTCTTTCACCCTGCTACCCCTCTCTAGTTCCACTGGCTGCCTTCCCTGAGGACCCCTGTGAGATAAAGTCAGGGATAGCTTCCCTGGGCTTGAGCTGGGGACTGGGAGTGCCTACAGGGCTCTTCCTGCTGCTCCTTCTACTTTAATATTTCACTCAGCTCCTTAAATCTGTTTCAACTCTAGGTAAGATGAAATCCTCTCCCATGAGCTGGATTTTCAGATTCCCCCATGGGGTTGTGTATTCAAAGGCAGGTTTCCCCCCATCACACTTTGGGAACTCACAGTTTTCCAGCTGTCTTTTGGAGTTAACAGCAGCAAGCCACTTATTCCACAAGATCTGTGAACTCTTTCAATTTTCTGGGCACATTCCTGTGGTGGTCCGCGCTGCACGTTAGTCCTGTCTCCTATCTGCTATTTTCCCTAGCAGATTAATCCTAATTCCTCTTTTTTAATTTTTTCAAGTTTGTTTTGGCTCTTCTCAGATTTGCATTTTTATATAAATTTGAGAATCAGCTTGTCAATTTCCATTAATAAAGTATTGACATTTTGGTCAGCTTTGCATGTAACTTATATGAGGATTTGGAGAGAATTGGTGTCTTAAAATATTAAGTCTATACAGTCATGAAAATGGTCTCTCCTTCCATTTATCTAAGTTTCTCATTTCTCTCAATAACATTTTGTGGTTTTCAGTGTAGAGGCCTTAATCATAGTTAATCCAATTTATTGCTAGATACTTGATGTTTTTTGATCCTACTTGGGGTAGGTTGAAAAATGGCCTGTAACAATGTTGGGTCCTAGTTCCCAAAAACCTATAAATGTTATCTTATTTGGAAAAAAAGGTCTCTGCAGATGTGATTAGGTTAAGGATCTTGAGGTGAGGAAATTGTCCTGAATTATCTGGGTGGGTCCTAAGTGCTATCACAGGTATTCTTTTTTTCTTTAAAAAAAAATTTTTTTTATTATACTTTAAGTTCTGGGATACATGTGCAGAACGTGCAGGTTTGTTACGCAGGTCTACACGTGTCATGATGGTTTGCTGCACTTATCAACCTGTTGTCTACATTAGGTATTTCTCCTAATGCTATCCCTCCCCTCGACCCACACCCGCCGACAGGCCCCAGTGTATGATGTTCCCTTTCCTGTGTCCATGTGTTCTTGGTGCACTGTTTAGTTTTCTGTTCTTGTGTTAGTTTGCTGAGAATGATGGTTTCCAGCTTCATCCATGTCCCTGCAAAGGACATGAACTCGTCCTTTTTTATGGCTGCATAGTATTCCATGGTGTATATGTGCCACATTTTCTTCATCCAGTCTATCATTGATAGGCATTTGGGTTGGTTCCAAGACTTTGCTATGGTGAACACTGTTGCAATAAACGTATGTGTGCATGTGTCTTTATAGCAGAATGATTTATAATCCTTTGGGTATATACCCAGTAATGGGATTGCTGGGTCAAATGGTATTTCTGGTTCTAGATCCTTGAGGAATTGCCACACTGTCTTCCACAATGGTTGAACTAATTTACAGTTCCACCACCAGTGTAAAAGCATTCCTATTTCTCCACATCTTCTCCAGCATCTGTTGTTTCCTGAGTTTTTAGTGATCATCATTCTAACTGGTGTGAGATGGTATCTCGTAGTGGTTTTGATTTGCATTTCTCTAATGACCAGTGATGATGAGCTTTTTTCATATGTTTGTTGGCCGCATAAATTTCTTCTTGTGAGAAGTGTCTGTTCATATCCTTTGGGCACTTTTCGATGGGGTTGTTTTTTTCTTGTAAATTTGTTTAAGTTCTTTGTAGATTCTGGATATTAGCCCTTTGTCAGATGGATAGATTGCAGAATTTTTCTCCCATTCTGTAGGTTGCTTGTTCAGTCTGATGATAGTTGCTTTTGCTGTGCAGAAGGTCTTTAGTTTAATTTGATCCCAGTTGTCAATTTTGGCTTTGTTGCCATTGCTTTTGATGTCATGAAGTCTTTGGCCATGCCTATGTCCTGAATGGTATTGCCTAGTTTTCTTCTAGGAGTTTTATGGTTTTAGGTCTTACATTTAATTCTTTTTTTTTTTTTTTTTTTGAGACAGAGTCTCACTCTGTTGCCCAGGCTGGAGTGCAGTGGCATGATCTCAGCTCACTGCAAGCTCCGCCTCTCAGGTTCACACCATTTTCCTGCCTCAGCCTCCCGAGTAGCTGGGACTACAGGTGCCTGCCACCATGCCCGGCTAATTTTTTTGTAATTTTAGTAGAGATAGGGTTTCACCATGCTAGCCAGGATGGTCTCTATCTCCTGACTCTGTGATCCACCTGCCTCACCCTCCCAAAGTGCTGGGATTACAGGTGTGAGTCACCACATCTGGCCACATTTAAGTCTTTAATCCATCTTGAGTTAATTTTTGTGTAAGGTGTAAGGAAGGGGTCCAGTTTCAGTTTTCTGCATATGGCTAGCCAGTTTTCCCAACACCATTTATTAAATAGGGAATCCTTTCCCCCATTGTTTGTTTTTGTCAGGTTTGTCAAAGATCAGATGGTTGTAGATGTGTGGTGTTATTTTTGAGGCCTCTGGTATGTTCCATTGGTCTATATATCTGTTTTGGTACCAGTACCATGCTATTTTGGTTACTGTAGCCTTATAGAATAGTTTGAAGTCAGGTAGCATGATGCCTCCAGCTTTGTTCTTTTTGCTTAGGATTGTCTTGGCAATGCAGGCTCTTTTTTGGTTCCATATGAAATTTTAAGTGGTTTTTTTCTAATTCTGTGAAGAAAGTCAATGGTAGCTTGATGGGGATAGCATTGAATCTATAAATTAACTTGGGCAGTATGGCCATTTTCATGATATTGATTCTTCCTATTGATGAGCATGGAATGTTTTTCCATTTGTTTGTGTCCTCTCTTATTTCCTTGAGCAGTGGTTTGTAGTTCTCCTTGAAGAGGTCCTTCACATCCCTGGTAAGTTGTATTCCTTTTATCTCTTTGCAGCAATTGTGAATGGGAGTTCACTCATCATTTGGCTGTTTGTCTATTATTGGTGTATAGGAATGCTTGTGATTTTTTCACATTGATTTTGTATCCTGAGGCTTTGCTGAAGTTGCTTATCAGCTTAAGGAGATTTTGGGCTGAGACGATGGGGTTTTCTAAATATACAGTCGTGTCACAGACATTCTTATAAGAGAGACAGAGAGAGATTTGACATAGACACACAGGGGAGAAAACCATCTGGAAATGGAGCAGAAAGAGATTTGAAGATGCTGGCCTTGGAGACTGGAGAGAGATGACTATTAGCTCAAGAATGCTAACAGCCTCCAGAAGCTGGAAGGAGCAAGGAACAGATTCTCTCCTAGATCCTCTGGAACATGTCTTTGATTTTCTTGTTTTTCCCCAGTGAAACCGATTTTGGACTTCTGGCCTCCAGAACTATGAGAAAATACATTTTTGTTGTTTTAAGTCATCATGTTTGTAGTAATTTGTTACAGCAGCCTCAGGAAACTGACACTATTGTAAGTGGTATTGTTTTTAAAGTTCAGGCTAATTCAGGCATAATTTACATTCAGTAAAACTTTCCCTTTTTAGGTATAAATTCAATGATATATAACATATATATATATATATATATATATATATATATAGTAATGTAACTACCACTGCAAGAGACATATAGAACATTTTCGTCACCACAAAAAAGTTCTCTTATGCTTGTTTGAAATCAGTCTTCTCCCATCCAAGCTCCAAGTAATTAATGATTTGGTTTCTGCCTCTGGAGTTTGGCAGATGTCATGTAAATGGAATATACAAATTCTAAAGGCTATATACAGTATATAGCCTTTAGAGTTTGACTACTATTTTGTTGAAGAGTTTTATGTCTATTTACAAGACAAATTTTATGCAGTTTTTTAAATTTTTTTTTTCTGGTTTCAATATTAGGAAAATTCTGGCTTTACAAAATATGTTGGTAAGTGTTTCTCTTCCATATTCTGGAAGATTTTGAATAGAATTGATATTATTTCTTCTTAAAATGCTTGATATTATTTACCAGTAATGCCATCAGGGCCCAGAGTTTTCATTGAGGGAGTGTTTTAAACAACACATTCAATTTATGTAATAGATATAGGACTATTCATGTTATCTGTTTCTTCTTGAGTGAGCTATGATAGTTCACAATTTTCAGGAATTTATTTTATCTATGTTATCAAGCATATTGGCATAAAGTTGATCATAGTATTCCTTTATTATCCTGTTATGTCTGTAGAATCTGTGGTGATGTCCATATCTTCCCTGCCTCTGCATTCTTATTGTTGGTAATGTGTATCTTTAAAATTTTTTTTTCTTCATCAGTCTGGCTGGAGATTTATCAATTATATTGATCTTTTCAACTAACTAGCTTTAGATTTCATTACTTTTTTCTCCTTTTTTTGTTTTCAATTCTATTGATTTATATTATTTTGCTATAAGGAATTCTGTTTCTTGAACTCTTAACCTCAAGCAATCCTTTTGCCTCAGCCTCCCAAATTGCTGGGATTACAGGTGCAAGCCACTGCACCCAGCCTAAGAATTTTGTTTCTATTTCTATGAACATTTAATGTCCTTTGGCACTTTAAACAAGTCATCCCATTGATTTCTTGCTTTTAGAGCTTCTGTTGAGAAGTTAGCTGTGATTGTTGTGGGGCTTTTTTGTACGGATAATATATTCTCTTTCTCTACCCTGCTTTCAAATTGTTCTTTTTCATTTTTGAAGCAAATGCTTCAAAGGAAAAATCCATGCCCAATTATGAGATTCCCATCTCTGGGCTCACATCCCTTCATCTCCTGGCCAAGTTGGGAGCTCTTCTTTGTCTCCCAAAAGACATTTAAACCCACTTTTTCTAGTTGTTTATGGCAAAGTATTGTTCTGATATAAGATAGTTTCTCATAAATGGCAGAAGTCCTTTTATGAGTTTTAAAAGTACCTATTTTTAGGTCTTTACTGAAACTGTACATCTTATCTTTTATCATATTGACACAAATTATGTTAAAGACTGTTTAATTATGCAATCTTTGGATCTCTGTGAGTTTGTGTCTATTGTCTGTTATTTCTGCTGGGTGTCTTTTCTGTTGCCTTGCCTTACGGTATGCCAAGTTATTTTAAGATTGTGTGCCAGATCTTATATGTGAAAATTATTTTAGAAATCATGTGAGGACTTGGAAGTTATGTTCCTCCTCTGGAAAGGATTTTACTTTGCTTCTGTGAAGTTTCTGGATCCACTACCAGTTTGGGATAAACTTAATGTAATTTCAGCAAGTGAGATAATTTAAAACATGGCTGCATTTCCTACAAGTGAGTCACCTTCTGATTTGCCTTTACTTCTAAGTTATAGCCCTTTAGGATCCTAACCCAAACATAGCAAGTTTATCACCTTCTATTCCTTGGCAGGCCTTGGATATCTCCTGTTGGTCCCCAGGCCTGCAAGCTTATCAAAGGCTGCTAAACAACTCAGATACTTTTTCTAGAATTGATAAGTGTCTCTAAAAGAAGCTCCTAATTCCATGTTAGCTCTGTCATCTTATGCATCTTGGTCCACCAGTTCTTCACTATCTTTTGGGCCCTTCAGTACTCTAGGCAGTTTTAAACTTTTTTAAAATGCAGTTTTTATAGATGTTTCCAATAGAAGAATGGTTCTCTTATCTAGTCCCACATTAATAACCTCATTTGCCATTTCCTTGAGTGTATTATAATTTTATTTTTTCCCTGAGATGGAGTCTCGCTCTGTCGCCAGGCTGGAGTGCAGTGGCACGATCTCGGCTCACTGCAGACTTTGCCTCCTGGGTTCAAGCAGTTCTCCTGCCTCAGCCTCCTGAGTAGCTGGGACTACAGGCGCAAGCCACCACGCCTGGCTAATTTTTTTATTTTTAGTAGAGACGGGGTTTCATCATGTTGGCCAGGATAGTCTCGATCTCTTGACCTCATGATCCGCCTGCCTCAGCCTCCCAAAGTGCTGGGATTGCAGGTGTGAGCCAGTGCACCTGGCCATAATTTTTAAAATTCAGGAAATTAATTTTTTCTAATTTGTCCATGTCTCTCTCTCTCTTCTCCCCCTTTTTTCCTCTGGTTTTTAAATTTTATTTGTCTGTTATGGTAAAAGGCTTTCCTCAAATGTATGGTAAGCCTTGTGTGTGTGTGTGTCTTTTTAATGTTTTAAAAACAGGGACTACATGCTGATTGGAGAGGTGTGTGTGTGAGAGAGAGAGATCAAGCGGGGTGGGGGAGGGGAGAAAAGATGTTAGTGGACTTCACTGATCAGGGCTAACCTTGCTGTTTCCTTAGGCTGGAGGGGTCATCAAAATGTCAGTATATGTGTGTCTTTTCTCTTGAGCAGGGTTATACTCCTAGCTGCCAACGTCCTGGGAAGTCTCACTGTTCAGTTTTATGACTTTTATTTCTTCAATGTTTAGACCAATGCTTTACCACTTCCTTGAGTTGTTCCCTGAGTTCAAATCATCTCCACCTGGTAATAGAATATGACTACCTCAATTTCCTGTGTTCATCTCAGGCCCAATCAGCTGTGATCAGGGGACTTGGTCACATGTTATAGAGTTGCCACTTTGGCACTGAGGTGAATGTATTTTCCCAAGAGGATTTGAATGGGAGGAAATTATGGGCGTATTCTTCATAAGGCACATTCTTATATCTTGTTTTACTTGAAGCACTTCTGAAAGTTCTGAAATCCTTATATTTTCAAGGAAATCACTCCTCTTGATTTGGGAGAGTGGAAAAATAATCAAGCTATTTTGAGTAGTCAGCTTCCTCTTGTCAGGGACTTAAAAATTTTCATAAGGCCCACTTGGGACACATTCCAGATGATGGGATGTCCATTTCTGCTCAGAGATGGTTAGTACCTTGGCTATTTCAAAACAACATTATCTATGGGATGTGCAGAGGACATAAAATCTGATTAGAAACTTTCTTCATTCTTTAGATAGAGTCTGTTAGTTCTAAATTTACAGGAGGGAAATTTGGGGATAGCCAAGGTCCTACTCTCACCTCATATTCCCCATTGCCAACTGGTGTAGTTAAAAGAGAAAGAATAAACTTTATATTCAGACAGACTTCCTTTTGCGCCAGAGCCACTTACTAGCTGTGTGACTTAGGGCATGTTCTTCAAACTTGGAGGTTCAATCTCCCCCTCTATTTAAAATGGCAATAATGAAGCTTGTTCTGTTCATACTCAATGAAAATAGTAATGCTTATGTGTTAAACACATGTTAAATGTGCTAGTTTTTCTCATGCGCTTATGTCTCACATAATTCAAATTACTCAAAGTCCTATTGCAAACATTTTACCCTATTGGGAAAGCCAGGTTGATTCCTCACTTGTTTTGCTGAGGACATTGCTGGGGCAGGACATAGTGTGTAGGGAGCTTAGATCAATGACTGGTTGGCGTATCATTCATTTAACAGCCGAAATGGGTGGGACTGAGGAAATGACTAGAGAGGTAGCGTCTTGGAGAAAAGGCAAATTAAGAGCTAGCCAGTCAATTTGTCAAGTGCAAGAAGCTCAGTTTTACACAAACGGGACTAAAACTTGAAAAATCAATCATGCATGAAACTTTAAAGTGGGGTTGGGAGGCAGGATCTGGAGAAATTCCCAGAACCACAAGATATGGCTCTTCTACTCCAGGAAGGGTGTGGTCTGAGGGCTTAAGATAGCATGATGATTTTTATTATCTTTTATTTTCTACTTATTTTGATATAAATTAAAGATCTACATAAGTATAAGGGGGTAAAAAACAAAAGCCCACCTTTCTGTTACCCCTTCTAATCTGTTTCTATGCATTTACACACATACACAAAATACTTTTTAAAAACATAGATCAATCTGTACATCTTTTAAATTTAATAATATATTTTGAAGATTCATTCAATAAATATTGTGAACTACTTTAGATAAGATATTTCTGTTTTATTCACTCATTCACTATATCTCTATCTTTTCAATTTTTTTCATACTGACACACATATATTCATGTCTTTTTTAACAGTGGCAGAACTATTTTACAGTGTAAGAGACATTGTTTTCTCTCAGTCTGAGTCTTACCTTTCCATTTTCAAATGATATCTGTCAAACAACAGCTTTTAACTTCAGTTAAGTTCAATTTATCATTCTTTTCCTTTATAAGTAGTGCTTTTTTGTATCTTATCTAAGAAAATCTTTGCCTATCCCTAGGTTGTGAAGATTTTCTCATGTCTCCTTTTAGAAGTTTAATGGTCTAATCTTTATGTTATATCAATCCCTTAATTAAGGCTTGACCTGGTCTGAATCACCGAGATTGGTCCAGAAATGGACAGTCACAGGATTTTTGCTTGAAAGTTTCTGGGGAGGTATATTTTGTGAGATAAAAACCTAGAGCTGCTCTTAGCCATTTTTGCTGCCTGAGAATGAAGCTGATGCAAAAGAAAGAGAAAAGAGATGGAAAGAGGCAGGTTCCTGACAACATTATTTGAACACCTGATTCCTCCCAGACCTGCAGTCAGATGTCCTAGGCCCTTTCAGTTACAAGAGCCAATAAACCCCTATTTTGGCTTTAGGCAGTTTGAGTTGTACTTATTTCAACTACCATAAAATTTTAGGTAACTAATGGACATTGTTAAGGATGTGGCATCACTTATTTAATCTGTCCTCTATGGATGGGCATTTCAGTTGCTCAAAGTTTTAGCTGTTATAAGTCATGCAATCCCTGGAGCTGGTGGAAGGAGGGGGTGGAGGAAGATGTTGGGTAAATTAAAGAGCCAATGTTTTGTGAGAGGCACAGAGAATTTCCTAAGAATAAAGCAGCAAGAGTCTACCTTCAGCCTGCATAGTTAAACCAAGGGAGAGGTGATTGTTTCATCAGACTTTTCATTAGAGGACTGGGGGCTTCTCTTCCACGGGCAAAGGAGTGGCCAGGAAGGAGATAGGGCTGTTCTATAACAGTATCAGCATCAGGCAAGGGGAGAAGGCAGAGGGGCAAGGCTGTTGCCTGCCCGAGGTTCCCGAGATGGGCTCTGCTCAGGCCCTTGTCACGCTTGTGATCACAGCCTTGCCTTCAGCCCTTTCCACAGACCTTTTCTCTCTCTACTCACATACCATGTCATAGCCCTTTGCAAAGTGACCTTTAGACCTTGTGTTAATCAGTTTCGGCTCCTACAATAAAGTAACAGACTCGGTGGCTTATAAATGATGGACATTTATTTCTCACAGTTCTGGAGGCTGGAAGTCTGAAATCAAGGTGCCTACATGGTCAGGTTCTGATGAGGGCCCTCTTCTGTGTTGCAGACTGCTGTCTTCTCATTGTGTCTTCACATGGTGGAAAAAAAAAAGCGGTGGGGGGTGCCCTAGAGAGCACTCTGAGGTCCCTTTTATAAGGGCACTAATCCCATCCATGAGGGCTCCACTCTCATGACTGAATCACCTCCCAAAGGTCCCATTTCCTAATACCATTATATTGGGGATTGAGATTTTAACATATGAATTTTGAGACATTCATATGTCATTCAGCTCATTGCAGATCCCAAAACATACAACAAGAAACTTAGAATATAATCATTTGAATAACTTTCAAGTTTGCAAGTAAAAATCTGTTATAAAGGCAATATTATTATTATTACTATTGCTCATTTGAAAATGAGAGTATAGTGGAAATAGAAGAGGGCTTCAGCATACTCTTTGAAGTCAGAAAGATCTGAACAACTAGTAGATTAAAAACCTCGGGTAAGCTACTTTTTATGCCTCAGTTCTTAATCTATAAACTGTACATAGCAAACACTTTGTTCATGTAATTATGGCAAGGATTGAATGAGATAATTTTTGGCAGCATGGCATATGGAAAATAACTGATGAATGGTAACAGACATTATTAAAAAACAAAGGCTCAGGGAAATAGAGACATGTCCAAGTTCTCATAACTAGGGAGGGTCCAGAACAGTCTTGGATCCACCCATGACTTCTGATTCTTGTTCTTTCCACTACACAGTTTTTTTTTTTTTTTTTTTTTTTTTTTTTTTTTAAGATAGGGTCTTACACTGTTGTCCAGGCTGGATGAAGTACAGTGGTGTGATCACGGCTCACTGCAGCCTTAAACTCCTGGGCTCAAGTCATCCTCCTGCGTCAGCCTCCTAAGGTGCTGGGATTACAAGCATGACCCACGGCACCTGGCTCCACTGCATAGCATCTGAATGTAAATTGGGCAGTCAGGGAAGACCCAGACTAGTCTCTCAGCCAGTGAAGGGAGAGTATGGAGATAATTTGTTTCCAGCTCTTTTTACTTAACTGTTGGACAATTTCCCTTTCTCAAACATCCTCCAAATACTGGTGTATTTAGAATGAGACCCTCGCAGGTGCTGACCTAACACCACTTCAAGGTTTTCTACCATAACTAAGACCTCAACGAGTTGTTCGATTTCCCAGAGCTCTCGGCCCAGGCTCCCCCTGGCGGCCGCTGCGGAGAAGCACCCAGTACCAACTGGGCCAGGGAGCCTCCGCGCTCGTGGAGCAGAAGGGTCAAGAGCAGATGGTGGCCGCCATTTGTATTTACTAAGCCCAAGCAGGGCAAACACTTCACAGGAGGCACCCAGCTTGTGACGCAATCCTTCCCCAGGTGGAGGACACACTCACATTCTGCTCTGGGGATTCCAGTACCAAGAGGACAAACAGTGGTAGGGGACAGAGCTTAGGTCCTCTGGGAGGAAAGTGGCTGAGGAATTGGGTGGAGGAGGCCGAAGCCTTTTATGGCCTCTCTAATTCTTAAGTAGTTGGCTCACATCCCTCAGGGCTGGCGTTATAATGGTACCTGCGGTGCTTAGCCAGCTTGGCCTAGGGAACTTTCTCGTCCAATCTGGACTGGGCCCTGAGCTCTGTGCAGCCTGTGTCTATTCTTGGTCACACACTTGAATACTCCAGTTTTTGACTACCCAGTTTCTAATACATTTCAATGGAAGCCTGTGCTGTTTAATCCCCAGGATGCCCCTGTAAGCTAGATTCTTTTATTATCCTCATCTTGGAGATGAGGAGACTGCAATACGGAGATCCTGTGTCTCCTGCTGAGGATCACTCAGCCATGCAATAGAAAAGTTGGCATTGAAGCCTAGATCTGAGAGCTTCAAGGGCTGTTTGCCTTCCACCAGGCTATCCTGCACTGAACACAGTAATTATTTGTTACCTATAGACATGACCAATCATAGAACTGAAGAAAAAACCTGGAGTCAAAGCAGAAGGGAGAAACCTAATTATTCACAATTCTACTTGTGTCTTCCTTCCTTCCTTCCTATCCCTCTCCCTCCCTATGGTTTGTTCTACAAGCTTTCCTTTTATCAAAGAATCACTGCCAAGCCGCAGCTTCCTGTGTTTTGTCTTATTACTCAGAGAAGAAAGTAGTGTCTGCTGGCTTGATCTGTAACTCGGGCCGTAATTACTTCTGAACTGTTAGGGTTCAGAGGGCTGGCTAAAGATCTCCAAGAAATATCAGAACCTTCTGATTCTGTCATCTCTTGGGTGGAACTTAGAGACAAGTAACGTTATTGGAGCACTATTAAGTATCATATTCTGATTTATAGATAGATATTCTAAGGGGTATGTGTCTGTGTGTATACACACACACACTGTGTACACTTTGGGTCTGGGCTCTTTTGCTCAGCATAACACTTCTGAGATTTATCCATACTGTTGCATACATCAGGGGTTTGTTTCTTTTTATTGCCGAGTAGTACTCTGTTGTATTGATATACAACAATTTATTCACCATTCCCCCTGATAGACATTTGTGTGGCTTCCAATTTTGAGCGATTATGAAAAATGCTATGAACATTTGTGTACAACTCTTTGTTTAGACATATACTTTTGTTTTTCTCTCAAATGTTTTATTTCCTGTGAATGAAATTTCTGGGTTGTATGCAAAGCATGTGTTTAACTTTTTAAGAAATTGCCAAACTGTTTTTCCAAGTGGTACTATTTTATATTCCCACTAACACTGTTGGAGTTTCGGTTGTTCTACATCCTCATTAACACTATTATCAGTGTTTCAAATTTTAACCATTACACATAAGTTTTAGTTCATGTTGTCTCATAATTTTAATTTACATTTCCCTGAAGATTGATTATGTTGAAGATATTGTTACGTATTTATTAGCTGCCCATAATCCTCTTTTGTGAAATGGATGTTTAAATATTTTGCCCATTTAAAAAAAATCGGGCCTCTTATCTGTTTCTGAATGAGTTATAGGAGTTCTTATATTCTCGATATAAATTCCTTGTCAGGGCTGGGCGCAGTGGCTTACGCCTGTAATCCCAGCACTTTGGGATGTCGAGGTGGGTGGATTACTTGAGGTCAGGAGTTTGAAACCAGCCTGGCCAACATGGTGAAACCCCGTTTTTACCAAAAGTACAAAATTTAGCCAGACATGGTGACAGACACCTGCAATCCCAGCTACTTGGGAGGCTGAGACAGGAGAATTGCTTGAACCCGGGAGGCGGAGGTTGCAGTCAGCCAAGATCATATCACTGCACTCCAGCCTGGGTGGCAGAGTGAGACTCTGTCTCAAAAAAAAAAGAAAAAAATTCCTTGTCAGATGTGTGTATGTCCGTGTGTGTGTATACATATGTGTGTGTGTGTGTGTGTGTGTGTGTATATATATGAATGACTATGTAACTATATATTATATACATGTATCTGAAACTTGCCTTTTTAATATTTAAATATGTTGTCTTTCACAGAGCAGGAGTTTTTACTTTTGATTAAGTCCAATTTATTAATTTTGTTCTTTTGTGCTTAATGCTTTTTTGTGTCTTTCAGAAAAGAAAATAACAAAAAAGAAAATCGCACACACAAAGTCTTTAACCTTAAGTTTGAAAAAATTTTCTCAATGTTTAGAAGTTTAATAGTTTTAGCCTCTTTGTTATACTTATGGTAATTTTAGAGTTAATTTTTGTGTATGTTTGAGGTAAGGTTATTAGTCTGTTTTCACACTGCTATAAAGAACTACCCAAGACTGAGTAATTTATAAAGGAAAGAGGTTTAGTTGATACACAGTTCCACATGGCTGAAGAGGTCTCAGAAACTTACAATCATGGTGGAAGGTGAAGGGAAAGCAAGGCATGACTTACATGGTGGCAGGAGACAAAGAGAGCGAAGGGGGAACTGCCAAACACTTTTAAACCATCAGGCCTCGTGAGAACTCACTTCACTATCATGAGAACAGCATGGGGGATACTGCCCCCATGATCCAATCACCTCCCACCAGGTCCCTCCTTTGACACGTGGGAATTACAATTCGAGGTGAGATTTGGGTGGAGACACAGAGCCAAACCATATCATAAGGGATGAGGTCAAGTTTTTCCAAATGAATATACAAAGTTGTTCCATTACCATTTGTTAAAAAGATGGAGGTTGTGGTGAGCTGAGATCATGCCACTGCACTCCAGCCTGGGCAACAGAATGAGACTCCGCCTCAGAAAAAATTAATAGATCACATATAGTAGATCTATTTCTGGACTGTCAATACTGTTCCTTTGATTTATAAATCTGCCCTTATAACATTACACTGTCCTGATTGTAGCTTTTTTTTTTTTTTTTTTTTTTTTTTTTTTTTTTTTGAGACGGAGTCTTGCTCTGTCACCCACGCTGGAATGCAGTGGCACAATCTCGGCTCATTGCAACCTCTGCCTCCCGGGTTCAAGCGATTCTCCTGCCTCAGCCTCCTGAGTAGCTGGGATTACAGGCACCCACCACCATGCCTGGCTAATTTTTGTGTTGTTTTTTTTTTTTTAGTAGAGATGGGGTTTTGCCATGTTGGCCAGGCTGGTCTCGAACTCCTGACCTCATGATATGCCCGCCTCAGCCTCCCAAAGTGCTAGAATTAGAGGCGTGAGCCACTGCGCCTGGCTCTGATTGTAGCTTTATAATCAGGTAATATAAGTCTCCCAACTTAGTTCTTTTTCAAATTGTTTTGGGTATTTGATGTCCTTTGTGAATTTTGGAATAAGCTTATCAATATCTAAAAATAATCTGCTGAGATTTTGATAGGAATTGAGTTAAAGATATAAATTAATTTGGAAAGTATTAACTATATTGAGTTTCCAATCTGTGAACATAATATATCCCTGTGTTCATTTAAATTTTCTTTAATTTCTCTTAGCAGTGTTTTAGTTTCCATTTTGCAGATCTTGAATAATTTTTTTTAATTATACTTTAAGTTCTAGGGTATATGTGCACAATGTGCAGGTTTGTTACATAGGTATACATGTGCCATGTTGGTTTGCTGCACCCATTAACTCGTCATTTACATTAGGTAATTCCTAATGCTATCCCTCCCCCTGTCCACCCTCCATGACAGGCCCTGGTGTGTGATGTTCCCTGCCATGTGTCCAAGTGTTCTCATTGTTCAATTCCCACCTATGAGTGAGAACATGTGGTGTATGATTTTCTGTCCCTGTGATAGTTTGCTCAGAATGATGGTTTCCAGTTTCATCCATGTCCTTGCAAAGGACATGAACTCATCCTTTTTTATGGCTGCATAATATTCCATGGTGTATATGTGCCACATTTTCTTAATCCAGTCTATCATTGATGCACATTTGGGTTGGTTCCAAGTTTTTGCTATTGTGAACAGTGCCACAATAAACATACATGTGCATGTGTCTTTATAGTAGCATGATTTATAATACTTTGGGTATATACCCATTAATGGGATGGCTGGGTCAAATGGTATTTCTAGTTCTAGATCCTTGAGGAGTTGCCACACTGTCTTCCACAATGGTTGAACTAATTTACACTGCCACCACCAGTGTAAAAGCATTCCTATTTCTCCACATCCTCTCCAGCACCTGTTGTTTCCTGTCTTTTTAATGATCACCATTCTAACTGGCGTGAGATGCTATCTCGTTGTGGTTTTGATTTGGATTTCTCTGATGACCAGTGATGATGAGCATTTTTTCATGTGTCTGTTGGCTGCATAAATGTCTTCTTTTGAGAAGTGTCTGTTCATATCCTTTGCCCACTTTTTGATGGGTTTTTTTTTCTTGTAAATTTGTTTAAGTTCTTTGTAGATTCTGGATATTAGCCTTTTGTCAGATGGGTAGATTGCAAAAATTTTCTCCCATTCTGTAGGTTGCCTTTTCACACTGATGGTAGTTTCTTTTGCTATGCAGAAGCTCTTTAGTTTAATTAAGATCTTGAATAATTTTTAAAAATTTATACCTAAGTAGCTCATCTTTTTGAATGCTCTTATAAATTATATTTTAGTTACTTTTCCAATTGTTTGTTGCTAATATATACAGATGCAATTGATTTTTACATGTTAATCTTGTATGCTGAAACAAGGTTAATCTCATTTATTAATTCTAGTAGGAAGACTTTTTAGGATTTTCTAGGTATACAGTCATGTCATCTGTAATTACAAATAGTTTTATTTCTTTGTTTCCAAACGGTATGTCCTTCCCTTTTTGTTTTGCCTTTTTACGTTAGCTCTGACCTCCAGCATTATATTTCCTTGTTCCAAATTTATGTGGAAAAATATTCAGTTTTACACCATTCAGTATGATGTTAGATGTAGGTTTTTTTGTAGATAGTGTTAATCATGTTGAAGAAGTTCTATTCCTAGTTTGCAGAGTTTTGATCATGAATGGATGTTAACTGTTGTTAAACACTCTTCCTACATCTATTGAAATGCACCATATTCTGTTACCATGATAATATGATAAACTAACATATTAAATTATAAATTAACATTAAATTCTGTTACTAGGTTATATGATAAATTACATTAATTGATTTACAAATGTAAAGCCAAGATTGTATTCCAGGAATAAACCCCACTTGATTATGTATTGCTATCCTTTAAAAATATTACTAGATACAATTTGCTAATTGTGTTGGAAGGATTTTTTTTATCCATGTTCATAAAGGACAGTGATCTATAATTTTCTTTTCATATAATGTCTTTGTCAAGTTTTCTTAACAGGGAATACTGGCCTCATCTTCTATTTTCTGAAAGAGCTTATGTAGAATTTGTATTATTTTTTTCTTGAAATGTTTGAATGTTGAATGTAGAATTCATTAGGAAGCCATCTGGCCCCAGAGATTTTTCTGTGTGTAAAGGTGATTAATTACAAATTTAATTTATTTAATAAGACATAGGTTTATTCAGATTTCCTATTTCTTCTTGAGTCAGTTTTGGTAAGTTGCATTCTTTTAGGAAATTTGTCCATTTCATCTAAGTTGCCAATTTTTTTGGCATTATATTATTGATAATATTTTATCCTTTTAATATCTGAAATATCTGTAACGATGTTCTCTCTTTCATTCCTGATATTAGCAATTTATATCTATTCTTTTATTTATTTATTTATTTTTTCTGAGACAGGTCTGTCTTTGTCACCCAGGCTGGAGTGCAGTGGTATGATCATACCTCACTGTAATCTCAAACCACTGGGTTCAACCAATCTTCCTGCCTCAGCGTCTCTAGTAGCTGGGGCCACAGGTGTGCACCATCATGCCCAGCTAATTTTTTTTTTATTTTTTGTAGAGTAGGTCTTGCCATGTTGCCCAGGCTGTATTCTTTTATTTATTTATTTATTTAGAGATGGAGTCTTGCTCTCTTGCCCAGGCTGGAGTGCAATGGTGTGATCTCCGCTCACTGCAACCTCTACCTGCCTGGTTCAAGTGATTCTTCTGCCTCAGCCCCCTGAGTAGCTAGGATCACAGGTATGTGCCACCACACCTGGCTGATTTTTGTAATTTTAGTAAAGACGGGGTTTCACCATGTTGGTCAGGCTAGTCTCAAATTCCTGACCTCATGATCCGCCCGCCTCGGCCTCCCAAAGTGCTGAGATTATAGGTGTGAGTCACTGCGCCCAGCCCCAGGCTGTATTCTTTTATTTTTGAGAAGTTGATGTAGGATTTTAATAATTATATTGATTATTTAAGAGAACGAACTTTTGCTTTTGCCCTAACCTTAACCCTAATATCTGTTTTTTATTTTATTGTTTTCTGTTCTTGGTTATACTATTTCTTTTTACATATTTTTGGGGTATAATTTGCTCTTCTTTTTCTAGCTTCTTAAGGTTATATTATTGACCCATTATCTGCCTATCGATTCAGGTTTGCATTTTCCTTGCTTGATCTTTTATAGCCAGTGTTATGTTAAATGCTTTCCTTATTGTTATTCATTCTTTTATTATTTTGGATCATGTCTTGTTTTCTCGAATCTGTTTTTACAAGTAAGACAGATAGATAGAATCATACCTTGTTCTTTGACTTGTGCACAGATATTAACTTAGTGTTCTGTATATGTTATGTGCTTAATAATTATTAAAAAATATTTTAGTGTGTTTCCAAGCACCAGATCTATATGAAGAGTGGGGAACAATGCACATAAGAGGAGTGGAGCTTAACATTCCTATTTGGTCATCAAAAGCCAGCTCAGACATCATCTCTTCTTGGAAGGACTCTCCATAGGCAGAAAGTATTTCTCTCTTTCATTCTATTTTGTTTATCTTGTATACACTCCTCTTGTTGTACCGATGTTGTATCATAATATTTTAAAAATTAGCTTATAGGTCAGCCTCTCCTACTGTAGTTTTAGTTTTTGACAACAGGGACACTGTCTTGTTCCTTGGTGCCTAGCACAATGCCCGTCATACAGAAATTATCCATTAAATGTTTGGGTGAATGAAAGAACAAAAAGCCTTTCTGTGTCTCTGAAGTCTGGTGAAACATTCAGAACATATGTAACAATCCGTGCTCTGTTGTTCTATATTTCAGAGAATAAACATGCAGGCCTATTGTGTTTTTGAAATGCATTTTAAATGGAAAAAGTTTCAGCATGTGTTGTAAGTTACTGCTGTCCCTCAGAGTAGGGTCCGGAATCAATCAATGTCTGGGACCCAAAAGCACGTGGACACCACCACTTTTCACCCCCAACCCTTTAATCTGTCTCAAGAGAAAATGACTGGTTTAAGCCAAACTAACCTCTCCTGCCTTCGTTCTCAGACATGGGGACTGGTTCACAAAGAAAGAGGGTCTGCAGCTCCACTATTTCAGAAATGCTGAACTCAGAGCACTTAGATAATGGGAAATGTCCCGAAACTCCAGCCAGATCAATTTGTTCCCCCTCCCTAGGGCTATTGTCACAGTGCCCTTGCCAAAGCTCTCAACAAGTCTTCATAATCTCTTACATGCTTGGTTCTCTGTGGAGTTTTCCAGGCACTTTCCTACCCATTATCTTTTCTAATCGCCACAACAGCTGCTATATACGGTATTCCAGAGGGCACCGAATGAAGGAAAGAGATCCAGCTCTGGAGCTGGACAGCACTGATTCAATTCCTGCTCTGCCAATTACTGATGTGGCAGGGGGCAAATATCTTTACCTCACTAAGCCTCAGTTTTCTCATTTGTAAAATGGGGATAAAAATACTCAAAGCCTTCTTGTATAACTCAGAGCTAATATGCATAAGCCATTTAGCACAGGATTTGGTACCTGGTGGGTGCTGATAAATGGTAGCTATAATTGTTACTATTTTCATGTTCTGTTAATGTAATTACTTTGGTTTCCTGTAGCAATTCAGGGTAAGATTAAACCAGGTGCCACGTGCAGCGAAATACTGCTAATGGCTAATGGACATCATATATATTGTCAATTAACTGACTTATCACACGATATTTTCTAAAAGCAAGGGTAGAGGGAACTTTAAAAACCTAAAACCAAAAAGAAAAAGCACCAAACCAAATGGAATAAAGGCAAGCCCTGTAGCTTAAATATTGCTGGAGTGCAATTATGTCTGTCCTGGAATCAGTGTAGACCTTGTGCATAAAGTAGCTGCTTTGGATAAGTTGGTGTTAGTTTATTTGTTCCTATGAACAATTTAACAAAAAATTGAACTGGCATCTATGCAGTGCTGAATGCTAAGTTTAGAGAGAAATGAATATGTAAACCTTTGATTTGCTGAACAAACCTTTGGTCTTCAACAAAAGACTGTACAAAGAACACAGAGCATGGAGCCTCTAACTCTACCTGGGAGAACTGGGCAGAGGAGAGTTGAAGGATAGGTTGGCTTTTCCTCAGATGGTGTTAACACTAATGGCATCTTCAAACTGTGATGAGGTTTTGTGAAGATCGCTGTGGGAAGTGGTGAAGTGATGATTAGCTTGGTGTGATAATCAAATATTTGCTCTATAGCTAGGCAGAACTCTGAGTGAGAATCCATGCTCTGTCATTGATGAGTTGGATGAACCTTGGATAAGTTGGTTCAGGTGCTTGCGTTTACACAACTTAAAATGGAGATGCTAGTAATAGCTACCTTGGAAACTTTAAGGGACCAACAAAAAATTTCCTGTCTTCCTCATTTAGACTTGGAACTAATTGAAAGGGTGGAAATTAGAGAGATAAGTATAAAAATGTCATGTTACTACTTATAAAACTGTATTGAAAAACTTGGATGCTTAGAAATGATGGGCTTCCTAATTCTACACCCCAGTAATGAACATAGTCACTAGGCACTGGCAGAAATGGAAACTACAGGCCCCTTTTAGGAGGAAAATGTGCTCCACGAAGCTTACTCAGCAGGAAGACTCGAATGCATTCAGGTCAAAGAGTGGCTTTAGACGTGGCTGAGCCAAGTGCATCTAGTTTCTTCTTCCCAACTAACCAATGGGTTGAGCGACTCTCCCAGGGAGAATGAGGGGTGAGCAAGAGGCTAAGAGTTTGCTGTAGTGAAGATCCTTAATCTACAGGAAAACCTGAAGTCTGAGAAAGGGAGGGTGCTTCCAACATCCATATTAGCAAAGAACTGGATTAAATATGAGGTAAAATATACAGCGAGCACTCTAAGCATAGTGCCTGGCAGGCAGTAAACACTGAACAAATGTTAGCTTTTATTGTTGTTACTATGGCAGTAGATTAACAGGGCCCAATATATTCTCTGATATTTTTCCCTTAATGTATCCATGAAGACATGCAAAACCTCAAACACTGGATGCTACAGAAAGGACCATATGCCAAAGTCTGAAGGGGAATTTTTTCCAGCTCTACTATTGATAAATATGTCCATCCTGGATAATACTGTTATATAGAAACCATGGAACTCCCTTTTGGGAAGCAGGGATGTAAATTGATCCGAAATATTGACAAACCTTATGCAGCAACATCTCTTCTGCATTTGGATATTTTTTAGCTTGATAGAAGTCCTAGCCTCTCATTTTCATAATTTTTCTCCACACATAATCAGAAGCTACAACTCACAGAACATGTGATGCATTGCATCTAGAAAGTAGCTATCCAAGGAAAAGCATTCTGGTAGAAATGGTAGAGTTCTGGGAACAGTGCAGTAGGTAGAGATGGGGTAGTGATGAAGGAAGAGGCAGGAGAAAAAGGATGGGGTCTTTATGCTCTATATAATAAAAGAACCAACAAATGCATCTAGCCCCAAAGTCAGTGAGAGGAGAGTTCTCCTCAGCCCTGATCAGTCAAGAAGGATAATTACCTACCCAGCCTAGGACTAGGGGCCATGCATATCCACTCCTACTTTAAGTCTAAATCTTATAAAAGAATACTTCAGCACCCAAAGGGACAGAGAGAAACCAAGGAGATGCCATGGCCTCTACCTGTTGGCATAAGGTGGTCTTTGTACAAGGATAAGTCAATAGGTTTTTTAAAAGTGCCCTATAAAAATTACTATAGCATAAAGGAAATGGAAAATTATTCTCTAGGCTCAAAGGGAAATCATAACTCTAAAAATTACTTGCTACAGAAGTCAGAAAATATTTTGGAAAACATTTGCTTTTTTCAATAAAATGCAAAAAGTCATGGTATCTCTGAAAAAGGACAGGTGAGCCTGAAACAGAAATGGTGTGAGATGAAAAGAGTTTGAAAGTCAATTCCAAAAGCAAGACTAATATTCATGTCCATTTTGGACATGATTTTATAAAATGAAATTTCCTGAAGAAAAGATTGGAATGAAACAAAAATATCTAAGTTTTAATAAAACAAACTGTTCTTTAGTAGAAGAAAAGGCCAGTGTTTAGAGATTAACGTGATTTGGTATTTTCCAGGTGACTTTTATATATTGCTGATGACATTTTTTTAAAGTTTAAGGAAGACAAAAAGTTCTGTAAAAATTCATGCAAAAAAATCACAAAACACAACCAAAACCAACAGCAACACATTATCAAGAAACAAAAATCAGACTTCTCATTGGCAACACTGAATAACTTAAGAAAATAGAACAATTCTGCATAGTTTTGAAGGAAAAAATGTGAACCAAGTAATGGTCAGAGAAACCAGGTGAGGGATCTGGAAATGAATAACTGTTCAAGGAAAAACATTGTGGTAGAAACGGTAGAGTTCTGTGAACACTAATCTAGAATCTAAATCATTAGATTCTAGAATCTAGTAGAATCTAAATTAATTCAAGAATGTTAAAATTGTAGTACAATAGAACAGGTAATAAACATTGAAAATAAGTGAACAGTGTGAACATGAAAACTGTCAGGATCCTGTCAGAAGACAGAAATCATCTAGATATTTCAATCAGAGGGAATTTAATATAGGCTATTTGTTACTTAGAGGATGGTCTTCCTTACTTCTCAAACTTTAATGTCACCTGGGATCTTTTAAAAATGCAGATTCAGGCTGGGCGTTGTGGCTTGCACCTGTAATCCCAGCACTTTGGGAGGCCGAGGCGGGCGGATCACTTGAGGTCAGGAGTTTGAGACCAGCCTGACCAACATGGCGAAACCCCATCTCTACTAAAAATACAAAAATTAGCCAGGCGTGGTGGCGCGCGCCTATTATCCAGCTGCTCGGGAGGCTGAGGTAGGAGAATTGCTTGAACCCAGGAGACGGAGGTTGCAGTGAGCCGGGGTTGTGCCACCGTACTCCAGCCTGGGCAACAGAGCAAGACTCCGTCTCAAAAAAAAAAAAACAACAAATAGATTCAAATTTAATAGATTTGGAATGAGCCCTGAGATTCAGCATTTTAAAGATGTTCCTAGATAAAGCCAATGCTGCTGGTTCCTGAAACACTTTTTGAATAGTAAGGAAATAGGAAAAGTTGAGGAAACCAGAGATTAGCAGTAACAGGAAGACACAACTTTCCTTAGGGTTGAAGAAACACGGGAGGGGATGCTATTTCAGTGTCACTGAGTGGTAGCTAGCCCTGTGGCCAGGGTTTCCCGATGGGAGCTGGGACCAAGGTGAGAGGGGCTGGTAGGATCTGAAATCACAGTGGAGATGCAGCTGCTGCTAGAGACCTAGCTGGAGGCAGAGTGACAGGGAGTTAAATACCTTCACTAGCCTCTGATCTTCAGCAAGTATTTCCTGTTTGCTGCAACTACCTTCCCCAGTGCAGTATGCAGCCTTGCTGGCTCTCAGCTTCTCCTCTGAGTCAGCCTTTAATATGCTGAGCAATTAATTAAACTTGATCCCAACCACTACCTCTAAACGTAGACAATCAAATGAATCACAAGGGGCTCTCTAGGTATAGGATCCACCTCTTAGAGCTAGAGAGATGCGGTAGGGGAGAATAAGGGGGGAGTAACAAGTCGAGTTTACATCAATAACAAACGCAGTTTTCCTCCTACACTTATTGCCCTGTGTAGCTTCTTTTCTCAGTGTGCCGACCACACCATGCTCTCTCCCACTTCAAGGCCTAAACAAAGGCTGATGCCTTACCATGGAATGTGTTCCCCCATACTCTGTGTCTGGTTAACTCCTCATCATTTAGATCTTAGCTTAAATGTCTCTTATTAACAGAAAGCTCCCTAACACCCTAGACTAGATAAGGTCTGCCTGAAATAATTTCTTATAACATCTCTTCCTTGCTCTTCCTGGCACTTATAACAATGCGAACTTATATTTGTGTGATTATGTTCTATGTCCCTGTCCCCGCTAGGCTCTAAGTTCCATGAGGGTGAAAATGGTGTCTACTTTGTTAAATATGGTGTTTGCCATGCCTGGATGCACCTCTCCAGGTCATTAGCATAAAAAAGCAGATTGGGTGTTTTGGTGGCCAGAGAACATATTCCTGATGTTAACATTTGAGTGTGAGTATAGAAATGTGATTTCTGGAAGGCATTTTGCTTTGATAATGAGCTGGTCAGTCAGGAGTTGATATTATTCTAAACTTTCAAAAGTTGCATCACATATGTAACCCATAAAAGTGGCATTTAAAACATAATAACAACTACCATTTGTTGAATACTATCCCATGCCAAACACTGTGCTGTTTTACAGACATTTAATCCTCACAACCACCTATAAGGTTATTCCCATTTTACTGATGAGGACGCTGAAACTCAGATGGTGAATGATGTCCTATATTTCATAAGTAGTGGAGCAAAGATTAGGATTGATGTCTTTCTGTCTTTATTAAGCAATGTAACTATTATAACTTCTAAATAACTAGTTTTAAGTTTAATTTAATAGGCTTTTTTTTTTCTTTTTTCTAACTCAAGGGTGAAGACCTAAGCTGTGAATAGCACAAAGTCTTCAGGGAATGTTCCTTCCTGGGCAAAAGGTAAGTAAAGCAGGCACCTGTTTGTGCAGGGGTGTGGCAGCCCCCAAGGAAGCCCACAGTGGAATATATATCTCTCAGCTGCAAAGAGCCAAGAGAGGTCTTTACGGGAAGTTAAGTCCGAATTGGAACCAGGAGGAAGTTTGGCAGGTCAAAGCCACTGGTGTGCCAGCTCTTAAGAGCTGATTGTTAAATTTTTAGGAATTTTGCAAGCTGGTTATTAGATATAGTCATTATTAAACATTAACTTTTATAAACCTGTAATTTAAAAGTATATTAAAAGCAAAGGTAACAAATACTTAAAACTTATTACTTCCTAATGATTTTATTACATTTCACTATTATTTATGCTCTTGAGTTACGTCTGCTGAAACTGAATGGTAGAAATACTATATAGTGGTATGCTACTGTGCATCTCTTCCCACTTCTGTGTTGGGAAGGTAGCTTGAAATTGTCCATCGTCCAATGTTTACACCGTGGAAATTGGCAAGCACTACATATCAGTCCTCCCATTTCTGAAAGCTGGTTGTCAGATGTTTGTCAGCACACTACTACTGCTTTAATCCCTGGGAAAGGGGCCAAGATCAGAGCCAAATGTCAAAAGCCAAAGAACAGTACAGATTAAAGCTGTAGTTCCCTGTGGTTGCTGCCCTCTGTTATTTGGGGTAGTTAGCATTCAGGGAGCTGGAGAATGGGGTTTTGGTATTTTGCAAATAGAAATGTTTGGTATAGAAAAAAATGGTTTAAATGCTTATGAGAATAAAATTGTGAAATAGAAATTAGATAATATTAATATAAACTCAATTGGTAAACATTTTTTGAGGTCTAACAAAACCCCATTAGTATATAAAGTAGTTAGAGATGAGATACTGGGATTCTTTTGTCTTTTAAACTTGGAGGTGTTGCGTGAGGCGTAATGTATGTTACAAATCGAACACTCGTCACACCCTGCCACTGCGCCGCTACTGCATGACCACTGCCTTCTCTCTATGGAAAGCTACAAGACAGTTGTGTACATTTTGGAACGTTTTTGACTCTTGTTATATTTGGAAGAGGCTCTGGGATGTTGTCTAAAGAAGCTGAGAATTATTTATAAGAGGTAAAGGTGAATTGTGAAATGATGTGATGGTGCGACTGTAGTTAGAATTACTGTCAACACCTTACAATTTTGGCTGTGCTTGTAGAATCGGTTTTCCTTAAAGGCTTTAATTATCTTTGAAATCTGATTCATAGCAACCCAGGCAGTAGGGCAAGGAATATAAAATTTTATAGAAATGTTCAATTCAAATTATCTGGGTGAAGTTGGCCAGTCTCAGTAAGTGGTGTGTTTTACCTGGCATGCTTCTCCTAGTTGATTAAATGTCTTACTTGTTTTAATTGATTACAAAGTCATATGTGCTTATTGTAAAAATTCACATAACACAGACTACAAATCTCTTACACACTCACAACCCCAAACCCCAGAGGTAATATCCCATAAGTAAAACAGTTGAGAGTTTTTCTACCTATATGTACTTAACATATAAATATGAAAATTAAATGAGATCATATTGCTCTGCAACTCTTTTCATTTAAAAAAATGTGATATGGTATACCTACAGAAGATTATATAAATGGATGCATACAAATTATAACTAAATGAACACTGGTGCAATCTCTACTTAGAGTATGAAACAGAAAATTGCCTGCACCTTTGAAAGTTGCTGTGCCCCTTCATAATCACAAGTACTTACTCCTATAACATAGGAAACGATGACCTTGACTTTTGTGACAACCGTTGTCTTGCTTTTCTTCATACTTACACCGCGTATCTATGTATTCCTAAATAATCTTTTGTTCAGTTTTGACTGTTTTGAACTTATATGAAATCAATCATTCTGAATGCATTTTTGTAACTTTCTTTCATTCAGCTTTGAGAATGAGATATATTAATTTTACTGCACATAGCTGTAGTTCATTCATTTTTATTGATGCATAATATTCCATTGCAGTGATAGAAATCAGTTTGTTTAGCCAGTGGATTTTTGATGAACATTTGTGTCATTTTTAGTTGTTTGATATTTTTAATGATGCTATTTTAAATACGTACACACACACATACATGTATCTGGTGTAAGTATATTGAAGTTTTCTTATGATGTATACCTAGGAGAGGGGTTATTGAATCACAGGATTTGGATGTGTTAATCTTTACTAGGTAATGCAAATTGTACTCTAGAATGATTTACCAATTTACTTTCTGATCCATGATGGATGAGAGGATCCTATTTCTTTAAATGTTTGCTAATACTTGGTATTGCCAGGCTTAAAAATTTTTGCCTTCATATATCATTATAGCTTTAATTTGCATTTATCTGATCCTAATGAGGCTATTTTTTTAACGTAATTATTGACCATTTTGGTTTCCTCTCTCATGAAATTCCTGTTAAGTCATTTGTCCATTTTTGGTCTTGAATTGTCTTTTACTTAAGGATTCTTCAGTGTTCTTTATATGCAGTTTTTCATCAAATCTAAGATGCCATCATTAAAAATGTACCACTGTATTACATTAAGAACAAAAACATTTTCAATTACGTTGTAACCTGCCAGTGATCATAAGATGCACCCCAACGTCCATGATGGTAAAATGTGGAAAACTGTTTGTCTTAGATACAAAAACTATGGTGTTCTAAGTAGAAGACCTTTGCCAGTTATACGTGTTGCAAATAGCTTCTCCTGATTTGTTGCTTGGTTTTTCCCTCTCTTTATAGTTCTCTTTGATTAACTGCAGTTCTAGCTTTTAAGGAAGTCGAATTTATCTACCTTTTTCTCTACGGCTTTTTTTTTCTTTTTGCATCTTTTTAAAGAAATTATTTCCAGCTGTGAGATAATGAAGATATATTAATTTCTAAAAGTTACGTAGTTTTCTCCTTCTCATTTTACCTTTAATCTCCCTAGAGTTGATTTTAGTTATGGTGTAAAGTAAGGTCCAATGGCATCTTTCACCTTACGCCTGTGTCTTTTTCATTTTTGTCAACCTTTGTACCAATACTCTACTGAGTTTCCTGTAGCTTAACATCTGTTAGAACAACTTCCTCTCCATTTCTTCTTCTTCAAGGACATTTTTGGTTATTCTTGGCCCTTGGCACACATTTCACACACTCAAAATCCACTTCCTCCAAACAAAAAACTTGCTAGGACTTTGATTGGGATTGCTTTGAATCTATAGATCAATTTGAGAAATGACATAATAAAATTGGATCTTACAATCTATTAATGTGATTTGTATCTTCATTTTTGGAATCCTTATTGATTTCTCTTGATAATGTTTTATAGTTTTGTGAGTGTTTTGCAGAGTTACTGTAAGATATATTCCTGGGTATTTTAAATGCAGTTAAAAGCAGTATTTGTGTTTTTGTGTCTTGTTGCGATATATAAAAATATAATTGAGAGTTGTATATTGCCCTTGTATTCAGCAACATTTTATATTTCAAGTTTATTCTAATAATTCATTTACGGATTTAAAAATCACCTACATATATAATCAAAACATCTGTGAGTAAAATCAGTTCTGTTTCTTTTGTTTGCCATTATGCTAGGATTTCTAGTATCATAGTATAATAGTATAACAATCTAATACTGAAGAGAGACGATAATAGTGGGCAGTCTTGTCTTACTTTTTTTTTTCTTTTTTTTTTTGAGATGGAGTCTTGCTCTCGCCCAGGCTGGAGTGCAGTGGCATAATCTCAGCTCACTGCAACTTCCGCCTCCCGTGTTCAAGCGATTCTCCTGCCTCAGCCTCCTGAGTAGCTGGGACTACAGGCACGTGCCACCACACCTGGCTAATTTTTTGTATTTTTTAGTAGAAACAGGGTTTCATCATGTTGGCCAGGATGGTCTGGATCTCCTGACCTCATGATCCGCCTGCCTCGGCCTCTCAAAGTGCTGGGATTACAGGTGTGAGCCATTGTGCCCGGCCCTGTCTTGTCTTACTCTTGATCCCAAAAATAGCATTCCATAGTTCACAGTTTGCTGCTGGGTTTTTATTTTTGTAGTTACACTGTATAAGATTAATGAGTTTCCTTGTATTCAAAACCAAGCTTAATGGCTGAATGATCTTTAACTGGTTTCTTTACTTGTCTGTGAATTAGTGTCCTTATCAGAAAAATTGGATGTCCTACTCTAGATTCCCTAAAATGCAAACACTGGGACAAGGATTAAGTGCTAATGCTTTAGGTGAGAGATGTGATCCCAGGGCAGCAAGAAAGGATGAAAAGAAAAGGGAGGTGGTAAAGTGTGGGAAGCAATGTAGGGTAAAGCCTTTCTGCACTGGCTACTGTCATGACTACAAACACATAACTGCGTCTCAGCAGGTGAGTCAGTCACTCAGCCATGCATGAAGCCTCCAGACAGGCTGCATGGCCATCTATGTCTCAGCACAGTCAGTGGGCAGGAGGAAGGAGAGATTTTATCCTTCTGCTTCCTGTCTTTTACTAGTCAAAATTTTCCCCAATAGGAGTTAACTTTTCCACACTGTGGGTTGCATTATCAGGCTTTTTGGCAGCTATGTGTAGCCACTTCTGTGGAGTGGCATTTCATCTGGGTCTGGAGATTGTAGGAGGGGCCAGAGACTCCAGATAAGTGGCTGCTCAGCCTCAAGCAGCAGAAGGGTGTGTCCTTTGCCTGAGATGCTGAGTGAAGCAGAGCAAATGGCTGAGTCCAGGAGACAGGTGAGGCTGAGAGACTATGAGGAGGAACAGTAAATAGGTCAAGTTGATTGTGTGGATTAAATACATTACTTGCATTTAATCTTAGGTTAAATAAAATGCTCAGAAAAGTGCCTGGTATAAAGTGAGCTCTCAAATACTATTAACTAAAATGCAATCCAATTTATAATCCCTTTCTCTATAGACATTAATCTTTGTGAAATGCTTAAAGCCTTTCTCATTCAGCTATTCTAAAAGTATCATCCATCTGGATTTTATTTCGGTATAAGAAGTGAGGTCAGAATCACGCTTTATGTTTTTCCAAATGACTTGACATGGGTCCAAACACCACATATTGAATATTTCATATTTTTCCGTTCCTTTGAAATTTGGTTTGTAAGATATTGAACTTGCATATTTATTTGCTAATTTATTAGCTTTTAATTCTGTTCTATTGATACATCTGTAAATTCTATTGTACTGTTGTAAGGATTGTAGTTTTATGATAATATAGTACTGTAGGGTATGTTCCCATTTCTTGCTCTTCTTTTTAAAGATTTTCCTGATTATTTTCATATGTTTATAATTTTAGATAAAGTTAACAATCATTTTTAAGGTTTCTTCTCTTAAAAATGCTGTTGAGATTTTGATTGCGAATATATTAAATTTACAGTGTAAATTAGGAAATATGTATGATGGTGCAATATACTTTTAAAAAAAAGCTCTCTCCTTTTATTCAAGATTTAATGTTTATTAGTAAAATTTTGTAGTTTCCTATAAGTACCAAACATTTCTGGTTATATTATTGCTAGATACTTTATGACTTTCTGTAGTTGTGAATGGAATGCTTTCTTCTATCTTTATTTTACTTGATTATTGTTTGTATATTAGGAATCTATTGGCTAATTTTTAACAACCTTATTGAGTCATATTTTGTAGTATTATATCCATTTCAAGTGTTCAATGATGTTTGGTGACATTTAGTGAGTGGTCCAACTACTACCGTAAACTAGTTTTAGAATATTTTCATTCTCTGAAGATATATTTTATACTTATTTATAGTGAATCCCAGCCCCTACCCCCAGGACAACACCAGTCTACTTTCTATCCCTATAGATTTTCTGAACAATTCATGTAAACGAAATCTTGCTATATGTAGTTTCTTGTGTCTGGCTTGCTTTCACTTAGCAAGGTTCATCTATGATGTAGTGTGCGTCAGTATTTTGTTTTTACTGCTGAATAATATTTCACTGTATGGTTATACCACATTTCCTCTATTCATTTACCAGTGATGGACATTTAGATTCTTTCCAGTTTTGGAGTATTATGAATAATGTTACTGTGAACATGAAGTCTTTGTGTGGACATGTTTTCATTTCTCTGGGGCAGATACATAGGAGTGGAATTGTTGGGTTATACAGTAATATTATGTTTAACTTTTTGAGAAATTACCAAACTATTTTCCAAAAGGGCTATACTGTTTTACATTCCTACTAACAATGTATGATGGTTTTCTACTGACTTTAAAATATTTATGTTGTACGTGACTACGGAAAATTGTTTTTATTAACTATTTTTATGTTGATGCTTGTATTAATACACATTCTTTCTGTTTTGTTGTTGTTGTTTGTTTTGTTTTGTTTTTACTGGTAGGGTCTTGCTCTGTAGTCATGGCTGGAGTGCATTGGCACAATTACAGCTCATTGCAGCCTCGAACTCCTGGGCTCAAGTGACCCCCCTGCCTTAGCCTCCTGAATAGCTAGGACTATAGGCATGTGCCACTTATAGCTGGCTAATTTTTATTTAAAAATTTTTTTTGTGGCCGGGCGCGGTGGCTCACGCCAGTAATCCCAGCACTTTGGGAGGCCGAGGCGGGCACATCACGAGGTCAGGAGATCAAGACCATCCTAGCTAACATGGTGAAACCCTGTCTCTACTAAAAATACAAAAAAATTAGCCGGTCGTGGTGGCGGGCGCCTGTAGATCCAGCTACTTGGGAGGCTGAACTTGCAGTCTCCCGGGAGGCGGAGCTTGCAGTGAGCCAAGATAGCGCCACTGCACTCCATCCTGGGCAACAGAGCGAGACTCCGTCTCAAAAAAAAAAAAAAAAAACTTTGTAGGTATGATATCTTGTTATGCTTTCCCAGGATGGTCTCAAGTAATCCTTCCTCCTCAGCCTCCCAAAGTCTTGGGGTTACAGGTGTGCGCCACTGCACCCAGCAGAAAATATACTTAGTTGCACATGACAGCATTCCAACTCAAACTAGCTTAAGAAAAAATAAAAGAAAGTATATTGGTTTATGTAATGAAGAAGAACAAATGAAGTGTTGATCATAAACAACTAGAATTCAGGGAGTTAAAAGACTATCAGATGGGGTCCCTCTCAGCTATGCTTCTTAATCTTGAACATCTTGACAGATGATGCTTAATGGTACAGTTTTTGTCCTTTGATTTCTTTATGTAATATGTTTATCAATCTCTTGCTATTATACCATCCTTGGATCTCGAAATATACCCTATTTGGTCACATTGTATTATTTTACATCCTGCAGTATTTTTTGCTAACACTTTGATTAAAACTTTTTCTAGATACATGGGTGAGCTTGATCTTCTTTGTTTCATACTATCTTCAAGCAATTTGGTTATTAAAATGTTTACTAGTAAAATAAGTTCAAGAAGTTTCTATATTTTTATGTGGTCTGGAATAATTTAAATAGTATTATAATAATTTGTCCAATAGCTTAAAGCTCAATTCTAAAATCATTTGGAGTTAGTATTACTTTCACAGGTAGATTTCTTGTCATTTTCTAACAGCTTTTGTAATTGATGTATTCAATTTTTTTTGCTACTTCTTGCATTAATGTTGATAATTTTTATTTTGTTAGGAAATGATACATTTCCTATAGGTTTCCAAATCTGTAGCTGTGGAGTTGCATATGATAGTCTCTTGTAATTATTTTAACCTGTATTATGACTTTGGTTAGGAATTGGTTATACTGATTTATAATTCTACTTAAAATATAAAATGATTCCATTCCTGTTTTCTTACTTTATCTTCCACTCTGGATATTATCAGATGATAAAATTTTGTGTGTAAATTTTATCAAACTAACTTCCATTTTCCTGATTATAAATGAAGGTCAATGTACTTTCGTGAGTTTATCAGACATTATGGTTCTCTGCCACTGTCAAATGTATGTTTATAACCTTTGCCTACCTTAATAATTTATTTGAGACTTCTAGTGCTAGCCAAAATGGACTCACTCCACTATGGCCTATCTTCCCCACAGATCACAACTAATAACTCTGGATAGAATTAAAAAAAAAAAAAAAAACTACCTGAAGACTGAAAAATAAACACTAGTTGTCAGATTGGGGAAGAATGTCAAATCTTAAAGAACAAGCAGTATGGGAAGGAGTTTTCTGGGTTTTTTTCCTTGTCTTCAAGGTTTGATCCAAGGGTAGCCCCAGTGGCAGAACTGTGTAACAGGTACAGACAGCAAAACTCAGAGAAGGCCTTCCCCATCTGACCAGGAGACCAAAGGAAGAGACTCCTGCACGCCAGAGAGTGTGGGGGAAAATCCCAGTTGTTTTTCTTTTATCTTTTTTCAGCAGCCCCATTTGTGAAGCTACCTGCTGTAGTAGTGGTGACAATAGCATAGACACTGAAAACCTTGAGAGAAAACTTATCTCTTTGGTCAGAGAAACCGAAATAAGGGATTCCTGTGGTGTGAGAGTCTGGAGCACTCCCTCTGTTTTATCTCATCATTTTACTCTGGGTGTGGCTCCAGCCATGCAAAACTGTGAAAGCACAGAAGCTAAAACTCAGAGAGAGAAACATGTATTTCTAGTCAAAGAAATGAAAAAAGGTGGGACCTCAGGAGCTGGAAAGTGTGGGAGAAATCCTGAGGAGAAGAGAGCTGGAGAAGGGAATCACCTGATTCTATATGAACCAGTACAAGTCATCCCTCAGCTGCGCATGTGTGGAAACAGGCCCAGAGAAGCATAGCATGGGATTTGAGGACTGAACTAGAATATAATCCACAGCTAAGTCCTGGACTAATGGCGCACATATGGGGCAAACTCACTAGAGCATAGCAAAGGCTTTTAAAATTCGCATTAGAAGCACAGCCCCTAGAAAAATGAAACGGAATTCACAGTCTAGATCTAAACAGGTTCACTGCCCAAATCAACCTTCTTCAGGGGTTTTGACAAAACCAAAGGTTTCACACACAACATTCAAATTACCCAGATGAATCCAGAATTACTCAACATGTGAAACACTGGGAATATGTGATAAATTCTCAAGAGAAAATACAAACAGATGCTAATCCCACGGTGATCCAGATGCTGAAGTTATCAATGGCTTTAAGCAGCTATTACAATTTGAAGTTAATAGAGAAATAAAAGCCTTAGATATGGAAATAGAAACTACGAGAAGACCCAATTGGGACTTCTAAAACTGAGAAATGTACTATGTGAAATAAAAACTTCACTCAACGAACCGAATAACAAAATGGAGATGACATTTGAAAATGGAGCAATAGGAAGGATCCGATTTGAAAAACAAAGAGAAAAAAGATTGACAAATCTGTGAGCTCTTATCAAAAGATCTAATATTTATATCATTGGAGTCCCAGAAACAGAAGAGAAAGAGATGGATTCAGAAAAAAATATTTTCAAGAAATAATAGCAAAAAACTTCCTAAATTCAGTGAAAGACATAAGTTTATATTTCAAGAAGATCATTGAACCCCAGACAAGAAAAACTGAAGAACAACAACAAAGCCCATCTATTCATCAGAGAAAAACTTCTGAATAACAAAGAGAAAGAAAAAAAAAAAATCTTGAAAGCATCCAGAAAAAAAAAATGACATATTATATAGAGGAGAATAATGATTTTTATGACTGTGGATTTCTTATTAGTATCCTTGGAGGCCAAAGAACGGTAGAATAAAATTTTTAAGGAAAGAGAACTGTTAATCCGGAATTCTATATCCAGTAAAAATATTAATTGAGAATGAAGGAGAAATAAGGCACTTGCAGATGAAGAAAAACGAAGAGAATTCACCAAGCTGAACTCGTCTTAAAAAATGTTAAAGAAAGTTCTTCAGTTTAAAGGGAAATGATACCAGAGGGATCCTTGAAACTTCAGTATGAAGGAAGAGTAACAGAAATGATAAATATCTGGGTATATGTAATAGATAATTTATATGTAATAGATAATTTTTCTTCTCATAAGTTCTTGAAAATATGTCTGACTGTCAAAAACAAATATAAGATTGGTAGGGTTTTCAACGTATCTAAATGTAATACCTATGACAACTATAACAACAAGTGGGAGAGTGAAGAGAACAATGTGGTTGTAAGACATCTACATTTTAATTCATATGGTAAAATATTCTAAGGACCCCATGAACGGTTAGTCGTGTCTATTATAATCCCTAGAGCAACTATTAAAAATGACCTTATTTAGTCCTGGAAATAGACATTGGCCTGAAATCTACTCAGTCTAATGATACAATCACTCCAACTATCTGACTTTGAATTAATGTTTGCATGCTGTGTATTTTTCTATCTGCCTACTTTTTAAACTTATTTGTGTCTATATTTGAAGTACTTTTCTTTTTTTCTTTTTATTTTTTTTGAGACAGAGTCTTGCTCTGTTGCCCAGGCTAGAGTGTAGTGGTGTGATCTCCACTCACTGCAACCTCCGCCTCCCAGGTTCAAGCGATTCTCCTGCCTCAGCCTCCCGAGTAGCTGGAATTATAGGCGCCTGCCACCACACCTGGCTAATTTTTTTGTATTTTTAGTAGAGACAGGGTTTCACCATGTTGGCCAGGCTGGTCTTTAACTCCTGATCTCAAGTGATCCGCCCACTTCGGCCACCCAAAGTGTTGAGATTACAGGCATGAGCCACTGCGCCCGGCTTTGAAGTACATTTTTAATAGGCAGCATATAATTGGGCTTCACAATTTTAAAACCTAATCGGACAAAATTTGCCTTTTACTTAGAATACTTAGACAACTTACAGTGAATATGATTATTAATATGGTCAGCTTTAAATCATCTTGCTATTTTAAAATATGTGTCCCCTCTAGTCTTTGTTCCTTTTTTCCTCTAATTCTTTAAAAATTAATTGAATATTTTTATGATTTCATTTTATTTCCAATATTGTGCTTTTACTTCCTTCCTCCTAAACTTTGTGCTATTGTCATATGTTTTACTTTTACATATTATAAATCTCATATTAGTTATTGCTTTAGTTTAAAGAATCAGGGACCTTCGTAGGCATTTATATAACAATGTCTTGTATATTTACCTGTGTAGTTATTATTTCTAGTGTGCTTTCTTTGTGTAGATTCATATTTTTATCTGATAACTCTTTGCTTCTATCTGAAAGACTTCTTTTAATATTTCTTGTAGTGTGGCTCTGCTCTCGGTGAAATCTCTCAGCTTTTGAATATCTGGAAAACCAATATTACCTTCTTTTTTTGCTTCTTCCTGCCAGCTCCTTGATCTTGAATCACCTCTGTTTTTGAAAGATATTTTTGCTGAATATAAAGATTGAGGCTGACAGTTCTTTTTTTTTCAGCATTTTGAAGATGTTGTCTGTTGTCTTTCCACTGACATCATTTCTGTTGAGTTATCTTTGTTCCCCCATATGTTACATATTGGTGATTTTTATTATTTTTTTTTAACCTGGCTGCTTTTAAGTTTTTTTTTTTAATCGTCACTGGTTCTGAGCAATTTGATTATGATGGGCCTTGGGATGCTTTTCTTTCTATTTCTTGGGCTTAGCATTTTAGATTCTTAGCTCTTGTAGGATTAAGATTTTTATCAAATTTTTAAAAATTATGGCCATTATTTCTTCAAAATTTTTTCTGCTCCTATGTTTTCTCTTCTTTACTGATTCCATTACAAGTATATTAAGCCACTTGAAGTTTTCCCATAGCTCACTGATGCTGTCTGTGCTCATTTTTTAAAATTCCCTTTTCTCTCTGTTTTTGTTTGTTTGCTTTTTGCATAGTTTCTGTTGTTACATCTTCAGGTTCACTAATTTTTTCTTCTGCAAAATCTAATGTGTCACTAATCCTATCCAATGTATTTGCCATCACGCATTGCAGTTTTCTTCTCTAGAAGTTTTACTTGGTTCTTTTTTATATCTTCCATATCCCTACTCAACTTTTTAAATGTGTGGCATATAGTTGTAGTAACTTTCAATGACTATGCTTGCTATTTCTAATATCTATTATCAGTTAAGGTTTATTTTCAATTTATTTAGTTTTTCTCATTACAAGTCATATTTACCTCCTTTTTTGTACCTAGGAGTTTTTTATTGGATGCCAGATACTGTGAATTTTTCCATGATGGTTACTGCATATTTTTGTGTTTCCATAAAATGTTATAGCTCTTTGTTCTGGGACATAGCTAAGTTACTTGAAGCATTTGATCTTTTCAGGTTTTGCTTTTAAGATTATTATGTAAAGCTGGAGCAGTACTCAGTACTAATTCTTTTCCACTATTGAGGCAAGACTGTTCTGTGCACTCTATCTTACACTCTGAGGATCATAAAGTTTTTCAGTCTGGCTGAAGGGGAAAGGCATCATGTCTAGCTGTATGTGAGCACTGGACAATGTTACTTCTAAATCTTTTGGTGGTTCTTTCCCCAGCCTTGTCTAGCTTCCCCACACGCATGTGCTTATTATACTCAGCTGAATACTCAAGGGCACTGTTCCACAGTGAGCAAGTATATGCACACCTACCTCCAAAGGCTAGGGAGCTGATAGACTGAAGAAAGAGGCTGACAAATCCAGTTTCTCAGAAAGAAACTTTTAATAGGAGCTTGCAAACAAAAGTGGTCTCAGGCAGCTGTGAGATGGTGGATTCCCCATACCTGCCCTCCAGAAAATGTCCTTTATGTAGCAAGTTTTTAAGGTAAAGACATGTGCAGCTGGTCATGCCTCAAATTTTTCTGCAAAACTTGCAACCACTGGGGAGATGAGATAAGCATCTTTGTGAGGGATTATCTATGCTAGAGGCATTGCTTAAAGATCTTACTGCAGAACACCTTGGTATGTGAGGGTCAAACATGGGTCATCATAGCAGTTTCACTGCAAGATGGCATCAGTCTTGGTGTGCAACAGGCTGTCTTCCTATGGGTACCCTCTGCAGATTCTCCTTTTCTGTGATACTCTCTCTTCTCTGGTACTCTGTCCTGCAAATGCTAGCCACCTTGGCTTCTCTAGACTCTCAGCTACATCTTCTCAACTCGTCATCCTTTTGTTGAATTGATCCCTTCATCATCATCATCATCATAATTATTCTTATTACATAGCTCTCTTTATCCATGGCAAATTTCTTTGTCCTAAATCTTGATATCACTAATGAGATGATATCTTTTTAAGTACTTTACTCAATGCCCTTGAATTATGAGGGTTTCCATGCTGGCTGGTAAGAATATAAACTATTCTTGGCTCTGTGTGAGCTTTGGAGATTTTTCCTTCTACTCTTTTTGGTTGATTCTTTCCTCGTCCTTGGGTAGTTTCCTCACATGCATTCTCTGATCTGTCCTCAGCTGAAGACTCAAGGCTTTGAAGATTCTGGAGTTCTCTCCTGATGTGCCCCTCTCTTCTCTGGTGCTCTGTCCTGTCAGGTCTAGCCACTTTAGCCTCCCTATCTTCCAGCTGTTTCTCCTCAGCTCAAGGAGACTGCTAGCCTCTGCCTGGAATCTCTCTTCTCATGCAGCGACTTGGAAACTCCCTCTAGGCAGTAAGCTAAAATGTCCTGTGTTTTCCCTCTCTGAGATGTCATTGTCCAGAACTGCCTGATGTTCAACATCTGAAAATAATTGTTTCATATGTTTTGTCCTTTTCTCAATTGCTTCAGATGGGAGGGAGTATCCAATCTCTATTACTCCATATTGACCAAATGTAGAAGTCCTTATTTTTTTAATTTCTTTTTATTTTTGGCTATAGTCACTCTGTTGTGTTATCAAATACTAGATTGTATTTTTTCTGTCTAACTGTATTTTTGTACCCATTAACCATACTCACTTCCGCCTCCCACCATCACCATTCCAAGCCTCTGATAACTATCATTCTACTCTATATTTCTGAGTTCAATTGTTTTAATTTTTAGCTTCCACGAATGAGTGAGAACATGCAAAGTTGTTTTCTTCTGTGCCTGGCTTATTTCACTTAACATGATATCATCCAGTTCCATCCACATTGTTACAAACGACAAGATTTCATTCTTTTTTTATGGCTGAAGAGCACTCCATTGTGTATATGTATCATGTTCTCTTTATCCCTTAGTCTGCTGATGGACACTTAGGTTGATTCCAGATCTTGGTTATTGTGAATAGTGCTGCAATAAATATGGGAGTGCAAATATCTCTTCACAATTCTGATTTCCTTTATTTTGGGTATATACCTAGCAGTGGGATTGCTAGATTATATGGTAGTTATGTTTTTAGTTTTTTGAAGAACCTCCATATTGTTGTCCATAGTGGTTGTAGTAACTTACGTTCCCACCAACTGTGTACAAGGATTCCCTTTCCTCCACATCCTCGCCATCATTCCTTATTGCCTGTCTTTTGGATAAAAGCCATTTTTATTGGGGTGAGATAATATCTCATTGTAGTTTTAATTTGCATTTCTCTGATGATCAATAATGGTAGTCACCTTTTCATATAGCTGTTTGCCATTCATATGTATCCTTTTGAGAAAAGTCTATTCAGACCTTTTGCCAATTTTTAAATCAGATTATTAGATTTTTTTCCTATGAGTTGTTTGAGCTCCTTATATATTCTGGTTATTAATCCTGTGTCAGATGGATAGTTTGCAAATGTTTTCTCCCATTCTGTGGGTTGTCTCTTCACTTTGTTGATGGTTTCTTTGCTGTGTGGAAGCCTTCTAACTTGATGTGATCTCATTTGTGCATTTTTGCTTTAGTTGCCTGTGCTTGAGGCACAGAAACTTTGGTTGCCTACGCTTGTGACACAAGAAACTTTGGCCCAGATCAATGTCCTGAAAAGTTTCTCCAATGTTTTCTTTCAGTAGTTTCTTAGTTTGAGGTCTTAGATTTAAGTCTTTAATTCATTTTGATTTGATTCTTGTATATGGCAAGAGATAGGGATCTAGCTTCATTCTTCTGAGTATGGATATCCAGTTTTCCCAGCAGCATTTATGTGTCCTTTCTCCAATGTGTGTTCTTGACACCTTTGTTAAAAATGAGTTCACTGTAGATGTATGGATTTATTTCTGGGTTCTCTATAAAAGTCCTCACCTTTAATAACTTTAAAAGTACTTTTAAAGTACTTATTTTATGGATGCAGACTATATCTACGATTCCTGTTGATTACATTTTTTTTCCTGTCAGAATCCTATGTAGCCTGTGTTGATGGAATATTCCTCAAGGGTAGTTTTGTGTTTCCTTCTACCAGATTATGTTAATTTCTCAACTTTGCAGAATTTCCACAGATGAAAATCCACTGAAAACGAGCTAACAAACATATCTGAAATAATTGTTTTTAGACATCAGATATCTTTGGTATCCTCAGATCACATGGAGAATGTAAATTCAAAGTTGAAACAAATGTATGATGTTGGTCCACATTTTTAAGTTGTTGAGAGTTCCTTTTTTCAATATGGAGCCCAAGCAAAGACTGACAAACTTTCCCATAATCCTTGTGATATGGTTTGGCTCTGTGTCCCCACCCAAATCTCATCTCAAATTGTGATCCCCATGTGTCGAGGAAGGGACCTGGTGGGAGGTGATTGGATTCCGAGGGTGGTTCCTCTATGTAATTCTCATGATAGTGAGTGAGTTCTCACAAGATCTGATGGTTTAAAAGTGAGGCAGTTCCCCCTTCGTGCTCTCTCTCTCTTGCCACTATGTAAGACGTGCCTTGCTTCCCCTTCACCTTCTGCCATGATTTTAAGTTTGCTGAGGCTTCTCCAGCCATGTGGAACTGGGAGTCAATTAATCCTTTTTTTTTTTTAAATATATTACCCAGTCACGGGTAGTTCTTTATAGCAGTGTGAAAATGAACTAATATAGCTTGCATGCTGATGGATAGTTTTTTCTTCCCTGGAAGATGTCAAGCTTTGGGTAGATATCTCAGTTCCAGCTCCCAGTATCACATGGGACTTTTCTGTCTCACATGGGTGTAGAACCCAAATCCTTACATTATTGAAACAAGCATTTCTTCCCTATTCTCTAGGAATTTCAGAGTTAGTTCCCATATTTATTCTGATTTTCGGATTCCTCTTCATTCATAGGATGTGAAGATTTCTCTCTATTTCTGATAGTATTAGTTATTAATTTTAAAGGATGCACATATATAAAACTACATATGTATGTTTTTATACATAAAAATTATAAAGATATCTGAAAGATTATATATATTTATATAAATAAAATATTTCAGATAAACTACATATTTTCTCTGATTACTAGTTAGTGGCAACTTACTGAAGCTTCCAGCCCTCAATAATTTGAATTCAAAAATTAAGTACCTGGCCATGCAGAGTGGCTCATGACTGTAATCTCAACACTTTGGGAGGCCAAGGTGGGAGAATTGCTTGAGTCCAGGAGTTTGGGATCAGCCTAGGCAAGATTGAAAGACCTTGTCTCTACAACAAGTAAAAAAAAATTCCAGGCATGGTGGTGCATACCTACAGTTCTGTCCCTTAAGTGATGCTGCCTCCCTTAGGTATGTGAAATACACTGGATTCTTGTGAGAAAGCAGAATGATTGTAAGATTATTATAGTCTCTTTGAATGAACATTTTGTTAGTGATCTTATTGTTATTTTTTAGTAAGAGCATACCACCATACATATATATCTGTGTATATGTACACACATAGGGACAGGGCTAAACAGTTTTTAGTGATGATGATTCAGGCTACATGTGTTATAACTGTCTGACTTTGTTAGTGGGAATTGGCTGAATACCATTTCAGGACACTCTTGAGCAGGGTTCAGAAAACTTTTTCAGTAAAGGGCTAGATAACAAATATTTTTGGCTTTGCAGGCCATATGGCCTCTGTCACAATTGCTCAACTCTGCAGTTACAGTGTGAAAGGACCATAAACAATATGTAAATGACTAGGTGTGGCTGTGTCCCAATTAAATTATATTTATAAAAACAGATTTGGTCCATGGGTTGTGGTTTGCTGGCTCCTGCTCTTGAGTCTATTCCATAATAAAATGCTATAATCCATGTATCCATAAATTAAGGCTTTCATTGTGCGCATGGAATTCCCAGATGCTGTCTGAGTCAGGTGGAGAGAATCTGGGTGGCTCCTCTTGGAACTCCAACAGAGTAGTGAAAATGAGATGGAACCCTGGCATGTACCTCCTCTTCTCTTATCACAGACTGACTGCAATAAGAAGGTAAACAATGTTGATCTTGGCCAAGGAGCTTTTCATAAGATGAATATACTATTCCATTGACTTTTTGAATCATTCTTGTCTTCCCAGAGCCTTGTAGGGCTGGTAGAATGACCAAAGCGAGGTTGAGTTTTTGGATTATGATAATGTCAGCTGGAGAAGTGTGGAACTTTTAAAGAAAAAAATTTTCAACAGCTGGGTTTAGTTTTAATAGTTTAGTAATTTTTAAAAACTTATTTAGAAAAAAGGAGATAGAGTCTCACTGTGTTGCCCAAGCTAGTCTTGAACTTCTGGGCTCAGACAGTCCTCCTGCCTCAGCCTCCCAAAGTGCTGGGATTACAGGCATGAGCCACCACGCCTTGCCTAGTTTAGTAATTTTACAGAAAGACAAGGTGACCGGTCCAAATAGTGATTTTTCCCATTGGTTATCTTCCCTACTGAATGCTATTGATCTTAGTTTCATCAAGGGTGTAACAGACTGAGCTGGATTTAAATAGGCACCCACTGATGTGACTGTGTACTAAATAATCTGGAAATCAGGGAATAGGTGGGTCCTGAATGCTATCCCAAGCATCAAGGTTAAATAGATTCTCTTTGCATATAGCATGCCATTTACACAAATCATGATGAATTTTACTTTGCTTCCAGTTTGGACAAGGACTTTAGGTATAGCCTTTATTTATTTTTTCTCCCTTTCTAGAGTTTGTGATTGCCTTTCTGTGTTTGTGTTGATAAAAGGATAATGTGCTTTAATCTTATAATCAAATATATCAAGCTTCCGTTTTAAAATAAAATTTTCTATTTAATTTTTTGAATATGTAATAAATTCCTGAGAGTCAAACATCAGGAATTATAAGACAATATCCTTTCCACCTCATTTTTATATGTGCTCAGTTTCCACAATGGGTGATTACTGGTATTAGTTTCTTAATAATCATTTCATCGAATTTTTAAGCATATGAAAGCCAGTACACATAACTATTTTTTCTTCTCACCTTTATATATAAGTGATAGCAAAAATATTATTCTGCATCTTGCTTTTTCACTTAATAATATATCTTAGTGATTTTTTTGTGTTAATCCATAGTTTTTTCATGCATTTTGCAACTGCACAGTTTTCCATTGTATAAATAACCATAGCTTTTAAATCTGTGTTTTATCCATAGACTTTCTAATCTCTGGCTGTTGCCAACACCATCGCAATGAATAAGCCTGTCTGTTTGTTATTTTGCACGTCCTAAGTATAGGCATACCTCATTTTACTGCACTTTGATTTATTGTGCTTTGCAGATGTTGCGTTTTTCACAAACTGAAGGTTCATGGCAATCTTGTGTGGAGCAAATTTATTGGCATCATTTTTCCAACAGCATGTGCTCACTTTGTGTGTCTGTGTCACATTTTGGTAATTCTAGCAATATTTAAAACTTGTTCATTATTATATCTGTTATGATGATCTGTGATTAGTGATCTTTGATGTTACTATTATATTGTTTTGAGGCACTATGAATCACTGTGCCTATATAAGACAGCAAGCTTGATAAATGTGTTTGTTCTGACAGCTCCACTGACCTGCTATTCCCTCATCTCTCCCCCGTCCTTGGGCCTCCCTATTCCCTGAGACAAAACAATAGCAAAATGAGGTCAGTTAATAACCTAACAATGGACTCTAAGTGTTCAAGTGAAAGGAAGAGTTGCACATTCTCTCACTTCAAATCAAAAGCTAGAAATTATTAAGCTTAATGAGGAAGACATATTGAAAGGTGAGATAGACTGAAAGCAAGTCCTCTTGCACCCAGCAGTTAAGTTGTGAATGCGTTGGAAAAGTGATTTGAAGGAAATTAAAAGTACTACTCCAGTGAACACACAGTAAGAAAACAAAACAGCCTTATTGCTGATGTGGAGAATGTTTGAGAAATCTGGATAGAAGGTGAAACCAACCACAACATTCCCTTAAACTGAAGCCTAGTCCAGAGGAGAGCCTAACTCTCTTCAATTCTGTGAAGGCTGAGAGGCAAGGGAGCTGCAGAAGAAAAACTGGAAGATAGGAGAAGTTGGTTCATGAGGTTTAAGGAAAGAAGCCATCTCCATAACATAAGAATGCAAGATGAAGCAGCAAGTGCTGCTGATGATAAAGCTGTACCAAGTTATCCAGAAGATTTGGCTAAGATAATTGATGATGGTGGCTACATTAAGCAATATATTTTCAATGTAGATAAACAAGTTTTCTATGGGAAAAAGATGCCAACTAGGACTTCTGTAGCCAGAGAGGACAGAAGTCAATGCCTAGCTTCAAAGGACAGGCTGATTCTCTTGTTAGGGGCTAATGCAGTTGGTAACTTTCAGTTCAAGCCTATGCTCATTTACCATTTCAAAAATCCTAGGGACCTTAAGAATTATGCTGCACTCCATAAATGGAACAAAAATCCTAGATAATAACACATCTGTTTACAGCATGGTTTACTAAATGTTTTAAGCCCACTGTTGAGACCTACTGCTCAGAAAAATTCCTTTCAAAATAGTACTGCTCTGCCAGGTGTGGTGGCTTACACCTGTAATCCCAGCACTTGGGGGAGGCTAAGATGGGCAGATCCCTTGAGCCCAGGAGTTTGAAACCAACCTGGGCATCATGATGAAACACATCTCTACAAAAAATACAAAAATTAACTTGGTGTGGTGGTGTGTGCCTGTAGTCCTGGTTACTTGAGAGGCTGAGATGGGAGGATTTCTTGAGCCCAGGAGGTGGAGGTTGCAGTGAGCTGAGATTGCACCATAGCACGCCATCTTGGGTGACGAAGTGAGATTCCATTTTTGGGGAAAAGAAAGTACTGCTCATTGACAATGCCCCTGGTCACCTCAGAGTTCTGATGGAGATGTACAGGAGATTAAAACCGTTTTCGTGACTGTTAGCACAACATCCATTCTACATTCTAGATCAAGGAGTAATTTTGACTTTCAAGACTTAATTTAAGAAATACATTTTGTAAGGCTATAGCTGTCATAGAGAATGAGTCCTTTGATGGAGCTGGGCAAAGTAAATTGAAAATCTTCAGGAAAGGATTCACCATTCTAGATGCTATCAAGAAGATTCATGATTTGTGGGAGGAGGTTAAAATACCAACATGAATAGGAATTTGGAAGAAGTTGATTCCAGTCCTTGTGGATGAGTTTGAGGAGTTCAAGACTTTAGTAGAAGTAACTGCAGATGTGGTAGAGCTAGCAAGGGAACTAGAATTAGAAATGGAGCCTGAAAATATGACTGAATTGCTACAATATCATGATAAAACTTGAATGAATGGGGAGTTGCTTCTTATGGATGAGCAAAGAAAGTAGTTTCTTGACATGGGATCTACTCCTGGTGAAGATGCTATGAACATTGTGGAAATTATGTCAAAGGGTATAGAATATTACATAAACTTAGTTGATAAAACAGTGGTAGGATTTGAGAGGATTGACTCCAATTTTGAAAGAAGTTCTGAGGGCAAAATGCTATCAAACAGCATTGTATGCTACAGAGAAATCTTTCATGGAAGAAAGAGTCCACTGAGCAGCAAATTTTATTGTCTTATTTTCAGAAATTGCCACAGCCACCTCAATTCAGCAAACCCCACCCACCCTGATCAGTCAGCAGCCATCAACATGGAGGCAAGATCCTCCACCAGCAAAAATATTACAAATTGCTGGAGGCTCAGATGATCATTAGCATTGTTTGGCAATAAAATATTTTAAAATTAACTATGTACATTTTTAGACATAATACTATTGCACACTTAGACTACAGTGTAGTGCAAACATACTTTTTATTTTGTTTTATTTTTTTTAAGACAGGATCTTGCTCTGTTGCCCAGGCTGGAATGTAGTGGCGTAATCATAACTCACATAGCCTTGAATTCCTGAGCTCAAGCAATCCTTCCACCTCAGTCTCTTGAATAACTAGGATTACAGGCATGCACTACCACGCCCAGCTAATTTTTAAAATTTTGTGGCAACAAGGTCTCACTGGGTTTCCCAGGCTGGTCGTGAACTGCTGGCTTCAAGGAATCCTCCCCCCTCAGCCTCCCAAAATGCTGGGATTACAGGCATGAGCTGTGCCTCCCCTAAACATAACTTGTATATGCAGTAGGAAACCAAAAAAAATTGATTCACTTTATTGCAACATTCGCTTTATTGTGGTATCTGGAACAGAACCCATAGCATCTCTGAGGTATGCCTGTATAGGATAAATCCTTAAGATAAATTTCTGGGTAAAAGTTTATACTGACAAGAGGCTGAGAAGAGTTAGGGAGTTGGGGGTTGGGGGAATGAAGAGATGTTGATTAATGGGTCCAAATATATAATTGGATAGAAGAAATAAGACCTACTGTTCAATAGATTAGTAGGGTGACTACAGTTGACAATATTCTATTGTATATTTCCAAATAGCTAGAAGAGAATAATTCAGATGCTCCTAGTATAAAGGAAAGATAAATATTTAAGGTGATAAATGTCTCAATTACCCTGACTTGATCTTTACACATTATATGAATGTATCAAAATAGCATATGTACCCTGAAAATATTTACATCTATTATGTATCAATAAATAATTTTAAAATTGAAATACGTTTCACAGAAAAAGGCTATATGTGTTTGAATTCTGATAATTATTGCCAATTTATCATCTATAGGGATGGCACCAATTAAAACTCCTGATAGAAATGTATGAAAGGAACTGGGCACGGTGGGTCATGCCTGTAATCCCAGTACTTTGGGAGGCTGAGGCAGGCAGATCACCTGAGGCTGGGAGTTCAAGACCAGCCTGGCCAACATGGTGAAACACCATCTCTATTAAAAATACAAAAGTTAGCCGGGCGTGATGGCGGGTGCCTGTAATCCCAGCTACTTGGGAGGCTGAGGTGGGAGAATCGCTTGAACCCCGGGAGGCAGAGGTTGCAGTGAGCCAAGAGCACGCCATTGCACTCCAGCCTGGGCGACAGAGCAAGACTCCACCTCAAAAAAAAAAAAAAAAAAAAATATATATATATATGAAAGAATATACTACTTCATATCAGCATTATTACATCATTCTGAAATCTTTTGGATTTCTGCCATTATAACTGAGAAATAATACCTAAATATAGCTTTAGTCTGCATTACTCTTATTAAGAATAAAGTTGAGCCTTTTATATATGTTTTGTGAACTGTTTATGTATTCTGTGAATTCATCATATCTTTAGTTCAGTTTTTCTACTAGGTTTTTTGTGTGTTTCTTGTCTATGTCCAGGACATTTAACATTCTAGGGAGATTATCCCTCTGCTGTCACACAAATTGCAAATATTTTCCTGACTCATCATTTATCTTTTGCCATTTTAATTATTTGATAAGTTAGATTTGACCTTGGTTGTAGTACTTTTTTTTGCCTTGAAAACATTTTTTTGTTTTTGTTTTTTTACTGCAGTCAAATTTAACTATCTTTATTTGTGGCCTTTGGATTTTATGTTTTAATTCAAGTTCTACCCTCATTCCAAGGTCATGAAAGTTCTCCACTATTTTCTCTACTACTTTATGGTCATTTTGTTTCGCACTTAAAGATTTGATCTTTTGTAATTTATTCTAGTATATAGTGTGAAATTTGGGTCTAACTACAGTCTGTTCTCATTATTCACAGATTCTGTATTTATGAATTCACCTACTTGCTAAAATGTATTTATAACCCCAGAATCTATACTCATGGTATTTTTGCAGTCATTCTTGATACAAGCAGTGGCAACAAATTTCAGTTGTGTGACATGTGAGTGTTCCTAGCTGAGGTCGAACAAGTGATGCACTGCCTTCTCTAGTACTATAAGCAAGTGGGCTCCTTCCAGCCTATTTAGTATGACATTTTCACATTTTTGTGCTGTTTGTTGGTGCCTAATTATAGTGCTGAAGTGTTATCTAGTATTCCCAACTGCCTTACAGAGCAAATATATGTGTTAGATTAGCTTTGTTCAGGCATGAGTTCCAGTGCTGTTGGCCATGAGTTCATTGTTAATGAATCAACAATATATATTAACTAAGGTGTCATTAACAGAAACACATAAACAAGGTTATGGATTAATCAGTTGATAAAAAATGTTGTGACCGGAGGCTTGAAGAAACTGGACCCAGCATTTCCACTAGCAGCAATGATTCAGTATTCACTAATTCATGTTTGCAGCATCTTTATAGAACTACTGCTAATCATGAGAATCAACTGTATATATTTTTTCACGATAACTACATAGCTCCTCTAATACAATCACTTGAATGGTCTATCTCTCACCACTGATTTGAGGTGTCACTTCAAAGTCACCAAAGTGAGAGGATCGCTTAAGCCCAGGAATTCAAGACCAGCCTGTGCAATATAGCGAGACCTTGTCTCTACAAAGAATTTAAAAGTTAGCCAGGTGTGGTGGCCACCTGTAGTCCTAGATACTTGGGGGGCCAAGGTAGGAGCATCTTTTGAGCCCAGGAGGTTGGAGGCTGCAGTGATGGTGCCACTGCACTCCAGCCTGGGTGACAGAGAGAGACCCTGTCTCAAATAATAATAAGAAGAATTTTTAAAAATCTGCTAATCTTAGTTCCCTCCACATTTGTCTTTTTAAGAGTTTTCCTGGATATTTTTGCTTTTTTCTTTCACACAAACTTCAGAATTACCTTGTTTAGTCCTAAAAAACTTATTGGTATTTTTATGGAGTTAATACAGAAATAAACTCAGGGACAACTGGCATCCTTTTGAGTCTTCCTACTCAGGAATGTGGTTTGTCTTGCCACTGAGGCAAGTCATCTTTTGTATCCTTCAGGAGAATTAAAAAGTTCTCTTCACATAGACCTTCAAATTTCTTTGTTTAATAATATCGTTACTTCAGCTGCTGCTATTTCTATGAGATTATCCATCTTATCGAAGTCTGCAGGACATCTACGGAGGATGAAAAAACCATGTTCTGAACCTAGTTGATATATTTAAAGACTATCTTCACATGAAAATTTAAGGTGGGAGAAACAAACAATTGTTATATAGAGTAGAAGGAATGAGATGGGGAGATTAATGAAAGTGTAGGAAAGGCTTGATGTGTCATCCTGTTTATTTCATCCAACACTTTGAGTTCTTTACAACGTATCAGCAGTATTCTAAGTCCTTTACAATTATTCATTTAGTTTTACAACAACCCTATAGGATGGGTACATTATCATTGCCACCTTGACTTTATAAATAAGGAAACTGAGGTTGACCGAGGCTTGAAGTTGCACAGCTGGTTCCTTGAGGGAGCTGGAATTCAGACCCAGCAGATTGGATTCAGGGGCCATGCTCTTAACCACATATGTTATATCGAGGAACAGTTAGGACAGTAGTTGAAGAGAGTGCAGCGGGTCCTTGAATAATGTCATTTCTTTCAACTCATTTCCTTATAATGTTGATGAGAAAAAAAAATTACTCTCTTGCTGGGACCACTGTCTGTATGGGGTTTACACATTCTCCACATATATGTATGAGGTTTTTCTGGGAACTCTGGTTTCCTCCCACATCCCAGAATTGTGCCTGTTAGGTGAACCGGCATGTCTAAATGATCCCGGTTTTAAGAATGTGTGTGTGAGTGAGCTCTGTGATGGGAATGATGTCCCCTCCAGGGCTGGCTCCTGTCTTCCACCCTAAGCTGCTGGGATAGGCTCTGGCCACCTGTGACCCTGAACTGCAATAAATGGGTTAGAAAAGGAATGAATAAATGAATACCAATTATTGTCAAATAAATATTCGTCAAGCCTACCATAATCATACAAATGCATAACAATAAACAATGCAGCACAAAAAAAGCTCTGCGAGCCTGCCATATTTGTGATTGTTGGTTTCGAACTATGTGGTGGGAGGAGGTGTTCCTGACAATTTTTGCTTTGCAAGCATTTATTTCTTGATTTAACTCATCACCACTATGACCACCATCATTAGCTGATTTACCAAAAATTGGGTAAACAATTACCTTGTTTTTATTAACCTTTCTTAATGTATATGTAGCTCACACTTATTTCAATGTTTAATATTAGAAGTGTTTGGGTCTTTGTTTAGAAGTTTAGTAATGTTTTGGGGACCACAAATATGCTCTAGGAACTTACCTCTTGTTTATATGTGGTAAAAGTGGTTTTGTTACATGTTGTTTCACTTAAACTTGCAGTTTCCAAAAACCTATTGATGATGTTAAGTGAGGACTTACTGTATTATGGCCCTAAGTATTCAAACATCAATGCATGAAAATTTGGTAACTTGCAGAACAGATCTGAGATTATTGTTTATTACTTGAGAAGTTTTATAGTGTTATTGGCACTGTGGAGACCAGAACTGGGTTGGAATATGGTGACAGAAGAGTCACCTTTATGTAAAGAGAGAAAGGGCAAGGGCAGCAGACCACATGGCCTTGAGTGAGACCAAAGGATGCATCCTGACCCAGCTGACGGAAAGGACACAGATGGTGCACACAGCCGTGATGGGAGGCTATTTCTCTGGATCCTTTCCCAAAACCTCAGACCTCTGCCAACAGCAGGATGATTGACAAGCAGCTTTGTAAGTGATTTCACCTCTGGGAACCCTCAGAAGCAACCTGAAGAAATTCAGCCTTGTTTCTTATCCTGATCAATAAAGAAAGATTAGCTGGTTTAATAGGATTGGGAGGAAGCCATATTATACATAGCTGTAAAGCTATAAAAATGATTTGGTCAAGTGACCCCATCATCTCATTTCATTAGAAACGAGAATAGTCAGATGACTACCCTAGAATTCAGGATGAGAGATTCTAAATAGGTGAAAAATAACATAGGTATGATTCTATAGGTTGAAACTGTGGAAAGGAAAAAAATATAGAAAGGTTAAGAAGAGGTGAGGGAGATAACTGACATTAATTATGGCCGACTGTGTTCCTGGTGCTTTACATAAATGTCATGGCACAGGACTAGACAATTAGGACAATGAAGCTTGATAGAAAGTCTAGAAATAGACTCTTACGTTTATGGGAATGTAAAATGCGATAAGCATAGCACATCAAAGAATAGTGATGAGAACACTTGGTCTCCATTTAAAAAGTTAGAGCCCAAGTTACATATCCAGACAGGTTCCAGATGGAATATGGAGTTTAACATAAAAATAAAATGTTAGAAGGAAAAATAGAATACTTTATCATTGTGGGTGAAAAAGGACACAAAATTCAGAAGCCATGTGTCGAAACTGATGAATTTGACTGTATCAAATTCTTTTAACTTTTGAATGACTATATCAAAGAAACCGAGATAAAACTTTTGTCACATTTATAATAATGTTCAGTGTTCCAAAAAAATAATTAAAAGACAACCCAAAAGAAAAATAATGAGCAAGGAAAATGAGCTGGCAACTCACAGGAAAAATACAAATGGCCAAGAATCAATGGAAAAAAAGCTCAATGTCCCAGTTAACCAGGAGATACAAATTAAGTGAACAATAAAATAATTTTTTACCTATGTTTTTAAATTATTTAAAAGCTGATAACATATGTTATTGGCAAGGGTGTTTC